>NC_000023.11:28387488-29637488 GCF_000001405.40 Homo sapiens
GGTGGTTGCCAAGGGCTAGGAAAGAGGAGAGAATGGAGAAATGTTGTTTAATAAGTATAGACTTTCAATTTTAAAAGATAAGTTCCAGAGATTGGTTGCAAAATAGTGTGAATATACTTAATACCACTAAACTGGACACTTAGGAATAGTTAAGATGTAAATTTTATGTTATACTTTTTTACCACAATAAGAAAAATGATTAAAAAGTATATTATATACATATTTATATCAATAAAGTAGAAAATCTGATAAAATGGATAATTTCCTGGAAAAAATATAATTTATTAGTCTCAATTCAATAAAAAATTTAAAAAAAATCTAAACATACCTATACTTTTAAAGAAATTGAATTGCCAGTTAACCTAGTAATTAGGCTGCAGAGAAGGGAGAATCAGCCCCAAATTTTTCACATGCCAGTCTAACGAGTCTTTAGAGACTATGTAATTTTTTTCTTAGAAAAACAGTTCCATAGATAGCTCTTATTATTTTGAGATACGTCCCATCAATACCTAATTTACTGAGAGTTTTTAGCATGAAGGGTTGCTGAATTTTGTCAAAGGCCTTTTCTGCATCTATTGAGATAATCATGTGGTTTTTGTCTTTGGTTCTGTTTATATGCTGGATTACATTTATTGATTTGTGTATATGGAAACAGCCTTGTATCCCAGGGATGAAGCCCACTTGATCATGGTGGATAAGCTTTTTGATGTGCTGCTGGATTCGGTTTGCCAGTATGTTATTGAGGATTTTTGCATCAATGTTCATCAAGGATATTGGTCTAAAATTCTCTTTTTTGGTTGTGTCTCTACCCAGCTTTGGTATCAGGATGATGCTGACCTCATAAAATGAGTTAGGGAGGATTCCCTCTTTTTCTATTGATTGGAATATTTTCAGAAGGAATGGTACCAGTTCCTCCTTGTACCTCTGGTAGAATTCGGCTGTGAATCCATCTGGTCCTGGACTCTTTTTTGGTTGGTAAGCTATTGATTATTGCCACAATTTCAGAGCCTGTTATTGGTCTATTCAGAGATTCAACTTCTTCCTGGTTTAGTCTTGGGAGGGTGTATGTGTCGAGGAATTCATCCATTTCTTCTAGATTTTCTAGTTTATTTGCACAGAGGTGTTTGTAGTATTCTCTGATGGTAGTTTGTATTTCTGTGGGATCAGTGGTGATATCCCCTTTATCATTTTTTATTGTATCTATTTGATTCTTCTCTCTTTTCTTCTTTATTAGTCTTGCTAGTGGTCTATCAATTTTGTTGATCCTTTCAAAAAACCAGCTCCTGGATTCATTAATTTTTTGAAGGGTTTTTTGTGTCTCTATTTCCTTCAGTTCTGCTCTGATTTTAGTAATTTCTTGCCTTCTGCTAGCTTTTGAATGTGTTTGCTCTTGCTTTTCTAGTTCTTTTAATTGTGATGTTAGGGTGTCAATTTTGGATCTTTCCTGCATTCTCTTGTGGGCATTTAGTGCTATAAATTTCCCTCTACACAGTACTTTGAATGTGTCCCAGAGATTCTGGTATGTTGTGTCTTTGTTCTCGTGGGTTTCAAAGAACATCTTTATTTCTGCCTTCATTTCGTTATGTATCCAGTAGTCATTCAGGAGCAGGTTGTTCAGTTTCCACCTAGTTGAGCAGTTTTGAGTGAGTTTCTTAATCCTGAGTTCTAGTTTGATTGCACTGTGGTCTGAGAGACAGTTTGTTATAATTTCTGTTCTTTTACATTTGCTGAGGAGAGCTTTACTTCCAACTATGTGGTCAGTTTTGGAATAGGTGTGGTGTGGTGCTGAAAAGAATGTATATACTGTTGATTTGGGGTGGAGAGTTCTGTAGATGTCTATTAGGTCCGCTTGGTGCAGAGCTGAGTTCAATTCCTGGATATCCTTGTTAACTTTCTGTCTCGTTGATCTGTCTAATGTTGACAGTGGGGTGTTAAAGTCTCCCATTATTATTGTGTGGGAGTCTAAGTTTGCAGATGACATGACTGTGTGTCTAGAAAACCCCATTGTCTCAGCCCAAAATCTCCTTAAGCTGATAAGCAACTTCAGCAAAGTCTCAGGATACAAAATCAATATACAAAAATCACAAGCATTCATATACACCAATAAGAGACCAACAGAGAGCCAAATCATGAGTGAACTCCCATTCACAGTTGCTTCAAAGAGAATAAAATACCTAGGAATCCAACTTACAAGGGATGTGAAGGACCTCTTCAAGGAGAACTACAAACCACTGCTCAATGAAATAAAAGAGGATACAAACAAATGGAAGAACATTCCATGCTCATGGGTAGGAAGAATCAATATCGTGAAAATGGCCATACTGCCCAAGGTAATTTATAGATTCAATGCCATCCCCATCAAGCTACCAATGACTTTCTTCACAGAATTGGAAAAAACTACTTTAAAGTTCACATGGAACCAGAAAAGAGCCCGCATCGCCAAGTCAATCCTAAGCCAAAAGAACAAAGCTGGAGGCATCATGCTACCTGACTTCAAACTATACTACAAGGCTACAGTAACCAAAACAGCATTCTACTGGTACCAAAACAGAGATATAGATCAATGGAACAGAACAGAGCCCTCAGGAATAACGCCACATATCTACAACTATCTGATCTTTGACAAACCTGAGAAAAACAAGCAATGGGGAAAGGATTCCCTATTTAATAAATGTTGCTGGGAAAACTGGCTAGCCATATGTAGAAAGCTGAAACTGGATCCCTTCCTTACACCTTATACAAAAATTAATTCAAGATGGATTAAAGACTTAAACGTTAGACCTAAAACCATAAAAACCCTAGAAGAAAACCTAGGCATTACCATTCAGGACATAGGCATGGGCAAGGATTTCATGTCTAAAACACCAAAAGCAATGGCAACAGAAGCCAAAATTGACAAATCGGATCTAATTAAACTAAAGAGGTTCTGCACAGCAAAAGAAACTACCATCAGAGTGAACAGGCAACCTACAAAATGGGAGAAAATTTTCGCAACCTACTCATCTGACAAAGGGCTAATATCCAGAATCTACAATGAACTCAAACAAATTTATAAGAAAAAAACAAACAACCCCATCCAAAAGTGGGCGAAGGACATAAACAGACTCTTCTCAAAAGAAGACATTTATGCAGCCAAAAGACACATGAAAAAATGCTCATCATCACTGGCCATCAGAGAAATGCAAATAAAAACCACAATGAGATACCATCTCACGCCAGTTAGAATGGCAATCATTAAAAAGTCAGGAAACAACAGGTGCTGGAGAGGATGTGGAGAAATAGGAACACTTTTACACTGTTGGTGGGACTGTAAACTAGTTCAACCCTTGTGGAAGTCAGTGTGGCGATTCCTCAGGGATCTAGAACTAGAAATACCATTTGACCCAGCCATCCCATTACTGGGTATATACCCAAAGGACTATAAATCATGCTGCTATAAAGACACATGCACACGTATGTTTATTGCGGCACTATTCACAATACCAAAGACTTGGAACCAACCCAAATGTCCAACAATGATAGACTGGATTAAGAAAATGTGGCACATATACACCATGGAATTCTATGCAGCCATAAAAAATGATGAGTTCATGTCCTTTGTAGGGACATGGATGAAATTCGAAATCATCATTCTCAGTAAACTATCGCAAGAACAAAAAACCAAACACTATGTTCTCACTCATAGGTGGGAATTGAACAATGAAAACACATGGACACAGGAAGGGGAACATCATACTCTGAGGACTGTGGTGGGGTGGGGGGAGGGGGGAGGGATAGGTTTAGGAGATATACCTAATGCTAGATGACGAGTTAATGGGTGCAGCACACCAGCATGGCACATGTATACATATGTAACTAACCTGCACATTGTGCACGTGTACCCTAAAACTTAAAGTATAACAATAAAAAAATAAATAAAAAATAAAAATAAAAATAAAAATAAAGAAAAACAGTTCCAGAGGATGTAAAAGAAAGAAATCACCCAAATCATTTCATCAAGTGAGTATAGCCTTCATATAAAAATCTGTGATGGCAATAGGGGTAGGAAAAATTACAGACAAATCACGCTTAGACAGAAACATTAAAATATTAGCAAATCAAATTCAGCTATGCTTACCTCAGAAATATCATGGGTTTGGTTGTGGTCCAGTGCAATAAAGCGAATAGCGCAATAAAGTGAGTCACATAATTTTCGTGGTTTTACAGTGCATATAAAACATATTTACCCTATACTGCAGTCCATGAAGTGTGCAACGGCATTGTGTCTAAAAAACAATGCACATACTTTAAATTATCTAAGGCCCAGTGTTGTGACTCATGCCTGTAATTCCAACACTTTGGGAGGTGGAAGCCAGAGAATCACTTGAGCTCAAGAATTGGAGACTAGCCTGGACAACACAGTGAGACTTTGTCTCTACACAAAATTTAAAAAATTAGCTGGGCGTGGTGGTGCACACCTTTAGTCCCAGCTTCTCAGGAGGCTGAGGCAAGAGGATTTCTTGAGCCCAGGAGGTCAGGGCTAAGGCTACAGCGAGCCATGATCACACCACTGTATTCTAGCCTGGGCAACAGAGCAAGACCTTGTCTAAAACAAACAACAAACAAACAAATAAACAAAAAAAAAAACTTCATAGCTTTAAAAAACTAATAATTGTCTGAGAGCTCACCAAGTTTTTTGGTGTTGGAGGGTCTTGCCTCAATGTCAACTGATCAGGACGGTGGGGTAGTTGAAGGTTAGGGTGATTGTGGCAATTTCTTAAAATAAGACAACAATGGAGTTTGCCACATTAATTGACTCTTCCTTTCATGAAAGATTCTGCTGTAGCATATGATGCTCTTCATAGCATTTTACCCACAGTAGAACTTTCAAAATTTGAGTCAGTCCTCTCAAACCTTGCCACTGCTTTATCAACTTTGAGACCAGCCTGGCCAACATGGTGAAAACCCATCTGTACTAAAAATACAAAAATTAGCTGGGCATGGTGGCGCATACCTGTAGTCTCAGCTACTCGTGAGGATGAGGCACCAAGAATCACTTGAACCCAAGAGGAGGAAGTTGCAGTGAGCCAAGATTGTGCCACTGCACTCCAGCCTGGACAACAAAGCGAGATTCCATCTCAAAATAAAAAATAAAAAAAGAAAGAAAAAGAAAGTCCTAGGTAGTGTCTTCTTCCAATAGAAGGCTGTTTCATCTATACTGAAAATCTATTGTTTAGTGTAGCTACTTTCATCAGTTATCTCAGCTAGGTCTTCCAAATAACTTGCAGCTTCTTTATGAGCACTTGCTGCTTCACCTTACACTTTTATGTTATGGGGTTGGCTTCTTTCCATAAACCTCATGAACCCAACCTCTGCTAGCTTCCAACTTTTCTTATTTATTTATTTATTTTATTTTTTTGAGTCGGAGTTTCGCTCTTGTTGCCCAGGCTGGAGTGCAATGGCACGATCTCAGCTCACTGCAACCTCCACCTCCCAGGTTCAAGCAATTCTCCTGCCTCAGCCTCCCGAGTAGCTGGGATTACAGGCATGAGCCACCACGCCTGGTTTATTTTGTATTTTTAGTAGATACGGGGTTTCTCCATGTTGAGGCTGGTCTCGAACTCCTGACCTCAGATGATCCACCCGCCTCAGCCTCCCAAAGTGCTGGGATTACTGGCATGAGCCACCGTGCCTGGCCTGCTTCCAACTTTTCTTCTGCAGCTTCCTCACCTCTCTCAGTCTTCATAGAACTGAAGAGAGTTATGTCCTTGCTCTGGATTAGGCTTGGCTTAACAGAATGTTGTAGGTGGTTTGATCTTATATCCAGACCACTAAAATTTTCTCCATGTCGGCAATAAGGCTGCTTCAATTTCCTATCATTCATGTGTTCACTGAAGTAGCACTTTAATTTCCTTTATGAACTTTTCCTTTGCATACATAACTTGGTTGGTTGGCACAAGAGGCGTAGGTGTCAGCCTGTCTTGGCTTTTGACATGCTGTCTTCACTTCACTAAGCTTAATCATTTTTAGCTTTTGATTTACAGTGAGAGACGTGTGACTCTTCCTTTCACTTGAACAGAGGTCATTTTAGGGTTATTAATTTGCCTCATTTTAACATTGTTGTGTCTGAAAGAAGAGGAAGCCTGAGGAGAAGGAGAGAGATGGGAAACTGCTGGTTGGTGGAGCAGTCAGAACACTCAAACAACATCTATTAATTAAGATTGCCATCTTGTATGTGCATGGTTTGTGGTGCCCCAAAACAATTACAATAGTAGCATCAAAGATCACTGATCACAGATCACCATAACAGATATGATAATCATGAAAAAGTTTGAAATATTGCAAGAATTACCTAAATGTGACACAGAGACACGAAGTGAGCACGTGATATTGGAAAAATGGTGCCAATAGATTTGCTTGACACAGAGTTGCCACAAACTTTCAATTTGTAAAAAAACACAGTATCTTCAAAGTGGAATAAAGTGAAACTCAATAAAATGAGGTGTGCCTGTATATATTTTTAAATAAACCAATGATTTTAATCAAGTGCTTTATATCAAAAATACAAGGATGGCTTAACATTAGAAAATTGAATTGTCATTTACATTCCTATCTTGAAAATATTGATTCAAAAAATTGCATAGGGATTATAAATATGATATAATTTTCTAAATCATTAAATGCAGAATTAAAGGTGTAATTCTGTGGGCATTTACATTTACAGTAAAAGTACAAAAATGTGTTTGGATGGAATGTATAATGAATTCAGGGCAGTGGTAACTTTTGGGCAGGAAGAGGACTGGAGTAGAGGGGTTTGAGTTTTTAGTTATATCTATTATATTTCATTTTGAAAAGGAGATCTAAAACAATACAGTAAAATATTCTCTCTTTTTATGGGTTGCATGCATGTTTATCATAGAAAAAATGTATTTCAATGAAAAAATATACACCTATAGTACACTCTCCTGAGCTATTAGAGTCTAACTCTGTTCATTGCCTTTGAGCTATTCTACATTTCTTTATAAACTGTAGATAACTGATAGATACTGGGCTCAAATAAAATTCACCACTGCCACATGAAATCTCTGCAAACTATTAAAGTGTCCTTCTGATAGAAATTTAATGCCTTCCTTTTCCATAACCCAAAATAAAAACCACGATTTTGTCTTCATTTGCAATTCACCTAAACATTGCTTTACTCCATATAAATTTGTGCTAATTTGACTTTTCCTTTGATCCGGTTATAACATCTGCCTGGTTCCCTCATAGCATATGTATAAAATAAATTCTTTAACATGTGTTCACTTTTATATCTGCATGAGAGTCATGATTTAACCTTTTCTGAAAATTATCTCAACACTATTTTTATGTGTTTGTAATATTTCACAATTTTAAAAAATTAAGCGACAGAGCTTTGAGAAGATCCAAGATGTGGAACCACAAGAGGAAGGGACTAGAGTTATTCTGGTGGAAGGCCCCCAGTATTATGGCAGATAATACTGGGAAGAAGGAGAAGCAAAGTCAGTGAGGGTTCTTCTAGGGTGGGGATCATGGAAAAACTTTGGAGCCATGATTTTTAATGTTTATTTTGAATTTCTTTCCTATATTCTGTTTACTCTCTGTCTCCATTTCCCCCAAACCTTTAGCAAAATAGTTTACTCAAAAAAGCCCTGTAGTAGTTCTTTTAGAAATAAACACAGGGGCAAAACAAGTTAAAGAACACTACAAACACAACACAACCACACCTGATGGCTTATTGCTTATTTCACATTGTGAGTTTCAAAATTTCGCTATTTGTAACAATCACCTCTTCCTTTTTGTCTGTGGAGAAGACTAATGGAAAGATAAGGGATTTTAAGCCAAAATTTAAAGACAATGTACTTATTTTCAGTAAATTATTTTATAACATTTATAGTATAAAATTTGGGGGGTTATTATGGAGATGTATTGATTTTTTCTGACAAGTGCCATGGCTCGTGTTAATAAAGGTGTTATTTTCCACCTAGCAGCCCTCGCTCTCACCTGAGGAATAGAATAAGTGACACTTTGTTGGATCTTGACATTTGTGAATGACAGAGTGTCCAGGACAATTAAGAAGATGATTTTATTCAGGCTATTGCAAAAGAGAGCATGCTCATTAATGAGGAACATCTCATAGAAAAGAAAGAGGGCCTGGGATTTTATAAAGGCAGGTAAATAAGAGAGTCATCAACAAGTCTTATGAGAGTCATAAGGAGGGTAGAGAGAAATTTTGTGAGTCATTGAGGAAGGGTGGAAGTGGATCTTATCTCAGAATATGGGAGATCATGCAGGTCCTTAATGAGGATGGAGGCCCATTCTCAAAGAAAGTGTGGGGTATTTTTCAACACTCACTGCTTTCCAGGAGCAGAGAGCTGAAATACATTTTTACATTGTCAGTCCTCTCTTTTGGTCATGAAGAATGAATACCATTGTAACTCAGAGGTAATCATAAACCTCCTAAATGCGGCAAAGCAATGTCTAAGAAACTTGCTCAAGGATTCTTTCTGGTGTTTCTCTTGACAAACCAGTTGAAGTATCTCTTGAAACTATGTTCTAGAGTTCTGTAGATCAGGCAGAAGTTTGTCTAAAATGAAAAAAAAAGAGAAATGTATAAATGGTTGCATTAAAGCGCCAGAAATCGAACCCTGAGATTAACTGGTCTGGCAGATTTCAAGAGATAGGTGGAGGAAAATATTTCGGTTATGCAGCACCACTCATTGAGTATCCTGATACTCTCAAATAGGATGTCTATGCTCTTAGTGACATTATCACCTGTCATGGTTACCTCTCACACAAGCATTTTCCTGGATTTCCTTAGTGGTCCAGACATCATCTCATTCAAGGAAAATTTCAGCCCATGCATAGACTGTTGTGGTGATGAGTCTTTCAAAGTTTTTAGCAAGTTATTGGACTTCAGCTGACAGAGCTTCTTCAGATTTTGGGGGAAAGGGTCAGCTGCAAGGCAACCTAGATCCCGTGAAGGATCCGGGTAGACAGGTTTTAATTCTCAGTGAGTCCAAGTCATGTGGGAAAGAAAAAATTTGGAATGTTAGTTTGAAGAATTGTAATCAGATATTGAAAGAAACATGAAGAACCAAAAATTTGGTAACATTTGACAATTTGAAGAAGGTAACAGAATCCAGTCCAGTTTGCAGATAGATACCAAAACTAGATTTTCCACAGTGTGAAAAGTCACAATCTCCTCCATGCAAAACACTTTGAGTATCCACTAGTCACCTGCAATTTACAAAGAGGTGCAAAATAGCTCAAAGACAATAAATAGGACTAGAATGATGATTCAAAATGATATGCTATAGATAATGCACAGTTTTCCAGAGAAACACAAAATTTATCTTTATAATCTTCACCATTCTGTTCAAAAATAATCTCAAAGAACAATTATTCTTGATCACAAATGTGTTCTCATTAGATTTGCCATAATGATTTACATAGATGCAGCAACAATGGTAATTTACCATATAAACCACCTTAAGTGTTTTTTTTTTTTTCTCTCCCAGTAGTCTGCCTAAAGACTCTCAGATTAGGCTTTTTAAAGAAAACTTTACGAGGCAAAGAAGCCAAGCCAAGAACTCACTATAAGATTTCACTTGCAGTAACTTGGATGAATCTCATCCAACTATACTTAGATGAATCTCTGTCTCCTTGAGTTCCCCAAAATATCCTAAGTTTCCAGGAAGTGACCCTCCTTACTCACCTATGAGGCTGAGAACCCTGTGAGAGAAGTACCAGACAAGTTTTCCCAATAAGGTTTTGTAAGTATGGACTCTATAAAGTCAACCTTATTTCATCAAAAGTATTCAGTCATGTTTGATTATATGAGTTTCATTCTTGAATATGACACACTAAAGGATATAATTTCTGTTGGAATAAAGTTTTTCAAATCAGTGATTCAACTTTTTTAAATGTAAACTTTTTTTTAATAATCTTAAGCATGTAGTAAAAGCAATGCCAGTATATTCCATCAGTAAGCCTGTATAATTTTAGGAAAATAATTTCCTAGTAGAATAAAAGTTTATAAATATAGTATACTTAACACTGATAAATCAGAGAAGATAAAACCAAAAGTGTTAAGCTAGTAGAATGTGCTAAAATTTACCTAAATTATGTTAATTTGAATTCTTAACACATTTCCAAGTTGGTTTCTGTAAAAATACATTTTAAATTAAGCATATCGAAAGTTTTGGTAGATAAATCTCCTATTTTCTGGAAATTTTAGGAATTTTCTATTTATATAAGTCAGTTTTTAAAATCCCTATAAGCCATTCAGAATAGAGCTCCTTTATTAGATTTTTATAGTTTTATTTATTTATTAACATTAATACCATCTAGAGATAGAAACCTATTGCACACTTACACAATGATAGGTAAATTATATAAACTACAAACATAAACATATAAACAGACACAGAGGGAAAACTTATAGCTTCAATTCTAAAATTTCAGCCCTGGGTCAAGCATAAACACAAAAATACAAACCACTAGGTATCCATCCCAGTGGACGTAAAATTCTTCATTGATTTGGACTCAAAATAGACAAACAGACAAACAGGAAAGACTAAAGAACAGATTTTCTTTCATCTTTTACCTAACAGAGACAAGATCTCTATAAACCATTTATCCTCTTACAGAAATCATCAAATGATCAGACCATGAAACTAAAAGAATTTAGTGCCAGAAACCAAGCCAGTACTCAAAAAGAATAAAAATCAAATCCCTACTGTGGACAAGGGTTTCAGGCATAGGAATAGGAGTCAAACATATTGCTGAGTTTCAGATCACCTGTCAGGAAAAGAATACAAAGGCTCTGAGAGGCCTTTTTACTTGGATGGAGTATATGGGGATCTGAAGGCAAAGTTTAATCTCATCCAAGTCACGGTACTACACTACGAAAGACAAAGTGAACCAGACAATAAAGGAAATTAGTTTATTTAGGCTATTGCATTAGGGAGCACATTTGTTAATGAGACACATGTCCAATAAAAAAGGAAACCTTGAAACAAATAACAGAGTTATCAGTGAGTCATGGGTCTCATGAGGAAGGATAGTGATCTGTCTTATCTGAGTCACTGAGTAAGGGTGGGGTGGAACTTTATCAGATATTCAAGAGCAGGATGGTTCTTTGGAATTAGCAATTTCTCAGAAAGTGTTGGGGGATTTTACAATTATTGCTTTGGGGGAGCACAGCATTAAGTTCAACATTATCACATTAAACCTCTGTAACCTATTAAAATGAAGTGATACAAATATAGATTACTTTTGACTTGTAATTTCACTTGTCATTATCACTGAAGGTTACTCTGTCTTACTGTGGGACAGAGTATGTGTCAGACTGAGAAGGTACTATCTAGTGTTAAACCATAAATCCCTTAATACCATAACATGCACGTGGTATAAGTTTTAAAAATACTATTAGCTTACACATGTGTTAAACTCTTTTCTTTCCATTTCATTATTCACAGATTCTGATCTACTTTGACAAATATCCAGATTATAATTTCATAATGTGGATGGTTGATTTCGTTGTTGTTGTTGCTAGAAACAATATGTAGATATAATGCTAGAAAACTTTTGTTTTTATGGCAAAGAAAAAGCAAGGTTATTGTTTCATAGTAGGGAGTCATTCAATAAAATCTTAAGACCGAAGTTGGCACATGAGAAATCCATATATGGTATCTCTTTCTCCCACCACCCCGAGGGCAGTACTAATATCGTACTAAACAACTAGCAAATATCTTGTTTAGCCTAATTACTTTATAATTTATCTGCTCCCCAAGAAGAGCATTTTTGCCCATTGCATGGATCTTATAGAATCACCTAATATAAAATGCTTCTCTGCCCTAAGAGCCCAACACTCAGTGGTTGTTTTTTTTTTTTTTAATTTCCAACTTTTACTTGTTCCAAATTACAGGACACCATTTGGCCTAGGGAAAAAATTACTGGAGGACCCACATGTTTTATACTTATACATACATAATTAAGATTAATTGAGTTAATTTATTTCAAAATGATTGATTTGATAACTTTTCTTTATATGGGAGAATAAGAGAGACTGATAAAAAGTAAGAAAGTAGAGGGTCTAGGAAATTTAAAATGTAAATTGTCAGTCCTCGAAGAAATAGGATATATATAACTGAAACTCTTAAATTGTTTTTCAACTCTCCAACTATTAATAGTTCAATAGTTCCTAAGAAAAATCAGGCTTGGCCTGGCAGAGACACAACAAAAAAAGAGAATTTTAGACCAATATCCCTGATGAAGATTGATGCAAAAATCCACAATAAAATACTGGCAAACCGAATCCAGCAGCATATCAAAAAGCTTATCCACCATGATCAAGTGGGCTTCATCCCTGGGATGCAAGGCTAGTTCAACATACACAAATCAATAAACGTAATCTAGCATATAAACAGAACCAAAGACAAAAACCACATGATTATCTCAGTAGATGCAGAAAAGGCCCTTGACAAAATTCAACAGCCCTTCATGCTAAAAACTCTCAATAAACTAGGTCTTGATAGGACGTATCTCAAAATAATAGGAGCTATCTATGACAAACCCACAGCCAATATCATACTGAATGGGCAAAAACTGGAAGCATTCCCTTTGAAAACAGGCATAAGACAGGGATGCCCTCTCTCACCACTCCTATTCAACATAGTGTTGGAAGTTCTGGCCAGGGCAATCAGGCAGGAGAAAGAAATAAAGGGTATTCAATTAGGAAAAGAGGAAGTCAAACTGTCCCTGTTTGCAGATGACATGATTGTATATCTAGAAAACCCCATTGTCTCAGCCCAAAATCTCCTTAAGCTGATAAGCAACTTCAGCAAAGTCTCAGGATACAAAATCAATGTGCAAAAATCACAAGCATTCCTATACACCAATAACAAACAAACAGAGAGCCAAATCATGAGTGAACTCCCATTCTCAATTGCTTCAAAGAGAATAAAATACCTAGGAATTCAACCTACAAGGGATGTGAAGGACCTCATCAAGGAGAATTACAAACCACTGCTCAACAAAATAAAAGAGGATACAAAGAAATGGAAGAACATCCCATGCTCATGGATAGGAAGAATCAGTATTGTGAAAATGGCGATACTGCCCAAGATAATTTATAGATCCAATGCCATCCCCATCAAGCTACCAATGACTTTCTTCCCAGAATTGGAAAAAACTACTTTAAAGTTCATATGGAACCAAAAAAGAGCCCACATTGCCGAGACAATCCTAAGCCAAAAGAACAAAGCTGGAAGCATCATGCTACCTGACTTCAAACTTTACTACAAGGCTACAGTAACCAAAACAGCATGGTACTGGTACCAAAACAGAGATATAGACCAATGGAACAGAACAGAGCCCTCAGAAATAATACCACACATCTACAACCATCTGATCTTTGACAAACCTGACAAAAACAAGAAATAGGGAAAGGATTCCCTATTTAATAAATGGTACTGGGAAAACTGGCTAGCCATATGTAGAAAGCTGAAACTGGATCCCTTCCTTACACCTTATACAAAAATTAATTCAAGATGGATTAAAGACTTAAATGTTAAACCTAAAACCATAAAAGCCCTGGAAGAAAACCTAGGCAATACCATTGAGGACATAGGCATGGGCAAGGACTTCATGACTAAAACACAAAAAGCAATGGCAACAAAAGCCAAAATTGACAAATGGGATCTAATTAAACTAAAGAGGTTCTGCACAGCAAAAGAAACTACCATCAGAGTGAACAGGCAACCTACAGAATGGGAGAAAATTTCTACAATCTACCCATCTGACAAAGGGCTAATATCCACAAAGAACAAATCTACAAAGAACCTAAATTTACAAGAAAAAATCAAATAACCCCATCAAAAAGTGGGCGAAGGATATGAACAGACACTTCTCAAAAGAAGACATTTATGCAGCCAAAAGACACATGAAAAAATGCTCATCATCACTGGACATCAGAGAAATGCAAATAAAAACCACAGTGAGATACCATCTCACACCAGTTAGAATGGCGATCATTCAAAAGTCAGGAAACAACAGGTGCTGCAGAGGATGTGGAGAAATAGGAACACTTTTACACTGTTGGTGGGACCATAAAGTAGTTCAACCATTGTGGAAGACACTGGCAATTCCTCAAGGATCTAGAACTAGAAATACCATTTGACCCAGCCATCCCATTACTGGGTATATACCCAAAGGATTATAAATCATGCTGCTATAAAGACACATGCACACCTATGTTTATTGCGGCACTATTCACAATAGCAAAGACTTGGAACCAACGCAAATGTCCATCAATGATAGACTGGATTAAGAAAATGTGGCACATATACACCATGGAATACTATGCAGCCCTAAAAAAGGATGAGTTCATGTCCTTTGTAGGGACATGGGTGAAGCTGGAAACCATCATTCTCAGCAAACTATTGCAAGGACAGAAAACCAAACACCGCATGTTCTCACTCATAGGTGGGAATTGAACAATGAGAACACTTGGACACAGGGTGGGGAACATCACACGCTGGGGCCTGTCGTGGGGTGGGGAGAGCGGGGAGGGATAGCATTAGGAGATATACCTAATGTAAATGACGAGTTAATGGGTACAGCAAACCAACATGGCACATGTATACATATGTAACAAACCTGCATGGTGTGCACATGTACCCTAGAACTTAAAGTATAATAATGAAAAAAGGGTATTAAGAGAAACCACCATCTCTGTTTATATTATATTTGTTATGTAGAATAAGCTTATCCCATTGAATATGGAGAAAAATTAATAAATGTAGTTTATCAAAAAAAGAAAAATCAGGCTTGGTTTCAGCCACAATTTATCTAATGGATTCTACATTAAATAATTCCATTTGTAATTCATTGATTGCACAAAATTCCATTTAATAATTATTTATTCATTTATTAGGTTTACCAAGATATGCTCTGGATAGGGAAATTAGGAATTTATAATGTTTTATTATCTCTAATATAAATATATATGTTTTAAATTATTATAAAAATTAATAGTAAGCTCCATAGTTTTTTGTAGTGGTTGTTAAAAACCTTTCAATGGCCGGGCTCAGTGGCTCACGCTTGTAATCCCGGCACTTTCGGAGGCCCAGGTGGGTGGATCACCTGAGGTCAGGGGTTTGAGACTGGCCTGGCTAACATCGTCAAATCCTGTTTCTACTAAAAATACAAAAAATTAGCCAAGTGTGGTGGCGTGCACCTGTAATCCCAGCTACTTGGGAGGCTGAGGCAGGAGAATCACTTGAACCCGGGAGGCGGAGGTTGCAGTGAGCCGAGATCGTGCCATTGCACTCCAGCTTGGGCAACAAGAACGAAACTCCATCTCAAAAAGAAAACAACAACAACAAAAAAACCCTTTCAACATTTTTAACAATTAATGACATGTAAGATTCATGTGAATTTTCTTTTAATTTTTAAAATACAGTTAAATTACAATTTAAAATACAATTAAAAATGTACATTTAAAATACAATTAAAATAAAATTAAAAAAAATTTTTAAGTACAGTACTTATTTTGTAACCAAATTAAAACTTGCTGTTTTGGAAGAGAATATGCAATAAGGTGATACTTTATCTTTGTGCTTCTATGAGAACTTTTTCCCTAAAAATGTTCTTAGAGATTCCACCTAGCCTAAATGTGTGGTTTCAAGGCACAAGAGACATCTTGGGGTAAGACACAAAATTCCCAGAACTTTTCTTTTTCATTACTTCTGTTCATGCCTTTACATTAATAAATCCTCAACTTTGAAATTTCTGAGTGAATGGTGAGTTTTACCTCTCTCAACCAGCCTATGAGTTAATTTAAAATTTTCTCACCTCTTTGGCACAGTGGCCAGGATCCATAAGTTTTGTGGTGATGAGATTTAATCCAATTAAAAGGCTGCTTCTTTCCTGCTGTGAGGTAAGCTGCACCTCTTTTTTGTTCCAATTTTCTGGTATTCTTCCCAAAGGGTGCCAGCTCTAGATAAATTAACAACTTTGTAAAGCCTTCTTTCACTGAAGTGACTTCAAGATAACATGCTGAGTCTTTCTAAATTCAGCAGACTAAGAATATCAGTCTCTTTTTTGTCATATTGAAACGTTGGAATTGTGTGTGTGTGTGTATGTATGTGTGTATGTATATTTTCCTTGTCTTTGGCTATCACAGGTCTACATGAAGATTATAAAAATGTGCCATGGAACACCGTTCCTAATAGGCCATTAAAACGATTAAATAATATTGTGTGCCAATTCCTGTTTGTGATGATGAGAGAGAATCTTGCCAGCATGTAATAGGGCAATATTTTATCTACACTAATTGGTTAAATTGTAGCTTTGATAATAAAACTCTATAACTAGCATGCAATAATTGAAGAATATTAACAGTGCTCCATTCATTCCATGTGAATGGAAGATACAACTCTGCGAAGTGTGAGATTTGAACATTTCCTAAGTCTCTGCTCCTTAGAAATCAATTATATTCCTTAAAGTGGTAGTCCTTTAACAAAGACAAAAGTTTCTTAAATCTTGTGAAAAGTGAGAGTACATTATAAAATTATCTCCTCCTCATAATGTTAAAGTTATGCCTTTTGTTTGGTAATGTCAAAAGATAATGTTCAGAAAAAGGTAAAATCATGACTCTCATACAGATATAAAAATAAACATGTGGTAAAGATGTTCTCACTCAGATAAGGAAATCAGACACTTATAACTAGCTCAAAAGAAAAGTCAAAAAGCACAGATTTTTATGGAGTGGAGGAATTGAATTGCAAGTAGAAGCAAAACTGGCTTTTTTAGGAGTAGGAATGTAAGGACGTGTGTGTGTGTGTGTGTGTGTGTGTGTGTGTGTGTGTGTGTGTAGGGGATGTTAATTAAATCTCTATTAGAGTGCAGAATTTATTTGTGTATCAGTTATCTACAGTTTACAAGGTTGTACAATAGCTCAAAGGTAAGGACAAAGGTTAGAATCAGATAATCCAGAAATATGTTCTATAGACAATGCATAGTTTTCCATTGACACATTACAGTTTTCCTACAGTAACTTCCTGATTCTGTTTGTTTTTGATAATTTTCTTACTGGACTTATATATCGTTCCCCGCTTATTGGAGTTAGGATGAAATGCCAAAATGATATATTCAGTAGTGGACTCTAATCCTCTATGTTACTTATTAAACTATTATAAAAGGGGAAATACTTTCAAAAGTTGTGAAAATTCCTTAGCAAGTGTAACACAAAGATTACTCTTATGAATACAATATTGAGCAAAAACATGACATAAAATAATCCATTGAAAGTGATTTAATTTATATAGTTTCCAAAACAGGTAAAAATATTTTGTTTATAAATGTATGCATGTAAAATAAAATTGTAAAGAAAACTAAGGACATAAGTATTATAAAATCCATAAAAGAAGTTCTTATTTGACCAAATGATTCTGCTGACAAATTTAAAAATTGTTTAAATACTATATCAAAATAGAGTGGCATATGAACAGCGCAAGTCCTACCACTCCCCATTCTCACAGCCAGTCACAATGGTTTCCCTTAATGATTTTACACTATTTGAGATCTTGTGCATGTGTGATGCTTTGGTGCTTATGTATAGGGATAGAACAAAATCTTTTCACCCAATCAAGGAATGTTCTAATGGCTTCCCCTCTTTTCATACATTATGGGCTGCCATTATAATAGAAATCATTGTAGAAGAGGAAATAAATCATTTTCCCTCTATTTTCCTAGGTTCCCTCCCCGGGGTCCTACAAATTAGACTGGCAAAAGGCAGATTAACAAAAGAAATATAAACAGACACTTTTTTTTTTTTTTTGAGACAAAGTCTTGCTCTTGCTCCCAGGCTGGAGTGCGATGGCGCAATCTAGGCTCACTGCAACCTCTGCCGCCCAGGTTCAAGTGATTCTCCTGCCTCAGCCTCCCGAGTAGCTGGGATTGCAGATGCCTGCCACTGTGGCCGGCTAATTTTTGTATTTTTAGTGAAGATGGGGTTTCACCATGTTGGCCAAGCTGGTCTCGAATTCCTGACCTCAGGTGATCTGCCCACCTCGGCCTCCCAAAGTGCTGGGATTACAGGCGTGAGCCACCACGCCCGGCCTAAACAGACACTTATTAATGCTTGCATCATCCATACACAAAGGAGCACTCAGTGATGAGTAACTCAAACAAGTGGTTAAAACTTGGGGTTATGTAAAATCTTAACAAAAGAACAATAATGTGGAGAAGTGACAGACAAAGAAAAAGGATTTAGGCTTCTGTATTAGTCCATTCTCACATTGCTGTGAAAACTACCCGAAACTGGGTAATTCATGAAGAAAAGAGGTTTAATTGGCTCACAGTTTTACAGGCTGTACAGGAAGCATGGCTGGGGAGGCCTTAGGAAACTTACAATCATGGCAGAAGGTGAATGGGGAAGCAGGTACATCTTCACATGGTGGAGCAGGAGACAGAGAACAAAAGAGGAGATGCTACACATTTTAAACAACCAGATCTCATGAGAACTCACTCACCATCGCAAGAACAGCAAGGGGGAAGTCTGCCCCCACAATCCAATCACCTCCCACCAGACCCTTCTTCCATCATTGAGGGTTACAATTCCACATGTGATTTGGGTGAGGACATACAGCCAAACCATATCAGCTTCCAAGAGCATCAAGCTGTAGGAAGTTTAGGATTCTGGGGGAAATTAGTGGAGTAAGGTTTGTTTGTGCAGGTCCATCTTGGTGTCAACTTTCCATCTTTCTCATGTTCAAAGAACTTCCCCGTGAGAGGGTATTTATGGCAGTCCTCATTCTCAAGTTTCTGCTTTTAGTCAGAGAAAAGAATCCCCTTGAAGGCTTCTTTCTGCCTTTGGTGAATCTCAAACACCTTTTCTCAAAATCACCCTTATGCTAAAATGGCATATTTTGGAGTGGCATACTCTGGAACCTTTCAACATATAGACCCAAGATTGGCCCTGAAGCATTCTGTTGTAGAGTTTCCCTCCCTCAGAAGGAATAGAGGCTTAGATTGAGGTATTTAGGTAAGGACCCTAGCGTACACATTAAACGAAGGCTACCTGCATATTAACTTTAAAATTTATTGAATTCTAGAGAAAATTGAACCCAATATATTGACAACAACTTGGTTATCTAGAAATTCTCAACAGGGATGCTAGTGGCATTTTGAGCAGGACAATTCTTTAATATTAATTGTCTGTGCCCTAAATACTGCATGATATTTAGCATTGTTGGTAGTTGGGCACTAAATTTCAGTAGCAGCCAAGTTTTTGTGACATCTAAAAACCTCCCACCCATTCATTTCCAATTACAGTTGGGGGATATACCATCTGTATTAGTTTATTTTCACGCTGCTATGATGAAATACCCAAGACATGATGAAATACCTGAGACTGGGCAATTTATAAAGGAGAGATTTAATTGACTCACAGTTCTGCATTGCTGGGGAGGCCTCAGGAAACTTACAGTCGCCGTGGAAGGGGAAGCAAACACGTCCTTCTTCACGTGGTGGCAGAAAGGAGTGCTGAGCAAAGGGGGAAAAGCCCCTATAAAACCATCAGATCTCAGTGAGAACTCACTCACTATCACGGGAACAGCATGGAGAAACCACCCCCATGATTCATTTACCTCCCACTGGGTCCTCCCATGACACGTGGGGATTATGGGAACAACAATTCAAGATGAGATTTGGGTGGGGACAGAGCCAAACCATATCACCATCCCTGGTTTAAAATACTACCACCTTCAGAGGATCATTATTCACAGTACTCAAGAGGTGAAAGCAACTCAACTGTCCATTGACAGATAAATGGATAAACAAAATGTGGTATACACATACAATGGAATATTATTCAGGCTTAAAAATGAAAAAAATTTGGTATACGCTACAACATGGATGAACCTTGTGGCCATTATATGACATGAAGTAAGCCAGTCACAGAAAGATAAATACTGTGTGATTCCACTTATATGAGTAGCCAAACTCATAAAAACAGAAAGTAAAATGGTCATTTTCAATGGGGAAGGGAGAGGGGAAAAGGGGAGATGTTGTTTAATGGGTATAGAGTTTCAGTTTTGCAAGATGAGAAAATTATGGAAATGGCTTGCACAACCATATAAGTATACTTAACACGTCTGTATACTTAAAAATTATTGTGTACACTTAAAATGATTAAAATGAACTTTATACTTCGAATGATTTGTGGTAAATTTTATGTAATATAGATTTTATCACAATTTTAAAAATACTGCCACCAATCTGAAATATTAAGAAAAACATTATTTTAGAGTATAAGGTATTATATTGCTTACATACTGGGACACCCAAATAATGACTTTTTATGAACAAATTATGACTTTAAAATTTGCAAGGGGATAAAACTAGTCATACATTTCAACATCTCAAGAAATATTTCTTTTAAATATATTATTTACAATGACACCAGTTCTCTACTTGGTGGAGTGGCCTGGAAGAATATTTTATAAAAGTCCTAGAGGTTTTCTATACAAGTTATTTCACAAATTTATTGCCAAATAAATGCATTGAGGGCTAGCTCTGGGTAGGAATGTGAAGTCATGTTAAAAATAAAATCTATTAGCACAATTGTCAGAACTTAAATGAATAAATAACAGGATTTTAAGCTCTGGAGAGTCTTGGAAATTTTTTTCATGCCTCAGCTCTTACCACAGTTGTCCTTTGTGCTAACAAGCCCATTCTGCAGGCTTTTCATTGCTTGTGTAGAAACATGCTAAGCAGCAATATTTCTTGAAGATAGAATTTATTTCTAATAAATTGTCAGGTCCTCCCAACCAGTATTTTATTTAAGCAAACAATGTCAAATCTTGACTTTTCTAGATGTTACATTAAGGGAGAAACAGAGAAACACATTTGAAAACACTAAACTTGGGTCAAGAGATTTGATCAGGTAAGGTTAAAATTTAAGCTTAGATTTGATCAGGTTAGGTTAAAATTTAAGCTAAAAGTAAACTAAAGGCTAACCTAAGATATTAATGTCACATCAAAGTGAGATAGAGCCAAGGTAATTCCATAGTGTTTGGTGTTAACACATGAACTTGGCCCTAATGTAGTACTAAAAGATGTGGTAGGTTTTCCAAGGAAATTTTTAAATGAGATATATTTGAGTCCTGTCCTCCATTAATGCACAGAATATCCTTCTTTATGTCTACCCAGATTTATGTCCTTTTTAATCATCTTTTCAAGGAGTGGTGCAAAAATGTGGATGTAGGGAAAGGAGAGGTGTGACAATAAATGTTATTTACAAAAAGTCATTAAGGAAAGAGAGTTTGTGTGGTATGAAATAAAAAACAAATCTGGGCTTAGATAAGGAGAGACTATTGCAATAGAGAAAGGAGAGCTACTGTAATACAGAGAACACTCAGATCCTAAGATTTCTAAGCATCTTAAAGGGCAGGCAGATACGGTCTTTCTTTCTTTTTCTTTCTTTCTTTCTTTATTTCTTTCTTTCTTTCTTTCTTTCTTTCTTTCTTTCTTTCTTTCTTTCTTTCTTTCTTTCTTTCTTCTTTGGTTCTTTCTTTGATTCTTTGTTTCTTTCTCTCTTTTTTTCTTTCTTTTTAATTTGCAATGCTTATTTTTTTAGTGTAGTATATTTAATTGTCAAATGAAGATTTAATATATACCAGCTGTATAACATGACGATTTGACATAGGTATACATTATGTAATGATTACCGCAATCAAATTAATTCAAACGTCTGTCGCCACCCATGCTGTACATTAGAGTCCCTGAACTTGTTCATCTTGTAGCTGAACGTTTATACCATTTGACCAGCATCTCCCCATTTTCCCCACCTTTCTTTAGTCCGTGGCAACCACTGTTCTATGCTCTTGATTCTATGAGATCTACACCCCATGCTCATTGCAGCTTTATTCAGAATAGCCAAGCTATGGAAGCAACCTAAGTGTCCATCAATGGATGAATGGACAAAGAAAATGTGATATAGAAGGAAATTCTGTCATTTGCAACAACATGGATGAACCTGGAGGGTATTATGGTAAGTGAAATAAGCCAGGCACAGAAAGGAAAATACTACATGATCACACTTACGTGTAAAATCTAAACAAGTTGAACTCATGACTTTTCTTTATAGGGAAGAGTAAACAAGTCTAGGAAGAATTGGGTGTGGGGATATGGAATGAGCAGATGTGGTAATCAGACAGTTAAGCAGGACATGTTTTACTTTGAGGTCAGCTGATTCTCTGGGAGATGCTTTTAGAGGAGGTGAGGTTGCCCCACATTCCAATGTTTGCTGGAGCTCAAGGGTGGGCTGAAATTTAGGGGCCTGGGGAAAAAAGAAATGCTGACTAAAATTTGCTGATGTCAAGTTAGTAGGCACTTACCCAATTTGGTCAGTGGGGGCAAGTCATTCAGCCAATTATTTATGAGACAAAGAATGGAAATTTGGAGGGTCTGTGTCTGGCCTTTTCATAGGTGAGCAAGGGGGCATCTGGGAGTCTTATCTGATTCATATGGAAAATGATGGTTCTGTAGAGTGACACAGGGGTCCCTAACCCCCAGGCCACTGATTGGTACGAGTCTGTGGCCTGTTAGGAATCAGGCAGCACAGCAGGAGGTGAGCAAGCATTACTGCCTGAGCTCCGCCTCCTGTCAGATCAGCCATGGCATTAGATTCTCATAGGAGTGCAAAGCCTATTGTAAACTGCACATGAGAGGGATCTAGGTTGCATGCTCCTTATGACAATCTAATGCCTGATGATCTGAGATGGAATAGTTTTATCCCAAAACCATACCCAACCCCGCAACCTGGGTCTGTGGAAGCATTTTCTTCCACTGGTGCCAAAAAGATTGGGGAGGCCGGGCGTGGTGGCTCACGCCTGTAATCCCAGCACTTTGGGAGGCCAAGGTGGGTGGATCACGAGGTCAGGAGTTTGAGACCAGCCTGGCCAATATGGTGAAACCCCATCTCTACTAAAAATATAAAAATTAGCTGGGCATGGTGGCACGCGACTGTAGTCCCAGCTACTTGGGAGGCTGCGGCAGAAGAATCGCTTGAACCTGGGAGGCGGAGGTTGCAGTGAGCCGAGATGGCACTACTGGGTGACAGAACGAGACTCGGTCTCAAAAAAAAAAAAAAAAAAAAAAAGTTTGAGGACTGCTGCAGCAACCCATTTCCCAGAACACAAGTGTGAAGATTTTCTTCACTGTCACTGTTTGCTGTTTTCCAGGAGCACAAGGCTTAGTGTAAGTTCAAAATTGTCAGTAGCTTAGTGGAAAGCATCCAGGTTGTTAAATCCTTAAGTTAAAGTCTTGGTTCTTAAACCTATTGGTTTGACTGTGTGCAATCTACTTGGCATGTTTGGGCCTCAGATTCATTAGAGATCATGATACAACTTCAACTTAATTACACAATTGTTGTGAGAATCAAAGGAGAAGAAAAGGAAATGCATTTTAATGGGCCAAATAAAGTTGCCACTATTAAGTCATCTATGGGTCAGATCTTTCTAGGACAACTGCTTCACAGTTATCGTTTGTCCACAGAAACATCACTTCTTATTTGTTCAAGTTCTAGTATATTGCCATGAAACCCAATGCAGACAGGCCTATTATAGACTACCAGAGTTTTGCTCACAATTCTCAGTTGTTGACTACGCAAGGAAACTCTTATAAAACCACAAACTCTGATAGGAACAGTTTTCATATTTGCATTCATTTATTTGATTATCACATGTTCACTCCTTTTTGGGATAAAAGCTCCTAGACATACGGGAGAGAATTCAGCTCAATGTCTCATTGATTGGGAAAGATACAGCAGTATTACAGGTTTCACAGGGGGACGTCTCCATATATTCATGGATGTGATAAAGTTATATGAAATTTTGTGTAATATTTATAGCAAAACACATAAAAGGAAGCACTGTAATGATTTTAGAGATTCAAATCTCTAATACAATAATATAATTTGACATAAAATTGATAATTACAAAATTTAAAAATAAAACATAAGTTTCCTTTGTAGAACTTTGCAAAATTTTAAATCAATATACTCAAACTCACTCCAGTGCTATTAATGCTTATGTCTCAGTATATCTAGGGTCATTTGTGGCCTTTTATTTTTCTTTCCCATCAGTAAACACCAATATGTCTTTTGAACTCATTATTGGCAGGTACTGCATTTTATGAAAATTGACAGCTCAGAAAGTGATGGGGGAAAAAATGTAGATCATGGAATCATGGCATGCTGGGGCATTTCTGGCATTTACTACTGGATGTGCTATTCCCAGGTACATTCTCCCTTAGGCATCTTTAGTTCTCGAGCCTTCAACTTTTCTCAGAAAGGATAATATATTTCTTATTCCTATTAATCACGGACCCAACCTAGTGCTGGCTTCTCCCTCTTCAATCCCATTCTCAGAAATGAGAAAGTATTTTTTTATACCTTTGTATGACCTTCTGTGTATTCTGATAATAAGAAAATATGATTAATGTTCCAAAAAGAATAAAAGGAAGGGCAGGTCCTATCCAAACATTTCTCCTTACCCATCATGGTTTCTATGCTTATTATTACAATCACTTCCTTTTAAAATGCTCTGAACTCCTTTGCACTCTCTTCCTCCCTTAATTACTCCCAGTTGGTAAATCTCAACCCTTCAACTATTTTCACCCAAGGAGCAGAAAATTTCTGGGAAAAATAAAATCCACACAACTTTGCTGACCATTCCCACTTTAAATTCATAGCAACTATCAGAGAAAGAGCACTAAAGTCTAATACATTTTCCTAGGATATTTATTTTCCCACTTTTCAAAACAGTCAGTTTATAGATCCATCTCTCTATTTAAGCTCCTACTCTCATACCCCAATCCAATCTCAGCTGCTAAGGTTGCCTCCTACTTCATGAATAGAAGCAAAGAGCATCTCTGCCAGCTTCCTTGTCGACCAACTTTCCAGAACCTTCACCCTTTTTATGAGGTAACAGTACCTCTACTCCTATCAAAAGCTATCACCCCCAATTTATCACGGAGTGGCATCCCTTCTGCCTTCTCAAGGGCAATTCCCCCATTTCTATTTTTTCATCTTACCCACAGAAAACACACTTTGGCAACTCCCTTCTCGTAAAAGAAAGAATTCCCACCTTAATATCGTCCTCCAACCAACACTCTTTTTAACTGCTCTTCCTCACATAAAAACTTTTCAAATTCATTGTGGTTTTGGACACCTTTGCTTTGTCAGCACCCATCCAAACAGCCTATTAAATCGATTTGTCAAAGCTTCTAACAAACTTCCATAGTGCCTTATCCAAACATTCTCATCTTACTCAACTTCTTTGTATCCCTTAAGTCTATTGACCTTCTTGAAATATGTCTAGTCTTCACGAAACATTTCCTTCTCTCGATTCCACATTCCCAGATTTATCTCATCATTGACTCCTCGGCCTCCTTTGCTGGTTTCACCTCTTCTCCACTTCCACATGATGGAAAGATCCAGGGCACAGTCCTTCCTATGCTCTCTTCCTAGACCAGTGGTTCTCAAGCCCAGACGCTGTCTCAAATCACTTAGAGGGTTCTTTAAATATGTAAATACAGAGAATATCCTCTCAACATTTTAAATTTAATTGACCTGGAACAGGGCATGACATCTATACGTTTAAGAAGCTTTTTAGACGATTCCAAAGTGCAGTCAGGATTGAGGAACACTGCCCCAGAAAATATGCAGGCCCATAGTTCTAAGTACCAATTATATGCTGTTGATTCCAAATAGATATCACCAGCCAGGATCTTTCCCTGTTTGCCTATTTGATATTGCCATTTAGATGTCAAAGCATCTTAAAAGGAACATATTCAAAATGGAATTTGATGTATTACCTTTCCTCAATTCTGCACAGCTAATCTATCAAGTATTACTGACATCCTATCAAAAATATATCTTGAATGTATCCCTTTTTCTTCATTTCCACTATCTCTTTCCTAATTCAAGTTGCTTTGATTGTATTCCTTGTCTGCTGCAATAGCCTTTCCACTGGTCTCCTTGCTTTTATATCCCATTCTTCTCCATTCTGCATACCATAAGCAGACTTTTGTTAATGTAAACCATACCAAGTTTCTCCTTTGTTTTAATGTCCTCTAATTGCTTTGCACTGCTCTTAAAATACAAACTCCTTACTATGATTTTTAAAGGCCCTATGCGATCTATCCCAGGGTGCTTCCTAAAGCAATTTTCATATGACATTTTCAATTACTCACTATCCTCCAACCTTACTATTTTCTGTTTTGCAAACACATCATGATTTCTCTTGCCTTAAGGCCTTTGCACTCACTGGTCCCTCTGTACCTAGTTGGCCCTTTTCCATACCTTGTGCTTCATCTTTCCGCTATGGGGCCGAGTATAATTTCCTCAAAAATATCACAGTTGTTAAGAACACTGTCTGTGTGTCAAACTATATAGGTTAAAATCTCATCTCCATCATTTCCTAATAGTGTGATCTTAAAAGAGCTAGGTAAACAATCTGGACTGAGTATCTGCATATGTAAAATTAAGATGACAATAATGCCAACATCCTAAGTTGTTGAAATAGCCTAATCAATATATATGGGAAACAGAGAAGTATTTGATGCATAAGTGTCCAATAAATGTTAACTGTTACTATAATTCTCTGATTATCTTATATAAAGCAAGGTAGCTAGTCTATCACCTTGATTTTTGTCTTCAAAAACACTTAATCTCCCCTAATCTCCCTTTTCTTGATTATTTTTTAATTAATTTCTATTTTAATTAATTTTTATTTTCTGCCTTCTCAAACTACACCCATCACTACAACCGAAGCCCTACTAGAATTTAAGTTCTATGAAAGCAGGGATTTTATTTGTCTTGTTCAGTGCAGATTACACAGATATAGAACAGAACCAGGCACAGAGTAGGTGCTCAGTAAATATTTGTTAAATCAATGGCGATGAGTATAAATTGAGCATAGGTTTTATTCATGTTTTTAAAGAGAGGAATATGTGAGAATGAAATCAGTAGATATCAGTGAGTATAGACATTCTAAAAATAAAGAACTATTTTATTGGGTTTAAACCTGACTCTGTGCCTCTTTCGAAGACAAGACTTTGGATAACTCAAAAGTGGAAGATGACATATTACTTCCATAGAAAAAACATCAGGTTTTTAAAAACTTGCCATACAATTACCACAATCATGATAAAAATCAATTGTACATTTTTTTCTAAAAGATATTATACTGAAATAAATTCAAATTCTATTAGTCAAAATGAAGTATTATAAGGTAGTATTTTCATCTAAAAGTTTAAGATCAATTCATTTTTGGATGCAAATTAACTACATGTTCAACCGGCAGAGCATGGTGGCTCACGCCTGTAATCCCAGCATTTTGGGAGGACAAGGCGGGCGGATCACGAGGTCAGGAGATCGAGACCATCCTGGCTAACACAGTGAAACCCCGTCTCTACTAAAAATACAAAAAATTAGCCGGGTGTGGTGGTGGGCACCTGTAGTCCAAGCTACTCGGGAGGCTGAGGCAGGAGAATGGCCAGAACCCGGGAGGCAGAGCTTGCAGTGAGCCGAGATCGCGCCACTGCACTCCAGCCTGGGCGACAGAGCAAGACTCGGTCTCAAAAAACAAAAACGAAACAAAAAAAAAAAACTATATGTTCAACCAATGGACGATGATTTAATTGGAAGAGAAGACCCTACAGCTTATGTTTACAATTTAAAGACAAATACAATCTTCAGATTTCTTTAGAATGCATTTTTTAAAATAATATAAATTTATCTTGATTACTACAACTTCATCCTCAAAAACCAAATTTTGTCTGCCCAAGAAAGGATATGAGCAGTGTAAAGCAAGTTCAAAAGCTCTCGAATGAATAGAGAATCAGTCATGCTGAAGGGGCTTCACATTTTATTAAATGAGTTTTCAAGAGACATCAGATTCTTCATCATATTCTACCACTTAGGTTGAGTGGATTCTAAAAAATCATGGGAATTTCAAGGACAAATGCCCCTTTATTGTCTTCTAAAAACCCCATGTGGTACATTCCAAAACATCATTCTATATTTTTATTGAATTTGAAAAAGTGAAATGAAACAGAATAAAAATTTCTTTGTTGTAATGCTAATACTTCAAAAACTGGGCTTATAAATTGTCACCACACCTCAGCTTTGGGACTAAGGAATCTCTGCTCTCCTCAGTTCTCTCTTTGTGTAAAAATGTTGAATGGAGGAGTAGTCTCAGATGCTTATTTATTTGAGTCACAATAGCTGCCTGAGAAAACCCTAAGCAAAAGTAAATGAATGCATGGATTTTCTGTTCCTGTATTGTTTTCTTGGTTTCCCAGTGCTCCAGTGATTTCATCCAAGAGGAAAGCACAAAAAGAGTTTGAATCGCATGGCAGATTTAATTTCACTTCAAGAACTTGTCAACTCACTAAAAAGAAAGCTGACCTACCTCACCATTAGTTTTGTATTACTAATGAGCCTTAAAAGATGAATAACCCATCTTTGAACAAATTTTAAGTGGTTGTCTTATATCAAAGCTGTCTTTTAACTTTTAGTAGTACCTGCAATCACCAGACTGAGTTGTACTATATAGGTGCCAACTAGGAAGAGACTGGTTCACAGAGATTTGGGTATTAACTGTCTAACAGTCACAACTATATGTCATTTTGGAACAACTTACATATTAGAGTAACTTTAAGTTGGTTACTTTTTAAAACACAGTTTTGGCCGTGCGCGGTGGCTCACGCCTGTAATCCCAGCACTTCGGGAGGCCAAGGTGGGCGGTTCATGAGGTCAGGAGATCAAGACCATCCTGGCTAACACGGTGAAACCCCGTCTCTACTAGAAAAAAAAAATACAAAAAACGTTAGCCAGGCGTCGCGGCAGGCGCCTGTAGTCCCAGCTACTCGGGAGGCTGAGGCAGGAGTATGGCGTGAACCTGGGAAGCAGAGCTGGCAGTGAGCTGAGATCGCACCACTGCACTCTAGCCTGGGCAACAGAGTGAGTTGAGACTCCGTCTCAAAAAAAAAAAAAAAAAGAAAAGAAAAAAAACCCCACAGTTTTGAGAAGAAAAAAATGTTCTTTTAAAAAATAATGGCCGGGTGTGGTGGCTCACGCCTGTAATCCCTGCACTTTGGGAGGCCGAGGTGGGTGATCACCTGAGGTCAGGAGTTCGAGACCAGCCAGGCCAACATGATGAAACCCCGTCTCTACTAAAAATACAAAAAAAAAAAATAATAATAATTAGCTGGGCATGATGGTACGTGCCTGTAATCCCAGCTACTCAGGAGGCTGAGGCAGGAGAATCACTTGAAGCCGGGAGGCGGAGGTTGCAGTGAGCTGAGGTTGCAGTGAGCCAAGATTGCGCCACTGCACTCCAGCCTGGGCAACAAGAGCAAAACTCCATCTCAATAAATAATAATAATAATTAAACTTTAAAATCAGATATATAAATATTTGCTGAGAAATATATTATTCACCGGATTCTAAATATAAGTTAAGTATCAAGTTTCTTACCCACCACTTCTCTCACCTACTATTCAGTAATGTCAATTACAACTTGAACGTCAATATGTAAATATCACAATTTTGGTCCAAGCAGGCCTTACATGTGAGTAGATAAGATGGAAAGATGCCAAAAGACACATTGTGCCTCCGAAAATATCTCTCATTTTGCCTCATCTGAAGCACCAATTGCTAGTCATTTAATTGAGCACCATCTCCAGAAGAACTTGGTGACATCCACATATTACCCCTTGGAATCACAGACATGACTTACTACTTTCACAAAGGTACATTGCTCAGATTAGCTAATTTCAAAATCCCGGAAACCAATAAAAAATTGTGATATCAGAATGGAGAAATGTCCATGCTGCATCAGTCCATTCAGGATGCTATAACCCATAAACTGGGTGGCTCATAAACAACAGAAATTTATTTCTCAGGGTTCTGTGGCTGCAAAGTCCAAGAGCAAGGTACTAGCAGATTCAGTGTCTGGTGAGGGCCCACTTTCTGGCTTATAGACAACAATCTTCTCACTGCATCCTCACATGGCAGAAGGGGCGAGGCAGCTCTTTAGGGCCTCTTTTGTAAGGGCAGTAATCCCCTTCATGAGGGCTCCACCATCATTACCTAATCACCTACCAAAGGCCCCTCACCTCTAAACACCATCACTTTGGGGATTAGAATTTCACCGTATGAGCTATGACGGGACAAATTCAGTTCCTAACACATGCACTGTATGGAGAGCATGAGGGAAGATCCACTTGTGCCTGGCTCCATGACTGGGTTTGGATCCAGAAAAGAAAGCAGAATGGAACATTCTAGGCCATGCTGTTATCTATTGGAGAGGCTTAAAAGCACCACTTCTGTGACCTGATTGGAGAAGTCAGTTACCAGATATGTAGTAGGAATAAATGTAGGCCCGGGAAGGAGGAAGCAAAAATATAGGGGAAAAATATTGGGGGAAGGGAAGGGAATAAATATAACAATCTGCAAGTGTCTAGAGAAGAGTTATTTCAGTAGGAATCTTGGTGACATTGAATTTTAGCCACTTGAATACACATCTCCTGCTGAGGAGACCAATTTTTAGGGGGATAAAGCTATTTGGAGCATTTTGAAGGTTATGCTAGTTGTTTCCAACATTTAGACTGTGTAATCCTGGATGGCCTTGAATGATTTCTTCAACAATTGAATCCTAACACCACCCCTATATAAAGTAGGGAGCAATGAACAACTTTGATAATAAGAACAAAATCTGCACAATCAAAAAGGTCAGAAACAACTGCTACAGTGGATGATGAAGCACTAGATGGGATGCCGAGCTCAACAGATGTTACTTTTTTTTTTTTTTTTTTTTTGAGACGGAGTTTTGTTCTTGTCGCCCAGGCTGGAGTGCAATGGCGCCATCTCGGCTCACCGCAACCTTCACCTCCCGGTTCAAGCGATTCTCCTGCCTCAGCCTCCCGAGTAGCTGGGATTACAGGCATGCACCACCATGCCCGGCTAATTTTGTATTTTCAGTAGAGATGGGGTTTCTCCATGTTGGTCAGGCTGGTCTCAAACTCCCGACCTCAGGTGATCCGCCCGCCTCAGCCTCCCAAAGTGCTGGGATTACAGGCATGAGCCACCACGTACAGCCTTACTTTTTGTTTTATTTTTAACTCTGAATTATCAAAATCCAAGCATGAGAGTGGTATATACCTAACAAATAAGAGCAGAGCTAATTTTTCTCATGAGCCAAGGATAGGACTTCTAAAGAAATGTGACAAAAATAAAGGCTGGGTTGATGGACTTGTAGATGCACAGTGGGCTAGATGTCGTTACAGATTTCTGTCAAAATTGAGTTAATTGCCCAATAATGTTTAGAAGATCAGTGTATTTCTTTGCAAAGGCTAAAAATAGAATCGTGCCTTTGTTCGGGGCTGAATTGTGTCCCCCTACAGAAAGAGATGTTTAATTATTTAATACCTGGTACTTCAGAACTAATCTTATTTGGAAATAGGGTTATTGCAGATGTAATCAGTGAAGATAAGGTTATACTGGAGTAGGGTGGCTCCTAATCCAATATAATTGGTGTTCTTAAAAACAAACAGCCATGTGAAGACATAGACATATACGGAGAATTGTATGTGACAACAAAGGCAGAGATTGGAGTTACTCACCTGCAAAGGAAGGAATGCCAAGGATTGCCAGCAAACCACTGGAAGCTAGGGAGAGGCAAGGAGGTATCATCCCCTACTGGTTTCAGGGGCAGAATGGCCCTTTTGGCACCTTGATTTCAGACTTCTAGCCTCCAGAACAATGAGATGATAAATTGCTGCTGTTCCAAGCCACACCATTTGTGGTACTTTATTATGGCAACCCTAGGAAAGTAATACAGCTTCCTATGCTAAAAAGGAGGACTTGAATACCTCTACTCCAAGTACCTTAGTATGCCTTCTAGGATCCGAAAACAAAGCGTGTGAAGCTCTAAGACATGGGAATTGGAAGAGAGATCGTTTCAAAAAGTAATTGTTTTCTAGGTAGCCTCATCTTGCCTAACTTTTCCTCTTTCTCACTTTATGCTCCAAAAATTCCTCTCTACTTCCAGGTCCTGAACATGAGGTATTCTTTCACACTTTTCACTTTGTTGCATGCAGTCATGTGCCTCATTAATAATATTTTGGTCAATGATGGGCCACATATGCAACAGTGGTAATATACAATTATAAAATCATGTTTTCCTTTACCTTTTCTATGTTTTCTAAACATATGTTTCGATACACACTTACAATTGTGTTACAATTGCCTACAGTATTCAGTAAAGTCACATCCTATACAGGTTTGTAGCCCAAGAGTAATAGGTTATACCATATGGCCTCAGCGTGTGGTAGGCTGTACTCTCTAGGTTTGTGCAAGTACATTCTATGATGTTTGTACAATGACAGAATAACCTAATGATGCATTTCTCAGAACATATTCTCATTGTTAAGAGATGCATGACTGTACTAATCCATCTAAGTGAAATCCCCTCTGCATCCAACTAGGTCTCCCCTCCCTATTTCTACCCCAACTGAGTCTTATTATAAGGCTCATTGCTTCATATTATTTGTTGAATGAATTAATGAATAAGTAAACATTATTCAAAATCTATAAGACTTCCACAGAAAGCCTTATAGTATAAATACTCACAGTTTATGATCCAATAAAGTTAAAATAAATCAAAAGATGACCAGAATATATACTTGGAATATTTTAAAAAGGAAAGAAAAAACGGAAATTAAAAATCTATCTACCTAAAAAGCAGACAGCAGGAAAATATTCCATGCAAAAATAAATGGGAGTCATCAAAAGTTACACTCAGAAAAAAATACGTATCTTATATGTTTTCATTATTATTGAAAAAGGAAGAAAAGTAAATAATATAACCGTCATGGAAAGAAATTAAAAACACAAAGGAAACAACCCTAGAAAAAGAAAGTTTGTATAGATAAAATATAGTTAAGTACCTAAATGCATTAGATTAAAACACCAACACAAACTAAAGTAAACAGAATCTTTAAAAAGATTTTTTAAGGCTTACAAGTTGGAACAAGAAAAAAATAGAAAATCATTGTATGTAAAATTAAGAATAAGAATAGTGACACAACTTAATGTAGGTAAAGGATTAAAATACTTCTAATTTTATAACACATGTAATTCTATGGCACCACATTTGAAAATCTAGAGGAATTACATGATTCCTAACTAAACATGTCAAAAACTAAAATAGGCCTATTACTAGTAACATAATTAGAAATATTAGTTAAAATCTGCCATTAAAAAGAACCTCAGAACAAGTTTATTTTACAAATGAGTTCTAAAGTTCTGAAGACTAGATCATTTCAATGTTTTTAAAGAAGTTTCAATTCTTAGAAAAATTCTCAAATTCCATTTATTAAGGCTGCATAACTGTGCTAACAGAATCTTTTAAAAATGTACAACAAATATAGAAAGTAAATGCTAAAATTGTGATGGAAATAGTAATCTGTAGAACAAATCAATGTGTAAAAAAAAACCCTGTATACTGTGACCAAGTAGAGTTTCTTCCAGTAATCCAGTAATCCTATGTTAGTTTTTATTAATATAGTTTATGACTCAATAGCTTAATATGACTTTGTGTTGCTATAAAGGAGTACCTGGGGCTAGGTAATTTATTTAAAAAGAGGTTTATTTGGCTCATAGTTCTGTAGGTTGTGCAACAAGCATGACGCCAGCATCTGCTTCTGGGGAGGGCCTCAGAATGCTTCCACTCATGGTGGAAGGTGAAGGGTAGCAGTGTGCAGAGAACACATGGTGAGACAGGAAGCAAGAGAGAGGGTGGAGGCGGTGCTAGGCTCTTTCTAACAATCAGTTCTCTCAGGGAACTAATAGAGTAAGAACTCACTCGCTCCCATGAGAATGGCACCAAACCATTTATGAGGGATCTGTGCCCCACCCATCCAACATCTCCCACCAAGCCCCACTTCCAACACTGGTGATCAAATATCGTCAGATTTGATGGGGCCAACCAAACTACATCCAAATCCTAGCATGACTTAATTTCTGAATAGGCAATTCTCATCTTTTTACTATTCTTTTTTCAAAATTATTTTGGTTTATCATGAACCTTCATGCTTTCATAAAAACTTAGAATTAGTTTGTCACATTCCCCCAAAATTTCAACTTGAGTTTTCAGTGGCATTTCATGAAATTTAAGTAGTAATCCAGCTTTTATTATTTTGTTTTGTCATTCATTAATATAGCATATCTTTCCATTTATTCATAGCTGCTTTTATGCCCTATTTAGGAGACATCTACAGTTTTTTCTATACGTGTATTGTGAATCCTTGGTTAGATTAATCGTTAGCTACATTTTGGGTCATGTTGCTAATATATCCTAGGTTTTATTAAATTTTTAATTGGATGTTTCTGCTTTACAGGAATTGTTTTATTCACATCATTTGAGAAAGGTGAGAACATTATTTTTTTCCTTCAAATATTTTTTGACATATTTAGTTGGCCAGAAGCTCTAGATTATAATGAACTTTAACCACCATAGGGAGGATGCATCTTACCTTGGTTCTTTGAGTGTGATATTAGCTGTTGATTTGGTGGGTAATTGTCCATTAACTACTATCTAGTTAAGAACTACCCTTTGAATTATCGTTTCTTTTTTTAGTAAATATATCTTGGATCTCTCAAATTCTTTGCCTGCATATACTTAAAATTGTATGACCTTTTTCACCTTTAGTTCACAAGGTGTTTAATTTTTTTGAGAGTTTTTCTGATGTTAAATGATCTTTTAGTGTAGGTACAATCCCGACTTAATTATGAGATATGTTCTTTTTTTAACCACTGTTAGATTCAGTTGCCAACATTTTGTTCAGGAATTTAAAAAATGTGCCCATAATTGAAATTAATCAATAATTTTCTTATACTATGCTTTTTCGCTATATTGGGGGGCATTCTTTCTTTGTATTTTGTGTTAAGATTATTTATTCCTTGAAAGTTTGCAGAAACTCACATATAAAGTCATCTGGATCTGAGGCTTTTGGGAAGAGTGGTTATATGTGAACGTGAAGGGAAATGTAGATAAATATTTGATTTCTTTCAGGACTCATATGTTCCACATTTCTTCAAATTATTAAATGTATTTGCATATGGTTGTTTATAACTTTTTATTATTTTAATGCCTATTATAGCTGTAGTTATTTTTCATTTTTTCTTCTGTATTTGGTTATTTATATATTTATTTTTATCAATCTGACTTGAGACTTGTTTTTCTCATTAGTCTTTTCAGAGGGCCAGCTTTTTCGGTTTTTTTAAATCAGTTTCACTGGTTGTTGCTTCTGAAATTCATTCATTTATGTCTTTATTTTTATGATTTTTGTTTAATGTTCCTGTTTAATTCCTTTTCTAGCTTCTTGAGTTGAATGCTTAGCGCATCCATTAAAATCCTTTCGTTTTCTAATAAATATCTTTAAATATACAAAACTTCCTCTACAGACTGAATTCCACATACTTTCACATGTGCTTTTATTGTCATCATTGTCATTCAGCTACAAGTATTTTATAATTTATCGTATGGTTTTTCTTTACTAACTGAGTTATGTAGTGGTTTTTCTGTAATATTATAAATGTGTAGGCTGCTTTAAGTTATAATAATATCATATTTTTTGTTACTGCATATTACAGTCAGAAAATATTGTCTCTGACTATATTGATTCTTAGAGATTAAACAAAGCTTTCTTTGACACCTAGCACATGGTGAATTTTGAATTTTGTAAACGATTCATGTGTGCTTGAAAAGAATATATATTCTGTTTGTTGAAATTAATGAGATACCATCTCACACCAGTCAGAATGGCTATTACCAAAAACTCAAAATATAGCAGATGTTGGCAAGGATGTGGAGAAAAGAGAACATTTATGTATTGTTGGTGGGCATGTTAGTTAGTACAGCTTCTATGGAAAACAGTATGGAGATTTCTTGAAGAACTAAAAGTAGAACTACTATTTGATCCAGTAATCCCGCTACTGAGTATTTACCCAAAGGAAAAGAAATCATTATATCAAAAGACACCAGCACTTGTGTGTTTACTGCAGCACTATTCACAATAGCAAAAATATGGAATCAACCTGTGTCCATCAATGGATAATTGGATAGTGAAAATATGGTATATATACACGATGGAATACTATGGAACTGTAAAAATAATGAAATCATGTCTCTTACAGCAACATGGATGGTGCTGGAGGCCATTATCCTAAGTGAAATAACTCAAAAATGGAAAATCAATACCACATGGTCTCACTTATAAAAGGGAACTATATAATAGGTACACATGAACATATAGATGGAGATAATAGACACTGGGGACTCCCGAAGAGGGGAGAGTGGAAGGAGGGAGAGGGTTGAAAAATCACCTATTGATTACAATGTTCAATAGATAATTTTGGTTGGTGCAAACATAATTGTGGTTTTTGCATTGTTGGAATTTCCTGTTTGATATTGGAATACATTCTTAAATGTGGTTATGTTATACATCATTTTAATGGGCATTTCTCACTCTTTTTTTTTTTTTTGCTAATGACTTCTTACTTACTTTTTATTTTATGTTTATTGTTGACTATGGAAGTGATGTTAGGCAAAAAGTAAATTCGAGTGATTTTCTTATTCGAGTTCAAAATGGGTTTTAAAGCAGCACAGACAACTTGCAACATCAACATATTTGGCCCAGGAACTGCTAAGGAACATAAAGTGCAGTGGTGGTTCAAGAAGTTTTGCAAAGGAGACGAGAGCCTTGAAAATGAGGAGCCTAGTAGCTGGCCATCAGAAGTTGACAACGACCAATTGAGAGGAATCATCAAAGCTGATCCTCTTACAACTACACGAGAAGTTGCCAATGAACTCAACGTCTGCCCCAGTCATTCAACATTTGAAGCAAATTGGAAAAGTGAAAAAGCTCGATAAGTGGGTGCCTCATGAGCTGAGCACAAATTTTAAAAATCATCATTTTGAAGTGTTGTCTTCTCTGATGCTACGCAACAACGATGAACCGTTTCTCAATCAGATTGTGTGACGAAAAAGTGGATTTTATATGACAACTGGTGACGACCAGCTCAGTGATTGGACCGAGAAAAAGCTCCAAAGTACTTCCCAAAGCCAAACATGCACCAAAAAAAGGTCATGGTCACTGTTGGATGGTCTCTTGCCAGTCTGATCCACTACAGCTTTCTGAATCCCAGAGAAACTATTTCATCTGAGAAGTATGCTCAGCAAATCGATGAGGTGCACTGAAAACTGCAATGGCTGCAGCTGGCATTGGTTGAGAGATAAGGCCCAATTCTTCTCCACAACAGCACCTGACCGTATGTCGCATAACCAATACTTCAAAAGTTGAACGAATTGTGCTATGAAGTTTTATCTCATCTATCATATTCACCCGACCTCTCACCAACCGACTACCACTTCTTTAAGCATCTCAGCAACTTTTTGCAGGGAAAATGCTTCCACAACCAGCAGGATGCAGAAAATGCTTTCCAAGAGTTTGTGGAATCCCAAAGCATGGATTTTTATGCTACAGGAGTAAACATTTCTCATTGACAAAAATATATTGATTGTAATGGTTCCTATTTTGATTAATAAAGATGTGTCTGAACCTAGTTATAATGACTTAAAATTCACAGTGTTCACCATCATGTAATATATACATGTGACCAACCTGCACATGTACTCCCTGAATCTATATAAATAAAACATTTTCTGTATTTATAATATTAAAGTTCAAACTTAATAATACTATTATTCAGTTAGCCTTTTATTGCTTGCTTAATCTATCAGTATCTAATAAAAAGAGTATAATAAAATCTGTAATTACAATTGTTGATTTCTGCATTTCTTTGCTTGGTTGTGTCTATTGTAGCTCTATAAATTTTGAAGCTGTTGTTAATGTAAAGATGTTCAAGACTGTTACATCTTTTTCAATTATTTTTCTGCTTACCAACATTCAATGTGCGCCAATTTAAAATCTATTTTGTCTGAGATTAAAATTACCCCCCACTCAGCTTGAATCTCTTCATCTTTATCTGATACAGCTTTTCCCTTCCATTTTATTTAAATAAATAGCTGGATCTTTATCTTATGTGCTTATTTGCTTGCTTTTTAATCCAATCTGACAGTTTATCTCTATACATAAATTTAAAATATTTTTATTTCTATTTTTTGTACTGTTATATTAGGCCTCGTGTCTGCACTTTATTTCATGTTTTAATTTGAAAATTATTTTGTAATATATAGCATTCTCCTTTTTTACTTTTCAATGGACACATCAAATTTTATATTCTCTGGATCAAAGGTTATCTATTATATTTTTGTTCATCAGATGATTACATTAAATTGCCAATATTGATATTGATGTTTATTTTTTTCCAGTCCATTTGGAAAGTTTCCCAATGGAAGGCACCCCCAAAGGGCTCTCTCCTCCACTCTCTGTACTCTTTTACTACCTAAGCACCTTTTCTCAAATCGTTAACATCATTCAGAGCAGCAGTTTTCAAACTGTGGTCTGCAGCCCTTTGGGGGTGCCCAAGACACTTTCAAAGTATATGCCAGGTCCAAATTGTTTTCACAATGATACTAAGTATTTATCTGCCTTTTTCATTCTGCTTCGTTCGTGAGTATATAGTGTATTTTTTCCGGAGGCTGCATGACATATATCACAACAGGCTGGTATTAGAATCTAGCTGTTTCCTACAATTAAAATATTTGCAAAACCCTGAAACAGTGCCAATCCTTAAATTTTTCTGCTTTGGATATTTATTCATAAGACACATCTTTATGTAACCTAAAATGGGTTTAATATTATAACTTTTAATAAATACATATTTTAAAATTTATGTTTGAATTTATAATTCACAATATGGTAAATATTGATGGACATAATCCACTTAAAAGTTCTTTGGCATTCTCAACAATTTTTAAGAATAAATTGATCTTGTGACCAAAATGTTTGAGAACTGCTGTGTTAAAGTTTTGGTTCCAGATTGATTGGGATATAGTTTTTCAAATCATTGTATTGTAGACAACAATAATTCGTACTAATTTGGTCATTTATAATCATATTGATCATTTCTTTTCTTATTGAAATATTTCCTCCACGAGTGCTTTGAAATAGTGTGCCTGAAAAGTGTTATGAGGCATTTTAATCCTGATAATATTTTTACACTTTCTTGTTTATGCAATATTTTAATGAATGTGAAATCTTTGGCCCATATTCTTTCTTGTAGTTTTTATTGTCTCCTTCCACCTAGCATTTCTGTTGTGAAGTTTGATATTAATATAATGCTTTATCCTTTAAAATTTTACATGATATGTATTAGAGCTGAACAAAATATTAATATTGCAAAATATGAAAATACTTATACATGCATAAAAGTTTGAAAAGGCACCCAAAGTTTTTATCAAGTTTATTTTCAAGTTTTTATCACCAGTTGGTATGAGTACATGAATTTCAGTAGTTTCTTAAACTCCTGTAGATTTCTCAAAGTTTATACAGTAAGCATAAATTACTTTTTTAAAAAAGTTAAAGTTTTAATTTTGATTTTTGTGGGTACCTAATAGATGTATATATTTATGGGGTACATGAGATATTTTGATACAGGAATGCAATGTGTAATAGTCACATCAGAGTAAATGGGGTATTCATCACCTCAAGCATTTATCCTTTGTGCTACAAGCAATCCAATTATATATTACTTTTATAATCAGAAAAAGTGAATTTCTTTACAGCATTTCTGAAGAAGTGCAAAAAATGGAAAAGGGGAAAACTACAATTATTTATTTTGAGGCTACATGTACATGTATCAGAGTACATGTACTCTGTACAATGTACTCTGTTGATTGGATCATTTTGAACTTGACATAATTTGATCATCACATGAAAATTGTGAAACAGCAATTATGGAGCTACAGCTTTGTCATTCCCCATACTTGAGATTTTGTAGGTTTTTGGTCTAAAGTATGTATTTTGCCTTTCATCAACAAAATAAAAATTGCCTGGATAATTTTTTTAAAACACATTTTTAGAAACGCAGTTATTCTGGTTGTGATAATTTTAGAAATTGTGTTTTCTATTTGCACTTCTCTTAATGTAACACTACTGTTTCTGATGAGTCACGATAATGTATATTTATGCCCTTCAAAATGTAGGTTTTGAAATATTTTATAAATGACTGGATGTAATTATTTAACAACCATTTTGTGTCCCCCAAACCTATAATTGTTGTTGTGTAAGTGAATGGGAAAGAAAATGGAAAAGAAGATCAGTAACACCACAAATATGCCTAGAACTTACATAAAATTATTTTTAAAAATAGCAATAAATGACAAAATGAAGGGGGATGTAAAGCTCTCATTTATGCATTTATGGCTTATATTTATGTTCGTTTATATATAGGATCATAAAGCTGACAAAAATGATTATTGCAACAAAAATGTGGCAAAAGCTTCTTATATGTCAAAGCAAACTTAAGAAATTAGCAGCTTATAGACAGAAGTGAAGGTTAGTAGAATCTTGAAGAGCAATCTTTACATGATAATTAGGCAGTGAAATGCATACACAAGATGAACAAAATCAAAAAATAAATTCTCTCACTCAAGTGTCAATGTATATTGCACATTACTAAAGAAAGTACAGGGAGAAGAATAATTTCTTGGAGTAAAATTGAGCAGCCTTAAATCCAGAGCTCATGTTCTATTCCTGCTAGGAACCTGAGTCATTGTTTTATCTCAGGCAAGTAAGTCATTTTGCTTCTTTCTGCCTCAAATTACTCATCTATAAAAAGCTATACTTTCAGCTTTCTTACAGACCATCCCATCACGCCTCTTCTTTATCTACTGAGTGCCGGATATCAACCCAGGAAGCAAATTTAGGAATTAATTCAGAAATAAAAGCTCCAACTTCAAAAAATAAAAATAAAGATGGAACATTATGAACAAGCTAACTCTGGAAGTAGTGAGTTGTATATTTCATTTTAGCTCATGATGATTGGCACAATCTTTAAAAATTATCATTGCTGCTGTTCAGATTTAATATCACCTATGTCGAGGTTACATTATAGATACAGATAAGGTTCACATTATCATCATCCTGCCCCTGAGGCAAATTATCATATCTTTAGTTCTAATTAATTTCATAATTTTATTTTATGATTTGTTAAATTTTTTTTAATTTTACAAACAATAATGAGCACCATTCTATTACATGTCTACTTGAGCTTTTTCTTCCTCAATGTGAGCTTCTAATAAATGAAAAAAAAAAAGATTTTGTATGCAATGGAAATAACCATTCATTAATAACCATATATTAAACCTAGCTTCTAGTCAGCCTAGAGCAGCGGTTCACGTCTGTAATTCCAGCACTTTGGGAGGCCAAGGCAGGTGGATAGCTTGAGCAATATCATACTCATTGATAATTATGATTTCTAAGGGTTAGGAGTTTGAGACTAGCCTGGGCAACATCGTGAAACCCTGTCTCCACAAAAAAATACAAAAATTAGCCTGGCATGGTCGTGTGTGCCTGTAGTCACAGTGACTCAGGAGGCTGCGGTGGGAGGAACGCTTGGGCTCAAGGAGGTCAAGGCTGCAGTGAGCCATGATTGCACCACTGCACTCCAGCCTGGACAACAGAGTGAGAGCCTGTCTCAAAAATAAATAAAAACAAATTTAAAGAAATTAAATAGCACATCTATTTGGTGTCCCTGCTTGGCAAAAATTTTACATATGTGATCAAAGTTAATCCATATAGCGGTATGTGGTTACTATAGCAAGTAACTGAGGAACATGATAATCAAAAAGATTAAATAACTTAAGTTACAGAACAAGTCCATGACACTACCAACAATTATGTCCAGATCTCATTGAATTCAATACTTCCCTATGGATTTTCTACTGTAACCTATATTACCTCTTACTCCATTCAACTCCGTTCAGCAAATATTTATTGAACAGCTACTATGTACCGGGTACTATTCTAGGCATTGGTAAAACATTACTTTCATTCACAAACAGACAAAATCTCTTGCTTCTGCGGGTTTGAATCTCAGTACATATTATTAAGTGCATGTTTTTGGGTAGATTAGATAACTTCCATGGACATTCGATGTCTTTATTGATAAATATAAAAATATTTACTCATTTATATGATAACATTGACATTAGGATCAAAGATGGTGCCTCGTGTGAAAACATTTTTAAAACTCTAAGGCACCCTTCGTAATAAAAATATATTTCATCTTTCCCAAAGAGCTATATTTCAGCCAAATGGACAAAAGTGAGACGTGAAACCAACAGAATAGGGAGTAAAGAGAGAAAAAAAAGAGATACAGATTTTTTTAAACCTGCAAAGGTGTCATCAAAGGGACATTGATAATTATGATTTCTAAGGGTGCAAAAATCTATTATAAGATCTCTTGGCAGAAAATTGATATAGAAGTGCCCTAGGTATTTCCTGGCATCATATTTAAAATGTATGTGTGTTTGGAGTTTTGTTTTGTTTCTTAAACATTACTTTTGGCATATGGATGCATTGACTTTTCTAAGTAAAAATTTGAAATTATAACAAAGAGTGAATCTGAAAGGGAACAATGAACAAGGAATTAACATAAAGTCTAGGGATCAGGATAAATATGTACTAATAGAATTGCAGTGATATGTAATCCACTGGAGGAAAGCATAGGATCAAAGTTAAGTAGTTTTTATTTTTACTTTTTTTGGTATTATTCCACTCACTGTTATTGTTATGACTATTGTTCTTTTTTGTTTTAACTTTTAGTTTAGGTTCAGGGGTACCTGTGCAAGTTTGTTATATCACAGGGGTTTGTTGTACAGATTATTTCGTCACCCAGGTACTATATCTGGTACTCAATAGTTATTTTTTTCTGCTCCTCTCCCTCCTGCTCTTCACTCTAAAGTGGGCCCCAATGTCTGTTGTTCCCCTTTTTGTGTTCATGAGTTCTCGCCATTTAGCTCCCACTTACAAACGAGAACATGTGGTATTTAGTTTTCTGTTCCTGCGTTAGTTTGCCAAGGATAATGGCCTCTAGCTTCATCCATGTTCCTGCAAAAGATATGATCTCATTCCTTTTTATGGTTGCATAGTATTCCATTGTGTGTATATACCACATTTTCTTTATCCATTCTACTACTGATGGACATTTAGGTTGATTCCATGTCTTTGCTATTGTGAATAGTGCTGCAATGAACATAGGCAGGCATTTGTCTTAATGGTAGAATGATTTTATATTCTTCTGGGTATATATGCAGTAATGGGGTTGCTGGGTCGAATGGTAGTTCTGTTTTTAGCTCTCTGAAGAATTGCCATTTTGCTTTCCACAAAAGTTTAACTAATTTACACTCCCACCAACAGTGTAAAGTGTTCCTTTTTCTCCACAACCTCACCAGCATCTGTTATTTTTTGATTTTTTAATAATAGCCATTCTGACTGGTATGAGATGGTATCTCATTGTGGTTTTGATTTGCATTTCTCTAATGATCACTGTATGCTTGTTGACCACATGTATGTCTTCTTGTGAAAAGTGTCTGTTCGTGTACTTTATCTTACCCACTTTTTTTTTTTTTTGAGACGGAGTTTCGCTCTTGTTGCCCAGACTGGAGTGCAATGACGCGATCTTGGCTCACTGCAACCTCCGCCTCCCGGGTTCAATTGATTCTCCTGTCTCAGCCTCCCAGGTAGCTGGGATTACAGGCATGCCCCACCACGCCCAGCTAATTTTGTATTTTTAGTAGAGATGGGGTTTCTCCATGTTGCTCAGGCTGGTCTCAAACTTCTGACCTCAGGTGATCCACCCGCCTCGGCCTCCCAAGTGCTGGGATTACAGGCATGTAGGGAGAGGTTGGTTAAGGGATACAAAATTACAGCTAGATAAGAGGGATAAGTTCTATATAGCACTGTAGGGTAACTATAGTTAATAATTTATTGTATATTTTCAAATAACTAGAAAAGAAGATTTTAAATGTTCCCAACATAAAGAAATGATAAATGTTTGACATAATAGATATGCTAATATCCTGATTTGATCATTATACATCGTATACATGTATCAAAATATCACACTGTACCCCATAAACATGTATAATTATTATGTCAATTTAAAATAATACCAAAAGTACAATCTCTCTAATTATGATGAATCACAAATTTGAAAATAAAAAGAATAGGTTCAGCAATCCTACTACTGGATGGGTATCCAAAAGAAATGAATTCAGTATGCCAAATGACATCTTCACTCTCACATTCATTGCAGTGTTATACACAATAGCCAAGTTATGGAATCAACCTAAGTGTTCACAACAGATGAACAGATAAAGAAAATATGGTATACATACACAAAGGGATACCATTCAACCTTAATAAAGAAGGAAATTCTGTCATTTTCAACAACACAGGTGAACCTGGAGAACATTATGTTAAGTAAAATAAGACAAGTACGGAAAGATAAATACCACCTACTCTCACTTCAACATGAAATCTAAAAAAGTCCAACTCATAGAAGTAGGGAGCAGCATGGTAGCTACCAGGGGCTGGGGGAGAGGAGGTTGGAAAAATACTGGTCAAAGGATACAAAATTTCAGTTAAATAGGAGGAATATGTTTAAAAGATCTATTTAAAAAAAAAAAAGCAAGTTAAGAATAATAGGTCCCTGGCTGGGCACGGTGGCCCATACCTGTAATCCCAGCACTTTGGGAGGCCAAAGTGGGCAGATCACCTGAGGTCAGGAGTTCGAGACCAGCCTAGCCAACATGGGGAAATGCTGCCTCTACTAAAAATACAAAAAGTAGCTGGGCATGGTGTCGGGCCTGTAATCCCAGCTACTTGGGAGGCTGAGGCAGGAGAAATCGCTTGAACTCAGGAGGCAGAGGTTGCAGTGAGCTGAGATTGCACCACTGCACTCCAGCCTGGGCGACAAGAGCAAGACTCCATCTCAAAAATAAAAATAATTTTAAAAAAGAATAATAGATCCAATATACAACTGTTTTCCAACAAAAGGAAACAATGTGGATATGAGTCATCCTTGAACACTCTATTCACATGCATATCTTTTCGTCAGTTAGGATGATTTCACCTGTAGGTACTAATATATAATTTGCTTACTCGATTAGCTGGAAGTTCAGAGTTGGCGAGGTGGAAGGTAAGGCCTTCAGCAGCGTTGCCATCGGAGATGGATTCACTGAGAAGTTTAAAGCTTAAGCTTTAGAGGCAGTCACTTGCATTTTTTTTAAAATAATTTCGCCTAATTTTTTATGTAGATTTTTGTATTCATCCTTTTGATAAGACCCACACTAAATTGTTTAATATTTAGGTCCCAGAAAAGAGGGATCAGTGCTTGGCTCTGACATAACTTAAAAATGAATTTCTCAGCAGTGCATTCCTGATGGAGTCAGCTCTGCCCGCTGGCTAGCTTGCCTTTGGGTCACGAAATGGCTTGCTACTGCCAACCAGGTGATATGTTTCTCATTCACTTCTAGGTGTTCACTGCCAGGGTTTGTTCACTTCCTGCATAGTGCTGAACATAAGTTCTTTCTTTTGCAACAATATGCCATGTCCCCAGTCTCTAGGATGATTGCCTTAAGCCTGGATTTCAGAATCAACTTACTGGCAGAGGAATGGATGTTGCCCCACTGGGTTAGACAAATATGAACCCACCTCTGGAGATGGAGTTGGAGTTAGCTTACCTAGTGGGACATGAGTTACATAGGAGGGGCTGACGCCTAAACAAAATTCAGATGTAGGATGGGCTAAGATAGTACGGACCAATTACATATGAGAAAAACCTTGCTTGAGCATTCCTGGAAAGAAACTTCATCATTATTAGGAGAGAACCATGGAAAGTCAAGCTGTCTCTCCCTTTCTTCTGGTGAACATGAACATGGAACCCACATTACCCCAGTGGGTACTGGCAGCCATCCTGTCATCATAAAGGAAGCTGAACCAAACATAAGCCCATATATAGTGAAGGGCATACATTTAAAAAAAAACATGTAGAGAAACATATCTAGAACTCTTGTTTTTTGTACTAAGTCCAAATCCACCCAATTTCTGCATTTACATTTATGTAAGCTAATAAAAGTTCTTATTTTTAAGCAATTGTAAATTTATATTTTGCCATTTGCAGACAAACACAATCTAATTAATACATTTTTTTAAACTCCCATCACTCCACCTACACCAGAAAATTATCATTGAATTGCAGTGTTATTTTCTACATCTGTTAAGTTTTCATATAAGATTATGGTCTTTATATTCATATCATTTCCGTTACATCATGAATTTTATTTTGGTGCCTTTTAGATGTTCAAATGTAGATGCTAGGAGGGCTATTGAACATATAAGACTGAAGTTCAGAGAGTGCTCTGGGAATATATATAAATTTGTGAATCATCTGCATATAAATGGTATTTAAATCCAGGAATCTGGATAAGATCACTTAAGATGTGAGTGCAGATAGAAGTGAAAAGAAGTCCATTGACTGCTTCTTCTTGGGTGTAATGAAGCAATCTAAAAACACCTACACAAAAACGTGATATCATCATGAGCTAAGCTGAGTTCACCATTAGGTCCCCCCATAACAAATACATTTTTCAGTTTTATTCTTAATATAGGATCCTCTCTTTCTGACTGCCAATCATAGTGGTGAATTACTTAACAAAAATTCGTTTAGTCCTTACTGTTTGCAAGGTCTCTGTAAAGATCACAGGACATATGATAGCTAGCACTGGTGATAGTAACAGATAATTGAAAAAAAACTCAATACTAAAGGAGCAAGGTGACAGGTGAGGGGGATAAATGGAATCATGGGGAGACAGATAAATGCACTGGGGAGCAACCATCAGTGGTCCCTCCTTTTGTGGGTACCCAGGGCCCAGTAATGAATGAGAAAATAATTAATGATGTTAAAAAATCATCAGCACAACAATTTTTCTTCCTATATAATAACATATCCAAAAGTAGAGCTTTTAAAAGTCTGCTGTATCATGTAAAAATTCAAAATAGGATATAAAAAATAAGATTCTCTTAGGTGGTATTAAAATCTCCTGTTGCTGCCTACCTTTTTAAAGAAGCAGAATGGCATTTCAGAAAGGAAACCAAATCTAGAAAGCAAAGGATCACAAAACAGGTTAACAATAGCTAGAGTTCATGATTATTTTTCTAAAAGTAGCTACTTGTATTTTAGAAATACACAAAGGGTAATTTAAGAAGCTTTTTAAAAATAATAAAATATATGTCCAGCCCACATTGCAGACCAGATTTAAACTCAGCGAAGTGATCTTTCATACATTATACAGTGGCAATTACCATGTAAATAGATTTTAAAGAAAGTAATATATTATTTAAAACCTCAGTGTTATATAAAGCAAGCATGGAGAAATGCTTGATATCTGTTTTATTTTCAAATCAGCAACCCCTTTACACACAGAAAAGGACAATGACTGCACTAGATAATGTTAATTATATTTCTCATAATAAAGTACAGTGGCCTCTATGATTATATATTTTTCCAACAGTTGTGGGAAACATATACTATTCCATATATAATCATAAGTCTGACATTTTTCCCATTTGAAAGCATTTTCCTTTCAGAAAATTTTTAATGAGAACTCCTAGAGAATACATTTAATTCAGACTGTTATAAATGACCTAAAATGATAAAAATCAGGATGAATGAGAGCCAGAATTTCCTCCCAGATTAGGGAAGTTTTTCAAAGTGTCCTTGTGGGAGCAGATTGGAAGGAAAGAGAGGAAGAGAAGAGGAAGGATTTCAAGAGGGTTTCATGGGCCCCACAAAGGAGACTCAATCTGAAAAACCACGACCAGAGCCACAGGCTGCTGACTACTGGGCCTCCTGTCAAATGAGTACCATTTGTACTAGCATCTGGGAGCCCCGTGGAGATTAGTAGTGATCACTAATTAAGCCAGTCACCTTTAGGCTCACCGGATTTCTACTTGAGCAGGCACGCCTCTTTCTTGATGCTAAGGAGCCACGGCACTTTCCTGCCCTTCATCTATGCTCCTGAGTCTGGGCCCATTGCCCCTCTGCCTTAACCCATTTAAGCTGTTTCTATAAGCAGAGTGTAAGGGAGAGTGGGGGATGAATGGGTTCCTGAACACCAAGTGGGTTGATGGTGCTGTGAAGGGAGAATTCCCCCGACTTTACCCAAAGATAACCAGCTTGAATGTAACAAAATACTACATGGACCCCATAAAAATGTATAAATATTTTATATTAATTTTAAAAGTTTTCCCATATTCTTTGGCTGCCCGGGGGAGGGGTGTGTGGGGGTGGGAAACAGCTTAAGATTCACCTCTACTCATTTCCTTTCACTACAGAATCAGAAGCAAAGAAAAACACATTCTGGAGCATACATTTCTCAAATCAATTATCTAATTCTCTCAAAGTAAAAAGAAGATACTCTATGCATTAGTCTGTTTTTGCACTGCTATAAAGAACTGCCCGAGACTGGGTAATTTATAAAGGAAATAGGTTTAATTGACTCACAGTTCCGCATGGCTGGGGAGGACTCAGTAAACCTAAAATCATGGCAGAAGGCAGAGGGGAAGCAGGAACCTTCTTCACAAGGTGGCAGGAGGGAGTGAGTGCAAACAGGGAAAATGCCAGATGCTTGTAAAACCATCAGGTCTCCTGAGAACTCACTCACTATTACGAGAACAGCATGGGGGAAAGCGCCCCATGACCCAACCACTTCCCTCCCTCAATACGTGGGGAATACAGGTACCTCCCTCAACACATGGGGATTACAATTCAAGATGAGATTTGAGTGGAGACACAGAGCCAAACCATATCACTTTATTACTTGGAAATTGGAAACACAACTATCTGTAAGATGTATTCAGTTGTTATTTATCATCTAATAACTGCTGCGTCCTCTTTGTCTTCTTCTCATTTTATTTGTCATATAAAATTTCAGTTGAATTCTGTTTGTCTTTGTTTCTAATGAATGGTACCCTCCTATCAGCTTCACATCAAATCATATTAATACCCACTATCAGTTTCCCTTGCATCAAATGCCCTTTTACTTAACAAACATTTCTGAGCTCCTACTCTGGAGATCCTCCAGTAAAGCTCATGAAGTAGGACCCTCTTCTCATGGTTTCTCATAGTGTTTATTCTTGTATACATGACGAAAGTTTTCATCTATCTTCCTTATGTTGCCTTTCCACTTACCAATTCCATTTAACCCTACATTACTTTTTAAAGCAAATGTAAATACTTCATCCTTGGCAATCAAAATCATAATGTGCATACAGACCTTTATCTCCAAACACCAACCTCCACACTGTTCATTGAGCAAACTTTTTCAGCTGAATAAGTTCTGGACATGGATATGAATTCACAGTTTTGATGTGCATATGGGATTTGGCTTCCCTGAGATTAAGTTTTACAATTTCTAAACTGGACATAATAGTTCTTCCTTTATAATTTTTTAAATGACCACAATGCCATTCTCTCAATAAAATTATTTTGCAAACTATAAAGCATTATATCAAGATAAGTTATTATGTTAAATCATCCTTCACATTTGGTGTTTCCTATGAACACTGGCTTGATCTACTTTGGAACCATGGTTGCCTGCCTTTTTCTTTCCATCAAATCTAATGTAAACCTAGTGTACATCTAATGACAACTTCAAAACAAATTTCAACTCCTATTGAAAGCTTACTATATGCCATAAATAAAGCATTTCTAATGTATTATCTTATTTCATCTTCCTAACATTATGAGATAATTACTGTTAGAATCTCCATTGTATATGAGGAGAGTAAGCATTCTCTAACTTGAGGAACTTGATCACAGAGGCACAACTAATATACGATAGACTTAATGGTCAAGTATCGGTGGGTCTCTCTGGTTGAAGAGCTTATAATTATAATCAATACATTATATTTCACCTCCGAAGCCTCCTATCGACCCCCTTTCCACTTTCTAGTTCACATTATGCCTTCCTACCTCTGGACTTCCACAGCATTAAATCTGTTCCTCATGTTATACAGTGATGGAAGCCTTCCCCTAATGGTTATCAGCTTCTAAAGGGAATGAGCTATAATTTCTCCTTCAGTTTTGGTTTGCTCCGCTGCTCCAGTACTTCCCTGCATGGAAAGCAAAACAATTGATGGATAGACCTCGCCTTTGGTTGATGTTATAAGGATACCAGATATAAGACAGAAATAATGTACACAGTAAAGGATACTGAAAAAGCAACACCTAACGCTGAAATAATTCAAGAATTTAATTAGAACCCAAAGAATTTTTGTTTTATTCTCCTTTATTCTCATTTATAGTTTGGGATTTCTTTAGATTTGAAAAACACAACCCTGCATAAGTAAGGCAGTTCTTCACCAGAATATGTTTCTTGCCTGTTCTGGCATGTATAAGCAATATATCTCTTGAGTTTGTTGGTAGTGCCCCACTGAATGCTAAAATCCTTTTTAGTGCCCTGCTAAAGAGACTTGGCAAGAAATTGTGCTTACCACGTTAGTGAAGTTATAACTTGTCATGTTTCTAGTTCTATTTGCCGTAAAACTTATTTAAAAGCCTGATTTTGAAGTGTGTGTGTGTGTGTGTGTGTGTGTGTGTGTGTGTGTGTCTGCGTCTGTGTCTGTGTATATGTGTGTTCTAATGATCTGTGTGGTGCTGTTAAAAGTTGAGTTAGTTATCACTGAAGAAGGGATTGCTACTGTCCTCATGGAAAAGCAGGTAAATAGCTTTCTATGTTTTTCTTCACTAGGTTTGAGAGATTTAGGAAGGGACACATATTTGTTTGAATTGAACATTAAAACTTATAAAAGGGAAACTCTGTATAACACATTTATTTCTAAGACTTCATGTACACACATTTATTTAAACATAAACATACTCATAACAATTAATTATCTTCTTAATTAAAATATGTAGTGCAATCTAACCAAGCATAGTAAATGAAAGAAAACACCTAATTACATGTAGTTTAACTTCCCTAAGTATCAGATTTCAACTATAAAATGTAGTTGTTAAATCCCACCTCACAAAACTTTCACAAGAATTCAGCGAGATAAGAAAATTTCTACCAATGACTGGTACATATCAGGCATTCAATAAATGTTGGTTCTGTGGTTCCTTATGACCAACCCTTGCTCCCAATAATATTTTTTTAAAAAGAATCTCCCATACTGAAACAAAGGATAATGGTATAAATTGAAAAGAAATGACTACTTTTCCCTTAAAAAAGTAAAGAATGAAGAAATGAATATAACTGTGCATGACCTTTACCAGTGTTCTTTAATGAAAATATAAACATCCTTAACAATCTGTAAGTTATTGATTATGCCTCTTAAGGAACAGATACAAAGACAATATTTAATCATGCAATAAAAATCTATTTAAAAAGCCTGTAGTGCAAGATCTTAGAGTCAGCAAACATGTTCTCAGGATATTTGACTTGATTCTTTCTCCTTTGTCCCATCATAGACTGTGAGGAGTAAAGACCATAAACTGAGACTCAGAATTTACATAGATACATAAAGATATACCTACATAATTAGTATTAACATTACTTTGTGATACCTTTTAACCTTCAAATTTTCTCAGTCCTTAGGCTATGACTGAGAAAGTTGGGCCTTAACTACTGATTAGCCAAAAGACCTTTTAGTGAGTATCTGCCCTGCATTCACCCTAAGCACTATGGGGCATAAAGTATAAGCCAGAGTTAAATGCAGTGAATTAAACCCAATAAATTTCCATTCATTGCAACACAAATGCAAGGAGATATGGTAAAATATCCATGAGAGATCCAAAGACAAACCGAGATATTGGCCCTGGCTTCAAGAAGTATTTGGTCCAATTGTGAGAATGCTATTTGGCATAGGTTATAAGTGTCATAGACTTGAAAAGAGAAAACTGTCACTGAGCCCAAAGAGGATTCTGCAATATTTCATTAAGTAAATGAGAGTTTACTTTTATCTTTAAAGATGATAGCATTTGAATGGATGGAGTAGATAGATCATGGTAATAGGTTATCATAGAAAAGTGAACAAGAATAATGAATCTGGTGATACCTTCCTAATTGTTGACAACTCTATCTAGAAAGATTGTAAATACTTAGTGATTCCATAGAAAGTGTGAACTACAGGTTGGTTTGTTTGTCTTTTGTTTTCTGGCGACCGGATCTCACTAGCCAAAGAAGAGGATTCATCCGTAATTGCCATGACCACCAGTGCTTACACAAATCAAAGTCTCTCTGAAAGAAAATAACTGCACAAAGCAATATCTGAGCCCAGAAATGATTTTATGTCGGAGTTTTATTGCTTAATTGGCCAACCATCTTTCCAAATGCACTAACTTAGTCAAAGTGCATTATATGAGTTTAGGAAATGACTAGGTTTCAAGGTTAGAAAAGGGTAAAAATATTGCTTTATGTTTCATTGATTATATTCACATATTTGGACCCTGACCCCTTTACAACCATTTCAGGAGAAATATATTCTTTTCATAGAAAAGCATAGCACAGATTTTAAATGACCAGAAGATGTGAATTGTCTTTTATATTTACTCTTAATTATATTTTTAAACAGGGCAGATGCTTGGCAAACCTTTCATTAGTGAATACAATAAAAAAGACTGGATATAAAGAACTTGACAATATAATGGTAAATTCAGATTTCTTGTAGACATTTTTAATGTAGGTCATGTAGGAAGTCACCAAGATATCTGTCAAATAAAAGAGAGATAGTAATGTAGAAATAAATGAAGGCCACCCAAATGAGAAGCAGGAAAAGCTATTTGTTCAGAGCTTGCTAGAGCAAAAGAGTCAGCCACCATCACTTGCATTTGGCATAACCTCAAAGGCAAGCAGGGGAGTGGGCAAGCTTTATAGCAACATAAAAGGAGGGTGCTATAGTTTGGATGTTTGTCCTCTCCAAATCTCATGTTGAAATTTGATCCTCAGTGTTGGAGGTAGGGCCTAATGGGAGGCTTTGGGGTCACGGAGGTGGAACCCTCATAAATATATTAATGCCCTTGGGTGAGAGAGTGAGTGAGTGAGTTCTTACTCTATTCGTTCCGTAAGAGCTGGTTGCTAAAAAGAGCCTGGCACCTCCCTCCTCTCTGTTGCTTCCTCTCTCCCCATGTGATCTCTGCACAGCCAGCTCCCCTTCACCTTCCACCATGTGTGGAAGCAGCCTGAGGTCCTCACCTGGTGTAGATGCCAGTGCTATGCTTCTTGCACAACCTGCAGAACCTGAACCAACTAAACCTCTTTTCTTTATAAATACCCAGCCTCAGATATTCCTTTGTAGCATCACAAATAGACTAAGGCAGAAAACTTCAGTTATGCCCTGATTAGAGGGTGTTGGCATGGAGAAGCTGGAGGCAGGCTAACTAGAAGTGGGGCATCATATATTATTGGTTAGGGGGGCAAATTTGTCTTCCTTTAGTTGGTCCCACATTGTAAGTGGAGACAAAAATTAGGGAAACTGGCAGCTATCAACCAAGCTCTGACCATTTGGGGCCAGTTCCTGCAGAGGTTGTGTTCTGGAATCCTGGACTGATTGATGTAGAGGTTGTGAGTCAGAGTCCTACTTTTATATATGGTCTGGCCCTTGTTCCTTTGTATATTCAATCTCAGCCATAAGTCTCAAATTATTTAAACTTAATGTTATAAATTGGCTCTTACTTTGGTGAAAATAATATTGTAATACCTTTGTCATATGATTTCTTCTTTCATTCAATAAAGTCAACGGTTATAATCCCCTTTTATGTGAAAAGTAGCATCTGAACGATCACTAAACCTTCCTCTTATCTAAAGCAATGAAATGTCAGCTTTATGACAAATTACTTTATAAGCCTATTAAAGCAAATAAACACTTGACAATGATCATTTTTCCATTTAATTTTATAAATATATTTATGAAGAAAATAACAATGCCTCTATTTTGCATCAAGTTTGCTTCAGTACCTACAAATATATTAGTACTTACTCTGTCATCACATTATAATATATTGACATAATAATATTTTAATTTATTTTCCAGTACAAAATACATTTCTTAAGGGGCAAAAAAAAAAAAATAAATTCAAGGCAAAGAGATAGAATTTCATGGATTAAAAATAATTTTGTATAAACAGTACTTATCTGAGATCACTGGGAAAGGAAAGCCATTCTCGTTTTAAAGATGAGAAAGCTGAGGATTAAAGAACTACACTGGCTTGCCAAAGGTCTACATATAGTCCATGTTATAAATTAGATTTTCTGAATTCTAGTTCCATGTTCTTTTCTCTATATTATCCATCATCTATATAATTACTAAAGTGAATAAAATTTTTTCAGTCCTGCAATAACTTCAAATATGAAAAAAGAAAACTAAAACGCACCTGCCATGGCAAGCAAATAAAATGTTACTTAAATTATACACAATACTTTTGCTCTCTCTTCTCCCAGGACCAACCCCTCAATCTCACAATCATGTAGTGGAACCAAGTAGAGTTAAAGAACAACTGTCAATCTATGCATGAAGGTGGACAAAATATCAATCCTGACTACAGAGAAGGGGAATAAAATATTAACAAGAACAGACAGTGGCTACAGGAAAGAGAAGCGTTAGAAGAAATAAGTCTAAATAGGTGAAATATAATCAACACATTTTACACAGGGCTCCTTGAAGAAACACCTTATTCTGAGGCTGAAGCACACACACAAAAAAAAACAACCCACACATCTAGAAACCTAGAACACCTTTTTGTGTCACAAAGTAAGAAAATTCTCAAAGAATGAGGAAAGGGAAAAAAAGAAGCTAACTTGAGTAAATTTCCAATGGTCAAATCTGAGACACTTTGCTATTAATAATAATAAGGATGACAACAACATTAATGGGTCATAACTTATTAAATAAAATAATAATTTATGGGTCTATAATAATAGACGAGAGAGAGAGGGAGAGAAAAAGATACAATGCCTTCTTAATATAGAATATCAACTAATAAATGTCAGAAGAAAGAGTAAAGTTCAACATTTTTCAGGAATTTTAATTAAAATTTATACAAGTAACAATCATTAATGGATGCTAGAATCAGTGAATGAAAAGTTGAAAGGGAAGAGGATATTAAAATAACTTCAAAGGGCCGCCCCTTCAAATTACTTATTGACTACAAAAGGGAAAATTGTAACCATACCATGGAGAAACCTGGCAGAAACCACTGTATCTAAGTGATCAGTCAACATCAACAATAACGAGACAAACCAACACCTTGTACCTCCTGACACTTTGCACTAATAAAAACGCGACGTCATATATGTAGTATTCCTGCCAAAAATGCATAACCTAAATCTAATAAGAAGGGAATTTCAGACAATTCAAAATTGAGGGACATTCTACAAAAATAGCTTGTCTTAACTCTTCAAAATGTTAATGTCATGAAAGATAAAGCAATCCTCATGAACTTTTCAAATTAAAGGAGCTGAAGAAATATGACAACTGAATGCAAAATCTTATTCTAGATTGGATTCGATATAAAAAAATAGTTGCTTAAAGGATATTATTGGAATAATTGAAGTTATTTGAATTAAAATGCCATTTAGATGATCCTACAGTATCAGTGTTAAATATCCTGATTTTGAATAATTATACTGATTATATAAGAGAATATTTTTGTTCATAAAAAACACACAATGAGATGTGAAACATTTAGGAGAAATGAAGAATGATTCCTATAACTTACAAACAGTTTAGAGAGAAAAAAACTATAAGGGGGTGGTGGGGGGAGAGAGAGAGAGAGATCATGAAAGCATAAGTGGAAAACTTCACAGTTGGTGAACCTGGGTGAAGGAGATGGATAGATAATAATTATTTGTACTGTTGTGACAGCTTTTGGATAGCTTGAAATTATTTCAAAGTAAAAAAAATTGAAGGCAGAGTAATAATAAAAAATAAAAACTTTTTCACAGCAAAATTAACTTTCTGCTAGTAGAACTCCTAAGCCTTATTGAGGTAATTAATAAATGTATTTCTCCTTTTCCAACCTTAAGATCCTCTGAGAATAGAGTCCTTCTTTCAAATCAGTGCTATCCTATAGATTATATATAGGTAGAATAGATTGCTTGAACCTGGAGAAAAATATTGAATGAAACGTTCTCCAAAGTCTTTGTGAGCAGGTAACAAGAAAGCTGTACTACTCCTTTCTTCCACCAGAGAAATACAGTGCTGGTGTTATTGTAATATGCCTATTATGGTAATTTACTTGAATTATAATTAACCTGTCTTTCCTACAACTCTGAAAGCTAGTCCTCTAAACTCATGACCCTCACTTTCATATGCATTTTTTTCCTGCATATAGAGTCTTAATGATTGGAGAGTTGCTCATCATTTTCACCTCTTTCTCAGATATATCCCATTTTAAAAGACCAAAATCAATTTGATCATTCAGGAAACATCAGGGTGCTCTACTAAACTTCAGTAGCTATGTGTTCCCTCCCCTACTACTTCTATACCATGAGATATAATAGTGAAAGTAGTTTCAGAACAAATGTTACTGTATGTATGTAAATGTATGTATGTAAATGTATGTATATAGAACTTTTTCTATAACTAAGAGTAGGCTCACTCCAACCAAAACCTCAAATTGATATTAGAATCTTGATCTTACTATATTCTCTTTTCATAAAGAGGCATTGGCCTGTGTAACATTTCTAACCACCAATCACCTATCTTAAATACTTTCTCTCTCTTCCTCTCTTCCTGCCCTCTCTCTCTGTCACACACACACACACACACACACACACACACATACACACACGAGAAGAAAGTGGTTCTTAGAAAAATGTTTAAAATTTAGGTTAAAACATTTATCCATTCAATAATGATGCAGATTGCTTCCTATATGTTCAGCCCATCACATACAGATATTTTTATCTTACAGCAGGGCTCAACAAACTTTTCTGTAAAGGGTCCAGATGTAAATATTTTTAGACTTTATGGATCATACAGCTTCTGTTGTAACTACTCTACTCTGCCCTTGCAGCACAAAAGCAGTCATAGACTGTATAGAAACAAATGAGTGGGGCTGTGTTCCAAAAAAACCATATGCATAAAATAAGGGAGAGACCACAGTTTGCTGACCGCTCCATTGTAGTACTAAAATAGTTTCATATACTGCAAAGATTTACCTGATGGGTTTTAATAGGCTGGGCTTTCCTCAAAGTTTTCTCCCGGGGCTCCGCATTTTTTCCTAACTCATCCCATTGTGCTTTTGCCTCTTCTTGGTCCCCTATTCCTGAAGATGCCATGCATTCTCTACAAAACTGAACCACAGAGGAATACTTTGAAATGCATAGGGATTAATGGCAAAGTAGGTGGTCTACATAAAATGAATCTGTTCTCCTTGCTCTACTCTGGTCAAGAAGTCTCTTCTATATACTGCATGCTGACTAAACTCTCTCCTTCATTATCAGTGTTAAATAGATTCTTCTTAAAGATTAGAAAATACCTTTATGTGGAAGTTATTTTTATCAGTGCCCACAACTTTATTAGTAATTAAAATACTGTAAAGATATAGTGTTCACAGCTTGCAGAGTTTTTTCATGCATATAATGACTTTGTGTGGTAGACCAGGATGGTAGTATTATTCTTGAAAGATTTTGAAATTGAGGCCTTAAGACATTCAGAAACCTACCTAAATCTCTACAATTAGAAACTCATCCTGTCTTCAGCTCTTTTCACAATTTAAATTGCTGCAGAACGTGCTCTAAGTACTAAAGTTAAGCTCAATAGAATTTCGAAACTTTAGAAGCTCTCATCCTCCAGAACCTTGATGTAATCAGAAGAAAAATAAAGACCAAGCCCTGAGAAGAGTAGAAGACACAAAGTCTAATTGTTTCCCCTTATTCGCAAAAACACAACTTGCTTTCAGTTATTCATGGCAATATCTTTTGAGTTTTGCTCATGATAATCTTTCCCCTTAAAAAGGACATGATGCTGTGCAAATTAGAAGTCTCCATCCTTGGGCTGGGTGCGGTGGCTTACGCCTGTAATCCCAGAACTTCGGGAGGCCAAGGCGGGTGGATCAACTGAGGTCAGAAGTTCAAGACCAGCCTGGTCAACATGGTGAAACCCCGTCTCTACTAAAAATACAAAAAATTAGCTGAGCGTGGTGGTGGGCATCTGTAATCCCAGCTACTCGGGAGGTTGAGGCAGGAGAATAGCTTGAGCCCGGGGGGTGGAGGTTGCAGGGAGCCGAGATTGTGCCATTACACTCCAGCCTGGGCAACAAGAGCAAAACTCCGTCTCAAAAAAAAAAAAAAAAAAGGCTCCATCCTTATTCTCCAAAGGAAAGAATACAAAACACAAGTTGAGTTAAAACCAAAAAAGAAGCAAAGAATTATTGCTATTGTAATGATAATAGTCAAAATATTGCTGAAAAATTAAAAGACAAAAACAAAACTATGCTTTTTTCTACTAGGAAAAGGTAGCTTGGGAGGAAAATATTTTCCAATTTGGTTCAAAAATGTAATTATACTCTCCAAAGACTGTAGGGGTTCAACTGTTTTCTACAGAAAAATTGCCCGTAAAGTAAGTGAATCAGATAGGTATTCAAGAGTATAGTCTCTATATGTCTCTTATGGTCTCTAAAGAATCAAGCCAGGCCGGGCGTGGTGGCTCATGCCTGTAATCCCAGCACTTTGGGAGGCAGAGGTGGGCGGATCACGAGGTCAGGAGATCGAGACTATCCTGGCTAACACAGTGAAACTCCGTCTCTACTAAAAATACGAAAAAATTAGCCGGGTTTGGTGGCGGGCACCTGTAGTCCCAGCTACTCAGGAGGCTGAGGCAGGAAAGTCTCAAATTGTGTTCAGAGTAATATTCATTATGGAAAGTTGATCTTTATTAAAAACATTTTCCTCTTAAATTGAATGTAAAATGTTATATAAAAGGTTATCCTTCCTTCATCCGGAAAAATGTATTATCATTGTTAAGGATCTCATTTAATAATTATATCAAATATCTTTAGCCAACTGTTTACTTTGACATTATTCATATCTATCAAAGATTAGAAACTATTGATTAACTATTGATTAGGGAATATTGTCACAATCAGAAGTATGAATATTCACTAATCCTCTCATATCAGATATTTCCTTTAATTGACTTTTCAGCTTTCTTGTGAAAATTTCATTTTCACATTTTGTGTGCACTTGTATTTCCATTCTGATAACATAGATTACAGTCTAGAATAAACATTGCTATTTGGCTTATTGGTAGGACACTATTGCTTGACTTTAATTTTCTCAGGACTCAGATGCATGGTTTCTAGCTGGAGAGTTTGGTACAATAATTTTTTTTTCCCAAATACTTTGGCATTAGATTAAGACTCCTAGAGGAAGAAATACCATAAGAGCTATAAGTCAGTGTGCATACACGAACCCTACCATACCACCGCCTGCCGGTGAGTACATGTAATAAGTGATGCTGGAGTAACTGGCTAGCTATATGCAGAAGATTGAAACTGGGTGTCTTCCTTACACCATGATAAAAATCCACTCGAGACAGATTAAAGAATTAAATGTAAAAAAACCTAAAACAATAAAAACCCTGGAAGTTAACCTAGGATACCATTCCAGACATAGGCCCTGGCAAAGATTTCTCCAAAAGCAATTGCAACAAAAACAAAAATTGGCAAGTGGGACCTAATTAAACTAAGGAGTTATTGCACAGCAAAAGAAATTATCAACAGAATAAACAGACAGCCTACAGAATGGGTGAAAATGTTTGCAAACTGTTCGCTCAACAAAGGTCTAATATCCAGAATTTATAGAGAAATTAAGCAAATTAAGAAGCAAATAACAAACTGTCCCATTGAAAAATGCACAAAGGACATGAACAGCCACTTTTCAAAAGAAGACATACATGCGGCCAACAAGCATGTGAAAAAATGCTCAACATTATTAATCGTTAGAGAAATGCAAATCAAAACCACAATGAGATACCATCTTACAACAGTCAGAATGGCTATAACTAAAAAGTCAAAAAATAACAGATACTGGTGAGATTGGGAGAAAAGGGAACGTTTATACACTGCTGGTAGGAATATAAATTAGTTCAGTCATTGTGGAAAGCAGTGTGGCAATTTCTCAAAGAACTTAAAATAGAATTACCATTCAACCCAGCAATCCCATTACTGGGTGTACACCCAAAGGAATATAAATCATTCTACCATAAAGACACACGCATGTGTATGCTCATCGTAGCACTATTCACAATAGCAAAGCCATGGAATCAACCTAAATGCCCATCAATGGTAGACTGGATAAAGAAAATGTACATATACACCATGGCATACTAACTATGCAGTCATAAAAAGAATGAGAACATGTCCTTTGCAGCAACATGGATGCAGCTGGAGGCCATCATCTTTAGCAAACTAACTCAGAAACAGAAAACCAAAAACTGCATGTTCTTACTTGTAAATGGGAACTAACCGTGAAGTACACATGACACAAAGAAGGGAATAATAGACACTGGGGCCTACTGGAGGGTGGAAGATGGGAGGAGGGTGAGGATAAAAAAACTACCTATCTGGTACTATGCTTATTACCTAGGTAACGAAATAATCTGTACACCTAACCTCCGTGACATGCAATATACCCATGTAACAAAACTGCACGTGTACCCCCTGAACCTAAAATAAAAGTTGGAAAGAAAAAGGAGTATCTTAAAAAAAGAAGCTATAAGTAAGCAGTCAAAAATGCTGTCCATGCAATTTTAGCTAGGTCCCTTGCATTTTAGCTACAACAAAATGCCTTTTAAACAAACCAAAAAGACGAAAAAGTAGTTTTTCATGAAAAAAGTGTTGTGAGTTTTATCTGGTCAAAAAACTGGTTTCCAAACTTTATGCAACACATTCACCTATTAAGTACAATTGTTGTTTTATTCAAATACTCTAGTGTCTTATGGTTTACAAATGCTTTCATCTATGTTTTCTCATTTGACTTTTGCAGCAACCCTGCATTGTTATTATATTCCTTTACCGGATGAGAAATTGAGGCTCAGAATGTTAAAAAACAAAAAAATCTCTGACAGAGGTAAACAGTATTAGCAAGGTACTGAACCAGAAATGGAAGGCAGAGGACCCATTTAGCTTGAGTTTTGTGGTTAAATTGAACATGAGAAAGGTCAAGTGTATTAATGCTGCATCAAAACCAAGAGTAGCAAGCAGGTTAATTCTTATGTGCTAACGCTGATTGAATCATGACGGCTCTCTAGACCAGGGGTGATCAAACTATGGCCCACAGGCCAGCTGCCTGTTTTTGTAAATATCTTATTGAAACACTGCCACACCCATTTGTTTATATAGCTTCTGCTTTTTGCTGCAAATTGCACTCCAACAGCAGAGTTAGTAGTTGCAACAGAGACTATGTTATCCACATGCATAAAATATTTACGGACAATTTAATAAAAATTTTGCTGACCCGTGTTCCTGATTACTGAGTTAAGAACGTTTCTGAAGTTAGAGTGGGTCTTCATGATTGATTATCATTGTGTACCATGGACAAGGAAAGAAGGAAATTGTCTATTACCCTTACATTGCCATCGATAAAATGTTATCTTGATTAGACTGACTGTCATTTTCTGAATATTCTCTCTCTGCTCCAGTGTGAGATCCTCTGGTTTGCGTTTTGAGAAATTCAGTTTATTAGAATCACTCGGCAATGATAAAACTGCATGATTTGATTCATGCTAACTCATCAAATCCCATTTAAGGGTTTTCTGGTGAAACTTGATACAGATCCCAAGTATATGTTTTTCATGTGTGCATATCTATAATACAGTTGATCACAGTTTTTATTTGGTGTTATACTTTTCTCTTTTCTTTCTTCAGTTAGCGGAAAGGAATCCTCCAAAAAGTCCATGAGCTCGCTACACTTAGGAACCGGTTTTCATACATCTTTGAATATCTAAGCATAGTCCTGTGCACAGTACTCTTAGGCATTTAATAAAAATACATTGATAGAAGTGTAGCTTCCTAAACAAAAAGGCAAAACATCACTGAGTAAAAGAGATCCCAAAACATGCCTTAACAATAGCCTTTCAGTTAAGCAACCAGAAGCAAAGCATTCCTGAGTGGCAGTTTTAAGAAGCTATTTTTAAAAATCAAGGTTTTGCTCACTCTGCTATTCATAAAAGTACAGACTCTCTTGTGTGTTGAATCTACAGCAGGTGGTAAGAATTGACCAATTTTTTCTCCATTATCTAATAACATAATAACACTACCTTAAATGTTAATAACTTCCTTCTATTAATGTGCTTAAAGCCTTTTGAGAGATAATTATTTTTTTCAATAAAACACTCCTCAGAGAGGAGGAGTAAGAAAAGGTATTGCTATTCTATTGTTACAGATTGAGAGACTGAGGCATGCAATTATTTCATAGCTCATTTTGTTTCAGAGATTATTATTCAAGTAAACCAGATAAGTGACTTAATATAAATTTCACAGTATCTGTGTTCTTGGCAAAATCTATGTATTCTCTCTCCAGTTGCTTGGATAGAGATGAGCTCATAATACATTTCTTGAACTACAAATAGAAAAATAGCAAGTATATATAATTTATAAATATTATATATTTTATGTTATATATTAAATTCATATATATAATTATATATACACATATTCTCAAATGCCTGCTGTCTTTTGGTTTTTTAAGTTAAAAATGCTATAGCAAATATTCCTTCACACTTTTTTTTATTAGTGCTGGTTGGTATTTTCTCAACTACATAAAATTGGTATGACAAAATTAATCAGCTTTACCAAAAAGTAAGATTTTTTTTCACTTTCAAAAGTTGCTAAAATGTCTTTTTAAACTCTGCAAATGTGTATTTCCAGATTTGACAACTCAAAATTTCCCTCTAATGTATGCTTTCCTCTAGAAGAAGAGGTACTAACTATAGCAAGCAACTTACATATGTATAGTTTTTTGTTTTAAATGCGCATCAAAGTTCCCTTTACCAGGACATGTAAAGCATGTATAGCACACACAGACAAGTAAGCATAGAGTATTGCAGCTGATGGAAACTGAAAAACACCAGAGTCCCACTCCTTAAAGATGAGTGGCCTGAGGCCCAAAGAAGTGAACAATGTGTGAGTGAAATAGGCTGGGTCAAATAATCATGTAAAAAGCAACAGAAACAACCTTGATGCAGCTAGGGCATGGAGGGAAGGAAAACAGTATCAGCAGTACCATGAGGAAGTAGAACCTTGGGAAAATAATCTGAGATAAGAGACAAGAAAATGGAATCTAGTCTCAATTGATTAAAAAGTAATTGATTATCTCCCTAGCACTCATGTTATTTTTTCTATAAAATACAAATTATTCTACCAACATATTCAGTATCATTGGAGTTCAGATGTCAGCATGTGAATAAGAATGTGAGTGAGTTCTTGCTTCTCAAGAATCTGGTACCATTCTTCTTGAGATCCATATTCATATCTACCTTGGTCTTTCTCATGTCAGGTTTCTGCCATTTGCAGAACTGGTTTAAGGATTTTATATTCGCCTTAACATCTGAAACTCTAAGACTTCAAGGACACAGAGTTATGGACTCTAAACTCAAATGACCTAGATATAAAAATGAATCAGTCATTAACAAAGGTATCAGATGCCTCTGTTTTCCCATGCCACATTTCTATACCCACAAGTGATTTCAGCCACAGCTGCTGTGAACATCTTCTCACAAACTCAATTTCTCCTTTACTGTACATAATTTCCAGCTGCAGGAGTTCACTTGGTCTGCCAGCAAGTGCAGCCCACAAGTGTAGGGTTAAGGCCCTCTGTGCCAACACTCAACCAATGTGGATGAGAGCTGGTGGATAAATGCTCTAGTCTCTGACTCTTCTGGTGGACAACTTGGGGTAGCATTCTATTTGTTTTGTGGATCTTGGTAGAATTGAGCCCTGTTACCCAAAGCGGTTACCTTGATAAGACACACTTACATTGGCTTTTCATCCTTATCATCCTTTCCTGTTTGGCTCCTCCATTTCCTTCCACCTAAGCCCTAGGATCATCTAACATGCATGCAAAAACCTTGCCTCAGCCTCTGCTTTGCTAATTCTGTGTTTAATTTTTTGAGGAACTGCCATACCATTTTTTGTAGTGGCTGCACCATTTTAAATTCTCACTAGCAATGCACAAATATTCCAATTTCTGCACATCCTCGCAAACACTTGTTATTTTCTTTTTTTTTTTTTTTGATAATAGCCATCCTAATGGGTGTGAAATGATATCTCACCATGGTTATGATTGGCACCTCCATGATAATTCGAGATGTTGAGCATCTTTTCATATGCTTATTGGCTATTCCTCTGTCTTCTTTGGAGGAGTACGGATAATAATACCAAAAGAAATAATCCCAAACACTACAAAACCAAGTGTTGAAATCCCAGTAGACCAAAATCTCTAAAGTCTAAATCCTGAAAGTCTAAAATCCCCAATGTCTAAAATCCTGAAAATCAGAATCACAAAAGATTCAAATCCCAAATGTTGAAATTGTGAAAGCTGAATTCTGGGGAAGGAATTAATGCATTTTTGTTTGTGCACAGGATAGTGACATTGTGTTAGTTGCATCATGTAAGGTAGAACTATTACCTTGTTATTGTCTTCATTTGCATTGGGCGGAAAATTCAGAGGAGCGGATTGGCCATGCAATAAGGCAATGATGAAAAATTCAGTTTACAAATGTGTCATTTGTCTGAATTGGCATGTCTTCCAGCTGATGAAATTCCTAGAGCTTTTAATGAGTTAAAGCTGCATTTGATGAAGAAGCCAGCAAATTACTGACTGGTTTTAAAATAATTATGTGCATGATAGGATAAGAAGACATTTAGGCAATGGTGTTGCTGTTCAATCACCAGTATTGTTTCTACCATATTTGTGATTTGTATATGAGTGCATGCAGGATGGCTTTTCCTGTATCCAAAACAACATAGAAGCATGGCAGCATAGAAGATGGGAAGATTTAATGTATATTGAATCACAGATAAATTTCAATAATAGCAGTGCCATGTAGAAAATGGATGTGAACATATTCTCTGAGGTCAGCCATGCCCTAAATGAAAAAAAGCAGCTATTCATTGTGATGAAAGATTTCACAATATAGTTAATGATCATGAAAGCTGGCCAGCTCTTATGGACTACCTTCATACAATGATCCAGAATCTATCCCTGTAATTTATTTTTTCATATGTTGAATTTTCTTTTTAGTTTTTTAAAAATGTTTTTAGTTTTTTCACTATTTCAAATAGGTTTTACATTATTTTTTACAATTCGCTATGCTATGTATTTCATCTTCACATCATTTCCACTACTGAAGGTATAAATTATGTGGAGATTTTTAGAGAGTTCTAATAAGTATTATGCATTTTTACAAATTCGACTCCACAAAAGTGCATTATCACAACATTGACTTTGTGTGCAAGCATTGCACATGTATGTAAAAACGCCAAAACTTCCCCAATATATGAAGAGATGTCCTTTTTGTATATCTGCATTTGCAAAGTTAAAATTTCTCAAGATCTTGGCTCTTTGGGTGACTGCATATGTGGTGGTAACCGATGGTGGTTTTTTATTTGTCTAGTCAAAAGACCGGTTGTTTCTCATGGTATTTCATAACCACAATTATAAAGCTGAGTGTACACGGTTACCAACCATAGTGATATGCATTTGTACATTTTTTCTTTTGCCCTGTCTATTTCTTTATAAATATGGTTCATCTGACCATAGCTGTTATACCCATGTGACTGTTGTTAGTATATATGTTTATATTTGCAAAAACGTGTATGTTATTATTGCCTAATTAATTGTGTAAAGTAGCCTATGAAGTGTTGTGTTTTTATATGTTTCTCAAATAAATCCTCTTTTTAAAATGTGAATAAACATTTAAGTTATTTCTTAAATTATTTTTTCAGAACTCTATTTTCAGGATTTTTATCTTTCAGGATTGTGATTTTGGGGATTTTAGACTTTAAAGATTTTAACCCTTCAATATTTCAACATTTGAGATTATGGCCTCAGGCTTGCAAGAGTGTAGCCCTGAGTTCTCCTAAAAGTAACAATTCAGTAATCACTAATTCAGTGTTTGGAACTAGCGAATTCTCCCTCTTTGGAGAAGTGTCCATTCCCTTTCAGGAATTATGGTTGGCTCCCTCTTTGGAGGAGTGTCTATTCAAAATTCCTTTGCCCATTTTTTCAGTAAATTGTTTGATTATTTTTTCTTGATATGTAGGAGTTCTTCATATATATACTAGATACTAATCATATATATATATGTGTGTGTGTGTATATATATATATACACACACACACACACACACACACACACACTGAATACTAATCCTTTATCTTCTGCCATCTGTGGATTGCCTTTTCACTCTGTTGGTAGTGTCCTTTAAAACTCAAAGTTTTTAAATGTTGATGTAGTCCAATCTAGATATTTTTTCTTCAGTTTTTTGTGTTTTGAGTGTCTGCTCAACATTTCCTGTGTCTCAGGAAGGGGAACATCACACACCCGGGACTGTTGTGGGGTGGGGGAGCGGGGAGGGATAGCATTAGGAGATATACCTAATGCTAAATGACGAGTTAATGGGTGCAGCACACCAACATGGCACATGTATACATATGTAACAAACCTGCACGTTGTGCACATGTACCCTAAAACTTAAAGTGTAATAATAATAAAATTTAAAAAAAAACCATTTCTTGTGTCTAATTCATAGGAGGCTCTTGAAAAATATTTATTGAATCAAAGACAGAGAACTATTGAAAGACACGTAGATAGTGCCATAGATGTAGATACAATTGATTCTTGTTACTCATAGCAGTTATGCTCTATAAATTCTCTGTGAACATTGAATTAGTGAATACTGAATGATTACTTTTAGGAGAACACAGGCTTCTTGCAAGCCTCTGGTCAAAACATTTTCATCAACTTAATCAATAATCTTGTTTTCTGTGTATTTCTATTGAAAGACAACTTATTTAATATGTATTGTTGATTCATTAACATTGAACTTCTGACTAACAGCGCTATAACTCATACCTGAATGAAGATTACCTAACACACATTCATACCTGAATGAAGATTACCTAACACACGTATTTTCTCCATAATATTTGTCACAACATTTTTGCACTTAGGAATACTAAGCAAAGCTTCAGAACTGTGCTTGAGGGCCATTTTAAACAGCAAAATTACCAACAAAAAGCACGAAAATACAAAAACAAAAACATTGCATCTAATAGACCTTGAAAAGGACACTTGTTTAGTGTGAGACACGAGAGCTGAAACAAGAAAGCACAGCATCGCTTTCTTCAACGTCAGCTGGGAACATTAATGTTGGGTGACTCAAATTTTTTGCCACTCTGAATATGCCCACAAATGAAAACAGCAGTGCCAAAAGTATTGATTTGGGGAATACAAATAAATTTTAGTAAGTGGGCAAATTTGCAAATACAGAATCCATGAATAATAAAAACAAATTGTATTAATATAGTTATGTAGACACAGATATAGTCATAGATATATAGATATAGATATATTCATACACATAACCATAGATATATAGCTATAACCATAGACATTGTCATAGACACAAACACATATAGTAGACGCAGACAACAATACACATACACATCTATGTACTCACCAGATTGACAAACATTGACAATATATAATATTTGGGAAATGGTGAGTAAACAAGCTCTTTCATAGAATCTTAATGTGAACACAAATTACTACAAATATTAGAAAGGACATGTGGAAATATCTATCAAAAATTTAAAAGTGCATATATTTCATCAAGTAATCTACTTTTAGAAATCAATCATATTAAAATAATAATAAAAGTCAGCATTTTTACAAGTACAAGCATCTTCAAATCTGACATTATTTCCAATCATAAAAACTAAAAAATGACCAAAACAACCCTCAAGAGAAACTGGCTAAATACATTAAAGTGCATCCATACAATGAAATATTGTGCAGTTGTTAAAAAGAAATGGCTCTCTGGGTAGGACATCTCTGAAAGAAAGGCAGCAGCTCCAGTCAGTGGCTTATAGATAAATCTCCCATCTCCCTGGGACAGAGCACCTGGGGGAAGGGGTGGCTGTGGGCACAGCTTCAGCAGACTTAAACGTTTCTGCCTGCTGGCTCTGAAGAGAGCAGCAGATCTCTCAGCACAGTGCTCAAGCTCTGCTAAGGGACAGACTGCCTCCTCAAGTGGGTCCCTGACCCCTGTGCCTACTGATGGGGAGACACCTCCCAGCAGGGGTCAACAGACACCTCATACAGGAGATCTCTGGCTGGCATCTGGCAGGTGCCCCTCTGGGACGAAGTTTCCAGAGAAAGGAACAGGCAGCAATCTTTGCTGTTGTGCAGCCTCCGCTGGTGATACCCAGGCAAACAGGGTCTGGAGTGGACCTCCAGCAAACTCCAGCAGACCTGCAGCAGAGGGGCCTGACTGTTAGGAGGAAAACTAACAAACAGAAAGGAATAGCAACAACATCAACAAAAAGGATGTCCACACAGAAACCCCATCTGAAAGGTCACCCATATTAAAGACCAAAGGTAGATAAATCCATGAAGATGAGGAAAAAACAGCACAAAAAGGCTGAAAATTCCCAAAACCAGAATGCCTCTTCTCCTCCAAAGGATCACAACTCCTCACCAGCAAGGGAGCAAAACTAGATGGAGAATGAGTTTGACGAATTGACACAAGTAGGCTTCAGAAGGTGGGTAATAACAAACTCCTCCGAGGAAAAAGGGCATGTTCTAACCCAATGCAAGGAAGCTAAGAACCTTGAAAAAGGTTAGAGGAACTGCTAACTAGAATAATCAGTTTAGAGAAGAACATAAATGACACGATGGAGCTGAAAAACACAGGATGAGAGCTTCGTGAAGCATACGCAAGTATCAATAGCTGAATCAATCAAGTGGAAGAAAGGATATCAGAGGTTGAAGATCAACTTAATGAAATAAAGCGTGAAGAACAGATTAGAGAAAAAAGAATGAAAAGGAACAAAAAAAGCCTCCAAGAAATATGGGACTATGTGAAAAGACCAAACCTACGTTTGATTTGTGTACCTGAAAGTGATGGGGAGAATGGAACCAAGTTGGAAAACACTCTTCAGGATATTACCCAGGAGAACTTCCCCAACCTAGCAAGACAGGTCAACATTCAAATTTAGGAAACACAGAGAACACCACAAAGATACTCCTCAAAAAGAGCAACCCCAAGACACATAACCATCAGATTCACGAAGGTTGAAATGAAGGAAAAATTGTTAAGGGCAGCCAGAGAGAAAGGTCAGGTTACCCACAAAGGGAAGCCCATCAGACTAACAGCAGATCTCTCTGCAGAAACCCTACAAGCCAGAAGAGAGTGGGGGCCAATATTCAACATTCTTAAAGAAAAGAATTTTCAACCCAGAATTTCATATCCAGCCAAACTAAGCTTCATAAGCAAAGGAGAAATAAAATCTTTTACAGACAAGCAAATGCTGAGAGATTTTGTCACCACCAGGTCTGCCTTACAAGAGCTCCTGAAGGAAACACTACATATGAAAAAAAATGGTACCAGCCACTGCAAAAACATACCAAATTGTAAAGACCATTGACACTGTGAAAAAACTGCATCAACTAATGAGCAAAATGACCAGCTAGCATCATAATGACAGGATCAAATTCACACATAACAATGGTAACCTTAAATGCAAACGGGCTAAATGCCCCAGTTAAAAGACACAGACTGGTAAATTGGATAGCGAGTCAAGACCCATCAGTGTGCTGTATTCTGGAGACACATCTCATGTGCAAAGACACACACAGGCTCAAAATAAAGGGATGGAGGAAGATCTACCAAGCAAATGGAAAGCAAAAAAAAGCAGGGGTTGCAATCCTAGTCTCTGATAAAACAGACTTTAAACCAACAAAGATAAAAAAAAGACAAAGAAGGGCATTACATAATGGTAAAGGGATCAATGCAACAAGAAGAGCTAACTATCTTAAATATATATGCACCCAATACAGGAGCACCCGGATTCATAAAGCAAGTTCTTAGAGACCTACAAAGAGACTTAGACACCCACACAATAATAGTGGGAGACTTTAACACCCCACTGTCAGTATTAGACAGATTGAGACAGAAAATTAACAAGGATATTCAGGACTTGAACTCCGCTCTGGATCAAGTAGACCAAAAAGACATCTACAGAACTCTCCACCCCAAATCAACAGATATACATTCTTCTCAGCACCACATCGCAGTTATTCTAAAATTGACCACATAATTGGAAGTAAAACACTCCTCAGCAAATGCAAAAGAACAGAAATCATAACAAACAGTCTCTCAGACCACAGTGCAATCAAATTAGAACTCAGGATTAAGAAACTCACTCAAAACCTCACAACTACATGGAAACTGAACAACCTGCTCCTGAATGACTACTGGGTGCATACGAAATTAAGGCAGAAATTAATAAGTTCTTTGAAACCAATGAGAACAAAGATGCAACGTACCAGAATCTCTGGGAAACAGCTAAAGCAGTGTTTAGAGGGAAATTTACAGCACTAAATGTCCACAGGAGAAAGTGGGAAAGATCTAAAATCGACACCCTAACATCACAATTAAAAGAACTAGAGAAGCAAGAGCAAACAAATTCAAAAGCTAGCAGAAGACAAGAAATAACTAAGATCAGAGTGGAACTGAAGGAGATAGACGCGAAAAACCCTTCAAAAAATCAGTGAATCCAGCAGGTAGTTTTTGGAAAAGATTAACAAAATAGATAGACCGCTAGCCAGACTAATAAAGAAGAAAAGAGAGAAGAATTAAATAGACACAACAAAAAATGATAAAGGGGATATCACCACTGATCCCACAGAAATACAAACTACCATCAGAGAATATTATAAACACCTGTACCCAATTAAACTAGAATATCTAGAAGAAATGGATAAATTCCTGAGACATACACCCTCCCAAGACTAAACCAGGAAGAAGTCGAATCCCTGAATAGACAAATAACAAGTTCTGAAATTGAGGCAGTAATTAATAGCTTACCAACCAAAAAAAGCCCAGGACCAGACAGATTCACAGCCTAATTCTACTAGAGGTACAAAGAGGAGCTGGTAGCATTCCTTCTGAAACTATTCCAAGCAATAGAAAAAGAGGGACTCCTCCCTAACTCATTTTATGAGGCCAGCATCATCCTGATACCAAAACCTGGCAGAGACACAACAAAAAAAGAAAATTTCAGGCCAATATCCCTGATGAACATCGATGCGAAAATCCTCAATAAAATACTGGAAAACCAAATCCAGCAGCACATCAAAAAGCTTATCCACCACAATCAAATCGGCTTCATCCCTGGGATGCAAGGCTGGTTCAACATACACAAATCAATAAATGTAACCCATCACATGAACAGAACCAATGACAAAAACCACATGATTATCTCAATAGATGCAGAAAAGGCCTTTGATAAAATTCAACACCCCTTCATGCTAAAAACTCTCAATAAACTAGATATTGATGGGATGTATCTCAAAATAATAAGAGCTATTTATATCAAACCCACAGCCAATATAATACTGAAGGGGCAAAAGCTGGAAGCATTCTCTTTGAAAACCGCCACAAGACAAGGATGCCTTCTCTCACCACTCCTATTCAACACAGTATTGGAATTTCTGGTGAGGGCAATCAGGCTAGAGAAAGAAAGAAAGGGCATTCCAATAGGAAGAGAGGAAGTCAAATTGTCTTTGTTTGCACATGACATGATTGTATATTTAGAAAACCCCATCGTCTCAGCCCAAAATCTCCTTAAGCTGATAAGCAACTTCAGCAAAGTCTCAGGATACAAAATCAATGTGTAAAAATCACAAGCATTCCTATACACCAATAATAGACAGCCAGCCAAATCATGAGTGAACTCCCATTCACAGTTGCTACAAAGAGAATAAAATACCTAGGAATACAACTCACAAGGGATGTGAAGGACCTCTTCAAATAGAACTACAAACCACTGCTCAAGGAAATAAGAGAGGACACAAACAAATGGAAAAACATTCCATGCTCATGGAGAGGAAGACTCAGTATCGTGAAAATGGCCATAATACCCAAAGTAATTTATAGATTCAATGCTATCCCCATCAAGCTACCATTGACTTTCTTTTTTTTTTTTTATTATACTTTAAGTTCTAGGGTACATGTGCACGATGTGCAGGTTTGTTACATATGTATACATGTGCCATGTTGGTGTGCTACACCGATTAACTCGTCATTTACAAAATGCTATCCCACCCCCCTCCCCCCACCCCATGACAGGCCCTAGTGTGTGATGTTCCCCTTCCTGTGTCCAAGTCTTCTCATTTTTCAATTCCCACCTATGAGTGAGAACATGCGGTGTTTGGTTTTTTGTCCTTGTGATAGTTTGCTGAGAATAATGGTTTCCAGCTTTATCCATGTCCCTACAAAGGACATGAACTCATCCTTTTTTAGGGCTGCATAGTATTCCATGGTGTATATGTGCCACATTTTCTTAATCCAGTCTATCATTGATGGACATTTGGGTTGGTTCCAAGTCTTTGCTATTGTGAATAGTGCCGCAATAAACATAGGTGTGCATGTGTCTTTATAGCAGCATGATTTATAATCCTTTGGGTATATACCCAGTAATAGGATGGCTGGGTCAAATGGTATTTCTAGTTCTAGATCCTTGAGGAATCACCACACTGTCTTCCACAATGGTTGAACTAGTTTACAGTGCCACCAACAGTGTAAAAGTGTTCCTATTTCTCCACATCCTCTCCAGCACCTGTTGTTTCCTGACTTTTGAATGATCGCCATTCTAACCGGCGTGAGATGGTATCTCATTGTGGTTTTGATTTGCATTTCTCTGATGGCCAGTGATGATGAGCATTTTTTCATGTGTCTTTTGGCTGCATAAATGTCTTCTTTTGAGAAGGGTCTGTTCATATCCTTCGCCCACTTTTTGATTGGGTTTTTTTTTTTCTTGTAAATTTGTTTGAGTTCATTGTAGATTCTGGATATTAGCCCTTTGTCAGATGAGTAGATTGCAAAAATTTTTTCCCATTCTATAGGTTGCCTGTTCACTCTGATGGTAGTTTCTTTTGCTGTGCAGAAGCTCTTTAGTTTCATTAGATCCCATTTGTCAATTTTGGCTTTTGTTGCCATTGCTTTTGATGTTTTAGACATGAAGTCCTTGCGCATGCCTATGTCCTGAATGGTATTGCCTAGGTTTTCTTCTAGGGTTTTTATGGTTTTAGGTCTAACATTCAAGTCTTTAATCCATCTTGAATTAATTTTTATATAAGGTGTAAGGAAGGGATCCAGTTTGAGCTTTCTACGTATGGCTAGCCAGTTTTCCCAGCACCATTTATTAAATAGGGAATCCTTTCCCCATTTCTTGTTTTTATCAGGTTTGTCAAAGATCAGATGGTTGTAGATGTGTGGCATTATTTCTGAGGACTCTGTTCTTTTCCATTGGTCTATATCTCTGTTTTGGTACCAGTACCATGCTGTTTTGGTTACTGTAGCCTTGTAGTATAGTTTGAAATCAGGTAGCACGATGCCTCCAGCTTTGTTCTTTTGGCTTAGGATTGACTTGGTGATGCGGGCTCTTTTTTGGTTCCATATGAACGTTAAAGTAGTTTTTTCCAATTCTGTGAAGAAAGTCATTGGTAGCTTGATGGGGATGAAAAAAACTACTTTAAATTTCATATGGAACCAAAAAAGAGCTCATATAGGCAAGACAATCCTAAGCAAAATGAACAAACCTGGAAGCATCACGCTACCCGACTTCAAACTATACTACAAGCCTACAGTAACCAAAACAGCATGGTACTGGTACCAAAAGAGATATATAGACCAATGGAACATAACAGAGGCCTCAGAAATAACACCACACATCTACAACCATCTGATCTTTGACAAACCTGACCAAAACAAACAATGGAGAAAGGATTCCCCATTTAATAAATGGTGCTGGGAAAACTGGCTAGCCATGTGCAGAAAACTGAAACTGGACCCCTTCCTTACACCTTATACAAAAATTAGCTCAAGATGGATTAAAGACTTAAACGTAAGACCTAAAACCATAAAAATCCTAGAAGAAAACCTAGGCAATCCCATTCAGGACATATGCACGGGCAAGGACTTCATGACTAAAACACCAAAAGCAATAGCAACAAAAGCCAAAATTGACAAATGGGATCTAATTAAACTAAAGAGCTTAAAGGAACTATCATCAGAGTGAACAGGCAACCAACAGAATGGGAGAAAATTTTTGCAATCTGTCTGTCAAGGGGCCAATATCCAGAATCTACAAGGAACTTAAACAAATTTACAAGACAAAAACAAACGACCCTATCAAAAAATGGGCAAAGGATATGAACAGACACTTCTCAAAAGAAGACATTTATGCGGCCAACAAACATTTGAAAAAAAGCTCATCATCACTGGTCATTAGAGAAATGCAAATCAAAACCACAATGAGATACCATCTCACGCCAGTTAGAATAGCCATCATTAAAAAGTCAGGAAACAACAGATGCTGGAGAGGATGTGGAGCAATAGGAACACTTTTACACTGTTGGTGGGACTGTAAACTATTTCAACCATTGTGGAAGACAGTGTGGCGATTGCTCAAGGATCTATAACCAGAAATACCATTTGACCCAGCAATCCCATTACTGAGTATATACCCAAAGGATTATAAATCATTCTAATATAAAGACACATGCACATGTATGTTTACTGCAGCACTGTTCTCAATAGCAAAGACTTGGAACCAACCCAAATGCCCATTAATGATATACTGGATAAAGAAAATGTGGCACATATACACCACGGAATACTATGCAGCCATAAAAAGGATGAGTTCATGTCCTTTGTAGGGACATGGATGAAGCTGGAAACCATCATTCTCAGCAAATTGACACAGGGAGAGAAAACCAAATATCACATATTCTCACTCATAAATGGGAGATGAACAATGAGAACACATGGACACAGGGAGGGGAACATCACACACTGGTGCCTCTATGGGGATGGGGACTAGGGGAGGGATAGCATTAGGAGAAATACCTAATGTAAATGACGGGTTGATGGGTGCAAGAAACCACCGTGGCACATGTATACCTATGTAACAAACCTTCACGTTCTGCACATGTACCCCAGAACTTAAAGTATAATTTTTAAAAAAAGAATGAGGATAATAATTTTTTAACCAGTAAATAAATTTTAACCAGTAAATAAAATTTTCCAATTTTAAGAATGGATATGTGTTACTACTGACAAGAAAATGTCATATATAAAAAGATAAACATGGCATTCCATAAAAAATAAATATAAATTATCCAAAAAAAAAGGAAATGATCTGCAAGTGGAGACATGTAAAGAGCATCATAATATGTGTGAAATAGATAAAGGAATTTTATTAATGTGTGTAAATTATGAAACAGCCTTGTAGAATCCAAATATATGTTTACATATCATTCATTTAGTGTGAACATTTATTGATTTTATAAACATAAGAGACCCGAAATCAAAACAGCGGTTATTTCTGAGTCCTATGCTGAATTTTTGCTCTCAGATCCCTCCCCAACCTCTCTCTGCCCTTTTCTGGACTACAAGAAACTACATTTCTCCCTGTCTCTTTCCCTCTTCCTTCATGGTAAGTTCAGGTAATTGGAGCTAATGTTGGAAGTCTAGAGGGCGGAAGGTGAAAAGAAGCTAAGGTTTTTCTACTCACTCACTGCTTTGGGCTTTGTCTTCATCAGCAGATTAGTTCCTTTGCTCCACCTCTCTCTAGCCAGTCTTTTCCTTCATGGCCCCATTTTTCACCAGGCTGACCTATGATAGTTCCAGCTTCCACCATCAGCTCTTGGTCTCCAATAATGCTGCCCTTCCCTTTGTCCCTTCAGCCTAGGTATGGCATCAGTTTCTGCTTTCAATGTCCAGACTTCCTTGTGCCCCTTCTTTGGATCCTCAGTGTGTCAATCACCCTTGTAACTCTCTGAATTAGTCTGTTCTCACACTGCTAATAGAGACGTACCCAAGACTGGGTAATGTATAAAGGAAAGAGGTTTCATGGACTCACAGTTCCACATGGCTGGGGAGGACTCACAATCATGGCAGAAGGTGAGTGAGGAGCAAAGGCACATCTTAAATGGCAAGAGAGCTTGTGCAGGGAACGTCCCATTTATAAAGCCATCAGATCTTATGATACTTATTCACTGCCACGAAACAGTATGGGGGAGCCACCCCCATGATTCAATGATCTCCACCTGGTCCTGCCCTTGACACATGGGGATTATTACAATTCAAGGTGAGATTTGGGTGGGGACACAGCCAAACCATATCAGTCTCTGTATGAAATTTCGGCTCTTTAAAATCCCTATAGTGTATTTGCCAATTAAAACAAATTAATTAATTTTAAAATAAATAAATAAAACACCCACAGTAGTTTCTCTTTTCTGACAGGACACAGGTAACTGGGTAATGAGGAGAGGAAAAACTTTCAATATTGTTTGTTTGACAAAATGACACTATACTGGTGGTAAGGTGAAGGGGATGATATTTAAAATTTTCTACCACAAAGCATAAGTATGAGGAAACTCTACATTTTTACAGAGTGTTCACACAATAATAAAATAATTACATTTCAACCATGAACATTATGCAACAAATGACTGTAGTCCCTGGTCCTTTGCCATCTAAAATGATCTTTCCATAACATTCATTATTGTTTATTAGTGTAGTTTCAATTCACACTAGAAAGAAAACAAACCTTACTTTCTGGCTCTGTTTTGATCCCTGGCAACACATTTTCATATGGCATGTTGTTCTGTTTTCCAATTTGGTTGATTTGCTGGCCTTTCAGGAAGAACCTACCTACCTACCCTTAGAGTGGCACACTGCATTAGCCAAGTTTGAAATGATGAATAATGTCCAATGTGGAAAAAGGTATGAGAATGCATGGACTTAAATACCTGAATTTGGCATCTTGCAAGAATGTCCTTGGTTATTGCAACACTATAGATTCTTAGAGAGCAAGAATTATTTCTTGTTTTCTTTTGTGAACCCAGTGTATAGCATACTATCTAGGATAAAACAAGGTATTTGAATAGATAGTGCCTGGGTATTCCCTGTATTTCACTAAGATTCCATTCTACGCTTGATTTAGGCATTAAATAAACACCTTCAAAATTAAAATGGATTGGAATGGTAATACACTATCCAACACTTCTTGAAACATTGATATATCACTATATTCTCAGGCCTAGCTTACATTCAACCTGTTCCATGAAATACTGCTGATTATCTTGGCCAAAACTGATCTTTCTCTCTTCTGCCTGAATTATTTTATGGAAATTATCATAATCTATTTTAAATAATTTATATACATATTATCTTTCTTGCTGAATTATAGGACATTCTTGCCACTCAATAGACACAGGAATTGGGTCTAATATATTATGAGACCTCCCAATCGTAAGCATACTATTTGCAAATATAAATTATTAGGTGGCTGGAAGAATGAATGAATGACCAAGAGAGTCTTAGATTAGTCCAAAGAAAATGAGCCCCTCTTGAAGGGTAAAAGTTCTGTGATACTTAATTTAGTCCTATGCAAAAATTTTTAGTTGGTAAAATATTTAATCATTTTACATTTAGCACGTTTTTCAAAATTGCATGAATTTTCACATCTTTGTAATGCTGTTAACTCTTTGAAAGTATTTTTAGTGTCATTATGAAAATGTCACAAAGTGAAAATTGTTATTGCCTCCCACACCTATAATTTCTAAACATGGTTAAAATAACAACAGGATTTTCACTGAATTTGGATTATAGTCTGCAATGATTAAGACATCATTTTTATCATATAATGAATTCATATCTAGAGTTGAATATTTTATAAGAATTCCTCTGTAATATTATAGAAATTGTGATAGCTTTAACCCATTTATGCCTGAGGTTGCAATTTTTTGAATTTTTGCAATCAGACCTTGGCGATGACCTTGAGCTGTAGGATATAAATAACTCCCACATGCTTAGTGTTCCAACAATGGAACACTAGGCGTAAATTGGTTTTAATATGTTGTTTGTACTTTAAAACTCTTTATCTGATTGACCATAAATCAACATGGGTCATTAGCCAGAAATAAAGAGTATATCATGGACATCACTTACCGAATTCTAGTGTAATATTTTACAAGATTTCTTATGCTATTGTTATGGGCAAAATGAAGGAATATAAGCTGGATGAAAATACAGTTAAGGTGGATTTATAGTGGTTAAACAATCAGACATAAAAGGTATCAATTCCTGAATTGTGCGAAATGAAGAGGGACTTCTAGTGGTTTGTCCAGTCAACTCTCTTTTATTAATACACTTGATGAATAAATGGACAGAATGCATATTGATTTGCAGATTACATAAATCCAATATATTTAAAGACAGAAATGGCTTGTAAAATATCTTGACAGTGCTTAAAATACAATCACAAATCAAGATGACAAAATTTTAACTGTACATGGGAAGAAAATCCATCTTGATATTTGGGACAGAGAGTCAACATTGTTTCAACTTCAGTGTAAAGCAGTATGGAAGAGCCTCCGGAACAGCTACATTCAAATACCCATTTTTCCATACAATGCTGTTTTTGTGAACTTGTGAACCTAGGTAAGTGCTTAACTTCATAAGTAGCACCTATATGATGGGGAAAAAATTCCTGCTTCATAGGGTTTTTAGAATAGAACAAGTAGTGTGCATTGATTGTAGTAAGCAATCATTGATGGTACTGTAATTATTGCTGTGGCATAAAAAAAAATCTAAACACAACCACAAGTATTGAGAGTCAAGTTCAAGGGAGGTGATATATGGTACCCCGAACACATGTAGAGAATCATGCCCCATTCTAAACACCACATTTCAAAAGGAATCCTGGAGACCATCCAGAGAAAACCATTTTTATAAAGAACTTTTGAGGAAAGTGGATATTTTTGTCATAAGAGAAAAGCCTAAAGAGACATGATAGCTGTCTCCAAATATTTTGAAATAGTATTTTGTGAAGGAAGTGATATTTTTAGTCAGCGATACTCCAGGAAACAGAAGAAAGACCAATAATAGTTGGAGGTTTTAGGAAAGTAAGTTTTGTGATGATCTGAAGACTCTATCAACAATGACATCTCTTTACCAATGGAGCAGGCTGCTTCCACAAGCACCCATGCTCCCCATCTCTGAAATATCAGGGAAATTATGAATCAAATTCACTATATACCTGGGAAGATATATTTAGATGGGTTATGCCACTTAAAACCTCTCATTAAACCCTGTAGGTCATGTATTATCTTTCTTATCCCCATTTGTCAGATGACAGACTATGTTTGAATTGCCCCAAATCACACTGATAATAAATGTCAGGTTCATATTATTAGAGTCCAACATGTGTGCTTATTTCAGTATATAAATTTGACTTAGGGATTCATAAACTGGGTGTGAGTTTGTACAAAAAGACAGCTACAGTATCTTAAGGATCATGCATTAATTATCAGTATGGTTCAGTTTTTAGGCTGCTTCTAGTTTGATTCCATTCTAGTCTGCAGCAGTTTTCCCTTTATGTATACTCTATGCCAGGCAAAGAGCATGCATTATTTATTTTAATTTGTACAGCATCACTGTGAAGCAAGAGGCCAGATATATTTTGTGTTTTATGTATAGAGAGATCAAAATTGTGAGAAGCTAAATGATTTAACCAAGGTCACAGAGCTAGATAATGACAAAGACAGAGACAGAAACCAAAATTTCTTCTGACTGTACATATTTTGCTTTCCACTATAGCAGGCATCCTGAAATTAATTAAAGATTTCCATAATGGACTAAGATGTGTGGGTACAGATGATTGTTGCAAAAAACTTTGAAGCAACCAACACCCGCACCTCAAATTATTTTTGTCAATAAAGTCTTCACATGTGGTATATTTGACAGAATTCCAAGTTTATACAGCTGGGAGATAATTTTTCAATTAAATAGAAAGCTATATAAATGTTTCTTTAAATTTTATTAGATGACATAATGTATCTTAATAGCATATTCAGTACTTTATATCTCTTATAGTCGGGCAGTGCTTTCTAATTTGTGACCCAAATTCCTGCTGCTCTAGTTTCCACCATGTTCCCTCATGTCCTGCCCTCTATGGAAAAAGAAACAAACAAAAAAGCTTCTTGTACATTTCCTTTCATCTATGTAATCATCACTAAATTATTGAAAGTAGACCTCACTATTCTAAATTCTGCTTTCATGTTCTGACATTGTCACCTATTCTGCTTAGATCTCTCTTTATAACAAAAATACCTTTATTTACTTCATTCTTGCATTACCTGAAAGACAAGGTCATTTGAATCAAAATTTTAATTACTTATGTACCTTCTTCTCTCAAGAATATCACAAATTAATTATCATGTTGAAATAACTTTAGCTTCCCTGTTTGATTATAAATATTTGAGTAATAGAGAATTTAGTAAGACCATTTATTACAACTAAAAGCAATGGAGTCAACCTTCACATCCTGTAGTCTCAATTCCAGATGACTAAAGTAAATCTTTAAGGACTATATTTTAGTTATTATGACTGTATAACAGATCACCCCAAAGCATGCTGGTGTAAAACAATCATTTACTATGCTTAGGGATTCTATGGGTCAGAAATTTGAATAGTGTACAAGATGGAGAGCTTGTGTCTGCTCTACAATGTGGAGCTGGAAGATCCAAAATTTGGGGGCTGGTATCATTTGAAGGCTCACTTACCCAAAGGTTTAGTGTTTGATGCTGTTGGCTAGGAGCCTTGGTTCTTCTTTATATGAGCTCTCCATGTGGTCTCTCCACATGGGCTAGTTTGGGCTCCCTCACAGCATGGAGTATGGAATCCAAGGAAAAACATCCCTAGAGTGAAAGAGAGCCAGGGTAAGCTGTAATATTTTCTGAACCAGCCTTAGAAGTCACAGATTGCTTTTACCATACTCTGTTAACTGAGGCTCTCACAAGCCTCTGGCCTGATTCAAGGAGAGGGAATGTTCACCTTTTCGCTTTTTTGTGGGAAGAATGTCAGTCACACAGTAAGAAGAGCAAATGGAAAATATGTATATATAGGTGCAGCCATATTTGGAAAATTTCGTCTGCCACAGTGAACCCTCTGGACACTCATTTCACATTCCTCCCACATGCAACATACATTCACATCTAGTCAAAAAACATCCAATTACGGTAACAGAGCCGGGATCAAGGTCCAGAACTGCATCATCTAGGTCAGGTCAAGGTGTGGCTGAAGCTCTTCAGGTGTGGTTGTTCAAGTACACACCTTGATCTTCTAGTACAATTTCTCTCAGTTTGAGAAACTGTAAAGTAAAAATAAGTTATTTGTCACTTACACACCCAACACAATGATTGAACAATCATAGGTTAATCAAATCACTATAGACCCTTCAGTTCAAAAATGGGGGATACTGGAGGCACACAGGAGTCACTGGTCTATAGGCAATTCTGAAATCCAGCCAGGCACCTGTTGCTAGTTCTTTGATTATGGATCAGTTTTACTGCCTGGGAATGATTCTTGGCTCCACTGTGTGGGTTCTTCGTTCCGCCATCTGAGTCATCCTTTCTTTTCTATTAAAAAATAGCTCGTGTTTGCAGCTTGGTAGTTTTGCATCTTGTTTTCTGCCCTTAGATATTAGGGACCAAATGGCCTCCTTTCATTTTGTAATTTCTCTGCCTTTTTCAGTACATGATGATATAATTCTTTTAAAATCATTGTGGAGTTCTTACGAATAAATTTATGATCTACTCCAACAAAATCCACACCCATAAATATCTACAGGATAAGCTCTTCTCTACCTTGAATAGAAACAATCCCCTAAAGGATTCTTAGACTCTTAGTTGTGTTGTTTATCAGAGAGACTGAGTAATCTCACTTTTACTGAAGGTCTCACTGGCAGCCTCCCTCAGAGCCATCACCTTTCTGTTAAGGCTTTTCCAAATGTCTGTCTCTTTGTCCCAAATCCAATGCTATATTTTAGGATTTTGTTATGGCAGCATCCCACCTTTGCAATGATTTAATGGTACAATACAAATAACTCCAAAACTTAGTGGTATAAAATGACCATTTATTATGCTCATGAATTCTGTGGGTCAATAATTTGGTTAGAGATTTCATAGAAATTTCTTTCTCAACTTTTTCATGTGATTGCAGTTAGGTATTGGCTGGGGCTGCAGTCACCAGAAAGCTCAACTAAAATTGGAAGTTCCACTTATAAGATATCTCACATTACTGGCAATTTGGCACTAGCTACTGGGAAGACAGTTCTTCTCTTCATGGATCCGCTTGGGTGTCATCATAGCATGGCAGCTTACTTTCCCTAGAGCCAGGGATGCAAAAGGCCAAATCAGAAGCTGCAACGACTTTTATTAACTAGCAGTGAAACCAGCATTATCAACTTGTCCATATTCTATTAGTCATATGTAACCTGCTCTGATTCAGTATAGGCGGGGGATACACAAAGGCCTGAATATCGGGAAATATGGATTATTGGGGATCCTCTTGGGGGTTGACTACCACAAATTAAAAGTGACAAATATAAAATGTGATCCTCCATACCTTCTAACAGATTCAGACATATCTTTGGATTATCTGTGTCAGTTAATGTGCTGTCTCCCTCCCTACCTCATTTCCTCTGGACCCCATTTACTGACTCATAAACGTATCCTGTTTTCTTGTTTTCTCAAATCTACTCAAACATCTGATCTGACAACTAATATTAATATGCATCCAGAACTGAGAAACATTGTTCTAAACCAGTGCTTCTAAAATACAAGTCAGTCAAGTATCTTGTTAAATTGTCAATTCTGATTGACTAGATCTGGGACAAGGCCAGGATTTTCCATTTCTAAAAAGTACCCAATTGATGCGATGTTGCTTTTCACAGACCACATTTTTGTGTTGCGAAGCTAGATCAGTGGTTGTATACCTTTGCTGCATGCTGAAATCATTTAGGGAGTTTTTAAAAATACTGATGTCTGGAGTCCCATCTCTAGAGATCCTAATTTAATTGTTCTGCAGTAAAGCTTGGGCATCAAAATTTCTTAAATCTCCCCAGATGATTACAGTATGAAAGTAGGCTTGAAAATCACTACTGCAGACTAAAATTAGATCAGAAATTTGAGAATAAGTAGAATAATTCTGGTTAATAAGAGTTCCCAGAAACCAGGAGCTGATTGTTATGGGGTGTGTCCTAAAAGAGGGAAAACTTCTGCCCAAGAAGACTCAGGTCTTCCGAAATGAGCTCTGTTCATGTTCCCAGGGGAATAGTAGAGCTGAGTCATTGGAATATACTAGCTGTTCCTCTAGTTAGCATCCTCTCTTGACTTACCTGACCAGTATCCTGCGCCTTGTTAGAGGGCCTCATGACTTCTTTCATTTTAAGGTTTTGCTTGGTTTCTCTTTATTCACTGTGAATGGAAACACTGTCCCCACCCCCAAAATAAGGTCTCAGTACATCTAAAACCAAGATAAGGCAATAGGAGTTAAAACACCTTCTGCAAAAGAAATGGTCAAACTTAAAAACACAAGATTCCCTGACCTGGTTTCCTGTCTTAGTCTGTCTGTGCTGATATAATAAAATACCTTAGACAAGGTAATTTATAAAGAACACAAATTTATTTCTCACTGTTCTGGAGGCTGGGAAGTCTAAGATCAAGGCGCTGGCAGGTTCAGTGTCTGGTGAAAGGCTCTATCTCTCCTTTCACGACAGCATCTTGTTGCTGCATCCTCCAGAGAGGATGAGCACTGAATCCTCACATGGAAGAAGAATGGAAGAGCAAAAGGGACTTAAGCTAATTCCCTCCAGTCCTTCCAGAAGGCACTAATCCATTCATGAAGGTGGAGCCATCATGACTTAATCACTTCTCCAAAAGGTTTCACCTCTTAATACCACCACAATGCACAACAGGGATTAAGCTTCAAGAATGTTGGAGGGGACACCTTCATTCAAAGCATAGCATTTGATATGTACCTGAATCATGCTATGCTAATAGTTTTGTATGTATTAGCTCATTTATTCCTAACCAAAATAGTGTAAGGTTTCAGTTATCCTATTTTGTTGGTGAGAAAACTGAAATTCAGGTAGGTTTAGTAACAGGACAAAATCACATGGCTCTAAAGGGATAAAACCTGTATTTCTATTTGATTTCAGAGTCTGATTTTTTTTAACCTGTATCTTAGAATGTCTTTCTAATACTTAAGTAAATATTTATTTGGTAGTTGTAAGTAGAGATGGACATATTTTACATCCTACATGAAAACTATGCAAACTTCACTGATAGAATACCATGTTGATTCATAGGAATCTGAGATAATTTCCCAGATTCTATGTAGGAAGTTATTTAAGATATTGATTTTTGTTAAATGATGTGTTATTCCGTTTTCACACTGCTGATAAAGACATACCCGAGACTGGGCCTGAGGTTTATTGGACTCACAGTTCCACATGGCCAGGGACACCTCACAATTACGGCAGAAGGCAAAGAGGAGCAAGTCACTTAAGTGGATGGCAGCAGGCAAAGAGAGAGCTTGTGCAGAGAAACTCCCATTTTTAAAACCATCAGATCTCATGAGACCCATTCATTATCACGAGAACAGCATGGGAAAGACCCGCCCCCATGATTCAATCATCTCCCACCAGGTCACTCCCACAATATGTGGGAATTATGGGAGCTACAAGATGAGATTTGGGTGGAGACACAGAGCCAAACTATATCAAGCGAGGTTCAAACATTGGGTAAAAGGTTCAAGCTGTGGGGAGAATGTAAAGAGAATGATTTGCATTTGTTATACCTTGAGTTTGAGGTTCTGACTTGTCATATGCAGTTGAAGAAATCTACCAGTCAATAGCACACTTAGAGCCAGATCTCAGAGGTGAACTGTATGGGAGCTGTTGGCTTATATATCATGGTTGAAAATAAAATATGGATGAATATACTATGAGAATCTACCTGGCCTGAAAGACAAGGTGGTCCTCAGATAGATTACAAACAAGATCTTCCAAACTTAAAGGCTGGCCAGAGAAAAAGAAATCAGAAAAATGACGGCATTTTCTTTATTACAGCATAAAACAGAACCAGGATGTGGTGACATGGGAACAGAGAGAGCACATGTGTTCAAAAATGTACCGAGCTACTGTGCTAATCCTGCAGCATGTCCAAGTAAGGGATGGAGAGAGTTTATCTTTTGAGAAGTAGGTTGCAATGGAAATGTGGGATATTCAAATATTATAAGCACCCAAGAAAGTTATATCTGGGCTCCTTGCAATGTGTCTCCCCAGATTTGAGTTAAACTTCAAAATAATAGGAGCCATCTGTGAAAAACACAGAGCCAACATCACACTGAATAGACAAAAGCTGAAAGAATTCCTTTTGAACACTGGAACAAGACAAGGATGCCCTCTGTCACCATTCCTATTCAATACAGTACTGGAAGTCCTAGCCAGAGCAATTAGAGAAGTGAAAGAAAAGAAAGGCATCCAAATAGGAACAGAGGGAGTCAAACCATCTCTGTTTGCAGATGATATGATTCTATACCTATAAAATCCCATAGTTTCTGTCCTAAATCTCCTAGATCTGATAACAACTTCAGCAATGTTTCAGGATGCAAAATCAATGTACAAAAATCAGTAGCATTCCTATACACCAACAACATCTAAGCCAAGAGTCAAATCAAGAATGCAACACCATTCACAATAGCCACAAAAAGAATAAAATAGCTAGGAGTACAGCTAACCAGGGAGGTGAAAGATCTCTATAATGAGAATTACAAAACACTGCTCAAAGAAATCAGAGATGATAGAAACAAATGGAAATTCATTCTGTGCTCATGGATAGGAAGAATCAATATTGTTAAAATGACCATACTGCCTAAAGCAAATTACAGATTCAGTGCTATTCCTATGAAGGTACTAATGACATTCTTCACAGAATTAGGGGAAAAAACTATTTTAAAAATTATGTGGAACCTAAAAAGAGCCCAAATAGCCAAGGCAATCCTAAGCAAAAGAAGAATAAGAAGAAGAAGAAGAAGAAGAAGAAGCTGAGGACATCACATTACCCACCTTTAAACTACACTACAAGGCTACAGTAACCAAAACAGCATGGTAGTAGTACAAAAACAGACACATTGACCAATGGAACACAATAGAGAGCCCAGTAATAACGCTGCACACCTACACCCATCCCCATCTGATCTTTTACAAAGTAGACAATAACAAGCAATGGGGAAAGGACTCCCTATTTAATAAATGGTGCTGGGTTACTTGGCTAGCCATATACAGAAGATTGAAACTGGATCACTTCCTTATACCATATACAAAAATCAACTCAAGATGGATTAAAGGCTTAAATGTAAAATCCAAAACTATAAAAACCCTGGAAGACAACCTAGGTAATATCATTCTGGACATAGGCCCTGGCAAAGACTTCGTGACAGACTCCAAAAGCAATTGCAACAAAAACAAAAATTGACAAGTGGGACCAGATTAAACTAAATAGCTCCTGTACAGCAAGAGAAACTATCAACAGAGTAAACAGACAACCTACAGAACATGAGAACATATTTGTGAACTATGCATCTGACAAAATACTAATATCCAGAACCTATAAGGAACTTACATTAAGAAGCAAAAACCAAACAACCTCATTTTAAAAGTGAGCAAAGGACATGAACAGACAATTTTCGAAAGAAGACATATACGCAGCCAACAAGCATATGAACAAAATGCTCAAATCACTAATCATTGAAGAAATGGAAGTCAAAGCCACGAGATATCATCTCTTCAGACAAATCAGAATGGCTACTATTAAAAAGTCAAAAAATAACAGATGCTGGTGAGGTTGTGGAGAAAAGAAGAACGCTTATACACTGCTGGTGAAAATATAAATTAGTTCAGCCACTGTGGAAAGCAGCGTGGCAATTTTTCAAAGAATTTAAAACAGAAGTATCATTTGATCCAGCATCCCATTATTGAGTATATACCAAAAACAATATAAATCATTCTACCATAAAGACACATGCACACGTATGCTCATCATAGCACTATTCACAATAGTAAACACATGGAATCAACCTAAATGTTCATCAGCGGTAGACTGGATAAAGAAAATGTGGTACATATACACCATGGAATACTATACAGCCATAAAAAATTATGATATCATGTCCTTTGCAGCAACGTGGATGGAGCTGAAGGCCATTATCCTAAGAGAATTAATGCAGGAACAGAAAGCCAAATACCACATGTTCTCACATATAAGCAGGAGTTAAATATTGAGGACACATGGACACAAGGAAGGGAACAACAGACACCAGGGCCTACTTGAGGATGAAGGATGGGAGGAGAGAAAGGATCAAAAACTGCCTATCTGGTACTGTGCTTATTACCTGGGTGACAAAATAATCTGTACAACAAACCCCCGTGATATACAACCTACCTGTATAACAAACCTGCACATGTACGCCTGAACTTAAAAGTTAATAAATAAAAGAAAAAAATTTAGCTTATTAATGGCCATATTAAAGATCAGGAAACACAGAGAAGTGGAGGACTCGACGCACATTCACACATCTGGGACACAGCAAAATGTGGATATGAACTCACATCTGTTGATTCTAAGACACTTGCTCTTCTTTTGTAGGCACTTTTCATTGAGATAAAGTTCATATAACCTAAAATTCACCATTTTAACTATTTTATTTCTTTATTACTTTTAGTTGACAGATAAAAATTGCATGTATTTATTGTGTACAACATGATGCTTTGAAGTATGTAAACACTGCAGAATGACCCAGTCTAGCTAATTAAAATATGCATTACCTCACACAGTTATTATTTTTGTGGTGTGAACCCTTTACAGCCACTCTATTAACATTTTTCAAGAATACATATGTGTTGAAAAATATAGTTAGAATATAGTCTTGTTAACTATAGTCATCATGTTGTACAATAGATCTCATGAACTTATTCCTCCTATCTAACTGAAATTTGTATCCTTTGACCAATGTCTCCTCAACTCCCACCCTCCAATCACCCCAGCCCTTGGTAACAACCATTCTACTCTCCACTTCTATGAGATCAACATTTTTACATTTCACATGAGTGAAATCATGTGGTATTTGTTTTTCTGTGTCTGGCTTATTTCACTTAATATAATGACCTCCAGGTTCATCCATGTTGTCACAAATGACAGAACTTCCTTCTTTTTTAAGGATAAATATTCCATTGTGTATACATTTATGTATTATATTTTTATTCATTCATCTGTTAATGGATACTCAGATTGATTTCATATCTTGGTTATTATGAATAATGTTGCAACAAGAATGAAGATACAGATACCTCTGAGATACTGATTTCATTTTCTGTGGATATATACCCAGTTGTAGGATTGCTGGATCATAGAGTAGTACTATCCAGTAGTGTGATCCAGTTTTTTGAGGAACAACCATACAGTGGTCTATAATGGCTGTACTAATTTACATTCCCATCAGCAGTGTTTAAGGGTTCTCATTTCTCCACATCATCTCCAACCCTTGTTATAGTTTGTCTTTTTGACAATAGCTATTATAATTGAGGTTTGATGATATCTCATTGTGGGTTTGGTTTGTATTTCTCTGATGATTAGAAATGTTGACCATGTTTTCATTTACCTGTTGACTATATGTATGTATTTTTTGAGAAATATCTATTCAAGTCTTTTGCCCTTTGTTTTACTTTTATTTTTATTTATTTATTTTTGAGATGGAGTTTTGCTGCCACACCCAGGCTGGAGTGCAATGGCATTGATCTCGGCTCACTGCAACCTCCACCTCCCAGGTTCAAGTGATTCTCCTGCCCCAGCCTCCCGCGTAGCTGGGCCTACAGGTGCATGCCACCATGCCCAGCTGATTTTTGTATTTTTAGCAAAGACAGCGGGTTGACGGGGGGGAGGTTTCACCATATTGGCCAGGCTGGTCTTGAACTCCTGACCTCAAGTGATCTGCCCACCTCAGCCTCCCAAAGTGCTGGGATTACAGGCGTGAGCCACCGCGCCCGGCCTCCTTTGCCCTTTTTAATTAGATTATTTGTTTTCTTGCTATTGAATCATTTGAATTTTTTATATATTTTTCATATTAAGCCTTTATCAGAGATAAAGTTTGCAAATATTTTCTTCCATTCTGTAGATTGTTACTTCACTCTGTTATTTCCTTTGCTGTGAAGAAGCTTTTAAGTTGATAAAGTGCCATTTGTCTATTTTGCTTTTGTTGCCTGTGCTTTTGGGGTTATATCCAAAAAGTCATTTCCCAGGCCAATGTCAGGGAGATTTTCGCTTATTTTTCCTTCTAGTTGTTTCACAGTTTGAGGTCTTACATTTTAAGTCTTTAATTCATTTTGAGTTAATTTTTGTATGTGATGCGAGGTAATTGTCTAATTTCATTCTTTTGTATGTGAATATCCAGTTTTCTCAATAACGTTTATTAAAGAGACTGTCCTTTCCCCATTGTGTGTTCTTGACATCTTTGTCAAAGATCATTTAAATGTAAATGTGTGGTTTCATTTCTTTGTTCTCTATTCTGTTTCATTGGTCTATTTGTCTGTTTTTATGCCAATACCATGCTGTTGTGTAGTACATTTTGCTTTGTAGTATATTTTGAAGTCAAGAAATGTGATGCCTTTAACTTTGTTCTTTTTTTCTCCAAATTACTTTGGCTATTCTGAGTCTTTTGTAGTTCTAAATGAATTTTAGAATTTTTTTCTATTTTTGTGAAGAATATCATTGGTATTTTGATACAATTGCGTTGAATCTCCATGAACATGAGATACCTTTCCAATTACACGTGTCTTCTTCAGTTTGATTCCATTGATGTTTTATAGTCTTTATGTAAAGATTTTTACCCCTTTGAACAGATTTATTCCTAAGTATTCTTTTATAGCTGTTGTAATGAGATTGCTTCCTTGATTTCTTATTCAGATAGTTTACTGTTAGTGTATAGAAATACTCCTGATTTTTGTGTGTTGATTTGTGTCCTGCAACTTTATTGAATTCATTTGTTAGTTATTACAGTTTTTTGGTGGAGTCTTTAGAATTTTCTGTATGAAAGATTATCATCTGCAAACACAGACAATTTAACATATTCCTTTCCGTTTTGGATCTATTTTATTTTATTTTATTTTTCTTACAGAGCCTCACTCTGTCACTCAGGCTAGAGTGCAGTGGTGCAATCATGGCTCACTGTAACCTTGACGTTCTGGGCTCAAGCAACCCACCCACCTCAATCTCCCAAATAGCTGAGACCACAGGTGCACGCCACCACACCCAGCTATTTTTTCTGTTTTGTAGAAACGGTCTTTGCCATGTTGCCCAGGCTGGTCTCAAATTCCTGGGCTCAAGCAATCTGCCCACCTTGGCCTCCCAAAGTGCTGGGATTACAGGCATGAGCCACCATACTCAGCCTTTGATGTATTTTATTTCTTTCTCTTGCCTAATTGCTGTAGCTGTGTCTTCCAGTACTATGTTGAATGGAAGTGGCAAAAGTGAGCATCTGTCTTGTTCTGGATCTTAAAAGTAAAGTTTTCAACTATTCCCCATTTAGTATAATGTTAGCTGTGTTTATATGTGGCATTTATTATGTTGCGGTACATTTCTTCTATACGTAATTTGTTGAGAGTTTTTATCATGAAAGGATGTTGAATTTTATCAAATGTTCTTTCTACATCTATTGAAATGATCATATGGTTTCTGTCCTTCATTCTGTTAAGCTGATGTATTACACTTATTGATTTGCATATGTGAATCATCCTTGCATCCCTGGGCTGAATCTCACTTGATCATGGCCAATAATCTTTTTCATGTGCTGTTAAATTCAGTTTGCTGATATTTTTTGAGGATTTTTACACCTATGTTTATCATGGATATTGGCCTGTAGTTTTATTGCAATGTTCTTGCCTTACTTTGGTATCAGATTAATGCTGGTCTCATAAAATGGGTTTGGAAGTGTTCCTCCTCTTCAAATCTTTGGAGGAATTTGGGAAGCATTAATTTTAGTTCTTTTTAAAATGTTTGCTGGAATTTAGCAGTGAAGCCATCAGGTCCTGGGCTTTTCTTTGATAGGAGACTTTTTATTACTGAGTAGTCTTCCTAACTCATTATTGGTCGGTTGAGATTTTCTATTCATAATTCAATTTTAGTAGGTTGTGTGTGGCAAGAAATTTAACCATTTCTTCTAAGTTATCCAATTTGTTGGCATATAATTGTAACTAATAGTCTCTTCTGATATTTTGTTTTTCTGTTGTATCCCTTGTAATGTCTCTCTTTTCATTTTTGATTTTATCTATTTCACTCTTCTCTTTTTTCTTGGTCTAGCTAATGGTTTGTCAATATTTCTATCTTTCCAAAATAATAATTCAATTTTTTGATCTTTTCTATTGTTTTTCTAGTCTTTATTTCATTTATTTCTACTCTGATCTTTATGATTTCCTTCTTTCTGCTAACGTTAGGCTACTTTATTCTTGTTTTCCCAGTTTGTCGAGGTGCACCATTAAGTGGTTTATTGAGATATTTCTTCTTTTTTAATGTAGGCAATTATTCCTATAAACTTCCCCCTTGGAACTGCTTTTGCTGTGTCCCATAGGTTTTGGTGTGTTGTATTTCCATGCTTGTCCAAAACAATTCTTTTAATTTTTCCTTTAACTTCTTCATTGACCCATTGATTGTTCAGGAACATATTGTTTAATTTCCATGTATTTATACATTTTCTGAAGTTCTTTCTGTTATTGATTGTTTTATACCATCATGGTCAGAAAATACTTTATATTATTTCAATCTTCTTAAGTTTTTTAAGATTTGTTTTGTGGTTTAACATATGCTCTTTCCTGGAGGATGTTCAATGCACAGTTGAGAAGAGTGTGCAATTTTTTTCTTTTTTTTTTTTTTTTGAGATGGTGTCTTGCTCTGTTGCCCAGGCTGGAGTGCGGTGGCACCATGTCGGCTCACTGCAACCTCCTCCTCCTGGGTTCAAGAGATTCTCTTGCCTCAGACTCCTGAGTAGCCGGGACTACAGGTGCATACCACCATGCCCGGCTAATTTTTTGTATTTTTAGTAGAGACGGGGTTTCACCGTGTTAGCCAGGATGGTCTCGATCTCCTGACCTTGTGATCCGCCTGCCTCTGCCTCCCAAAGTGCTGGGATTACAGGCATGAACCACCGCGCCTGGCCAAGAATGTGCATTTTATCTATTTTACATTGTACAAGTTAGTGAGTTTTAGTATATTCACAATGTTGAGCAACAATCACCACTACCTAACTACAGAGTATTTTCATCACCTTAGAAAGAAACTTCCTATTCATTAAATAGGAGAGGTCAGGAGTTCAAGACCAGCCTGGCCAACATGGTAAAAACCCTGTCTCTACCAATAATACAAAAATTAGCCAGGTGTGGTGGTGGGTGCCTGTAATCCCAGCTACTCAGGAGGCTGAGGCAGGAGAATAGCTTGAACCTGGGAGGTTTAGGCTGTAGTGAGCCGAGACCTCACTACTGCCCTCCAGCCTGGGCAACAGAGCGAGACTCTGTCTCAAACAAAACAAAACAAACAAAAAATTGTCACTCTTTATTAACCATTCACCCCATTCCCTGGCAAACACTAATCTATTTTTCATTTCTGTGGGTTTGCCTATTCAGGATATTTCCTATAAATAGATTCATACAATATGTGTCATTTTATGTTTGGCTTCTTTCACTAAGCATAATGTTTTCAAGGTGTATCCTGGTTGTACCATGTATCAATACTTATGGCTGAGTCATGTTACATTGTAAGGGTATCTCATAGTTTTGTTTATCTAATCGTCTGCTGATGAACATTTGGGTTGTTTCCTTTTCTGACTATTGTGAATAATGTTGCTATGAACATTCCTGTACACAGTTTTGTGTGCACATTTGTTTATAATTCTCTTGGTTATATGCCTCAGTTGAATTCTTGGGTCATATGGTAGCTCTTTGTTTAACTTTTTGGGGAACTACCAGAATGTTTTCCAAAGCAGCTGCACCATTTTATAATCCCACCAGCAATATACAACAATTTCAATTTCTACACATCCTTGCCAAAACGTTTTATTTTCTGTTGTTTAAATTGTAGCCATCCTAGTGTGTATGAAGTGGTATCTCATTATGTTTTTGGTTTGCATTTCCTTGATGATTAATAATGTTGAGCATCTTTTCAGGTCCTTATTGGCCATTTGTATATCTGCTTTGGAGAAATATATGTTCAAATTCTATGTTCCTTTTGAAATGTCCCAGTGCTTTTTAAATCACGTTCTTGCTTTCCAGCCCAATGAGCTGATTCAGTTTCACCTTATGCCTCACCTGCTCCAGACTGAGAGTCCAGAACTTCTCCATGGAGTCTCAGTTCCTCTTAGTGAGGAAAGTTATTTAGAAACAACAAAGCATGCTCAGCATTCTTAGAATATGACGTTGCTTCTAAACCTTTTCAATGAGCAGTGCTCGGATTTTTAAAAAATCATGGTTCAGACTGATAACTCTTTTTTCAATGTAATGTTGCAGTGTTTTTCTCACTCTTCTCTACTTCATAGTTGTATCATTCTTCCTTTTCCCACATTGATAGGCCTGGTTCCCCTAACATCTATATAATTACTCACTTTCTCTATCTTACAACAAACACAAAAAAGTTGCCGATTTACTACACCAAAACCACTATTAACAATAAACATAGTAAGTTCAAGATATTTTGCCATTCTTCTTGTTCTTAGAATATATAGCACTGAGTTTGTACAGAGGCTTTCATCAAAAAATACTTAAATAATTGGCTGAGTGTGGTGGCTCACACCTGTAATCCCAACACTTTGGGAGGGCGAGGCGGGCAGATCACCTGAGGTCAGGATTTCTAGACCAGCCTGGCCAACAGGCCGAGATGCCATCTCCACTAAAAAAAAGTACAAAAGTTAGCTGCGCTTGGTGGCACGTGCCTGTAATCCCAGCTACCTGGGAAACTGAGGCACAAGAATCACTTGAACCCAGGAGATGGAGGTTGCAGTGAGCTGAGATCCTGCCAATGCACTCCAGCCTGGGTGACAGAGTGAGACACTGTCTTAAAATAAATAATTGCTTTCTTTGGTTCCCAGGGTGGTTGTATTATCATTTTCACATAGGTAGATTTTTTTTTAAAGTTTGGATTCAAATTTAGTGTGTGCCTTTATTTAGCCTTTTTATTTAATGTCACTTTTTGTAGTTTTTTTTTATATTATTACACTTTAAGTTCTAGGGTACATGTGCACAACATGCAGGTTTGTTACATAGGTATACATGTGTCATGTTGGTTTGCTGCAACCATCACCTCGTCATTTACATTAGGTATTTCTCCTAATGCTATCCCTCCTCCAGCCCCCACCCCCACAACAGGCCCTGGTGTGTGATGTTCCCCGCCCTGTGTCCAAGTGTTCTCATTGTTCAGTTCCCACCTATGAGTGAGAACATGCGGTGTTTAGTTTTCTGTCCTTGTGATAGTTTGCTGAGAATGATGGTTTCCAGCTTCATCCATGTCCCTGCAAAGGACATGAACTCATCCTTTTTTATGGCTGCATAGTATTCCATGGTGTATATGTGCCACATTTTCTTAATCCAGTCTATCATTGATGGACATTTGGGTTGGTTCCAAGTCTTTGCTATTGTGAATAGTGCCGCAATAAACATATGTGTGCATGTGACTTTATAGTAGTATGATTTATAATCCTTTGGGTACATACCCAGTAATGTGATCACTGGGTCAAATGGTATTTCTAATTCTAGATCCTTGAGGAATCACCACACTGACTTCCACAATGGTTGAACTAATTTACAGTCCTACCAACAGTGTAAAAGTGTTCCTATTTCTCCACATCCTCTCCAGCATCTGTTGTTTCCTGACTTTATGTAGTGTTTTTAATTCAAAAATGGGCTTTCAAAAATGTTGACAATGGGCCGGGTGTGGTGGCTCACGCCTGTAATCCCAGCACTTTGGGAGGCCGAGGCGGGCGGATCACAAGTTCAAGAGATCGCAACCATCCTGGCCAACATGGTGAAATCCCGTCTCTGCTAAAAATACAAAAAATTAGCTGGGTGTGGTGGCGGGCGCCTGTAGTCCCAGCTACTCGGGAGGCTGAGGCAGGAGAATCACTTGAACCCTGGAGGCGGAGGTTGCAGTGAGACAAGATCACGCCACTGCATTCCAGCCTGAGGACAGAGTGAGACTCCGCCTCAAAAAAAAAAAAAAAGTTGACAATGACCAAAATAAGGTATCAAAAATGATGAAATCATCTATGCAGCTTAGATTGACTAACATAATAGCTGTCATGTACCATGTGGGAAACCTAAAATGCTATGTTCAGTTGGTGGGTTGGTACATCCTACTTGGAATTTCAGAAACCTTGAATGCAAACCTACCAGTAGGTAAATTTTAAGATTTAATTATTTTTTGCTCCAGATATAATGATGGGCAAATGGGAATAAAATAAAGTGATGATTCTCAACTTTGAGTTAACCATTAAACTCACCTGGGCTGTCCAAGTATGGTGGCTCATGCCTGTAATCCCAACATTTTGGGAGGCTAAGGTGGGAGGATCTCTTGAGCCCAGGAGTTTGAGACCAGCCTGGGCAATATAGGGAGGCCCCATGTTGACAAAAAAAAAAAAAAAAAAAAAAAAAAAAAATTAGCCAGGGCCGGGCGCAGTGGCTCACGCCTGTAATCCCAGCACTTTGGGAGGCTGAGGCAGGCAGATCACGAAGTCAGGAGATTGAGACCATCCTGGCTAACACGGTGAAACCCCGTCTCTACTAAAAATACAAAAAATTAGCCAGGCGTGGTGGCGGACGCCTGTAGTCCCAGCTACTCCAGAGGCTGAGGCAGGAGAATGGCGTGAACCCGGGAGGCGGAGCTTGCAGTGAGCCGTGATGGTGCCACTGCACTCCAGCCTGGGCAACAGAGCGAGACTCCGTCTCAAAAAAAAAAAAAAAAAAAAAAAGTAGCCAGGCATGGTGGTGCACACCTGTAGTCCCAGGTACTCTGGAGGCTGTGGTGGAGCAATCACTTGAGCCTGGGAGGTCAAGGCTGCAGTGTGCTATGATCATGCTACTGCACTCCAGCCTGGGTGACAAGGCAGAAGCCTGTTTCAAAAATTTTTTAATTAAAGAATTTTTGTTTTAATTTAAGTAGAACTACCTGAGATGATTCAATGCCAGGGGCCCACCCAGACTAATCAAATAAGAATATCTGGATGGTGGATAGTGCTACTCAAGTATCAGAAAGTTTTAAACCCTCCAAGGTTATTCCAGTGGTCAGCCCAGGTTGAGAACTCCTGGCTAGGAGAAATCCTTTCTTCCTCCATTGGTACTTGCCTTCTTTTATCTTCAACAATAGACCTTAATAGCTTATTAGACCCACAGCACGATCAACTCATTGTGGAGTGGGAGCAAGGCAGCATGGGGTAGGTTTTTGTCCTCAATACCATCTTAGAAACCATGGGAACTGGGAAAGGATCTGGATGTCTTCTTTTTGGAAAGAAAGTGAAGGAAACAAAATAAATAATCACATCAAAACAATTAGACTATTCATATTGTGACATATTTAATTATGAAAACTGGGTTCTTTTACTGGCTCTGCCACTGTTGCCTTGGCCTTAGCAGAGTCATTTAACCTCTCTGCACTTCAGTTTCCACATCTGTAATATGAGAGGTTTGGGCTTGTCTATCTACAGTTGGTTTTACAGATAAAACCTTTAACTGGCAGGGCGTGGTGGCTCACACCTGTAATCCCAGCACTTTGGAAGGCCGAGGCGGGCGGATCACGAGGTCAGGAGATCGAGACCGTCCTGGCTAACATGGTGAAACCCCGTCTCTACTAAAAATACAAAAAAATTAGCCGGGCATGGTGGCGGGCGCCTGTAGTCCCAGCTACTCGGGAGGCTGAGGCAGGAGAATGACGTGAACCCGGGAGGCGGAGCTTGCAGTGAGCCCAGATCGCTCCATTCCACTCCAGCCTGGGCGACAGAGCGAGACTCCGTCTTAAAAATAAATAGATAAATAAATAAATAAATAAATAAATAAATAAATAAATAAGTAAATAAAACCTTTAACTGATTTGGTGGAAACAGAAAGGAGACTAACATTTAAGGCCCTCCAGTGATGTGCTAAGTGACTCCTGATAGATGCTTTAAGCACACTACCTCATTTAGTCCTCCCAGAAACCATTAAGAGAAGCATAAACTTTTACAGATAAGGATTATGAAGCAGAGAACTGTTAAGGAATTTGTCTAAATTCTTCACGTAGCCAGGAAATAGCAGGGAAACCTTTCTCTCTCCTTTAAGTCTACAGGAGTGAATATACATTGTATAGATGATTGATCTTTAATAATGCTTTGGTTTGGAAATCACTACTTAAATCATTTCTGTAATACAGACATCAGTAGTTTGTGCAATGGTCTAGAGGAAGTTTATCAAGGGACTTTACATAAAACATACATAGCTTAGATTAATTAACAGGAGATGGGGGCTAAACTGGAGTTGGTACATGTCAGGCAAGTGCTTTAAGAACACCTTTTTTGGGCACTCACTTGGGTTTTCTCCATTCTCATTCCATCTACCAGTGGCAATGGGGCTCCTCCCATCAAATTAGCAGTTTCCTTTGAAAATTCAAATTCGACAAATTTCTCCCTTAGAAAATTGTGTCTCTCTCTTCTCTAATTCCTGCTCTTTGGAAATGGAAATGAAGAGGGAACTGAAACTACAGAGTAAAACCCATTAGCTCTGTTGCAATTTTTTGCCTCGGGAAGAAAATAACAGCATTAGTCAGCTCGACATACATAGTTTTCAAAAGTATGTATATATTTTTAACATTTTAAAATATTACTATTTTAAATGTTAATATTAAAATTTTAAAATATATTTAAAAATCTTTCTTAAATCTTTATAAAAATTCATTTTAATTAAATAAATTCACCTAATAAAAATGAAATATGGCAAAAAGACTCAAATCTCATTTGACTACTCTATTGTTATTACTTTAGTATGTGCACTTCTTGATATTTTGTACACATTCAAAAACATGCTGATGCAATATCAGAGGAAGATCCAGAGTCACAATCGTTTGAAAAAGGAAAGAAAAAGTTTATGTGCAACGAGTGCAAGGAAGTCATAGTTCAGAAAGGCTGTCATGGCAAACACAAGTATCTAAAGAAAAAATGACAGAATTGCCAAGGTTACCCAGTTTACATGAACCTGAGAATGATGGAATATACCAAAGTTTTCACAAGATGGTGATATTAACAAAGGTCACACAACATATCTTCAGATATCAGCATAGCAAAACATTAATTTTGTTAGGAATTCAAGTTTATAGAAAATATTCAAGATTTTGTTCCACTCTCCAGGATAATAGTATCTTGGGGGAAATTTTAGGTAAGGGTGACCCTCTTATTATCCTTATTATCATTTATTATGGTAATGAATTGCTTAGTGATGTTGGAAGCAAAGCAAAATGTCAATTTTTGCTTCTACAATATCCATAAAATATGTAAGTATTTTTACATTAATGTCATGTTCTAGATACAATTTTTTCATCTTTTCTTCACTGAACGATACAGTCCTTGTAGAGTTTTGCATGCCAGGCCATTAGGATCCACTTTCTTTTTTTAACTGTCTCATAGTATTCCATAACATGAATATGTCATTATTAGTCGTCCTCTGTTGGTAGGAACTTAAGTTGTTGCCATATTTTTACTTATAAATTGGTTGTCCTTTTAGACGCAGCCAGTTAGATGCAGCCATGTACTCATGTGCAAAGGTTTCTCTAGGGAAGACACCAAAAAATAGAATTGCACATGAAATTTTGTTCTTTCCTGACAAATCACCCTCCATAAAGGCTATATCATTTTATATTCCCACCCCTCTGCCTTGGGTTTCTATAATAAGTAATATGCCCAAGGTTGGCATCTTAAACTTTGAAGTAAATCCCCCTCTGGTATATTTGTGGAATAATGGACCTGTTAGTTCCACCCAGGAACCGTTCAGTTGCCATCTGCTGTTCCACACCTATGATCTTCCTTGCCATTGCCAGGTATATAAGTTTCTTATTGCTGCTGTAACAAACTAACACAAGCTTAATGTTTTAACACAACACAACTGTATTATCTTATAGATTTGGAGGTCGCAAGTGCAAAATGCATTTTATGAGGCTAGAAAGTGTCAGCAGCATGATATTCCTTATGAAAGTTCTACAGAGGATAGATACCCTTGCCTTTTCCAGCTTCTAGAAGTCACCTGCTTTCCTTGGTTCAGAGCCCCTTCATCCATCTTCAAAGCCAGCAGTATAGCATCTTCAAATCTCTCTCTGATTTTGGCTTTCTTGCCTCCCTCTTATAATAACCCTTGTGAATACATTTAGGGCCAACCTAGATAATCCAGGATAATCTCCCCACCTCAATATTCTTAATCACATCTGCAAAGTTCTTTTTGCCATATAACATAAAATAGTCACAGGTTTAGGTGATTAAGACATGGACATCTCTGAGGATCCATTATTCTGGCCTCACACACCAGGATGCTACATAGAAATTCAGCATGATTGTCTTCCTCAATTCTATACTGCTGTTTTCACCCTGGTCTCACCAAAGAATAGTGTGGTGATGGTGACACTCTTTTTGATGCCTGCTATATTGTTAAGTCTAGGGGGTAACATCAGAGTAAAACAAGTCAAAACTCTTCTTGAACTATGCCATTCACACAGCAAGGGAAAAGAAAAATGACAAAATGTAATTATTTAAGGAAATGCCCCATTAGAACAGACCTTATTTTGCAAACTAACTGCCCTGTGTCCCGTGCCACCTATCCCTCCATTCCTTCAAGAGAGGCTCCCCCATGCTATTCCTCACCCTTTTAAGACAACACACTCCTTGAATAAGCGTTAGTCTTTCCCAAACTGAGCAATCCAAGATAAGTTCAGCTTCAAATTCTCAGTATGAAATAAAACCATGCCTTCTCATTCTCCCCAGGTACCCAGTCAGCAACCACACACACACACACCCCACAAAGACAGTTTCCAGAATTAATGCAGTCCAAAAACACACTGAGGCAGAGAAACATTTTTCTAAATTTGATAATATCAGACTCATTATGATGCATCAAGTCAGATCCCCAGTTGTTCATTATCTTGCTCCTAGGCCTCCTCAACTCTGGTAAACAACCTCGTCATGCACATTTGATCACCACTTTCTGTATATGAAAATACATGACCAAACTTTCAAAATGACTGTATCCTTTACACCGATCACATGTAAAGGATACAATCACTTACATTAGGCCAGATATCACTCATGTTCATCTGCATAAGCAAAAGGGAAACAAGATGAAGCTTTGGTAACTTTTATTGTAAGGCCAGGGATTTTGAGAGGTTCTCTGTCAGCCGCATACTTAAGTGACATTAGGCAGACAGGCTAATAGCATTGTAAAATTTAGGAATACGGAAAATAGAAAAAATTCTCATACTTGGAACAATTCTTATTAGCAAAAACTACATGGAACGCTTTCTGATTCAAGTGGAAATAGAAGACATGTAACAGGAATAAATTAGGTGGATAGCAATTTTTATGTTAATAACAATATGACTTAAAAAGAGTGTTCCCTGGATGCAGATAATTATTCTTAAATAATGAGCCTATTATAACAACCTGCATTAGGAACATATATTTTAGCTATAGAATTTTTTTTGCTTTCACAAATTTTTCTGTTTTAATGAATTTACTCTATTACTTCTGACCTATTTTATATTATGAAACTGAGAGCTCTATTGAGAATATAATTGCAAATGGCTTTGTATGTCTCCATTTCATTCAAAATTTTTATCTATGTACATAGAGCACTCGAATGGAATTTAAAAAGCTACTAAATTAACTCAAAAGCAAAGGAGACTTTCAGCATCTACAAAATATAATATGACATTTGATGTCAACTTTAATTTTATAAATAATTCCATGATATTTTTATATTCCATAGGCCAATGCTTCATTAATGAGCAAACAAACAAATGATAGTGCTAAGAAAAACTTTATTCATATAGGCATGTAGCTCTGTGGTAAATCAAAAATGGCTACAAAATCTCTGGTCGTCTCCCATTGAGAGGTGGGGTCTATATCACCTTTCCTTGAATCTGGGTAAGCTCTTAACTGCTTTGAACAATAGAAAATTGCAAAAGTGGCCGGGCGCGGTGGCTCACACCTATAATCCCAGCACTTTGGGAGGCTGAGGCAGTCGGATCACGAGGTCAGGAGATCGAGACCATCCTGGCTAACACAGTGAAACCCCGTCTCTACTAAAAATACAAAAAATTAGCCGGGCGTGGTGGTGGGCGCCTGTAGTCCCAGCTACTCGAGAGGCTGAGGCAGGAGAATGGTGTGAACCTGGGAGGCGCAGTTTGCAGTGAGCCGAGATGGTGCCACTGCACTCCAGCCTGGGTGACAGATCAAGACTCTGTCTCAAAAAAAAAAAAAAAAAAAAATTGCAAAAGTGACACTGTGTCAGGGTCTGGGCCCATGCTTAAAAGACTGACAATATCTACTTCCTGCCTCTTGGAACCTCACTCTGGGGCAAGCCAGCTCCCTTGTAAGGAGTCCAACTACCTTGAGACCACCAAGCCATCAGGAACCACAAACCAACCTGGAAAGGCTATGGAAAATGAGATTCATGTGAAGAGAGGGACAGGCAAGGAGTCTCAAGGCGCTAAGTATGTGAATGACTAACCTATCCTGTGACAAACCTTCCTAGCTGAAACCATGTGATCAGAGAAATTCCACTAGTCAAGCCCTTTCTGAATTCCTGACCCACAAAAGAGTGAGCAAAGAAATGGTTGTTTTAAGACACTAAATTTGAGAGCAGTTTGTTAAAGAGAAATAAACATAACAAGCTCATCTGCTTTCTGATTGTCTAATAGAGATGTAATTAAGAGCATAGTTAAATTGGGGTTAACAAGGAAATGTTACCATTTCCACCTTAAGAGGCAGTGGAACACCTTACCTTTCAGACTCAGTACCTTTGCAGGTATCTGTGAGACTGAAATGTAAATAGATTATTGTGAGTGGGATTAGCTTTTTGGCCTCTACAATTCTTTGGGTGATCTCTTCTGTTTGCCTTGATCCCAGATGCCTTTAAAAATCCAGTTTCCAATATTGTGTCTGTGGCCCACATTCATCCTTATGGTGATAGTATATCCCAACTATTTGTCCAAGTTCCATTCTTTGATAGAAATAATGGTTAATACCAATAATGATGCATATTTATGGAGTGCTTCTAAGTGCCAGGCAGTATGCTAAACACTTTGTATGTATCATCTTATTCAAAAATCCCAAATATCCCCCATGAAATGTTCTATTTTTATTCCCATTACGTGGATGAGAAAACTAAAACTCAATGAAAGATAGAGGCTTGACAAAGTTAATAAGCTATTAAGTGGTAGAAGTGGGATTTAAACCCAGATAGGCCAACTCTAGGGCAGACAGCACATTATGCTACTACCAAATGTGTTCAGATAGCTGCTATTCATTTATTAGTTAGTTCGATGTTCTGTAAGAAAGGGAAATTCCTAACACATGCCCTCCCAATATTAGGTTTAGATGAGTGAGAGTGAAAAGATATAGGTAAATGTACAATGCTAGACCTTTACCTAAGATATAACAATTTTCTTTTCTTCTACTTCAGATTAAATAACGTTTAGTCCTAACTTTGTGATTTATCAAGAGATCATTAACTGCGTTTGATTGCACAATACTCCCCTCTCAACATGGACATTAGTAGCTTGCTGTGTGATTGTTAATTCCAATCAGTTTACATTAGGTCAAGCTGCCAAGTTCACTAGTAAAAAGTAATGTATCTCCAAAATAAATGCTGCTTTAGGGAAGCTTTTCTGTCAATCACTATATTCTTCACAGAATTTTTAATGAGCCGACACAACCCACAGAAAATTGCCCAGTCAGATACATCAAGTAGATCTTTCCACATTGATAAGCTAGTCAATTAATTCCAAACATTATTAGCCTAGTCAAGAATTACAGTTAGAAATAGTGATCATTCCAAGTTAATATGGAAGAGCCAAGCAGGTTGAGTTCACAAACAATTGTCCAAAAGCGAGTCTTTAAGTATTAGTAATAAGAATATGATTGGAACAAGAAGAATGATAGTTGACTTGAACTAAGATGTATTTTAAAAAGCCTAGCACCAGGCTTCAGATTTCCTATTTCTTATAAATGCTACTGGAGGCTCAACAAGAAGAAAATATGGTTTACCTACGTAAGGTTCCTAAAGACGATTTTGTTATTAACTTCTGTATTTTCATGTATTGGTGCTACATCTGAATAAATGAAACATATTATGCGAAAAAGACCATCTTAGATTACAAATACTTATATATGTCTCTTCCTCCACTGAGTGTAAGTTCTCAAAGGTAAAGAATTGCTTTTTTAATTCATTTCTGTATCTGCCAAAGCACACCCAACACAGTGCCTGGCACAGTTGTTCAAGAAGATATGGCTTGAGTGGAATTCAATTTAAATGTCTCTTTTTGTTCTAAATAACTATTTTTATATTTGCACAAAAGGCATTCAGGTATTCAAATTCATCTAACCTAGTCTATTACATTAATATCATATTCACTTTTATGTTAGCAGCTTTACTGAGACAAGATTTACATGCCATAAAGTTTACCCATTAAAGTGTACATTTCAATGGCTTTTAGTATATTTACAGTGTTGTGCAACCATACTGTAATCAATTTCAGGGCATTTTTATTACCCCATAAAAAAACCCTGTACCCATTAGCAGTCACTCTCCCCACCTCCAGCCCCTGGAAACCATGAATCAGCTTTCTGTCTCTATAAATTTGCTTATTCTGGACATTTTATATAAATGGAATTATACAATGTGTGGCTTTTTGTGTTCAGCTTCTATAATTTATCATAATGTTATTGAGATTCATTGTAGCATATATTAGTACTCAGTCCTTTTTATGGCTAAATAGTATTCTGTTATAGGAATATACACATTTCGTTTATTCATTGATCTATTGATGGACATTTGGGTTGTTTCCACTTTTTGGCCACTACAAATAATGCTGCTATGAACATTTATGTACAAGTATTTGTGTGAACATAAGTTGTCATATCTCTTGGGCATATACCTAGGAGTGTAATTGCAGACTCATATAGTAACCCTATGCTCAACTTTTTGGATAATTGGCAGGCTGTTTTCTAAAGCAGCTGCACCACTTTACATTCCCACCAGCAACGTAAGGGGAGTCCAGTTTTTCCACATCGTCACTAACACTTGTAATTTTTCTTTCTTTTTTTATTTCAGCCGTCTTAATGGGTGTGAAATGGTATGTCATCGTGGGTTTGATTTGCATTTTCCTAATGACTAATGATATTGAGAAACTTTTCTTGTGCTTAGTAAACGTTCTTGAAGTCCAACTTCTTGATATTTTTCTTTTGTTGCTTAGGCTTTCGGTATCATATCTAAGAATCCATTACCTAATCCAAGGTCTACTTTGATGCCAATATCACACAATTTTGATTATGTAACTTTTTCATAAATCTCGAGTTGTACATTTTTTGTATTTTCCTCTCATATGGCTTAGCAATGTTCCACATTTTGATATGTTTTGTTTTTATTTTCACTGAGTTTTATGTATTTTTTACATTTTCTTTGAGTGTTCCTCCATGACTTACGTAAGATTTAAAAGCATGTTCTTTAATATTCAAGTGCATGGATATTTTCCTGATGTCTTTGTTATTTATTTCTAGTTAGACTCTATTATGGTCAAAGAACAAATTTCACACACTTTCTAGTCTTAATTTGTTGAGATATGTTAATGGCCCGATATATGGTATATCTTAGTGACTGTTTCATGGGTTCTTGAAAAAAAAATAGTGTATTTTACTATTTTGGGGTGGATTGTGGTATATATGTCAATTAGACCTTTTTGGCTGGTTGTATTGTTCAGTTCTTTTATATCCTTGCTGATTTTCTGTCCAGTAGTTTTATCAGTTTCTGAGAGTGGAATGTTAAAGTCCTCAACTATAGCTGTGGATTTATCTATTTCTCCTTTCAGCTCTATCAGTTTTTACCTCAAGTATTTTGAGGCCTGTTTTTTGGTGCACATGCATTCAGTATCATTATATATTTTTGGTGAATTGATTCTTTTATCATTATGTAATGTCTATCGTTGTCAGTAATTTTCTTTTCTGTGAAATCTACTTTATCTGATATTGATATATTCTCTTCCTTTTTAACAATTAATGTTTGCATAGTGTATCTTTTTTCATCCATTTATTTTCAGTCTACCTATGTAATTGTATTTGAAGTCAGTTTCCTATAGGAAAGATATTGTTGGATCATATTTTTAACCCACTTTGCCAATCTCTCTCTCTTAATTGGTGTATTTAGACCATTTACATTTAAAGTAATTATTTATATGTTAAGGCTTAAGTCTGCCATGTTATTGTTTGTTTTCTATTTGTTTTCTCTGTTTCTTGTTCCTCCGTTTGTCTTTTTCTTAACTTCCTATGAGTTGCTTGTACATTTTTTAGGATATAATCTTGATTATTTATATATCTGTATTAGTCCATTTTCATGCTGCTGATAAAGACTTACCTGAGACTGGGCAATTTACAAAAGAAAGAGGTTTAATTGGACTTACAGTTCCACGTGGCTGGGGAAGCCTCACAATCATGGCAGAAGGCAAGGAGGAGCAAGTTACATCTTACATGGATGCCGGCAGGCAAAGAGAGAGTGAGAAGCCAGGTGAAACGGGTTTCTCCTTATAAAACCATCAGATCTTGAGACTTATTCACTACCACAAGAACAGTATGGGGGAAACCGCTGCCATGATTCAATTATCTCCCACCAGGTCCCTCCCACAAAAATGGGAATTATGACAGATACAATTCAAGATGAGATTTGGGCGGGGACAAAGCTAAATTATATCAGTATCTTTTGAACATATCATCTTATATTGTTTTCTTAGTGGTTGCTCTAGGTGTTACAATGCATGTAAGTAAGCTATCACTTCTATTAATGGTTTATCACTTTGAGTGAAGTGTAGAAATCTTACTACCATTTAGGTCCTTTTACCTTTCCTAAATTTTAAATATAATGATCTTAATTATTTACTCTAGATACATTGAGCATCACATCTAATGATGTCATAATTTTTGCTTCAAACATCAAATATAGTGTATGAAACTCATGAGAAGACTAGTCTTCAATATATTACCCCATTCTTACTCATTCTGATGCTTTTCTTTCCTTTTTGAAGTTCCAAGCCTTCATTTGTTATCATTTCCTTTCTGTTTAGAGAACTTCCTTTAGCCTTTCATTAAGGGTGCTTTTACTTGCAACAAAGTATCATAAGTTTCCTTCTTGTAGGTTTCCTTCACCTGAGAATGTCTTTATTTCCCGTTTATTCCTGAAGAATATTTTTGCTGGATGCAGAATTCTGGGTTGATATTTACTTCCTTTCAGTACTTGAAAAATCTTGCACCACGCCTTCTAAATTGCATAGTTTTAGGGTGGGAAATTTACTGCAATTCAAGGTGGTATTCCTCTATATGCAATATGTTGTTTCTGTCTGTCTGCTTTTAATTCTTTTCTTTTTGTTTAGTTCTCACAAGTTTAATTTTGTTGTGTCTTTGCATACATTTTTTTAGGTTTATCCTACTTGGAGTTTCCTCAGCTTTTTGAATCTATAGGATATGGCTTTCACTAAATTTGGAGAGTTTTCAACCATTATTTCTTTAAATGTTTTTGTTCTTCTCAGACTCTGATGATACAAATGTTAGATCTTTGTTATTGTCCTAAAAGTTCCCTGATACTTTGTTTATTTTCTGCCCGGTCTCTTCTCTCCCCTGAGTTGTTATTGTCCTAAAGTTCCCTGATACTTTGTTCATTTTCTGCCAGGTCTCTTTTCTCCCCTGAGTTGAGATAAATTTCAAACTGAGTGCATTCCAATAATCTGTACTTAAGTTCACTGATTCTATCTTCTTGTGATCTCCAATGTACTCTTGAGCCCACCTATTGAATTTATTTTAATTACTACACTTTTCAGTTCTATGATTTCCATTTTGTTCTTTTTTATAATTTCTATTTCTTTGCTGAGGTTTTCTATTTTTTTCCTTTGTTTCAAGAGTATATGTAATTGCTTGTTGACACATTTTGATGATGGCTGCTTTAAAAACCTTATCAGATAATGCGAAGATCTGATTCACCTTGCTTTCAACCACCTTGGTGTTTTATCAGTTCGTTGGTTCTTTTTATTCATGCTGTGATTTTTCTGATTGTTCGTATAGCAAGTGATTTTTCCATTATAGTCTAGACATTTTAGATATTACATTATGAGACTATGGATCCTATTTCATCTCCTCTTTTTAGCAGACAATTGCCTGTTCAAGTGTAGCATGAAGGCAGTTTGCCATGCATATTCTGTTTCCAACTGAACCCCACCAACACTATCATGACAAAAGTGGGGCAGTGACTCACATTGCCTCACTACAGATAAGTGGGGTAGAGGTTTAGCCACACCTTTGGCCCTGTTAACACCATCTTGATGAAAGTAGGACACTGAGTCACATTGCTTCATTGCCTCTGAGTAGGAGTATAAGCTCGACTTCCCACTGGACACTCTGACACCAGCAAGGGGTAAGGAGAGGACTGATGCATACCTCTTTGTTACTACAGATGGGGGCAGAAGCTCACTGTCTGCTAAACCCCATTAATACCAGGGAAGCACAGGGTTTGAGAAAGCAGAGTGTCAACCAGCTCTACATCCTACCACCTCATTCAGCTTCATTTATGCAGGTGGAAATAGAGGGTCAGTTCCCTACTGAGCCCTACTGACATCAAGGCCCAGTGGGGAGCTGAGGTTCAACTCCCACCTGGCATCAATGCCTGGCATCAATGAAATGCTTGGTGACCCAAATTTGTACTGCCTTCCTAAGTCTCACTAATCCTGGGTACAGAGGAGGCTCAGCTGCCTGCTGGACCCCACGGCCACTACACTGGCTGGGGAATCAGAATACTGCCTGAGACAGCCAGGGAGAGGCAAAAAGACCAGGTCCCTGCTCAGTCCTGCTAACACTATCTTGGCAGAGGAATTGGAGCACTTCCTGGTTCTGCTGAATGGAAGCAGAATTTCAACTGCCCCATTAACTTGCTGACAAAAGTGCTGTCTGCTTCCACCAGGCAGCAGTGGGAAGATTAGCTCCACATTTAGAAAATTAGGTCCGTGCTCAGCCCCACCCTAGGAAAAGGAAGGAAGAAATTCGAGTCCCACCACCTGCTTTCATAGAGTAGGGTAGTGGTGTGAAAATCAACTCCCCACTAAGTTTCACTGAAATCCCAAAAGCAGGGGCATTTTTTTCTATTGATGTTTGGCTGAGGGTGTATGTATTGCCAAAAAGGTTTTTTTTATTGTTGGGACACCCCATTTCTGGTCAATTAGCTAGGGAAGAAAGTACTTTTTTTGGAGTTTTCTTTTATCCATGGCTATTGGCAGTTCCGGGTTAGATGCTTCTGAAGAGCCCTGTCTGGGATATATGGGCTATATTAAGGAAACGCAGATAACACATCACCGTTTTATTCTTCAAGTCCCAAGGTCCCTAGGTAGTCCACCCCTTTCAGCATTTTCCTATGCTTAGTGCTATATCCAAAGATCTAGGAAAATATGTATCATATGAAATTCAAGTGATATGTCAACTTGCAACATTTGAATTAATTTATATTCTAGACAACCTTTTTAGGTCCTCTTAAAATTTAAGTTGACAGTGAAGTGCCCATTCGAGTGGGTAAATTTTGATATAAAAGGTCAGTGCTACTCATATTTTCCCTGGAAAATCCCCTAAGAATATCAAAGTATTTCTTGTTTTCCCCCATATCTTCCAAACATTTTAATGCTTCTAAGAGCTGATTATGGTAGAATTTTTTTAAGTATACAATCGTCTAAAAATAGCTCTGATTCTATGAATTAGGAAAGAAAAAGGAAAGAGAACCATTAACAGTCCAATCAGATAGTTAAATAAATAAATTTTTGCTAGAAAGAACTGAGAAAGTGGCATCATGTAACTAACTTCAAAATAATACATGGATAAAAATATATATTACTAAAACTATAAATGTTTACAAAAACGTCCGTTAAAAATAAAAACAAGGCCAGCGCGGTGGCTCACGCCTGTAATCCCAACACTTTGGGAGCCCAAGGCGGGCGAATCACTAGGTCGGGAGTTCGAGACCAGCCTGGCCAACATGGTGAAAACCCGCCTCTACTAAAAATACGAAAAATTAGCTGGGCATGGTGGCACATGCCTGTAATCCCAGCTACTCGGGAGGCTGAGGCAGGAGAATCGCTTGAACCCGGGAGGCAGAGGTTGCAGTGAGCCGAGATCACACCACTGCACTCCAGCCCCGGCGACAGAGTGAGACTATGTCTCAAAAATAAATAAATAAATATAAATTAATTAATTAACTAATTAATTAAATAAAATCAAAACAGACAATCCCGGCCAGGCGCAGTGGCTCATGCCTGTAACCTCAGCACTCTGGGAGGCCGTGGTGGGCAGATCACTTGAGATCAGAAGTTCAAGACCAGCCTGGGCAACAAGGTGAAACCCCATCTCAACTAAAAATACAAAAATTAGCAGGGCATGGTGGCGGGTGCCTGTCATACCAGCTACTTGGGAGGCTGAGGCAGGAGAATTGCTTGAACCCAGGAGGCAGAGGTTGCAGTTGAGCCCAGATCATGCCACTGCACTCCAGCCTGGGCTACAGAGTGAGACTCCGTCTTAAAAAAAAAAAAAAAAAAAAAAGACAATCACTACACATTACAGTTGGAAGTTTCAAAACCATTCCCACAGATAAATGGAAGCATCTTGTAAATCCACAGAAATAATAGAGCATGGAACCAGTGGTTGGTTTCTCTACCTACCATAATTCCCCTTATTGGCTTTAGGGCCAAGACAGCAGCAGAAATATTGGTCCTGGTGCAATTCCTAAACGATGCAGCCCATCTGATGCTTCTTGTTCATAAAATGGAATATACAATGATCTTAAATGTCTAGAGAAAAAGTTAAGTTGCCTTCCCTACTTTTTTCCTTGGTGATTGTTATGGAAAGAGTCTACCAAGAAATACAATCAAGCCAAAATTGACACCAGGATTGTTTTGGTTTCCATACTTAGGTAACAATTTTCAGCCCAAGTGAGTTGTAGAGGAAGCAGTTTCTCACATAAGAATTTGTGGGTCTCTGAGGCTTTCTTACTTCTTAATGGATTCAATGTAGTCTTTATAAAAGTAGACAGTACTTAAGAACAATATTAATTAGTTGTAAGTGTTTATGTATCTAATTTTTTGCATTTCTACAAGCAGTCTGCACTGCAGATGTAGTTAGACATAATTCCAAAGTTCTAATAAATCCAATAGTATAAGTAAGGAATAGATAGGTAGATAGATATATATATATATAGACAGATAGATAGTTAGATTCCAGGGTTAAAGCAGAACTTTTAATCTGGTCAGAGTATAACCTCTAAACTTTAATTATTTTCATCCTCTTCTTCAGCCAAGACCTGAACTCCTCTTCCATCTAGGTCTAGGGCAAATGTGTCATTTCCCAAAATCTATTTGTGTTCGTGACCCAGGTCAGGAAAAAGGAAGAAGGGAGCAGAGAATGCAAGATGTAATTGCTCTGAAGAAACATCGTGTCTCTTGCTGAGTGAAGTCTTACCAATACAGTTTATTAGCAAGTTTAATACCTTTCGATAAACAATGAGGAAAAAGTTTTGAAATAAAAGTAAGTAAAGTTTCTGTTCGCTTTAATAATTATCAAAATTAAAAGGGTAAGCAGCAACTTACAGCTTGTTACAGGAAGGTTTTATGGAAACTGTGATTCTAAAAGGATACCTCTGACTCATTAGAATCATTCCAGGCATATAGAGCAAGATGAGGAGGGAAGGAAAAAAAAAAAAAAAACTACCCAGAAAAGAGATTAAGAAAAGAATTCTGTTTAGTCATAGCGAAAGGAGGGAGGAAAGTATCAGAGGCCCAAAGGAAGCAAGGGAAGCAATATAAATGGGACAAAGGGATTAAAGGGCTGGGAGGTGAGGGCAGGTCTGGATTTGTTTGAAAGGCAAGGAGACGAGGTTAAGTGATTTACTAAAGGTCCCCTACTGAGTCACTGGCAGCACCGCTTCCATCCCTCCTATTTTGGGTTTCCTCTTTAGTTCCTTGTCTCTACACAGAAATAGACATTCTATGTGATTTTCTCTCATTGCAAATCTTTTATACTTTAACTCAGAAAGCCGTGTTTAGAGGGCTGTGTAGGTGGTTGTTTTTAATGTTGAATTTTTTCCCCTTCTTTGGGAAAACTGCTGGTATAGAAAGCTTCCTTGACTCAGTATTGAGACAAATAAAAGACAAATGTGTTATTCTACTGAGACTGTTGAAATGAAAGTTTGCTTTGAAGTCGGGTACTAGAATACATATGAGAAAATACTGTTCTTGTCATAAAAACTGGCAGCTGAGCATTCTTTTTCCTGTCAGAGAGAATGACAGTCTAACGGGGCCAAAGTCAGACTGAGGGAATAGATTTTTTTTTCTTTAATTACTAACTCAACCTATGGCCAGAAAAGGACAAATGTTAGACGTAAAGAGTAGATTAAAAATCTGGAGAAAATGACCAATAATCATATAATTAATAGAAATGAATTTCAAGAATTCAAATTGTTATCTATTGATAGGAATATTATAAACATTAACAACTATTCCTAAGTATTTTTGAACAAGTCATTGACTTTATCCTGTAATTTTGACATAAGACAATTTGATTTAACAGGAATCTTCCTATCTTTAAAATGCTGCAGCTTAAATCCATCCATCTGGAGTCTGATGTTTGAAACAGTTATTTCTGGAAGCCTCTGCTGATAGAAATCAAAACAATATAATACAAAACCTTAAAAAATGACAACAAATATATTGTTGGATTTTTCTCATACAATTAATTTCACCTTTACTTTCATATCTTACTGACCTGGATTTAACACCATAGCTATTGTTTTAAGTGTGAATCAGTCCAATATATGATGCTGAAAATATTAAATTTAAAATGAAGAGAAATCGAAACAGATATTCTCTTAGTCAATACATATCCCTACAGTTATATTTCTCTTAGTCATTAAAAAAATAAATTTAAGTGAAAACCTGTATTTATTAAAAGGCTATTAGAAGAAAAATCACTGACAAAATATCCAGTAGTTAAATAAGCTAGGGAAAAGCATGCAGGTCACTGGTTGCCAAGCCAACTCAAAACACTTGTCCTTCATGCCAGAGATGCTAGAGAACAGAATATCACAGAGGCACTGCTTTTGGTGGGCCCAACTCCCACGAACATGTAGAGCCAAAGGATGTGTTTAACAATCAATTTTTAAAAATCACTACTTCAGTGCATTAAATATGAAATACTAAAACTAATGGCTTGATGTCGACATCAAGACGCATCCAATGAAGTCAGCCTATGTTACCCCCGCAGACCTGAACTACATTAGCCTTGGACTGTCAGTGCTTGTCTAGACTCTTTTTAAAAACTCTTAGCTTTCTAGAGTTTATGGTTGCTCTGAGATTTCCTTTAGCCTTTTCAGATTATGGCCTCAGTTTCCTTTCTGCTCTCTGTTGACAACTCTCAGCATGTATTTTAGTTGAAACCATATGTTTTCTTTTTTTTTTTAACTGGATACAGAAAAATTGTACATATTTTAGAGTATATGTGATATTTTGATACATGCATACGGTGTGTCATGATCAAATCAGGGTAACTGGGATATCCATTGCCTCAAACGTTTATCATTTCTTTGTGTTCAGAATATTCCAATTCTTCTCTTCTAGCTATTTTGAAATAAACGATAAATTATTGTTAACTACAGTCACCCTGCTGTACTATCAAACACTAGAACTTATACCCTCTGTCTAACTGCATTCTCCTACCAGGAACCATACATTTTCTGAGTGAAAAGATTCAAAACAAGAGTTCTGTGTTATTGCTGTTGACTGGCCATGCTCTACAATCCATAACATTTAGATACTTCAGGGATTAATGATGTCTGAGCCTGGGAGTCCAAATATCTTGGTTCTAATCCTGACTCCAGCATTAATGTATACCATATCTTGGACACATCAGTTATATTCTTACTGACTCTTTCCTCACGTCGATTCACGCATGTCCATCTCTCTTTAGTGAATCACGAAATGTGGTAGAGAAGGAAAAATTATAATATCCTAAATACTTTGAATTTTTCAGTGGAGAGTGATGCATAAGATTATTGCTCTTACTATATTCATTAACAATATATAAAGACATCCGGCCGGGCATGGTGGCTCATGCCTGTAATCCCAGCACTTTGGGAGGCCAAGGCAGGTGGATCATGAGGTCAGGAGATCAAGATCATCCTGGTTAACACGGTGAAACTCCATCTCTACTAAAAATACACAAAATTAGCTGGGCATGGTGGCACTCGCCTGTAGTCCCAGCTACTCAGGAGGCTGAGGCAGGAGAATCGCTTGAACCTGGGAGGTGGAGGTTGCAGTGAGCTGAGATTGTGCCATTGCTGTCCAGCCTGGGTGACAAAGTAAGACTCTGTCTCAAAAAAAAAAAATACATCCTCTAGAAAGTGATGAGACATTTCCACACCTTGAAGGGAGTACCAGCTGTATAATTTTCAGTGCCCAGTGCAAAATGAAGATGTAGGACCCCTTTTAAAACTTATTAAGAATTTGAAGAGAGTGAGAGCAGAGCATTATGCAAGTGTGGGACACTTCTGAAAACACGGCCCTATGCAACTGTACAAGTTGCACATGCATGGAGCACATCTTGCCTAAAGCATTGCTCTTGGTAGGAAAAAATATAACAATTCCAAAAGCTTGTATTCTGGGATTTGACTCTTATTTTGTGCCTCAAATGAGGTGCAAAGATAAATCATTTAAAAAAAAAACGAAACTCTTGTTTCTCCCTTTACTCTCTCTTGTGTCTCTGGTAGGATGAGCCTTCCTACCCTTGCCATCATTTCAGTCACAGTCCAGAAAACATAAAAATCCACTGTAAAGAAGAGAAATGAAGAACAAATACAATATTCACTGTTTTGATACAATATTTATTTAGTTTGCTGTCACTTTACACAACAAGTATGCAGTACAAAAGAAGGCAACATTCTGAAAACATGCTCTCCTGGCTCATTTCGGTTTGCTACACTCCCTTTGCAGCTCTCAGGCTTCTTCTCCACCTCTTTCCTGTTCTGTTCCCAGGCAGGCTAATTCCCACAGAATATCGCTGGGCCCTTTTGTTGGCTAGCTTCCCATTGACAGAGGATTGGAGGTTGAGAGGCAAGAAAATTGTAGGTATTTCTTTTCAACTTATCCAACTCAGTGTTGATCTCTGGCAGCAGCAACAGCCCTCCCATCAGACAGCCCCACCTCCATGATTCCAGTCTTCAGAGGCCTCCCCCTATCCCTTTGATGGGGGCCTAAAAGTGGTAACCATTTCCTGCTGCTACTACTCTTTGGATGCCTCAATGTCTTCTTTTAGTTTTGTCACTCCTGTTAAAGTATCTTCATTTAAACCTTGGGAGTGAAATCTGTTTCTTGTGGGAACGCTGTATGATGCATGTGATTAAATGTAATATTCTACTTAAATCAACTTAAACAGATTCTACCCTTCTGAAAGGACTGCTCAAAATCCCAACCTATTCTTTAAACCCACCTGAATACTTCGGTCCATATTGCTGTCACTCTTTTCTAGGGACTCGGGCCTGTGTGAAGAGACCACCAAACAGGATTTGTGTGAGCAATAAAGCTTTTTAATCACCTGGGTGCAGGCGGGCTGAATCCGAAAAGAGAGTCAGTGAAGGGAGATAGGGGTGGGGCTGTTTTATAGGATTTGGGTGGGTAGTGGAAAATTACAGTCAAAGGGGGTTGTTCTCTTGCGGGCAGGGGCGGGGATCACAAGGTGCTCAGTGGGGGAGGTTCTGAGGCAGGAGAAGGAATTTCACAAGGTTAATCCCTCAGTTAAGGTGGGGCAGAAACAAATCACAACAGTGGAATGTCATCAGTTAAGGCAGGAACCGGCCATTTTCACTTCTTTTGTGATTCTTCACTTGCTTCAGGCCATCTGAATGTATACGTGCAGGTCACAGGGGATATGATGGCTTAGCTTGGGCTCAGAGGCCTGACATTACTGTCTTCTTATATTGATAAGAAAAATAACATAAAATAGTGTTGAAGTGTTGGGGCAGTGAAAATTTTTAGGGGGTGGTGTGGAGAGATAATGGGCGATGTTTCTCAGGGCTGCTTCGAGCGGGATTAGGGGTGGTGTGGGAACCCAGAGTGGGAGAGATTAAGCTGAAGGAAGATTTGGTGGTAAGGGTGATATTGTGGGGTTGTTAGAAGGAGCATTTGTCATATAGAATGACTGGTGATGGCCTGGATACGGTTTTGGATGAATTGAGAAACTAAACAGAAGACACAAGGTCCGAATAAGAGAAGGAGAAAAACAGATATTAAAGGACTAAGAATTGGGAGGACCCAGGACATCCAATTAGAGAGTGCCCAAGGGGGTTCAGCATAATTACTTGCTTGGTTGGCGAGTTTTTGGCCTCTATCCTTGAGTTTTTTTATGTTGTCATACACCAGGCCAGATTGATTTAGGTAAAAACACTCTTCATTTAAAAATATACAGAGTCCTCTTTTTCAAGTTGGAGGCTGAGCTTGGTGAGGTGTGTTTTTAAAAGACCATTAGTCCGTTCTACCTTTCCTGAAGATTGAGGACGGTAAGGGGTATGAAGGTTTTACTAAATACCAAGAGCCTGAGAAACTGCTTGGGTGATTTGACTAATAAAGGCCAGTCTGTTATTGGACTATATAGAGGTGGGGAGGCCAAACCAAGGAATTATGTCTTACAGAAGGGAAGAAATGACCGTGGTGGCCTTTTCAGACCCTGTGGGAAAGGCCTCTACCCATCCAGTGAAAGTGTCTACCTAGACCAAGAGGTATTTTAGTTTCCTGACTTGGGGCATGTGAGTAAAGTCAATTTGCCAGTCCTGGGCAGGGGCAAATCCCTAAGCTTGAAGTGTAGGGAAGGGAGGGGGCTGACACTGCTCTAATACTTTTAGAGGCCCTCAAAATCACAAACTATGCTCAACTCACTCTCTACAGCTCTCATAACTTCCAAGATCTATTTTCTTCCTCACACCTGATGCATATACTTTCTGCTCCCTGGCTCCTTCAGCTATACTCACTCTTTGTTGAGTCTCCCACAATTACCATTGTTCCTGGCCCAGACTTCAATCTGGCCTCCCACGTTATTCGGGATACCACACCTGACCCCCATGACTGTATCTCTCTGATCCACATGACATTCACCCCATTTCCCCATATTTCCTTCTTTCCTGTTCCTCACCCTGAACACACTTGGTTTATTGATGGCAGTTCCACCAGGCCTAATTGCCACTCACCAGCAAAGGCAGGCTGTGCCATAGTATCTTCCACATCTATCATTGAGGGACAGAAGTTGGAATGCTAGTTGCTTGTCTAACCACCTTATCAGCATAAGCGTTGTCTAGAGCAATGGGATCTGATGCCACACGGAGACATGATGGCCAGCCTAAAACAGTAAGGTCAAGTTGTTTGGACAGAAAGGCTACAGGGCACGGTCCCAGTCCTTGTGTAAGAATTCCGACTGCACAGCCCTGCACTTCAGCTGTGTGTAATGAAAAGGGTTGGGATGAGTCAGGGAGAGCTAGTGTGGAAGCAGTATCTAAAGCTGTCTTCAAGGAATGGAAAGAGGAGTGGGGAAAGGATTTAGGATCTATGGGGTCAGCTAGGTTTCCTTTTTTGAGTTTATATAATGGTTTTGTTAGGATGGCAAAACCAGGTATCCAAAGGTGAAAGTATCCAACCATGCCAAGGAAGAAAAGGAGTTGTTGTTTTGTAGAAGGGGTTGGGGTTTGAGAGATCAGTCGGACACGATTGGCAGGGAGAGCACTTGTGTTTTCGTGACGAATTATGCCGAGGTGGGTAATGGATGGAGAAGAAATTTGAGCTTTGGAGGGGGATACCCGATATCCTTTGAAGAATAAATGCTGAAGGACCAGGAGGGTGTGTTGTTGAGAAGATTCAAAGGAGGGGCTACAAAGTAGAAGGCCATCAATATATTGAATAAGGTGAGAAGCGGAGGGGTGGAAAGAAAGTAAATCATTAGAAAGAGCTTGGCTGAAGTAATGAGGGCTGTCCCTGAAGTCTTGTGGCAGTACAGCCCAGGTAAGCTGCTGGGACTGATGGGTGTCAAGGTCAGTCCAGGTAAAAGCAAAGAGAGGCTGGGATGAGGAGTGCAGGGGAATAGTGAAAAAAGCATCTTTAAGATCAAGAACGGAATAGTGAGTTGTCGAGGAAGGTATTGAAGACAAAAGAGTGTACAGGTTGGGCATTACAGGGTGGATAGGCAAAACAGTTTGGTTGATAAGGCGCAGATCCTGAACTAACCTGTAAGACTTGTCCGGTTTTTGGACAGGTAAAATGGGGAAGCAGATAATTTGATTTAAAAGTCTCGGCCTAATAAGGGAACTGGGCAGGTGGGGATAACTAAAAAAGAGTGCATAAAACAATGTTGTCCAAGTTGGCACCAGAGTGGGGGAGTTTTAAGGGGTTTTAAGCTTGGTCATCAGTACCCACAACAGTTATGGGGGCAAGGGAAACAGGCCCTTGAAAAGAAGATAATGTGGAGTGGGTAGCCCCCATATCGATTAAACAGGGGATGGACTTACCCTCCATCGTGAGAGTTACCCGAAGCTCGGCATCAGTGAGGGTCCAGGGGCTTCCAATGCGATTCGGCAGCATCAGTCATCAGCCACTAAGCCAAGCATATCTGGGAAGGAGTCAATCAGAGAGCCTCGGGCCAGAGCTTTAGGGGCTCTAGGAGTGGCTTCTGGGCTAGCTGGGCAGTCTGATTTCCAGTGGGTCCCTGCACAGATGGGACATGGCTTGGGAGGAATGCTGGGCTGCAGGCATTCCTTGGCCCAGTGGCCAGATTTCCGGCACTTGAAGCAAGATCCTGATAGAGAAGGTCCTGAAGGAACTTCTGACCGCTGTGGCTTAGACGTTTTGAAGTTCTTGTGTGCTGGAGATGTGGCTGGGGTTTCTCTCACAGCAGAGGCAAGTAATTGCAACTCTTCCCTATTATTGCACCCCTTGAAGGCGAGGTTAATTAAGTCCTGTTGTGGGGTTTGAGGGCTGGAATTTAATTTTGGAGCTTTATTTAATGTCGGGAGTGGATTGGGTAATAAAACGTATATTGGGACTAAGACAGCCTTCTGACCCTTCAGGGTCAGGGCTGTAAAGCATCTCAGGGTTGCTGCCAAATGGGCCATGAACTGGGCTGGGTTTTTCATATTTGATGAAAAAGAGCCTAAACACTAACTGATTTGGGAGAGGTAGGATAAAGAAAAAGGAGCATTAACCTTGACTGTGCCTTTAGCTCCAGCCACCTCTTTATGAGGAAATTGTTGGGCAGGTGGGGGAAGGCTAGTCACGGAACGAAACTGTAAGCCAGACTGGGTGTGAGGAGGGGAGGTGATAGAATGATTATAGGGTGGAGGAGCGGAGGCTGCCAAAGAATTTGGACCTGGCTCAGCCTGGCGAGGAGCAGCCTGGGGAGGAGGGGAGAGGTCAGATGGGTCCATAGAAAAGGAAGATTGGAAAGACTCAGCAACGCTTAGGGTTGGGACTGAGGGGATAGGCGGGAGGGAAAGAAGGAAGATTTGGGACGAGTTGCATTGGGAACAGAGACTAGGGAGGGACCAATGTGTAAAAGAATGCCTGGACGTCAGGCACCTCAGACCATTTGCCTATTTTACAAGAATTATCTAGGTCTTGTAGGATGGAAAAATCGAAAGTGCCGTTTTCTGGCTATTTGGAACCATTGTCAAGTTTGTGTCGGGGTTAAGCGGCATTGCAGAAGAAAATAAGGCATTTAGGTTTTAGGTCAGTTATGAGTTGAAGAGGTTTTAAGTTCTTGAGAACACAGGCTAAGGGAGAAGAAGGAGGAATGGAGGGTGGAAGGTTGCCTATAGTGAAGGAAGCAAGCCCAGAGAAAAGAGAGGGTAGAGACACGGAGAGAAGGGTTGGAGGCTGCTTGTCCCCCAGGAAAGTGGTGCTTGCCACTAAGGATGAAGGATCAAGGAAGGCGTCCCCGCGGTGATCAGACACCTCTGAAATGTGGGTGAATAATCAAGCAGGCGTCCCCGCAGTGATTAAACACCAAGGGAAGACTGTCTTCCCGAGTCTGTGCCTGGCGCTGGAGTTTTGGGTTCACGGATAACATACATCTCCTCTGTCTCTACCAGAAAAGGAAAGGAAAGGAACTGAAATTAAGAGAAGGGAGCGATTGAAAGATGGTGCCAAGATTGAAAGGAGAAAGAGGTTGAGGGATAGTGAGAGAGGTTGGAGAAGAGAGTAAACAGAGGCCGCTTACCGGATTTAAAATTGGTGAGATGTTCCTTGGGCTGGTTGGTCTGAGGACCCAAGTTCATAGGTGGATCTTTCTCACAGAGCAAAGGGCAGGAGGACAGTGGATTGATCTCCCAAGGGAGTTTCCCCCCATCCGAGTCACGGCACCAAATTTCATGTGCGTCCGTGTGAAGAGACCACCAAACAAGCTTTGTGTGAGCAACAAGGCTGTTTATTTCACCTGGGTGCAGGCGGGCTGAGTCTGAAAAGAGAGTCAGCGAAGAGATATGGGGTGGGGCCGTTTTATAGGATTTGGATGGGTAGTGGAAAATTACAATCAAATGGGGTTGTTCTCTTGCAGGCAGGGGCGGGGGTCACAAGGTGCTCAGTGGGGGAGGTTCTGAGGCAGGAGAAGGAATTTCACAAGGTTAATCGCTCAGTTAAGGTGGGGCAGAAACAAATCACAATGGTGGAATGTCATTAGTTAAGGCAGGAATCGGCCATTTTCACTTCTTTTGTGATTCTTCCCTTGCTTCAGGCCATCTGGATGTATAGTGCAGGTCACAGGGGATATGATGGCTTAGCTTAGGCTAAGAGGCCTGACAAGTACCTTAGTTATCATTACAAAGGAATCTGTGGCCCATAAAGTAGTTAAAATCTCTGCTCTGTAAGTACTTTGTCTGCTGGATATACCTTGGTACATGAGTCAGTTCTCTCTAGTATTATTTCTACTTGTTTTGTGAGTTCTATCCAGTCTGTAAAATAAGACTATAATATGTTTGAAGAGAGAAACTGTTTTATATGACTCTGTTATATTTCCCCAGCTCTTCTAATCCCAGTAGCAAGAACAGTATTAAAAAAAAATAACGGGTATCTAACAATCAATTTTTTTGTGCAGGTATGAGATTTTTAAAATAAGATTTAAAGTAGATCCCATGGATTCAAACTTTTCAAAGAAATTCGCATTTAGTTTAAAAATCCTTCATAAAGTTAAATTGGATTTGACAGAAAGCCAGCCTACTTATTACAGTCCCCTATATCCATGAATTCCACATCTGTGGATTTAACCACTGGCAGATAGAAAATATCTAGGGAAAAAAAAATGGATGGCTGTGTCTGTACTGAACAGGTACAGGCTTTTTTTTCTTATCATTATTCCCCAAAGAATACACATAACAATAATTTCCATAGCATTTACATTGTATTAGGTATTATGAGTAATCTAGAGATGATTTAAAGTATATGAGAGTATGTTCCATAGATTATATACAAATATTACACTGTTTTATATAAGGAGCTTGAGCATCTATGGATTTTTGGTATCCTCATGAGTTGAAGGGGAGGTCCTGGAGACAATTCCCCACGCATACTGAGAAACAACTGTACCTTAGTTATGTAGCCTGTTCTGTAAGAAATGCAGGCCTCCAAAACTGAGATAATCCTCATGGATGTATTATATAGCAAGAATCTTATGGATCAGAAAATACTTAACATACATGGGATGTAGGGCAGGGAAGACAGCAAAGAGTATAAATATATTTAGGGAGCAGATCAAGACAGAAAGGAAAAATGGGAGAAATAAACCTTTTAAAAGTGGAAAGAATCTAGTTAAGAGAATTAGACTTCAAAGACTGTACAGCATAAAAATAGAAATAAGTTAAAATAGATACCACACTTTCTTTCTTTCTTTTTTTTTTTCAAGACAGAGTCTCACTCTGTTGCCCATGCTGGAGTGCAGTGGCGTGATCTCGGCTCACCGCAAGCTCCGCCTCCCAGGTTCACGCCATTCTCTTGCCTCAGCCTCCTGAGTAGCTGGGATTACAGGCGCCTGCCACCACGCCTGGCTAATTTTGGTTTTGTGTTTTTAGTAGAGACGGGGTTTCACCGTGTTAGCCAGGATGGTCTCGATCTCCTGACCTCGTGATCCGCCCCTTCAGCCTCCCAAAGTGCTGTGATTACAGACATGAGCCACCGCGCCCGGCCTGATACCAAACTTTCAAATTGGAAAATTTTGTACTGTATATCATCAGTTACTTCTGTATTAATCCATAAACACAATGTGACCTTAATTAAAATAACAACAGAATTTGTGGAAGTAGTTTACACAATTCCATTATTTATTCAACAAATGTAATTGAATATTTAGTTCAGGTACTGAGCTACTCTAGAAAAAACAATGGAATTAAAGTATGATTAAATGACAACTCAATTGTGCAAAAAGGACTGATTTTCCAATAAATGGTATTGGAAGAACTAACTAATCTTTTGAGGAAAAAAAGTGCTGTATCCCCCATGCAACCCTTCAAAATAAATTTTAGATACATCAAAATATAAAAAGTAAAAACATTTCAAAATATTTGAAAAACATAAATGTTTTATGTTTCTATTATGTATGTATACTTATAAATAATTATAAGATATCAGTATAGTGAAAATTTTTGCCATTATGGCACCAGCCCTGGAAGCTGTAATTGTGAAAATTGACAATTTACTAAATAAATGTTTGCCGTATCTCCACGACACAAAATAGCATTAAAAACAAAGCAAAGAGAAGCAAACAAAAAAATGCAAAAATATAGCAACATACAGTATAAACTTCCTTAATGTAAGTTAAATCAATAAGAAAAGAGAACTCGTATAGAAAAACAAGCAAAATAAATTGTCAGGCAATTAACAGGAAAAGAAATATAAATTGCTTGCCTAGAAAGAAATGAAGAGAAACTTAACTTTTCTAAGTTTTTAAAAATGCAAGTCATAACCGTAATTATTTTAAAGTAATAAGATGAGAAAACTGTAAAAACTTTGATAATAACCATAGGGAAATCATAAATTTGGTAGAATCACAAATATACAAATCTTAAGTATCAAAAAAATTTAAATATATGCTGACTTTTTGTAGAACGATTTGTAACTATTACAAATTTAAATACACTTATCTTTTTATCCAAAAATGTCTAGCTAAAACTTTTATTCATGTTTTCATGTATTTCTTATGCTACTGACATTGATGTCTTCTTATACATATACTTGCATGTTATATGTATAAGGATTCCTTTCAGATGCCTATAATATGAAATAAAATAAAACAAACACAGTGGGCTACGTCAGATAGAAGTTCGTTTCTCCATCATGTGAAAATAGTTTCAAGGTGGGCAGCTGAGAATTTTTACGGTGGTCTCCTGGTCATCAGAGACCCAGGCTTTTTATACCTTTCTATTTTATTATAACTAACATATAGTTTCCATTTTCAAAGTCACTTCATGGACCAAAATATCTGCTGTGATTTAGCAATATCACATTTGCTCTTACTTGCAGAAAGAAGAAAGGGGAAAAGAACACACAAAAAAATGTTTATCCAGGTAAGACAGCTACCTTAAATCAAAATCAGGATGCTTCTTGATGCACTTAATAAAATATTTAACCAAAAATTGCTAAAACAATAGGTGTGGTTTTCTTACATAGGAAGAAGACCAGAGATAGTTGAACCTAGAGTTTTTCAGTAGCTCAGTGATGTCATCAAGGTCCCTGGGCTCTTTCCATTGTTCCCAAGACACCATTCCTCAGAATTCCCTCCATGTTTCTCCATCATGATTGCAAGATGGCTATTGTAGCTCCAAGCCTCCTGTCCTCACAAGTTAGCATCCAAAGCAGGGAGGAAACAAAAAAAGGGGAATTATTCATCACATGCCGTTCTCTTATTAGTGAGAACTGCCTTTTGCAAAAGCCTTGGCAGTCTTTTCCTCAGCCTTTCCCTGTATTACATGAAAGGCTGGTAGATAGGGTATCCTAACACTTTGAGCCTTTACCGCAGAGAAATGGTAAAACTAGCCAAAAAGAAAGAGGGAAATGAAGGTTGTTGGTAGGCAGCCACTAATGTCTGTCACACATGCTGTGAGAAGAAAGAGCTAATAGAAAGATTAAATAGGTATTGGAGAAAAGGCAATTATAGATCAATATCTCAAAGGAGAGGCCCTGGGATTCTCTCTAGATTCTAGGGCACTGTTGAAGGAACAACTCAAGACAAGGAAGAAAGAAAGAAATGAAGATGTATGAGTTATTAATAGTCAGGGTAGGAAATTGAGTATGTTTTCACCTGAGATGATCAAATAGGAAAACAGAGATAGGGAAATTAATTCTCTTTTGGGAAAGTACTGTGCAGCAACACTTTGAATGCAGCGCCAAACAAGCTCTATTCAAGATAGAATTTTCTCTAGAATTCAGTCCCTCTAAGCAAGTCTTTTCCCACCCTGAGGACACTGCCAGGCATCCTTCCTTGTTCCACTTCCAAACAGGGCACCATTTTAAGAAATACAGTGTCAATAACTGAGTTTCATGCTGGGTATTTCTATGATCCAAAGCTATACCTAGGACAAGAACCTGAATATGTTACCACTCATTTCAGAAAACTCCCTTTTCATCTGCTATATTTAAATGACAAAAAAGTAATATATAACTTTGATATTGTAATATAAACTGTAGGAGGTGAAAAAAATGGGAATATTACAAGTAATTAATTCAGTTAAAATCCTCTGAATTTTTCATCGACCATTTCTATATTTTTTTTCTTTTACCCAGGAAATTTCTGATACATTTCTCCTTTCATTTGATTGGTTGGGACAAGTAAATATTTGAAAAAGTAAATATTAGTCTATGTATACAACAATCGCAGTATAAAACTGCAACAATAACCTCTTATGGATGAAAATATAGCAAACCAATCCTATATTGCTAATATTTGTGAAAATGTCATGTTTAATATTACCTTACCCTTTTAAAAATAGAATTTGTCAACAGAAAAAAATTTTTACCTTTATATAGTGATGTTGAATTATAAATGCTTTGGACATAAAAAACAAATACTTTGAAATCATTCCTTGATATTTCACATTTTTTCATAATTATATCATAATCACAGGCTGATATTAACTATAATATGCTTTCAAAATGGGGGATTATTCTTCATTCAAATGATGGTTTTCTTCTTAAGACAAAAATGATGCAGCTAGAGGGTTAAAGTGATCTAACTTAGAATGTTGCTTAAATTATAAAAACCCCATGGGACAAAAAAATTCCAAGGGCCCATTTATTCTAGAGTTTGGGATAATGGGCCTGTTACTCTTTCAGTGCTCGTTTCGGGAATTAAACATAGTAATGTAGGAGTAAAGCTTCTTAGTTAATTTGTAGTCTGACTAATTGTTTCATGGTATTATGAGTTCAATGCTTTGATGAATAGGAACACAGCCAAATGGTTTTCAGAAACTACTTGCTTACAGCATTTAGTGCATTTATTGTAGACGGGTCCTTGTGAACTAGTGAACAGAATAGAATTTGTGACATTCATCGATTTAAAGATGGTCAGTGCAAATTGACCACATCGATCCTCATCCTATTAGTGATAGTTAAAGCCTCATTTCTACTGAAAAATTTGCAGAGATATCAATGACTTTATAAGGAGGATGTGATAGAATATTTAATATTTACAGCTGTATTTACAGTTGAGATAATAACCATTCTGCTTTAGATAATTTAATTTGCATTCATTGATAAGAAAGAGTAATAGGCAACTTAACTATTTGGTCTGTTTCATAGACAAACAAATAAGAAAAGAAGGAATTTGTGTTTTTCTGAGAAAACTAGTGACACAGATTTCTCTGATTTTCGAATTCAGTGGCAACTCATCATTCCCAAAAGTTGTCATTCTCAGGTAGAAAGACTTTATTGAGAATTATTATCTTCATGGTTACATGAAGATACAGGTGATGCACTAATAAGAAAACAAATTATAGAATTATATATTTGAAGGTTTTTCCCTTTTCCAAAAATGGCAACACATTTCTATGGAGCCATCCTTAAAGTCTTGATTTATTACAACTAAAGTGTGATTCGTGGAGTTAGTGATATTATCAGTCACTACAAAACAGAGTGTTTCTCTACCTGGAAATAATTAGAAGCTTTGAGCCTGACTGTCGTGTCTGTTGAACTTTTTTTACATCGTTGCAAGAACGAAGATATACTCATGTATTTATGTACAGGGTGGAATGGGGAGGGTTGGTCAATGGGTAAAAGTTTACAATTAGATAGGAGGAATAAGTTCTGGTGATCTATTGCACAGTAGAGTGACTATAGTTAACAATAATGTATTGTATATTTCACAATAGCTAGAGGAAAGGATTTTGATTGTTGTCACCACAAATAAATGATGAATGTGTGAGGTGATGAATTTGCTAATTACCTTGATTTAATCATTATGTAATATATATATATATGCATCAAAACATCACACTTTACCCCATAAGTCTGTACAATTATTATGGGTCAATTAAAAATGAAATAAAATTTTAACAAAAAGAATGTACAGGGAAGATGGTAAAATTAGATGCCATCTCAGAGCCAGGCCTGAAGGGAACTGAAGCCTTCTTTACGACCATCATTTAGCATACAAGGAAAATCCAGAGGCTGGGACAGTTTTTGGCAGGTTTTTGTTTTTGTTTTTGTTTTTTTTGAGACAGAGTCTCGCTCCGTCACCCAGGCTGGAGTGCTGGAGTGTAGTGGCATGATCTCGGATCACTGCAACTTCCGCCTCCCAAGTTCAAGCAATTCTCCTGCCTCAGCCTCCCGAGTAGCTGGGATTACAGGCGCATGCCGCCACACCTGGCTAATTTCTTTTGTATTTTAGTAGAGACAGGGTTTCACCATGTTGCCCAGGCTGGTCTCGAACTCCTGAGCTCAGGCAATCCGCCTGCCTCAGCCTCCCAAAGTACTAGGATTACAGGCATAAGCCAGCGCACCTGGCCACCTTTTGGCAGTTCTATGGCAGGTCTGCAATCCTCCTTACTCAGGTGATCTGCCATGATGGTGATCCAACTACTGCTTATGCTACTTCTGCTCTTTCCATTCCCAATTACCCTCTTCCACTCTTCTTTCTATGTCATGGCATCTTGTGTTTCAGGCATTTTTACATTTTCTTCCCACTGCCAACTCCCATGTCTTCATGTCACGCAAATTCTAAGAGTGATGATTTCATGTTTATAGACAGTCACTCTCCCTTATAAAATATTCATGCTGTACAAAGTACTTTTTCTGGCTTTCTCACTCATGATCCTGATCTTTTTTCAATAAATTATGGAGTAGATAGATGATCAGCTTTCTCAAAGAGAATCTGGTTAGCATGAATGCTCATGGTTGATAGAGTCCTCTCCAAAAATATACTTTGGTAAATCACATTTAATCTGGTTTAATATAATAACTGAGTTAAAAATTGAGTTTCAGTGACACAGTATAATCTCAAAACAAAGTCATTTATCTACCATCTCCTATATCTATGGGAAATGTATTCTTCTTCGAAGCTTTCATGCTTCATTAAAACCTAGGTATTCCAGGAACATCCGCTGTCTAAAAACAAAATACTATTGAAGCACTTCTGCTTTTATTCAGGTATACACAGATTAGATCAGCAAAACACCAAAAATATTTAAAATCAATGAAAACATCCATCAGTATTTCATCATCTTCTAGCCAAAGACAGCAATTATTCTTTCAATGTATGCAAACACATTTCTTCCTTTCCACCTTAGTAAGTTTGCTTTATAAGACTAATTGATGGGCCGGGTGCGGTGGCTCACGCCCGTAATCCCAACACTTTCAGAAGCCAAGGCAGGCAGATCACCTGAGGTTAGAACTTTGAGACCAGCTTGGCCAACATGGTGAAACTCCATCTCTACCAAAAACACAAAAAATTAGTCAGGCTTGGTGGCACGCGCCTGTAGTCCCAGTTACTCAGGAGGCTGAGGCAGGATAATTGCTTGAACCTGGGAGGTGGAGGTTGCAGTGAGCCAAGATTGTGTCACTGCATTCCAGCCTGGGCAATAGAGCGAGACTCTGTCTCAGAAAAAAAAAAGACTGAATGATGCCTCAGTGGATGGCCAGATTAAAGATGAAAGCATGAATCTCAAACCACCAATAACCATGTCAGCTGAACAGTTCAAAATATGACTGAGGCATGGACTTCAGCACTGTTCTTTTAAAGTTATTTCTTATTTTGTGTGCATCTTTTGGATTGGTTTTCAGGAGGTAGAGGTAAACAGATTCTTTTAATGTACCTTTTAAACTTGATCATACATGTACGTTATACAACATTTAAATGGTACAAAAGGCTATACATAAGTAAGTCTACAGTTGTATTAATCAGCTATTGCTGCAGTATTGCCATGTAACAAACCATGCCAGAACTTAGTGACTCACAGCAGCAATCATTTACTTCTCTCACTCACAAGTCTAAAAATTGCCATGGGCACCTCTGCTTCAGACTGTGGGCTGTGTGGGTTTGGATCTAGGCTTTGAGTAAAGCTTGGGGATAATCCACTTATGTCATTCTGGGGGCCAGGCTGAAGGGGCTATGGCTCCTGGGAGCATATTGTTCCCATGGCAATCACAGAGGTGCATGGCCAAGTCAGAACTGCTAACGCACATTTATGATCCTTACTTGTGTGGTATCTGCTATATCCTATTGCCAAAATAAGTCACATGGCCAAGATCTAGTCACCAGGGCAGGAAATTATATTCTACCTTTGAGGGGAGAGGGCATGGGAATGAATATTTGCTGAATAATAATCTAATCCACTTTGTTTCCCAGTCATAGAGTTCACCTCTGAATATAAGAACTGTCACTCATTTCTTGTTATTCATCCAGAAAAGTTATATGCAAATATAAGTATACTCACAGATAAATATTTTAATACCCAACGGTATTATACTGTATACCTTGACCCTACCTCCCACTTAATGATATATCTCAGTGAGTATGTAACTGATATAGCCAGTTTGCTAGCTTACTCTAAAAGTAGCTCCTTCCTCCCTTCGTTCCTTGCTGCATATGTATCTAATTACCTGTTTGCTTGAGAATTCCAAAAGCTAATTTTGAAACGATCCAGAAATAAAGCAGAGGTGGTTGTTGCAATTTTCTCCCTTGGTGCACAGTTAATCCATAACTCGACCCCCACTGAAATGATGCCAACCAGGCCTCTGGATGGTCCATTAGTCAAGACAGCCATTGGAAAATGACAAGCAGACCTGCACCCTACGCCACTCCTATGCATAGTTTCCATGACACCTTTCCTCTTAAAACCCCTTTAGATAGCTTGAGGATTTGCAATGGCTTTTTGAGACTAGTCTGGCCAGCTCCCAAGCTGCTGGCACTTGAATAAACCTGCTTTGCTTCCACCCAACCTCACTTCTCATGTGTCTGACTTTTTGAACACAAGCAGCCAAATCTGAGTTCAGTTACAAAAGTATTCCTTTTCAGTAGATATAGATTTCCTTCATTTCATTTAATACAGCTGTTGAGTATTACATAAAATAAACAGATGATGATTTATTTAACAAATTCTCTACTGGTGGGCATTTAGTTTGTTTCCAGTCTTTTACCATTTTAGCCAATACTGCAATGACTATCATTTGATATATTTTTGCGTGTATCTGTAGAATATATTCCTAGAAGGGATATTGCTAGTTCCCAGGATTCTTGCATTTTTCACTTTGATAGATTTTTGAAATTTTCATGCACAAAAATTAGACAATTGAAACTATCACAAAAATGTGAAGGAGTACCTGATTATCTACACCCTTAGCAACACAAATCAAATCATTTTATCTTTGCCAAACTGATAAATTAGAAAACAACTATTGTAATTTGAATTTGTATTTCACTTCTTATGTGTGAAATTGACACATTTTCATATGACAAAGAGCCATACCTTCTATATATGGCAGATCTCCCTCGCCTATTGGGTCTTTTTCCAGAAACTCCCCTACCCCATCCCATAGACTTGCTCAACAGTTGGTGTTAGATAACCATACTTTCATCGTACTACATCATGTCCCAGGGTGTGAGGTCCTGAGGCAAAATCGTGTAAGGGCACAGAAGTAAGAGAAAACCTCTGACCTGCATTTTACATGCCTACATTAAATCATAGGACACTCAAGACCAGACATTTTATAAGCTTTGACAATTATTTAAAGTGCTCTGTATAATGTTCTAGAGATGAAAAATAATAACTCTTGGCTCTTGGAGGCAGCAGTAGCTACCACAGCTGATGAAGACAACAAGCAAGCAGCCCTTTTTGATCAAAAGTCCAGAGCAACCTACAAATGCCATGAACAACAAATGACGAACTCCAGTAATCAGTCCTACCCACAGGGTTCATACGGTCAGATCCATAACCTCAAGAACAAGAGAAGCATAGCAGGATTCAGCCGCCAAAAAACTTTGTGTTCCTGAGAGAAGGATTCTTCATAATTAATAGTACTAAAATTAACTATGTACTGACTACGCATATTTAGTTAATTGTACTGTGACCCTCTCGGGTAATATTTCTTCTTTGAGAAAATTTTATAGACACATTAACATTTTTATTCATAATAACCTGAAATTATCCATTGAAACACTAAATAAGAGCTGAAGATCATGAACTCAAAAGGCTCTGTTATAGCTAAAGTTATAACAGAAGCTACTGTAATGGATAAGAAAGTTAGACTGTAACCAATTATGTTTAACCTTTAATGAAACAACTGTAAAACTTACTATGACTCACTAGTGGCTGATTAAGAGGTTTGGTTGTCAGCACCAGATAAAAAGTGTCTAATCTCTCCCAATATTAGAGCTACAATATTCTAACCGCTTTACAAATAGCTTCTGCAATTCACTGAACACTCGTTATTGAATCTTCCAAAACCTTCCTAGAATTTTCTCTTTAGAGGTTTATTCTAAATATTCTCTTTAATGTCATACGTCTTTACAGAGAAATAGTCTTTAAATGGTAGTCTTTGGTGACTATGGCAATTCAACCAATCTGATGCGGATAGAAGCCAAAAAAGACCTACTCATACTAAACTCTTTTCTCTGAAAAATACAGTACTGTGTGATTCTAATGCGTTCAGAGTGTTTCTCTTTTGTGCTGATTCCAGGCAAGAGTTGACAGCATCAAAACTGTGAAATCTCTAGCAGCCCTCCCTCAGAGACTTGGGGTCCTGCTTCTGAAATTTAAGGCCACTACAGCTAAGTGTCACCCTTTCCTCAAGTAGTAAAGACCTAGAAGACCTAATACAACCTCCAGTGCCTTTGCTTTTTTCCTTTTCTAAACAATTAAAACTTAAAAAAAAAATTATGTCTTCTTATCACGGATACCTTTGATAAATATACCAACTTAAATAAGAACTTAATGAATGGGAAACACCAGAAAATGCTGAAGTGTTTTTTCTTGTGCTGTCTTTATGGTAAATTGTTACCTGTTTTGATTTAGATCAATCTTCCCCTCATCTCTGCAATTATTAAAGATTCTTCTTGCTCCAACTGTTGTGATCCCCTGCTGGCCTAGCTGTTTCAGGGCAAAGCATCAGAGTGTGGATCCAGCGAGGTGTCAAGTGTCCAAATAAATTAGCAACTGTTATGCTATGTCTCCACTTGAGACAGTTTATATCCAATATATCGTGCACAATTGAATCCAAATGAAAATCACCTACCCTCTAAGGCAAGAAAATGTATTTATCCAAAGCTTTCTCTCACACCCTCATCATCATTGAAATTTCTCATGACTAATCTGTTCAACCAAAAGAGTAGGAACTCGAAAACATACTGTGTCACTCAATATCACCCACCAATCCATACAGCAACTGAAGTTCCTTGAATTATCCACTTCTATATGGTCTGCTCCTGGAAGCATCCTTTTCCAAGATTTAAGTATTATAATTCAATCTATGGGTAAGGATATTCTCTGACTCCTTTGTTTTTGTTGAAGCTATCAGATAACTGGCTCCTCTTTCCCTCAACTGGCTTTGTAATTTCTGAAACTGGCCTTTCCAACTCAGCTCATTTAAACATCATCACCTTTTTTATTCACTCTAACATAGTAAACAAGGTCTTAAAAAAGCACACATTAGTTTCTTCTCATGCTAATGAATTAAATGAATTTCATGCTATTTATAGAAAAATTGATATTAATTTTCTGATCTTGTTTCACAAATTCATTATCAAAAGTAAATAAGATGCCGGAAAGAAATCAATAGTTCTCATTTTGCGATATTTACATATTTACAAACCTAGAAGCTTTTTAATGAACTTGCTTAGTGCTATCAATTCACAGATATATTGTAACTCAGGCATCAATGATACTGTTAAGTATCCTAGCATAACCATTGTTGACAACTATAAATAATAACTATATATAGATTAGCCCTTACTCCTTCAATTCTGAAGATAATACACAGGTACTAGTATAATATGGTTTGGCTGTGTCCCCACCCAAATCTCATCTTGAACTGTAGTTCCCCAAATCCCCACGTGTTGTGGGAGGGACCCAGTGGGAGGTAATTGAATCATAGAGGCGGTTACCTCCATGCTGTTCTCATGATAGTGATTGAGTTCTCATGAGATCTGATGGTTTTATAAGGGGCTTTTCCCCCCTTCACTCTGCACTTCTCGTTGATGCCACCATGTGAAGAAGGACATGTTTGCTTCCCCTTCTGCCATGATTGTAAGTTTCCTGAGGCCTCCCCAGCCATGCTGAACTGTGAGTCAATTAAATCTCTTTCCTTTATAAATTACCCAGTCTTGGGTATGCCTTTATTAGCAGTGTGAGAACAGACTAATACGTAGTATATCCATGAAATTTATGGAGAATGTGGACTGAGCACAAACTATGAAAGAAGAACATACAGTTATTTTATAGGCAGTAATATAAGCTTAATTTGTCCTTCTGAATTTATGGGGCATTAGTTCCAGGACGCTCTATAAATACCAAAATCCTCAGACGCTTAAGTCCCTGATGTAACGTGGTGTAGTATTTGCATCTAACCTGAACACATCCTCTTGTATATACCTGAAATCGTCTCTAATTTACTAATATAATGTATATGCCACATAAATAGTTGTTATGCTGCATTGTTTAGGAAGTAATGACAAGGAAAGAAACGTCTGTATATATTCAGTACAAATGCAACTATCCTTTTTCTTTTCAAATATTTTCGATCCATGCTTATTTGAATCCATGGATGTGGAACTCATGGATATGGAGGGCTGGCTGTACATGTTAAGAATTTAAAATATAATCATTAATCTTTACAAGAACCTTATGATATAAAGGTATCTGTGTTTTACTGATAAAGAAAATGAAGCTCAGTGAGGTAAGTGACTTGCCTAATGTCACATAACTAGAAAGTGAGTGGGCTAGATTCTGTAGTAATGGTCCCCCAAAGAAGCACATCTCCTTATATTAAGGATACCAAGTTTTTTCTATTTTTTTCTTATGTTGCTTATGCTTTTGATGTCATATCTAAGAAATCATTGCCCAATCCAAAGTCACAAAGATTTATATCTATTTTTAATTCTAAGAGTTTAAAGTTTCAGCTCTTCCATTTAGGTCTATGATCCATATTGAGTTAATTTTTGTATATGGCATGTTTAATGTTTCAACTTCATTCCTTTGCATATGGATATCCCGTGTCAGCTTTCGATGCATGATGAAAACTTAGTGGCTTAAAACAATAAGCATGTATTTTTTTCCTCACAAGTCTGTGAGGCTTCTGGGCAGTTCTGATCCTAGCTGTCTTGCCAGATCTCTGCAATTAGCTGGAGGCTTTGTTGAAGCTGAATGTCCTAGGATGGCCTCACACATGTGTCTGGTGGTTGTCAGGCTAGTTCATCTAGTGCACCTCAGCTGCGATGGCTCATCTCTGCAACAGACTTTTCCATGTGGTGATTCATCTTTCAATATACTAGCCTAGACTTCTTCACATGGTAGACTCAGGTTCCAAGAACAGCAGAAGGCAAGCTCAAATAAAAATACACCTTTCAAACCTCTGCTTGTGTTCTGTTTGTTAATATCCCATTGAATAGGCAAGTCATATGGCCAAGCCCAGAGTCAATGTATGCTAGTACACTTTTGCTACAATACTGACGCCTCAATCCTGGGTATTACATAGTCATACCAAAAATTCTGGTGTTGCCAGTGTATATCTCCACAACTACCATAGTTATTCTTTAGCATCCAATGCAAAAGAATGTATTAGAGTGTAATTCCTCATGTCAGTGCCACCTGCTAGTGCTAGTCTAGTTCTCAGTTGTATCCCTAGCACTTAGACTAGTGCTTGGCACATAGTAGGCGCCAAATGGATAACTAAGTGAATGGCTTTACAGAAAAATTGAAGGAGAACAAAAGGGGGTCTAGTTTCATCTATTAAAGAATGATCTAGTTTAAGCCTATGCCCCATGCTTACGTCAAATGCACATTGTTCCTGTTTACTTCATGAGTTAAAGACTGAAAAGAAATCCTTGGTAATCCAGTATACCTGACACATTTTTGTACCCTTCCGTTTTGTGCTGGCAATATTTTCTTAGTTTTATTATAATTACCTTAATGATAAGATTTTAATTATTCACATTTTGGCTGCATTTTATCAAATAATACAATCTCATTTAGGAAACAATTCCCCAAAACCATACAGAGGCTTCTTTTCTCTGTTTTCATTACTTCAAAGGTTTATCTTAACATTCTGGTGACATTAAGCATCAATGTAAGGAAGTGAAATGTTAAAATCTTCATATTTCAGATTTTTTAAAATATGCGTGCTTGCTGCTAGAATTGGAGAATTATAAAGAAGTAGAAGCATTACTGCTCCTTAAAATCCATTATTCTGATTTCACCTAGTGCTCTCTTCTACCCAATCCGATAGGGTATGGGCCCAAGAGAAAAGTGTGAGCCATGACCCCAAATAGATAATTGCCTCCTTATTCCTGTTATTCTGAGATTTGGCACACATTGGATATTCAGGCACACTTTAAGAGTGTACTAAGAATCAGCCTCAATACAGTACAATGGTATATTCCTATAAATAAAAGGAAATCATTCTGAAGGGGCAAACTTTCCAGAATGCCACCGTTGTCAATGATAGGGTGGCTCCGTTGGATATCAATGAACACTATAACGGCAAGTTAAGTACAAATCTTAGGCGAAGTTTTTGAATGTTATAATTTATCATTAGAGCCATCCCCAATTTTTGTAGTACTACATAGTGATCAAAGCATTTTCATGTCCATCATCTCAAACTTGGTTTATAATAGCCACCTAATATGAAATTTATTTCTGTAGACTTTCTTTTCATGTGTTATATCATCTTTTCTCCTGAGGTTCTTTATAGACAGTTCCGTCCTTGTCATCCAATAGATATCTGGGTATCAAGGATTCTCAACAATATTTGGTATGATGTTTGCAGAATTTTTTTTTGAAAGTAAGTGCCTCAGACTATTCATCATTTCACAGCTATCTTAGATCCATACTGGCACATAACTTAGAAAGACATTCAGTTCTATTTCTCAATAATTATTGTTGTTTAATATCTCACTCACCATCGGCACCACCTTTGCCTTGTCCATATCAAGGGCACCCACAGATAAAAAATTTTAATGATAAAGAAATTACTTCTAAGTTCCTGTTCTATATATTCAAAAGAATATTTCTTATATTTCTAAAGTATTTTAAAACTTAAAAGTGTTTTTACATATATTACTCATCAGGCATATGTGCTCTGAGACATAAAATTGTAAATACATTGTGAATTGCATCACCTTCCTAGCCTCAGTGTCTCCCAACATAGACCTGACCTTCCTAAAATTGTTGATGATCTCATTTATATTATTTGTGTTACATAAGGTACTACACCACATTGTTAAGAAGATGATTTGATTTTTTTAAAAAAGCATATGATTATTCTTTTATAAAATGTTAGGTTCTGAATAGCTACTTGCGATATACTAGTATTTTTTTTTAAGTATGGATCATGGAACAGATATATCAGAACCCTATGAATAAGTGTTTTAAAACTTTAATATGTAACACATACCTGGGTTGATGATTGCAAAGCAGATTTCTGAACCTACCTCAAAACCTACTAAATCAGAATCTCCGGAAGTGGAGCCAAGACATCTGAACTTTTAGCCATCTGAGTGACTGCTGTTCATCTCAAAAGGCTAAGAACTATTGCCTTACAATGAACTTAATTTTTCTAGGGTTTCCACTGCAACTTAGAAGAAAGTTCTGTGCCTTTAGAAACTCCAAGAACTCGTTAAGGCAATTAGCATACCATTTAGCGAGTAATTCAAACTTAAGAAAAAAGAACAATGGGATTTAAATTATCATCAAAACATACTTCTGTGCAGTGCCCTGTACCTGGTGCTCTAAAAACTGCAGAAATTGATACAATTTCATAATAAATATTCAATCTGTAATGACGAGCTCTGTCAATCTTAGAAAAGATAAATGTAGAGTTTAATTAGAAAATAGATGTCTCTCTGAATGTGAGGTGAAAGCTGGATAAAATGCATTTCTGTCTGCCTCATAAGGTACTATTCAAGATATGTCATTGTTATAATTTGAAAAGTATTATTCAGGAAGAAGACAGATTTCAGTTCAGCAGATTTGACTGTCAGAAGACCAAGAAAGCTGAATGGAAAAAAGCTAAGTCACAGTGATCAAAACTTAAAAATTATCACGTATCTTGAAAATTAGCTAAAGAGTTATAGCCAAATCTCAATTTGCCTCTCAACAAAAAGTTAGACCAGGGAATCGTCACAATATGGGAGCCATTTTGATTAATGTAAACTTAAGTAAGGAAGTCTCTATTCCATGGTGCTTGGCTTGTATTGCTTCTTCATGAATTATGTTCTGATATTTTTAGATCACTGAAAGTGTCAAAATAATATTGAGTTAGATGCACTTTCTTCATGTCTTTCATGAGTTTAAAACATCCGGTTCTCCACAATGGCAATCAACTGACATCTATCTCACTCTGGAAAATAAAAATAAAAATTGTGTCCAGGATGTTCCTGGAAGGGTATTGCAAAAAAAATTATCTGTGAATCTAGCATGCAAGGTTAGGTCAGACCCTGTTAGCTGAGGGGAGTAAGGAGCAGGTGTTTGGACCAAGTCTGGGGAAGACTGGGCCAGACAAAGGGTAGAAGTTTAGATTTCTCAATTCATTGTACGTAACAGTTAACTCTTACCACAATAACACTTCATAACAACGCAAAACCTCAGTGGCCTACAACAATTAAGTGTTGATTGCTCACGTGTCTAGAGTTACCTGCTGATCTTGTCCCCGTTGGGGGAAAAAGTGCAAGAACCCATTTATCCTGACATTGTCAGAGGATCAGCTGTCTGTTGGTTGATATAAGCTGTCCTCAGCTTGGACGATTGGAGCAACTTGGCTTAGGTCTGTGTTTCTCATAATGCAGAAGGTTAATCCAGGCATATTCTTATAGTAATGGCTAAGGTACAAAAGAAAGCAAGTGGAAATATGCCAGGGCTCTTGAGGTCTAAGCTCAGGACTGGTACACAATCATTTTCACCATATACCGTAAGCCAAAAGCAAGTCATAAGACCAGTACCAATCGAAGGGGTGGGAAAATAAAGTATACCTCTTTAATAAGAGGAACTGCAAAGTCTTGTGGCAAAAAAATAATGAATATAAGAATTGAATTCATTAGTACAATTTCTCACTGTGTGAGATATTGAGTTCCTTTCCTCTATAGAGACCATGCTATGCAATATAGATAATAAGAGGCATAAGGTCTGATAGTGATTCTCAAACATGGATGGCTTATTAAAACTCAAATTGCCAAACCCTTCCCCTGGAGTTTCTGTTTCAAGAATTTCAGGGAAGAGCCTTAGAGTTTGCATTTCAGGTGAATTCCTAGATGATGTGGATACTGCTAGCCTAGGGAGCACATTCCGAGAGCCACTGTTCTGTGGATCTAGAGTTAGTAAGAACTTATTAGGATACTTTAGGCAACAAAGTATTTATAGGAAAGGCAATTTGAAGTGAAGTGAGAGAATTTGAGTGAAATCATTTCCTAGATATCCAAACAGCTTGTTAAGAATAAGCAGGCAGATCAGGGGCCATTGCTTCTTTCTTTGCACTATTCAATTTAACTATCTCAGGTAGCCAACAAACAACACAAGGGTTGGGAATGAATGAGTAATCAATTGTCTGTTGAAAGTTACACACAAAACTCTACATTGACAAACAAATTTTGGTGTCATTATTTTATTGGAAAAAAATAGTTAAAATAAGGTTTTGAGATGTCCATCACACTTAAAGTCAGTGAAAACACGCAACTTCTTCTAACATCAAATCACAATGAAACAATGAGTGAATGAGGCCTTAATTTTGGGGCAAGCAGAAAAATGCTATTAAATTATTTTGGGGGAATTGGTGAACTACAACCATTAAAGATAATGTGATTAAATGTAACATATGTTTTTTTTTTTTTTTTTGAGACAGGGTCTTCCTCTGTCGCCCAGGCTGGAGTGCAGTGGTGTGATCACAGCTCACTGCAGCCTCAACCTCCCAGGCTCGAGCAATCCTCCCACCCCAGCTTTCCGAGCAGCTTGGACTATAGGCACACGCCACCATGCCCAGCTAATTTTTGTATTTTTTTGTAGAGACAGGGTCTCGCTATGTTGCCCAGGCTGGTCTCAAACCCCAGGGCTCAACTGATCCTCCTGCCTTGGCCTCCCAAAGTGCTGAGATTACAGGCATGAGCCGCCATGCCTGACTAAAATATAAAATATTGAATATTGAGACCTACCCGAGGTTTAGCCTAGCCTGACACAATAGTTAAGTTCTAAGCAAAAATAAAGTTATTATTAGACGAGTGAAAAGCAGATTACATTTTACCAAAAATATGTTACTTTTAAAAGTGTGCAGGCAAATATCAAAATTGAATCAGTATTTTCAGACCACTACCTTTGAAAGTATCCCTAATCTTATACTAATTGGAACAAAAAAATGAGAACATGCAAAGAACATATGAATTCATTCAATATCAACATTATTAGTGTCTCTAAATGCTCATATAGAAATTGGAATTAATACAATAGAGAAGGCGCCAAAAGAGAAAAAGGCATCTTTTCAGGCATTTAAACCTTTTTTCATTGATACCCAGTCCTTAGAGTCAATCTATTATTTTTTTTTTTTTTTAGATGGAGTCTCGCACTGTCGCCCAGGCTGGAGAGCAGTGGCGAGATCTCGGCTCACTGCAAGCTCCACCTCTTGGGTTCACGCCATTCTCCTGCCTCAGCCTCACCAGTAGCTGGGACTACAGGCACCCACCACCACGCCCGGCTAATTTTTGTATTTTTAGTAGAGACAGGGTTTCACCATGTTAGCCAGGATGGTCTCGAACTCTTGACCTCGTGATCCGCCGGCCTCGGCCTCCCAAAGTGCTGGGATTACAGGTGTGAGTCACCGCGCCCGGCCAGATTCAATCTTAAATAGAAAAAAGTGTTTTATAACTGAACTAAAGTCTAAAAACAAACTCTTAGAATAAATATAAATCTGTTATGCAAATACAAATTTGAATGGAACACTTTACAAATTTATTTAATAAAGTATATTTGAGTATGAATTTAATAACATAGTTGTCATTAAATGGTATTCATCTGATAATAAATACCCATTCACATACTTTAATTCAAAGTATGTGGAACTAAAATCCTACAAGACAGTAGTTTTGCCCCCAGCTGGATTGATACAGTGATATCTCTCCCTTTATTATCCTTAATTCCCTAAACCACACAAATACATAGAAAATTTGAGTTCCAGTTTGACCGAAATGATAAGAAGGCTATTATAATTTCACACTAAGGTTATTTTTATCTTTTTGTCGACTTGAGTGTTCTCCCTATGAAGTTCTCCACTTCCACCTCCATCTACCCCTACATACAGTAAAAATGGACCCTAAAACCCAGGAGAATTGGTAATTATTTTCTTTATAGTGGTTATCATATAATAATGGTTTCTCATTTGCTTTCTCGTGTGAACCAAAAAGAAAAGCTGCATGAGAGCATCTCTAAGAACAGCAAGTGCCTTTTTAGTTATCTGTGAAGCCTTGTTTTAAGTATAAGTAGAGGGAAATCGTTGGAACTTAGTAAAAGGAAATGTGTATGGAAAAAAATCTTATCAGTTGAGAAATATATATACTTTCCTTCTCATCTATCAGAATAGGAAAATGAATTTAATCAGAGCTGGGGCTGGAGGTTGGAGGCAGAAATGCAAATAAAGGAAACAAAATTCAGCCAAGTTTCTTAAATACCTTTTCCCAGTGATTTGACAATATGGATCTTCAGATAAATACAGAATCTTACTTAAAGGATAAAGATAATGTTGGTTTTTTATTAGACTTTTCATAAAAGCTACTTTTCTAAGTTATTTTGACCTCAGCAATAAGAATTTCAGAAAGTGGTGGGATTAAGCTCCAGGGTTAAGCTGCTGATGTCTAGACAACTTGGAATTGAATTCAAATAGAAATCAGAACCCTCAGGTAAAAAAGTTAGCAAACTGGTTCCATTTTTTTTAAAAAAAAGAAAAGACTATTAGAGTCATAACTAAATGCACTTTTTCTTCAAAAGAAGATAATTATCTATTTGTAGCATATGAATTTCAGACTACAGTGTCTTGATTTAATGCACCCAGCACACTAGTGAGCCAAAATTCACCAAAATCCAACAGAAATCTAAATTAAGTGAGAATAATGTTTTCCTGAGTATTCATTTCAGAATTTATTTAAATCTAGCCCAAATGTGCCATACTTCTTTGGATGTATTAATTAGATTCTACTGGAAACCAGCTGACCCCAAGTTCTCCCCTAGGTATTTGGTTGTAATACAAAGTTATACCATTGTTGAAAACATCTGAGGTCCTATTCTCAGGTTCCTGTCAATGGTAGACCACAGTCTTTGGCATTGTAGAATCCCTCAGTGGCCACTTTCAATAGTAGACCTTGAGCCCACAGTAGATTCAACTGTGTTCTTCAAGTGATCATAGGCTGAACTGGCCTCTGCTGTTGACCTCTTCTTTATGTCAGAAGCCACTTCAGTGTGGGACCACTCTAAGAACACATTTTCATCTGAAATTAATTCCAGTTTCAACTTTCATTTCCCATTACTTAATTTTTTTTTTTTTTTTTTACTTTTTCATTTCCCACTACTTTTATGCAGCAGAAAAACAAAATAGTGCATTTTTTTGCAGGGATTGCTTTGAAGCTCATAAGCAGGGCAGATCAATTAAATCCCCAACTAAGCATAATTTGGGTGATTGACAATGGCCTTTCCCCAGTAAGAATGGTTGGCCCAGCACGGTGGCTCACGCCTGTAACCCCAGCACTTTGGGAGGTCACTTGAGGTCAGGAGTTTGAGACCAGCCTGGCCAACATAGTGAAACCCTGTCTCTACTAAAAATACAAAACTTAGTCAGACTTGGTGGCGGGTGCCTCTAGTCCCAGCTACTCAGGTGGCTGAGGCAGGAGAATCACTTGAACCCAGGAAGCAGAGGTTGCAGTGAGCCGAGATCTGAGATCGCACCACTGCACTCCAGCCTGGGTGACAGTGAGACTCTGTCTCAGAAAAAAAGAAAAAAAAAAAAAGAATGGTAGAGGTTTATTGTGAGTTTACTATACCCCAGGCACTGTGGTAAGCACTTTACTTGCATTATTTCCTTCAGTTCTCACAACTGGTTCATGACATGAGTGCTGTTACTATCTCCATTTGACAAAAGTTACTTAGGATCAGAGAAATTAAGTACATTTCTTAGTCATTCCTAGTAAGTAGTTGAACCCAAGAATGTGGGTGATTTTCCTTTTCAAAAATGTCTGTTCTGTTTTCCTTAAAGCTATCATTGAAATGGATAGAAGGGAGAAAATGAAAGAGGGAGGGAGGGAGGGAGAGAGAAAAAGAGAAAAAGGATTTGGCTATAGGTCAAGTTGCCTTGCCCTCTTTCCCTTCTCTTATACAATACTTGAGAAGAATCCTGATGCTCAACAATGAAAGCAAACAGGATTTTAAGGGCAAGAATCTTTTTTTGGTCACCACCATGCCCCTCAAAGCCCAGGTTATTAGGTTGCATAGTTATTTACTGAAAAAAAAAAATTAGGAAATGTTTTAAAACTCTAGAGACCCTCCTCTTTAGTGGTCTACTCTATGCAGGAGAAAATTGGCTCTATGGATAATCTAGATGTATTCCAAGGATGGTATGTTTATCAAATATTTAGGATTACTTCTCTATATACATCATATATATTATGTAATGAACCCTTATTCTTGCATTACTAAGGAATTTTATTATAAATAAACTGAAAATAGTTACGTAATAGTATTTTTATCTCTTGAATTCAGCTCCAAATTAGTACTGCTGGATTAGTTTGCACTTGATAGGAATGATAGGAATGAATTTGACCAAATGAACCATTTTTAACACTATCGTTTGATAGGTGAAAAAAAAAAGTGGTTTAATTTCTGAAATATTCAACTTTTCTCCCCCTGCAACTTCAAGGTTTTACCAGTGAAATGCTTAATGCTTTTCATCAGAAACATCTAACTTTCCAGTGCCTCAGGGAACATTAAAACACCAGAGCATTCCCACAATCATGCTGGGTGCGGTGGTTCACGCCTGTAATCCCAGCACTTTGGGAGGCCAAGGTGGGTGGATCACTTGAGGTCAGGAGTTCGAGATCAGCCTGGCCAACATGGTGAAACCCCGTCTCAACTAAAAATACAAAAAACAGCCGAGCGTGGTGGTACGTGCCTGTAATCCCAGCTACTCGGGAGGCTGAGGCAGGAGAATGGCTTGAACCTGGGAAGCGGAGGTTGCAGTGACCAGAGATCACACCATTGCACTCCAGCCTGGGCAATAGAGTGAGACTCCATCTAAAAAAAAATTTTTTTTTGCCTCTTCAATGAGCATGGAGACAACAAAGGCACTCATAATCTTTTCTTGCATGGGCACTCTTAAAATCTACATCCTCTAATTTGGAACATACACAGACCACTCCATTGGTCTCCAGAATTTGTCAAGTTGTACACTTTGCTGTATTGTAGAAAATAAGGTCTTGGAAAGTACTCTTATGGCATTTTTTTTTCTTATTCTAAATTTTTTCAATATGTGGAGATATCGCTTTTTCTCTTTTAATGTATGCCAACTCACAAGTCTCACCTTTCAGTTTGACTGCAAATATTGTGAGTGCAATTGGACAAGATGGTTTATACTGCAGTCCGTAAGGGGGAAAAAATCCTTCCTCCCACAATACTAACCTAGGAATCTATTGCTCCTGCTTTTAGTCCCAGCTCCAGCATTACTGCCATCACACAGTTTCTCTATGACTTCAGTTGCCTCATCTACAAAATGGAACAATTAGAGCTCCACAGTTTGTTTTAAAGAATTACTATGAAAATGACAAAGCCCTGTATCAATGAAAAAAATTCATTATAATTTTGTATTAGTTTATTCCCCTTCTTTCCTCAGTCCCCCAGCCATCCAGCCACCCCCACCCTACACCTTCTCATAATATTTCTTCCCCTATTGGCCTCAGTCTTGTGCTTTCTCTTTTTCCTTCTCTTTCTCTTTACCACTTTACCATTCTTTCTCAGTATGGTTTTTGTTCCTCTTTTGGACCCCTCCATAGGGTCATCAGAACAAACAGTCATACAGATCTCTTGCACTATACTGTTTCATCCCCCACCCCTCACCAACAGATTTGATTTGATTGGACATTCGAGAATTATAAGTTTATTAGGTTAAGAAGAAAGAGTTTAACTAAACCTAGTTATGCCTGTGGCACAATATCATGTTCATGTCAGTTATTTTTTTAAAAGGTAATTTCTGGTGATAATTAAGAATATACTGTAACATTAAAATATCCTGATTTTATTATATGGATTAATCATATATTTTATTTAAGCGGATTTTTAAACATTTCTTTTTTCTTTTCTTTTCTTTTTCTTTTTGTCTGACAGAGTTTCACTCTTGTCACCCAGGGTGGAGTGCAATGGCCCAATCTTGGCTCATTGCAACCTCTGCTTCCCAGGTTCAAGCGATTCTCCTGCCTCAGCCTCCCAAGTAGCTGGGATTATAGGCACCCGCCACCACACCCAGCTAATTTTTGTACTTTTAGTAGAGACGGGGTTTCACCATGTTGGCCAGGCTGGTCTTGAACTCCTGACCTCAGGTGATCTGCCTGCCTCGGCCTCCCAAAGTGCAGGGATTACAGGCATGAGCCACCACGACCGGCCCAACATTTCCTTTTTAAGTTGGATTTTGTAAGTTGTGCACAATTTAGCAGCCTATTTCAATGAGTACACGGGGGAAAACAGTTCATAGGTGTTGTGAGGTGTGGACTATTTTGCGCTCTATTAATAGAATTCATGAAAAAACAGAATGATTTTATTGCTACTACCAATTCTGTCAAATATGGAGACTTTATATACTTTAATTGAATACGTACATTGGTATGCTTTTTATATCTCCATGAAAACATCTATATTATGAGAGTTCTATCAGTATTTCTGATTTCATATATTGAACAATCCTATATAAATTCTGTGGGAGAGGGAAAATCAGTTTACCAATAAAATGTATAGAGCAGTTGGAGATTGCGCTTTTCCAGCAGTCTTCACACAAAACCAATTATTGCCAAATGTTATGACCTGCACAGTTAAAAATCATCTAAGTGCAAAACAATATACAAATTCTAAGATGTATTATCTTGGTGCAAAAATAATTGAGGTTTTTGCCATTGAAAGTAATGGCCAAAGCTGCAATTACTTTTGTACCAACCTAATATTTTATTTTAAAAGTGAAGTGTCTCTAGTGAGTTACAAGCAAGTAACAAAGAATAGTCAGCAAGTTAAAAATGACTTACTTGTAAAATATTTTCCTTGTGCCTGGACCAGTTCTGTATAATTCAAATATAACCAAAAAATGGAAGGTAAGCATATTTATGTACATTATACATTATATATTATATTTGAAAAAACCCAGGGTCTAGAGGCCTAAGTATCATGCTAAGGATGTCAGATGGGGTGGTTCTGGTTGTTGGAGAGGCATCTACAGTACCTCAAAGTCCATCCCATACAGATCTACTGCTGTTGTCATTTGTTATAGAGTTTCACCATTCTCTTGGTCATCTCAGGAAAGCACAGCCCTCTTCCCCTCAGAGCCTTCCAGTACAAATGAGAGAAGGGCTTCTCTGGATATTTTGGCCCCATGCTAAACTGTTCCTACAACACTAACAGGGAGGATGCCCTCCTGGGCCTGACCAATGCTTGGCTAGCTGCGGTAGGTGTGTGATCATGAGGAGAGGGATTAGATGAGCTACAACTGAGAGAACAGAAATTGGAGCACCTTAATGGAGATGCTCCTTTGAATGGAGACCTGCCTCTTGCCTATCCTAGCAGAGTGGAGCCGTCTCTTGGGGTAGGATAGAGAGTCTGCAAATGCCAGCTCTGCCCCCTGCTATGTGAGGGGACCTCTTATCTGGAACCCCACTAATATTCCCCTTAAAACATTTATATCCTCACCCTAACCTTTCCCCCACTTGGATCTCAGCCTTCCTTCTGAGGATAAAGTAGCCTAGCTCTTCATCTTTACTTTTATCCATGAGGCTAAAATAAATGTAGGTCCTTATTTATTTAGATTCTGGATCTAAAACAAAACAAAGCATATTAACAACAACAAAAACATCCTCTTTTTCTCTCTCAACCTCAGGTCTTGAAAATCATGAGTCTGTGACTTTAAAATTCCACATCTGTTAATGAGTTTTTAAATATCTGTTTAGAAATTCAATTGATTCTTTGATTGTTTGTAAGATCTCTATGCCCTAACTTCCCTAGGGTAAATAATTAAGTGCCTCCCTAAAGTCACTGGACTCAATGGGAGGGGAAGAAGGGTGGAAGGGAAGAGGGAAATTAATACTGGTTAATGACTCCAATTGTCATCCCACCACACACAATTATCTATTCAAATGGCCCTCTAGGCTGACTTGGGCTGATTGAACTAGAGATGAACATCTGACTCAGTAACAGTCATTTACAAATTAACCAATAGCAGAGGATGACAAGGCACAAAGGCTCGAAACAATATTTGTCCTTGCTATCACTGGTGAATAGTGGAGTTCATCTAAGTACCACTCTAAACTATAACCAGCATGGATCAGTGATGATAATGCATCATAAACCAATAATTGTGTTTAATCATTCTGTTCAACTGAGGTTGCCCAAAATTAATTAACTAACAAATGGATGATAAATTACATAAGTAAATGCAAACAAAAAAGGAATCAGGATACTAATCAATATTAGCTTAAGTGGAATTCAGGTCATAAGTTGAAAGGAGACAAAGAAAGACACTTTATAAAATTAAATGATAAAATTCATGAGGAAGATAAAATATTTATGAATATCTGTGCATCAGATAACATAGCATTGACATTCGTGAAGCCGACACTTCAAATCATTAAAGAAGAAAGAGAATAACAGTGGTGATGGGAGACATTAATTTACCTCTTGTGGTCCAAAATAGATCAAGTGGACCAAAACAATGTCTAAGGAAACAGCATATGAAAATGGGATTTTTTTTTTTTTTGAGACAGAGTCTCGCTCTATTGCCCAGGCTGGAGTGAAATGGCACAATTAAAATGGGATATTTTTTAAAGTATATAAAGTAAACCAATACTACATCACTAGAAAAAGAATACAAATGCTTTTCAAATACCCATTCTTTAAAATCTTTAAATGTTCTTTAAAAATCAACAATATGTTAGTCACAAAGTAAACTTCAGCAACATGCAAAATGTAGACATAGTATAAGTAATATAACATTCTCAGATAAGAATACATCTAAACATTAATAAGAAAACCAAGAAAGAAAAGGCCCTTACCTACCAAAAGTTTTTTAAATGATTGCATACACCAGTTGAGACAAAGAGGAAATACTAACCAAAATTGCAGAATATCTAAAAAATAATTATTTTAAAATTATGTATCATATCAAGACTTATGGGGTATAACTGGAAAGAATAAAAATAAATAATTGAAGTATTTAACTTATTTTACTTAAATATAGGAAAAGAATCATAAAAGGAAAGAAGAAAATAAAGATAAAAGCAGATATTGGTAGAATGAATAATAATTATTATCTCTTTATTAATAATGAAATGGATAATCTTTGAGTTAACCAAATGAAGAATAGGGGGAAAGCACAATAAGCAAAATAAGAAATAATCAAGGTAAGTAGGAGAATCGTAAGAGCCTGTTTTGCTAAGCTACACATAAATAAATTCAAAATCTGTGATGAAATACACAATTTTCCAGGACAATGTACCTTACCAAACAAAAAGAAAGAAAACATGTAAAATCTTTATTTCCGTAAAAGACTTAGCTTAATTTTTATTCTATGGCTATTTCCTCATGAAGCACAATTGAAGATATTTCTACAGGGTAAATTAACCTGAGTCCTCCAAGAAGAACATGTCAAGAGAGGATCTGAAGTGTATAAAATCTATTGGAGAATCACCTGTAAAGGACAGAGTGTGACTGAGCAGGGGAATGAGAGCCTTCAGACGACAGTGCAGGCCTGACACCTCCAAAAGTGGAGAGAGCAGGAAGAAAAATTGAGTAGGAAGGAGCTTCAGACTGGAGTGCAGTTCTGAGAGTGTCTCAGCCGGCTTAATTGGGAAATCAAGCAGAGGTTGCCTGTTAGAGGGGTCCCACAACTGCCAGAAATGACCCGTTTCTAGTATAACTCTCACCTACTGAAAAACATTTTTCTGAAATGTATCTTCAATGTAGCCTACATCACCACTTTTTCTCTCTTTACTAGATCATTCTGATCAGTATACAAACATACTGTAGTATCTCCCATTTTATGAAATATTTCCCTGCCCCCTCCCATAGTAGCTACTGCCCCATTTCTGTGCTTCCTTTGGAAGCAGAACTTCTGCAAAAAAAATTGCCTGTAATTATTGTATAACACTTACCTCTCCTCCCATTTTCTCTTAAAACTAATTCATTTGCTCTTATATCTCCACCACTTCACCAAAAACATATTTGTCAAGTTCCTCAGCGACCTCCATGTATCTAAAACCAGTGGTCAAATATCAGTTCTTAACTGACTTAACTACAGAGATTTCTTCCTCCTGTTTTCTCCTCCTTCCACTTCCTCCTCCTCTTCCTCTTCTTCTTATCAATTTTCAGAATAATTAGGTCATATTTAAGCAATCTCCAGAGAAGACCATTCTTTTTTTCTAAGAACTATTATTAACTTATGAATGTTAACATATTTTGGTGTATTTTAATGCATTATAGACATTGTTCCTTTTAATACCTAAATCATTCTTTCTTTATCAGTGGGAAACATTCAGAGTCAGCCCATGGGTCATTTTGATGTCTCTCCGCTTTGTACAAGAAATCTCAAGTTTATCATGCGAGATCTGTTTCTCAGATGTGGAATTGCCTTTCTCTAAGCAGCCCTAATTCTTTTCTGGGGAAATGAAATTCAGAGAATATAATTTGGATGCTAGGGATACTAGTGGCTACCGGGTTGTAATTAATTCTGTATTTTTTATTGGGCAGAGCTAGGAAAACACACGCTTTTAGAAAGAGACAAATGAATAGTGATTTGACTCTGAAATTTCCATTCAAATTGATTTATAGGATAGTTCTATAATATTAGGCCATAGTCTTGATTCTTAACGTTATCATCATTTTCTTAATTCTAATCTATCTATATTAGGCTGAACCATTTTAAATTCACATTTTTGTGTATATTAAAATGTTTTGTTTTAAAAAGTAAACCAAATACTGTATCACTGGAAAAACAATATGTTTTTCAAATACCCATTCTTAAAATCATAAAATGTTCTTAAAACATTTATTACAGAATATTAGTGATTTTATATTGTCCAACCATATGTGTGTATATGTATGTAGTGGTGTGTGTGCATAGTTTGTGTGTGTGTGTGTGTCTGCATGTGTAATTTCAAAATAAGAATATAACTTTTATTGCTAATAACGACTCTACGGAAAGAAATTTAAGATGACTTTGATGTTCTTTTTGTCTTTGGAATAAATCCCACTAGGGAGGTTCAGTCAAAATACTGTGTTTCAAAGTTACTTGAAATAATTCCTCTTTCTGTGGTTACGCCACCAACTTGATACACAGAGCACTTGTTTCCATTTCTTTTTTATTTCTGTAATTTATTTTTACTTTTTGATTTAATATTGTTTTAAAATTTACATGGTTTCTGAGTCCAAATGATAAAATGTTGTAGATTCAGATAGGTCTAGCTCCTATTCCTGTCTTTTCACCCACTTTATAATTCTCCTTTTTATGGTCATCAATTGTTTATCAAACAATTGCTTATTTAAAAAAAGTAAATATGTAAGTATTCATACTTCAATCAATTTCTTATAAAACATTATTTATATGGTGAAAATTCTCTAATTCTCTTTTTTCCTTCCTTCCTTCCTTCCCTTTTCTTTCATACAACAAATTTAATAAATCACTCCATAGAAATGCATAGCAATCAAACTTATTATTTCTCCCCTCACACACTTCATCTCCCCACCATGCTACAGAGCACGCCATTGTATAAATGTGCCATGTTTATTGAAACAGGGCACTTTTGGTGGGCTTTTGGGTGATCTTGGTCTTTTTCTATGACAAAGAGTACTACATTAAATACCTTTATGCTATGACAACTAATCCTCTCAGTTTGCCTGCGACTGATGGGTTTCCCAAGATGCAGGACTTTAAATGCTAATGCCAGCAAAATTCTGAACAAGCCAGGGAAAGTTGGCTACCCTACCATGTGCACACATCTTTTCAGAGGATTGATATTTTATGAATTTGGGTTTTTTACCCAGGTACATGATAGGCTTCTCTATTTGTTCATATACTTCTTTTTTGTCCTTCAAGTATGCCTCAAGGTATTTTTTCATATTGGTCTTGAACATTTTTCATTAAGTTTATTCCTAGGTCATTTTTCTTTTTTGACACTACTATAAATGAGATCATTTCTACCATTGCATTTTTAAATGTATTGTTTTCATACATTCTATAAAAGCCATAGATTTCGATATATTTATTTTTACTTTCCACCTCCAAGTGCTGAGCAAGCATCTGGGCATCTTCCCTTTGTAAAACTGATTTCCCCCAGGGCAACTTTGAAATCTCTTCTGAATCCCCTCTATCTGGTCCTCCAATTAACAGACAGAAAGAGAGTAGGTGGTCACCTCTTAATTTCTTCAGGTTACAAATGACATATTTCATTTCTGCTCACATTCCATTGTCTGCAATTCAGCTGATGCCCGTGCCTACCTGTAAGAATACAGGGAAATACAGCCTTCACTTGCGCCTAGGAAAGAGAGAACAATAGATGTCTACCTCAAGACTCTACTGGAATATAGGTACTACAAGTACAGGGATTTTGTACTTTTGGTTCTTTAAAGAATCTCAAATACTTTGAACATCTCCTAGTATACAGCAGGTGCTCAACAAAGAGGTGATGTTATACAATGGATATGTCTTTAACATGAAAATATTTATTTCTCTCAGCCTACCATGTTCATCAGTGAAGAGACACTAAAGGCATTCACATTAAATTCCAGATCAAGGTAAAGATGTTTGCTTTTACCTTTTGTATTTAACACTCTATGGAGATAGTCACCCATGCAAATAGTAAATATTTTAGGGATCATGGGCCACGTAGCCTCTGTTTAAACTCTACTCTAGACAATACATGAGCAAATGGGTGTGACTGTGTTCCAATTAAATGTTATTTGTAAAACCAGGTCCTGGGTGGATTTGGCCTAAGGTCATAGTTTAAGAATGATTACTGTAGACCACAGTTGTCGGCAAGACAAATAAAGGTTTAGGTAAAATTATTACCTTTTGCAGATGATACAATGTTATGTCTGGAATGTCTAAAAGAAACCATTTTAAAACTAGTGAAAATAATAAGAGAATTCAGTATGATTTTTGGGGTGGTGAGGGACAAGACAAATTTAATACAATATAAATTTTAAAAATCTAGAAAAAACTGAAAAATAAAAGCAATGTGGGGAAACTAGTTCTACTAGAGATATACCAAAAAGACTCGGTAATTTAAACTATGTATTACTGCCATAGGACTAGAAAGAATAAAATAGGAATATTAGAGATAGACACTATGCATACAGAACTTATGATATAAAAAGGGTGGCATTATAAACCAATGACGAGAAAAATAAACTATTCAAAGAATGGTGTTGGGAAAACTAGATAGCAACCGGGGGGAAACAAAAAGTTGCATTCGCAGTTTGTACTTCCCATAAAGTTGAATTGCAAACAGATTAAAATTTAGATATGCAACACACCACGACAGCATAAAATTACAGAAGGAAATATGGGATAACCCTTCATTGAATCCAAACACACAGAGAGATTTTGTAACTATAAGATAATATGCAGAAATGATGGACGTATTTCATGCTGTAGAAATCAAAACTTCTGCCTCGCAAAAACGAAATCAATTGATTAATTTAAAGGTAGAGAATACTTGCATCTTAGATCACAAAGTGTATTAGTTTGCCAGGGTTGTCGTAACAAAGTACCATAGACTGGGTAGCTTAAAACAACAGGAATTTAATTTTTATAGTTCTAGAGGATAGAAATGCAAGATGAAGTTATCGGCTGGTTTAGTGTCTTTCGAGGTCTCTCTCCTTGGCTCACAGATGTCTACCTTCTTGTTTCCTCATATGTTCAACTCTGTGTGTTGTCTATGTTCTAATCTCTTTTTCTTATAAGGACACCAGTCATATTGGATTGGGGCCCACCCATAGTACCTCATTTTACCTTAATTACTTCTTTTAGCCCATCTCCAAATACAGTCACCTTCTGACATACTGGGAGTTAGGACCTCAATATAGAAATTGTAGAAGGACAAAATTCAGCCCATAACACAAAGAAAGGATTAATCTTGGTTATATACAAAGAACCTCCCAGGAATTCACAGAGCATCCTCTTTTCCCTCCCCTTACATGGTCTGCAGTAATCATTGCCAACTATGACCTTCAGGCCAAATTCACCCGGGAACTGTTTTTGCAAATAACATTTAATTGGACACAGCCACACCCATTTGCTCATGTATTGTCTAGAGCAGAGTACTATAGTTTAAACAGAAGCTGTGCGGCCCGTGATACCCAAAATATTTACTATCTAGTCATTTACAGAAAAAATGACAACCTGCGGACTAGGGCACAGTCAGACTGGGGGTTAGGAAATGTGTAGGCAACATGGAGATAAAAGTTGAAGAGAGAGACCAGGTTGTATTAGGGATAAGCTGATAGATCCCAGTGTGCCTGGGATAGTGCCAGTTTACATTTATTATTCCAGCACACCTACTAGTTGATATTTACACTTTTAATCCTAAAAGTGCCCTCCATTGAACAATAAATGATATAGTCACTGTTATGGGTTGAATTTTGTTCCTCCAAAAGATATACTGAGTTCCATATCCCCAGCACCTGTGAATGTGACCTTAGCTAGAAGTAGGATCTTTGCAGATATAATCAAAATAAGACGAGGTCATTAAGGTAACCTGTAATCCAATATGACTGATGTCCTTAAAAGAAGAGGGAAAATTGGACACAGACACACACAGTGAAAAGAGTACTATGTGATGACACAGAGATGCAGACACAGAAGGAAGATGGCCATGTGATGACAGAAACAGAGACTGGAGTGATGCATCTACAAGAAAAGGAGCACCAAGGATTTCTGTAAACACCAAGGCTAGAAGAAATGAGAAAGGATTCTTCCCTAAAGCCTTCAGAAGAAGTATGGTTCTGCTGCTATCTTCATTTCAAACTTCTACTCCCATAACTGTGAAAGAATGCATTTTTGCTGTTTTAAATCAACCAGTCTGTAGTACAGTCATGCACTGCATAATGATATTTCGGTCAACCACAGACTGCATATACGATGGTGGCTTTATCAGATTATAATGGAGGCATATACAGAAACCTGGTATATGGCACTCCATATTGGCATTGTTGATCAAGTAGGGGAAATGAGTGATATTCAGTAACAGTGCTGGGACACTTAGTTTTCCGTAAGAAAAACACATATATGAATAAATAATAATATATGCCATCTAGCTTTGTATAAGTACACTCTATGATAGCACAACAACAAAATCACCTGACAACACATTTCTCAGAACATATTTTGTTGTTACATAAAGCATGGCTGCACTTTGTTACAGCAGCCCTGGGAAATTAAGACAGTCACCTCTATCAATGAGGACTTATCTGAGGAAAATAAGTTAGCATTCAGGGATTATCAGTTAGAATATTATGGATTAAAATGGAGAAGACCTAATATATAAGGAGCTCAAACAACTCTATAGAAAAACATCTAATAATCTAATTAAAACTGGTCAAAAGATTTGAATAGACAATTCTCAAAAGAAGACATACAAATGGCAAACGGGCATATGAAAAGATGCTCAACATCATTGATCATCAGAGAAACGCAAATCAAAACTACAATGAGATATTATCTCACCCCAGTTAAAATAGCTTATTTCCAAAAGGCAATAAAAAAATGCTGGTGAGGATGTGGAGAAAAGGGAACCCGGATACACTGTTGGTGGAAATGTAAATTAGTACAACCACTATGGAGAATAGTTTGGAGGTTCCTCAAAAAAACTAAAAATAGAGCTACCATGTGATCCAGGAATCCTACTGCTGGGTCTATACCAAAAGAAAGGACATCAGTACATTGAAGAGATATCTGCACTCCCATGTTCATTGCAGCACTGTTCACAATAGCCAAAATTGGATGTAACCTAAGTGTCCATCAACAGGTGAATGGATAAAAAAAATGTGGTATATATACACCATAGAGTACTATTCAGCTATAAAAAAGAATGAGATCCTGTCATTTGCAACAACAAATGAAGGCCATTACGCTAAGTGAAATAAGCTAGGCACAGAAAGACAACCATCACTTGTTCTCACTTATTTGTGGGATCTAAAAAATCAAAACAACTGAATTCATGGAGATAGAGAATAAAAAGATGATTACCAGAGGCTGGGATGAATAGTAGGGGAGGAGTGGTGGTGGAGGGGAGGTGGGGATGGTTAATAGTTACAAAAAAAAGTAGTTAGAAAGAATGTCCCAGTATTTGATAGCACAACAGGGTGACTATAGACAATAATAATTTAATTGTACATTTAAAAATAACTAGAAGTATAATTGAATAGTTTGTGACACAACAGATAAATGCTTGAGGGGATGGAAACCCCATTTTACATGATGTGCTTATTTCACATTGCATGCCTGTATCAAAATACCTTCTGCACCCCATAAATATATACACCTACTATGTACACAAAAATTAAAAACTTTTAAAAAAGAAAATAAAATGTAGAAAAGCTAGAGGTGAGGATACCACTTAAGAGACTACGAAAATTAGAATACACCACAGTCAATTAGGGCATTGTTACAAACGGACTTAAACCAATTTAGTGAGGTTTTTTTTAATTGTAGGTATTTTTACCAGAAATAGGTAGCCTCATATACTATCAGATTTTTTAAAAATTAGTGATTTCATGTTACTTTTATTTAGATTCTTGTTGTTATGTGTGGGGTTTTTTGGTAAAGTTTATATCAACCTGTTAATGATATTTGAAATCCAAAGTCTGTTAAAAATGGAAAGATTATGTTCATCCTTCCTCCTCCACATCCCATCTCCCAGGTGGTATATCACAATAAAATTTCTGAATGGGTTCAGAACATGCCTCCCCCAAAAATGTTGCTCTGGCATACTGATTATTTTGAGCTGAAGGCACTTGAAAAACAGCAGACGCAGGAAGGGCTCTCCGACCTCCCGCTTTCTACCTGAAAGCAGGTCATGAAATTTCCCATGAGAAAGGTATTCACCTTGTATCAAGAAGAGAACAGTCTTACCACCAGAGAATGGAAGTCCACGCTGAAATGGATCTGTGCAAACCAACCTACTAAAAATCTCTTATCTTCCATTAGTTCCCTCCATATTATTTTCTAGTCACTTATCCACAATTTACTGCTCCTACTCCAAACTCTTTGTCTTTTCACTTCTCCACAAATGTATCATTTTTTTTGTTTAAAAAGTATATAAGCTCCCAGTCTTAACTGCTTCTTTGGTTCTTCGTTTTTCTTGTGAAAACTCCTGTGTGCACGTAAAAATATCATAAAATTTTTATACTTTTCTCCCGTTAATTTATCTTCTGTGAGTTTAATTCTTAGGCCCAGCTACAGAATCTAAGAGGATAGAGGGAAGTTTTCCTTCCCTACATTTCTTTCTTTTTTTTTTTTTTCCGAGACAGAGTCTCACTCTATCACCCAGGCTGGAGTCCAGTGGCATGATCTCAGCTCACTGCAACCTCCGCCTCCTGGGTTCACACGATTCTCCTGCCTCAACCTCCCGAGTAGCTAGGACTACAGGCTTGTGCCACCACGCCCAGCGAATTTTTGTATTTTCAGTAGAGACGGGGTTTCACCATGTTGGCCAGACTGGTCTCAAACTCCTGACCTCAGGTGATCCGCCTGCCTTGGCCTCCCAAAGTCCTGGGATTACAGCCGTGAGCCACTGCACCTGGCCTTTCTGCCCTATGTTTAAAGCCCAATTCTGCCAAACATGCAAATATTTAGTAGCAAATAAACATAGCCCATACTTGTAAATTCATGAAGTTCTAGCTCTCTGCCTTTTTAGTCTCTCTGGCAAGAAAGATTCACTGCATGAAAGATTAACTTGATACGCATGAACTACATTTTAGTGCCAGGTTCAGCTAACCTTGGGAATGAGACCTCCAAATGTTTATTAAAGGCAGCACACTTGTCCAAACAAAGCGCTGGGAGAAGATGACCAGAGGGTTTCACCTGCTCATGCTGGGCCAGAGGTGCTTGTTTATTCCTTCCCACCAGTGTCTATGTATTAAATTACCATTCATTTCACCATTGAAAAATAATTTCAAATAGGTAATGTATAAATTATTAAATCTTCTTGTGTTGTTCTGACATGAGACAACAATGAAACTAAAACAGAAAAGCATACTCATTAGACCATTCAAATGCTAATTAACAACACCTGAAGTATGAATGCCTAATTAGAGCATTACGAAGTTAACCAACAGTATAGGATTAAATATCACCCCAAGGTATTAGAAAGTAAACTAGAGACAATATAGCAGGCCTGACCCAAGGGTGTAAGATGGTAGCTTTTTCTAGCTGACTCCAGTTCTCTGAAAACAGCAGAGGAATGGGCTTAAGCTGAAATTTCATAAATTTAGTCAAATCAAAGAAGTGTCTGATAGGCTCTTATGTCTGCTACCATTACATACATCTGCTTCAATGTATGTATGAGATCCCACCTGGAAGTAGGGGCTCAATGTCCTGTGGAACATCCTTCCAGTTTTAGAAGTAGCTTATTGATGATGTGTGTGCAGTAACCATTTTTGGATATTTTAAAATTATTGTCATTGATTTTTGTCCTATGTATGTATATTGTCTTGTTTGCTACTGTGGTTAAATATATCTATTTTTGTTGGTATTCTTTGTGATCGTATTTATCAAAATGACTACTGTGAACTTTCTCTTGTCTTCTACTACTAAAAATAGGAATCTTTGAAAATATATAAAAAATTCTATTTCATACCAGACACAACTTGGAGATGTGATCATTTTATTAATTTATCTCCCCTCCTACAGCATGCTGTGAAATTTCCACACTCCATTTAACTTCCATAGGCATCTGTTCGCATGTAAATAACTCCCAGGATACCTAACTTTCTTTGATGATTTACTCCAATTTAAAACTAATTATTATACATTCTTAATTGGGAGACTTAGTTACATGAAAAGGATGGTTTGCCTGATTTTAATTCAAGATTTGTAACACCTGTAATTTAACAGCGATCAGTGTCCTATTTCACTTTTGATAAAACGGAGTGATTATTATCTGCTATTAGCTAATGGATATCTCAACTGAAATTGAGAAGCATCTTTAAATTTAGGAGATTTGATTTTAATTTGGGGATTTTATGTGGGACCAAGTTACAGCAACAACTCTAATGGGAATGGTTCTAAGTTCCAGAAGGCAGAATTATATTTCTAGGAGAAACAAAATTATATGTTTTTAGCATAATATCCTCTAGGGCAATAGCAAAGATGTTGAAGAGGCAATGAAGTATAATGGGGGAAAAAACTCTCAGAATGTAAAGGGCGAATTAAAAGACTGTTGCTGCTCTGTCTTAACCTTAGAAATTCACTTAGCTTCTTTGTGATTCAGCTTCCTTTTATTTAAGGATGGGGTAATTATATCTTGCAAACATCACAGGATTGCTGTGAGGTCCAGTGAGATAATACACATGACATCAGTTCCATTCCTTCTTTGTTGTTCCCTCCATATTTTGAGACCAACCTTGAACTCTTCTATTGATTACTTTGTTACTGTCCCTTTTTATTCTCCCTTCTTAAACACACGCACACACACACACACACACACACACACACACACACACAGAGACATATAGATTAATGGGCATCTTCCCTCAAGTGCATTTGCATTTTAAAAGATTGTGCCTAAATTGGGCAAGCCTGTATTAGTGGTAGGTTCCTCAATTTCTATCAGGAAAGGAGACATTTCTTTGGGGACAAGTGTGTGCCTCAAATCATACCACAAAAGGAATCATGAACTCAAGAGAATTTTCCTTACTTCTAGTATACTAGGAACTAATTATTTGAACTTGTATTTATTTATATATTTTATTTAATACATATATATTGTCTTATTTAAATATATAAATAAATATTAAAATATTTTTATTTATTGTTATTTAAAACAGTACTTTAAAGTCAGCATTATTGCAAAAAAAAAAAAAAATCCATGGATGTAGTTTTCCAGGAGGCAGGAAACTTTCTGTTAAGAGTCATATAGTAAATAGGTAAAGCACTGTGGGCTATACAATCTCTGTCACAACTATTCACCTAAGCATGATAACTCCAAAGAAGCTATAGATGATATGTAAATGAATGGGCATGGCTGTGTCGCATTAAAACTTTATTTACAAAAATAGGCTGTGAGCTGGATTTAGCTCACTGATAATAGTTTTCTGACACCTATAGTATTCCATCTACTCCTACATCTTCCCTTCTTTTCCCAATCATCCAAAAAGTAGAATGTTTCACAGGAGAAGAGATATTAAACACTATAAATATATAGTTGATTCCCACTTCTCCTTTCCATTCGACCCCAAAGAATGTGCAGAAATTTCGTGGCCTTGTCTTCCCTGTGCTCAGCCCCTAAGGCAAGCATGATGCCCATGAGCTGTCCTACAACCAACTAAAATAATGGTCAGGGCCAAACACAAACAAATCCTTCCTTTCCTCTAACTCTCTTTAGTGAAGGCTCAGGATCTCAGATGCAAGGGTGGGGACACTTGTAATCCCTGCTTGGAAGTTTAGTCGCTCCTTTCTTTCTCTGGCTAAAATGAAGGTATCTATGAATGTGTGTCTGCTTTCAGTGCATTTGGAACCTCAGAGTTTAGTGTACCAGCACTTACTGAGAACTGACTGCTTGCAAAACTGTATGAGAATGCAAAATAAGAGACACATCCCCTCAAGGATCCAACTACCTACTTGGGGAAGCAGAACACACACACACATAAGAAAAGTACTAAACAACACTTACAAAGCCTAACATCAGCAAAGTACATCTTTATAAAGTAGAAGCTGACAGCATCAGTGCTAACAGTAAACTCTGTACAGGAATGATCAGAGTTAGGTAATAGATCCTAGAAGAAGCAAGATGGAATGACATTTTCCCTTCCTGTCATTCCTACCAAAACAGAAGAAAAAAAAATCTTTCAGGAAAAAGAAATGCCTAATTCCTTTGATAACAATGCTTCCCTTAAGTTGAATGGTGGTAAGAACCCTGAACTGCTGTAAAAGGTGAAATATCAGGATCAATCTTATTAACAGGCTTATTTCAAATTTCATATATAGTTCAGTTGAGCCAAAAAAAAAATGGTTTGGCCGGTCAAAACAGGGTCTCGCTCTGTTGCCCAGGCTGGAGTGCAGTGGCCCCATCTCAGCTCACTGCAACCTCCACCTCCAAGGTTCAAGTGATCCTCCCACCTCAGCCCTCCCAAGTAACTGGGACTACAGGCTTGCACCACCACGCCTGGCTAATTTTTGTGGGTTTGCTTTTTGTAGAGATGGGGGTCTCACCATGTTGCCCAGGCTGGTCTTGAACTCCTGGGCTCAAGTGATCTGCCTGGCTCAGCCTCTCAAAGTGCTGGGATTACAGGTGTGAGCCACTGCACTTAGAAATATATAGAGCATTTTCTGTATCTGATGCTGACCATACATTTATTTAAACCCTCCTCTAAGCTGTTGTTGTCTTCCTCCTTTGAAGCTTTTGTGTAAGGTGTGGTAGGAACACCCCAAAGGCCTGAGACCTGAGCCTTTACTGAGATTACAGAACAGACTGTCTGAACTATTTTCATGTCTGCTGACTAATAAATGTTTGCTTACTAATGTTTGATGTTTGTTGAATTCATCCTCAAACTTGTTTTTTAAAAATATTGTGGTAAAATATACATAACATGAAATTCACCATTTTTAGTTATGTAATTCAGTAGCATTGTTACATTCACAATGTTATGTAACCATCACCATCATCTGTTTCCTGAACTTTTTCATCATCCCAAAAAGAAACTCTGTAACCATTAAGTAATAATTGCTTGGCCGGGCACGGGGCTCACGCCTGTAATCCCAACACTTAGGGAGGTCGAGGCAAGTGGATTGCCTGAGGTGAGGAGTTCAAGACCGGCCTGGCCAACATGGTGAAAGCCAGTCTCTCCTAAAATACACAAAAATTAGCCGGGTGTGGTGACGCGTGCATGTAGTCCCAGGTACTCGGGAGGCTGAAGCAGGAGAATTGCTCAAACCTGGGAGGTGGAGGTTGCAGTGAGCCGAGATCACGCCATTGCACTCCAGCCTTTGCAACAAGAGTGAAACTCCATCTCATAATAATAATAATTGCTTATCCCCTCCTCCCACATTCCTGGTGGCCTCTATTCTACTTTCTAGTCTTTATGAATTTGCCAATTATAGGTACCTCACATAAGAGGAATCTCACAAAATTTGTCCTTCTGTGTTTGCCTTATTTCACTTTGCATGATGTTTTCAAGGTTTATCTATTGTAGCATGTATCACAATTCTTTTTGTTTTTTCCAGGATGGGGTCTCACTCTGTCTTCCAGGCTAGAGTGCAGTGACATGATCATATTTCACTCTCGCCTCCACCTCCCAGGCTCAAATGATCCTCCCAGTTCAGCATCCCAAGTAGCTGGAACAACAGGCACATACCATGTCCAACTAATTAAAAAAAAAATTATATACACGGGGTCTCACTGTGTTGCCCATGCTGGTCTCGAACTGCTGGTCTCAAGAAATCCTCCTGCCTTAGCCTTCCAAAGTGCTAGGATTACAGGCATGAGCCACCACCTCCAGCCCCAGAATTCTTTTTAGAGCTGAATAATATTCTCTATACCACATTTTGTTTATCCATTCATCTGGTGACAGACACTTGGGTTATTTCCACCTTTTGGCTGTTGTAAATAATTCTGTTATGAACATTGATGTACAAGCATCAAATTTGTTTTTAAGGTAAAGTTCCTGATAGGCTGTGAGGGAAAAGTCTATTGCCTTCATCTTTAACTAATGGCGACAACAAATATCTACCTTAAAGAACTTAAAGTTTGGTATGAACAAATGGACTTTTGTCAGGTCATAATGCTCAGTTTCCTCATCTGTAAAATGGTGATACTGATAGTACCTACCTCACAGGTTGTTAGGAGGATTAAATGAGTTAATACATATAAAGTGCTTACAAATGTGTCAGGTTGAGTGCAGTGGCTCATACCTGTAATACTGACACTTTGGGAGGTGAGAGGATCCCTTGAAGCCAGGAATTCCAGTGAGACTAGCCTGGGCAACATAGTGAGACCCTGTCTCCATAAAAAAAGAGAAAGGAAATGTCAGTCACAGTGTAAGCATTAAACAAATGTAGCTCTTTCTATCATTAGTATCATCATTCTTTATCTTTTAGGGACACATTATCTTGCTGTTACTGTAAGTATAATTTTACCATCCCCATTTAACAATCTACCCAGGCCTTCCTTAAATTCCAGCATGTTCTAGTTCCAAAGTCATCCACCTCCTCAATCCAAATTCTGCTCCCATGTGGCTAATCTTATCAAGACAAGGAGGAGTGAGACTTTATTAACCAATTAACACCAATATATAAATTACTAAGAGACACTAACTATAAGACATCCTTATGATTCATACGTTCTTACATCTCAGACTCTCAGACTTGTGAAAATAGAGAAAAATGCAACAACTCAAGTAGAGTTACAGTACTACAGTATTTTCCTTAACCCTATTTTCAGAAATGACAATCCAACTTACAATTAACGACTTTCCCTAGAGTAAGAGAGAATTTAAAGACATGCTAGAATTTCTAGCGGTCAGGGGAATCATAAACCTCTAAACCAAGGTGGTATAAAAATGTGACCAAAGATCACAATTTAGAATGCAATTTAATATTTAATAACAGTTCACAAAGATTATAGGAATAAAATACAAGGTTAACACAATTACTTTCTTTACAAGAGATGAAATATATTTTATTTTTCTGTTTAGGCTTAATAATCAATGTAAATATTATAACTGTGATGTATCAATGGTATATTTTTAAAATAGCTGTGCTTTACTTTAAGAAAATTAGTATCAGCCGGCCGTGGTGGCTCACACCTGTAACCCCAGCAGTTTGGAAGGCCGGGGTGGGCAGATCACCTGAGGTCGGGAGTTCAAGACCAGCCTGGCCAACATGGTGAACCCTTGTCTCTACTAAAAATACAAAAAATAGCCGGGTGTGGTGGCAGGCACCTGTAATCCCAGCTACTTGGGAAGTTGAGGTGGGAGAATCGCTTGAACCCGGGAGGCGGAGAGTGCAGTGAGCCAAGATCGTGCCACTGCACTCTAGCCTGTGCGACAGAGTAAGACTCCATCTCCAAAAAAGAAGAAGGAAAAAAATTCGTATCCATAAATAAAAACAAAGCCCATAATAATAATAATAAATTATTTATAGTATATAAATTAGATAACTAGTAATAATTTCAGAAAATGATTTTACCACTGGCCTCCTTAAATAATATGCTTTCTTGATGCATTTTAAAAATATTTGTTTTTGCTAAAATCTGATTATGTTTATTGTATCAACTGAGATTCAGTTATCTATACTTTTAAAATAGAATTTAAAGTTGGTTCAACATATCCTTTTGTACTAGTCAGTGGATGATAAACAATAATAGATATGAAACTTGGTGAGTCTGATTATCTTTTTTCAAGCATTTCAAATACTGACATCAGCCAGTCCATTAAGAATTCTTTGCTGGAGTCCTTCAAAGGGTTGTGGATGAGGATGATGGTGGCTAAAGTAGTAGCATTCTGTCTATGAATTAAGAGACCTGGGTTCTAAGGCTTACTGAACCGTTAACTAGCAGTTTAAACTTTGGGAGAGCTTGTTTTCTATAACAATGAGTGATTTGGATGGATGGCCACTAACAGCCCTTATTTTTAATAATAAAAACCACGTGAAACAAGCCGAATTCTGTATGGTAAAGACAATAAGCTAGACAAAGAGATGAGCATTTGTAAAGCACCATCTAGACCACAAGAAACTCTGATTTGGTATGTAGCAGACAGTGTTGCTAATTTGCCTATATCCCCTCAGGCCTTCCCAGGGAGGTGCACCCAGGCCTGACCTACCAACTGCCAGTATCTGCATTTCCTTGCCCGAGGGCTTTCTTTGGCTGCTAGAGTCCACTCTGGGTGAGAAGCAGTTGAAAATTAGCATACACTCTGAAATCTTCAATTTATAACTGATAAGAGTTAGTATATAAATACTTCAGCTCCTCTACCCCTTGGATGCATTAACTATCCCTTGCCCTTGAGTTGAAATAATACTCGCCACCACATCCAGCTATTTTTCGTATTTTTAGTAGAGACAGGGTTTCACCACGTTGGCCAGGCTGCTCTCGAATTCCTGACCTCAGGTGATCCACCCGCCTCGGTCTCCCAAAGTGTTGGGATTACAGGCGTGTGCCACCGCGCCCACCTGATACGAATTTTCTTAAACCAAAGCACAGCTATTTTGAAAATACACCATTGATACATCACAGTTATAATATTTACATTGATTATTAAGTCTAAACAGAAACCCATTAGACGCTGGTTCTCAGAATTCCTCAGCATGATTAATCCCTGTTTAGTCACAGTGGTACTTGCCTGACAACATATCTTTTATTGGCTACCTTCCCTTCCCCATTTCATCTTCCCCTTTACATCACCTGGGGTCACCCCGAAGATACACTATTTGCAATTAAATCCTTATTCCAGGTTCGGCCTCTAGGGGAGCCAAAACTAAATGATAACTGTGTATATGACCCTAGCCTCACTCCTCTTCACCCCCAAAATTTGTCTACAAACTTTCTCTTCCTAGGCCCCATCCTGTTCTTTGGCTTCCTAGCCCACTGTCTTCATATTCACTCTTAGGCCTAGACAAGATGGCTGGGCTATTCTTACCAGATTATAGGGATTTGTTAATATATATACCTTTATCCCTAACCTTACCAGAGTGTGCATATCTTAAATTGTGATATCTTTGTCTTTATAACTCTAGTGCCTAACACTATATCCAGCACATGTAGAATTTAATTATATGAGTTTTTGTGCTTGGGAGGCATTTCTTTCCCTAATTTTTCCATCAATTTCTTATTCTCATATATTAAGATTCTTTGGTAAAATCTTCCCCAACTGCCTCACACTGAAGGAAGCACTTCCTGCCCTATGAACCCATGAAGACCCTGAGCATACTCACTTCTTGAATTCCACTTATCATATTGTCAAGTATTTACTGCTCTGCTTTTCTATTTTCTATATTGAATCAACTCCTCAAAGGGACAGATTTTGCTGTATTCCATTTTGTTTGTCCCAGGCTGTAGCAGAGCTCCTTACATATAATAGACATTGTTGAATGAATAGGGAGAGCAGAAGGATATTATAGGTTTTGCTGGGAGTTCATGCCTCTTGTGTCTCCCACATTAAACAAATTTGTGCAATCTCTATTAGGGACAAAAAAGAAATAGCAACCACAAAACAAAATATATATAGTGGCTGAAAACCACGTATTTAAGGCAGAAAGTCCTTTGCTTTGATCTTACCTTTGAAAAGCTACAGACCACCAGCTTACTGAAATTAGCCTCCTAGACTGGAATTGAGCTATAGGGCTATATGGCTACTACAAACTCCAATATATTCATTTATGTATTATTTCAGAAAAGAATTAGATAGGTATGTGAAATAAAAAAAGTTTGGTGACCACAAGTTTAGACTCCAGTCGAGGTCCACCGGTCATATCATAATGTCCCTCCGTCCATTTGGCCGTCCATATATAGAATTTTTAATACTGTCTCCATAAAATATTCTTAAATAATACACAGCAAGTCAGAAATTTGTCTTGAAATAACTGAGGACTCATCTCTTCAAGTTTCGCAAGGACATATTTATACTTGGCACATACTATAAATAACAGCTGGTAATTTTGCCACAGCCATTTTTCACTCACTTCAACTTTTTCCCACATTTATTCTTCTGCCCGTGTTCAGTCTCATTTAAACTTGAGTACCATTTTAGAGTTTTCACTAGGTCATGCCTATTGACTTATTCAGTGTTTCAAATCCTCTTTCTAACACATCATAAAGGGAGTTATAGATGGCTACTTATATACAATTAATTTTTATAAGAATGTACATACTCTTAGGCAAAAATACAGATTGTTTACAGTAAACTGAAGAGATAGATTTGGGCCCTACAGACCTCAAGAAAAAGTAGAGATACTAGTTGTAGAAAGAAAGTTCTGAAGGAACCATCGAGTCTGTAGAGATGAACAAAGAAAAAGCATGTGCCATGCTTTGGAACCTTCGATCTTGTGAAATGGATGGAAAAAAATGTAAAAATAAATATGAGAGCCTGGAGTCTGGGAGGAGTGCATCAAAGAGGTATGAACTGAAGAGTAGAGGAGTAAAGGAAAAGTAAGCATTAATTCTGATAGGGAGCTTCACAAATTCATGTAGAAACTTCACACAGAAAGTGAATTTAAGTAGGGTGCAAAGGCATCCCAGAGTTCAGGGAAAGCCCAAATTATGGAACAGTGCCAAGAAAGTTGTAGGAATGGTGAGCCATGGCTTACTCATTTTGCTTCTCTCCTTCTGCTGTCCTCACCTTTGGCCCATTCCTAGGCAAGTAGCCCAGGAAACTATTTCTCTAGTATTTGCACCACATACTGTGCATTATTTCATTATCGTTATTATCACATGATTTTTTTTCTTTATTAGTCTAACAGCTCCATGTGGGCTAGAACCAGGTCTTTTTATTTTGTATGCCTAAAATCTATCCTAAGGCAAACACTCAATAAATATTACAGGAGCTGAGGTATTAGGATAATGTACAAAAATGGGTTTAGAAATAGAAAGAAAATTTGATGACATAAATCCAGAAGTCTTTGAATACTAGTCTAAAATTGATCTAACTCTCTAACAATAACAGGAAGATATACTAATAATAGCTTCTGTTGTTATACCAGAATCGTCATATAATTTATTTCATCTTCACAACCACCCTGTTAGGTGGGCATTATCATCTCCATTTTGCAGATTTTGAAACCAAGGTTAGAGAGAACAAGTCTGGTAACTTGCCTAAGGTCATTGAGAACCACATGGTATGTCACAAGCACTGTTCAAGATGCTGCAAATAAATTAGTCAGCAAGACATACAAGTTCCTCATACTCCCTGAGCTTATGATCTAGTTGAGTGAGACCAACTTTACACAAAACCACCAAAAGATAAATAAGAAAATTTATACATGATGATAAATGGCCTGAAGTAGAGTAAAACAAACTAATATGATTGGGAATTGCTGGGCATCATGTGGAAGAGTTTGCCTTACTCAATGGATCATGATATTCCCAATATAACATTCTGATCCTGTGTTACTCAGAGAATGAAAGTGATCAAACATAAGTTTTGGAAAAATAAATAGTGGTAAAACAGAGGATTATTAGGCAACAGTATTGATTAGGAAAAAAGTAAAGATCAGCCAAAATGAAGCTTTGGAAGGTGAATGAACAGAAGCAATTGTTGTGAAAGAAAACAGTGACATGTTCTGTGGATAAAATGATTTAATAAAAGAATATGGAGGAGGGTGGAGGCAACTATGATGATGATGTGATGATATTGATGCTAATAACAATAATGACTTGTCTTGAGCATTTACTCAGTACATGCCCAAGATTACACAGGTGTCCTTGATGGAAAGTTAATTTTTAATCACTTTGAGAATTTCTGCAGAGTGTGGGACTCTCATTACAAAGTATCCAATATGATTTTGGGTGATAGTCAAGATAATTTTAAATTGTACTGTAAAGGGCATTGAAGAATATAACTATGACATAGAAAAAAAAGCTGTTCCCATTTTAAATCTCTTTCAGTCCTTTTAATTATGTCAAGAAGAAATTCTCAATTTGAGCTATTTGAGCTATTTTGACTTAACACCTCTCTAACATTTGCTAATCTCCTTTTTTTAAACAAAGAGTGAGCAGGCCTTATGTTCAGAGCCTTCGGCAGCCAGCAATATCTAGCTGAAATTTAAAAGTTTATTTTCATTGAATTTATTTTTACAGTTACCCTCTATTTATGGTCAATGATACTAGTGTACCCACTTACGGTAGTGACATATCCTCAACTTTTATGATACATTTATTTAAGTAAAAGAGTGAGTGGATTTAAAGGAAACATTAAAGATGTAACAATGTAGTTAATTTGAATATGTAGCAAAAATGTAGAAGGTGATAGAAGACTACAGTTTGACAATATTATGGTAAGTTACAAAAGCCACCTGGAATTGAGTGAAAGCTGAGAGGTTTTGAATCACTCTTACTGAAAAGACTGTGTGGTCACTTAGTGATCCCCAGGAGACTGGGTCTCTGGATAAGTTAGGAGGTCATAGACTATGACAGATTTTGCTTTATGCATGTTAAATTGTAAATGCCAGATGCAAGTAAAATATCCTCAAGAGGTCTGGCATCCAGTGGTACATTCAAGATGGACATTTGAACCTAGATCTGAACTAAGCGTATAGGTCTGTATTCATTTTCTATTGCTAGATAACAAATTACTGCACAGTTAGCAGCTAGAATCTACACAAATTTATTACCTCACAGTTCTGAATGTCAGGAGTCCAGATGGACTTTTCTGCTGGGGTTTTTAGAAGGCCGAAATCAAAGGGGGGTATTTTCTGGAGGCTCCAGGGAAGAATCTGCTTCCAACATCCTTCATGTTGTTGGCAGAATACAATTTCTTATAGGACTGAAGTTTCCATTTTCCTCCCTCACATTGAATTCTTCTCACATTTTAAATTTCTCGGACTTCTTTACTGCTACCACCCAGAGAAAACTCTCTGCTTTTAATGGGTTCAAGTGACTAGCCCAGGCCCATCCAGATAATCTCCCTATTTTAAGGTCAACTCATTAGTAACCCTAATTACATCCACAAAATCTCTTTTGCTATGTAACCTAACATAATCATGGCTGTAACATGAGGAGAGTGGGTAGAGATAAGGGGAACCATCTTATAGTTCTGCTTACCACAGCAGTCTTCTGTATAAAAATGTATTCATGTAATTATTTATTCATTCAGCAAACATTTACTGAGTATCTATTACATTACAAAGCAGTTTGGTAATCATTTGTGTATTGAACCATGGAATAATGTCTCTCATACCTTTGATGTGGAACATTCAAGCAAATGTTCTTGACAAGGGAATAGGAGTGGGGCACTGAGAGTATCTGCTCTAATGTACTCCTTGTACCACTCCGATGCACATGTGCCTCCATTAAGTTTATTCTTTCCTGGCATTGCTTCTTCAAGAAAGTGGCCAGTAATCATTCCTTTTAAAAAATAGAAATAAAGTTTTTAACAGGTATATCATACTGCTGCAGTTGATTTTGAAGCCAGAATCAACATTCTTTGTTTTCCTCCTCCATCAGCCATTTCAGATTCCCATTGCCCAGCACCTGTGCTGATTTAGGCTTCCTGCCCTATGGGATCTGGGAGCCTGATTACCAGACCCTTTTCAGGTCATGGTTGAGACAACTACTTGTTCAAAGTTGCCACCAGGCATGGAAGCACCAAAAAAACCAGTGAGTCTACTCACTGGAACAGGAATTCCAGAAATACTCCTTCTTGCTTCCATTATGTAGCAAAAACTCTATATCTTCATGTTCATCAGGGTCAGTAACTCATGGCAATATAGTAAATCCTCTTTTTGTGCTGGTCTACTGGTATGAGAAACTCAAAATGGCCGGCCAGTAGCCTTAGCTTTAATAACATTGTGCTGTGTTCCCTGCTAGAGCTGACATCCACACCTAGGAGCCAAGATTTTTAGTTCAGCCCAACCTAAATTTGAAGAGATAGGAAGCACAAATTCCCAAAGTGGGTCCTTGGGAAGAAGAATGAGAAAGTTAACTCCAACTTTGACTTTCTTTTGATTCACATTATTTTTCAAGTTGAACAGTATCCCAAAATAGCATATTTAAGCTCCTGTAAAATAGCATATTTAAGCTCCCCTTTAACCATTTCAACATTCAAATAGACCAAATAATGATATATATGGTAGGATCAGGAGATCCCATCAACCCACGCCCCACGCCTTGCAGTTTCACCAGAAGGTGAATCCCTGGGTCTGAGGCTGTGTTAGTTGGCATTCCATATCAGTAATTCAGGCTGAGTGTGGTGGCTCACACCTATAATCCCAGCAGTTTGAGAAGATGAGGTGGGAGGATTGCTTGAGCCCAGGAGTTCAAGACCAGCCTGGGCAACATAGGGAGAACCCATCTCTACAAAAAAATTGATTTAAAAAATTAGCTTGGCATGGTGGCACACACCTGTAGTTCCAGCTACTTAGGAGGCTGAGGTAGGAGGATCACGTGAGCTCAGGAGTTGGAGGCTGCAGTGAGCCATGATTGCACCACTGTACTCCTGCCTGGGTGACAGAGACAGACCTTGTCTCAAATCACCTCCCACTCCCCAAAATTAAAACAAAAACAAAAAACAAAAAACAGTAAGTCAGACAGATACTCACTCTGTGGGCATTCAGATATTCATATTGGCAGTGGTACTGTAGGCAGTAAAGCCAAACTTATACCATAAATATGTGTCAGACCAAACAAGAACATATTTCTGCCTTCTCTTGGATGGAAAGGGTTGTGAGTGAGCTGAATAATGGCCCCCAAAGATATCAGGTCCGAATCCCTGTGAACTGTAAATGTTATATTATAAAAAGGGTCTTTGTAGATGTGATTAAGTAAGGATATTGAGATGGGGAGACAATCTTGACTTATTCAGGTGGCCCCCTAAATGCAATCACACCTGATAAGACAGAGACAGAGGGACATTTGACACAGACAGAAGAAGAGAAGGCATTGTGTTTGGAGTGATGTGGCCACAAACCAAGGAATGCTGGAAGCCACTAGAAGCTGTAAGAGGCAAGGAAAGAATTCTCCTCTAGAACCTCTGGAGGGAGCACAGCCCTGTTGACACGTTGGATTTGGCTCAATGGTACTGATGTCAGATATCTGGCCTCCAAAACTGTGAGAGAATAAATATTTGTTGTTTTAACTCACCAAATGTGACTGGTTATTTGTTAAAGCAGTCATAAGAAACTAATTAGAGGGGTGTAATGTAATCTACTTGCCACTAAGTGGCTGGTTATGCCCCTTCAAGTAAGGTACCTGTGTCAGTCCATTTTCACACTGCTATAAAGAACTGCCTGAGACTGGGTAATTTATAAAGAAAGAGGTTTAAGTGACTCATAGTTCTGCATGGCTGGGGAGGCCTCAGGTAACTTACAATCATACATAAGGCACATCTTATGTGGTGGCAGAAGAGAGAGGGCGTGCAGGGGAAACTGCCACTTTTGAAACCATCAGATCTCATGAGAACTCACTCATTATCATGAGAACAGTGTGGGGGAAAGCACCCCCATGATCCAATCACCTCCCACCAGGTCCTTTCTTTGACACATGGGGATTAAGGGGATTACAATTCGAGATGAGATTTGGGTGGGAACACAGAGCCAAACCATATCATTCTGCCCCTGGCCCCTCCCAAAGCTCACATTCTTTTTACATTTCAAAACCAATTATGCCTTCCCAACAATCCGCCAAAGTCTTAACTCATTCCAGCATTAACTCAAAAGTCCAAGTCCAAAGTCTCATCTGAGACAAGGCAAGTCCCTTCCACCTAGGAGTCTATAAATTCAAAAGCAAGTTAGTTACTTCCAATATAAAATGGGGGAACAGGCATTGGATAAATGGTCCCATTCCACATGGGATAAATTGGAAAAACAAAGGGGCTATCGGCCCCATGCAAGTCTGAAACCTAGCAGGGCAGTTATTAAATCTTAAAGCTCTGAAATAATCTCATTTGACTCTATGTCTCATATTCAGTACATGCTGATGCAAGGGGTGGGATCCCACGGCCTTGGGCAGCCCCTTCACAGGCTGGTGTTGAGTGCCTGTGGCTTTTCCAGGCACACAGTGCAAGCTATCAGTGGATCTACAATTCTGAGGTCTGGAGGATGGTGGCCCTCTTCTCACAGCTCCACTAGGCACTGCTCCAGTGGGGACTCTGTGTGGGGGCTCCAACCCCACATTTCCCTTCCACACTGCCCTAGCAGAGGTTCTCCATGAGGGCTCCACGCCTGTAGCAGACTTCTGCCTGGACATACAGGCATTTTCATACATCCTCTGGAATCTAGGCGGAGATTCCCAAACTTCAATTTTTTTTTTTTTTAATACAGGGTCTCACTCTCTCGCCCAGACTGGTGGCCTGATCTTGGCTCACTGCCACCTCTGCCTCCCAGGCTCAAGGGATTCTCCTGCCTCAGCCTCCCAAGTAGCTGGGATTACAGGCACACGCCACTACCATCCGGCTAATTTTTGTATTTTTAGTAGAGATGGAGTTTCACCATGTTGGCCAGGCTGGTCTCGAACTCCTGACCTCAAATGATCCACCTGCCTTGGCCTCCCAAAGTGCTGAGATTATAGGTGTGAGCCACCATGCCCAACCCAAACCTCAATTCTTGACTTCTGTGTACCCCCAGGCCAAATACTACCTGGAAGCTGCCAAGGCTTGGGGCTTGCACCCTCTAAAGCAATGGCCCAAGCTGTACTTTGTCCCCTTTTAGCCACAGCTGGAGCTGGAGCAGCTGGGATGTAGGGCACCAAGTCCTGAGGCTGAACACAGCAGCTGGGCCCTGAGCCCAGCCCAGGAAACCATTTTTAACTCCTAAGTATCCAGGCCTGTGATGGGAGGGGCTGCCAAGATCTCTGACATGCCCTGGAGACATTTTTCCCATTGTCTTGGCTATTAACATTCAGCTCCTGGTTACTTATGCAAATTTCTACAGCAGACTTGAATTTCTCCCCAGAAAATTGGGTTTTCTTTTCTTTTCTTTCTTTTTTTTTTTTTTTTTTGAGACAGAGTCTAGCTCTGTCACCTAGGCTGGAGTGCAGTGGCGCAATCTTGGCTCACTGTAACCTCTGCCTTCCAGGTTCAAGCAATTCTCCTGCCTCAGCCTCCTGAGTAGCTGGGATTACAGGTGCATGCTGCCACGCCCGGCTAATTTTTTGTATTTTAGTAGAGACGGGGTTTCACCATGTTACCCAGACTGGTCTCGAACTCCTGAGCTCAGGCAATCCACCTGCCTCAGCCTCTCAAAGTGCTGGGATTACAGGCGTGAGCCACCATGTCCGTCTGGGGTTTTCTTTTCTATCACAACATCAGGCTGTAAATTTTCCAAACTTTTATGCTCTGTCATCTCTTGGATGCTTTGCTGCTTAGAAATTTCTTCTGCTAGATACACTAAATCATCTCTTTCAAGTTCAAAGCTTCATGGATTTCTAGGGCAGGGGCAAAACGCTGATAGTCGCTTTGCTAAACCATAGCAAGAATGATCTTTGCGCTAGTTGCCAATGAGTTCCTCATCTTCATCTGAGACCATCTTATCCTGGACTTCATTGTCCATATCACTATCAGCATTTTGGTCAAAACCATTCAACAAGTCTCTAGGAAGTTTCCCACATCTTCCTGCCTACTTCTGAGCCCTCCAAACTGTTCCAACCTTTGCCCATTACCCAGTTCCAAAGTTGCTTCCACATTTTCAGGTTATCTTTATAGCAGTGTCCCACTCCCAGTACCAATTTACTGTACCAGTCCATTTTCACACTGTTATAAAGAACTGCCCAAGACTGGCTCATTTATAAAGAAAAGAGGTTTAATTGGCTCACAGTTCCACATGGCTGGGAAGCCTCAGAAAACTTACAATTGTGGCAGAAGGCAAAGGGGAAGAAGGCATGTCTTACATGGTGGCAGGTGAGAGAGAGAGAAGGAGGAAGTGCCAGACACTTATCAAACAACCAGATCTCATGAGAACTCACTATCGCAAGAATAGCATGGGGGAAAGCGTGCCCATGATTCAGTCACCTCCTAGCAGGTCTCTCCCTCGACATGTGGGGATTATGGGGATTACAATTCAAGATGAGATTTGGGTGGGGATACCAAACCATATCAATACCACATTAAGAGCTCATCATTGTTCTCTGCTTCTGACAAGTTAGATGTTCAGAAATGGCAGTAGCTAGATCAACTCAGACGAGAGAGATTCATGTTCCCGCACCCACAAGTAGTCTTCAACACTGACACCATTTCTATAGCATTCATGGAGCCATCGCTCCATTGTAAAACCACCAATGATCAGAGGATAGAGGCTGGCTGATGTCCTCTGGACAGTCATCCTGTTCACCTAATACTTCACTGTCTTTTCTGTGGTAGATAATATCTGGTAGGTATTGACATGCTAACCAAATAATCATACAGTTTGTATATGTCCACTCTCATAGACACATCTACATGCCTTTTCACCTGACCTCTTTGACTCTATTCTTTCCATTTCATTCCTTCTAGAAGCCTTGGCCAACCAGTCAAGCCATTTACCATTGCCAAGAAATCCATATAGTCTTAGCCGAGACTTCGTATCCCTCCATACAAGTTGATGAGCATGTGTATTGCTCAAAGCTCTGCCCACTGGAATAATTTACCCTTACCACTGTCACTTAAGGCCACTCCTATGTGGGACTTTGATGTAGCAGCAGTCCATTTCAGCTTGCACTGACGTATTGAGCTATACCATGTACAAGGACTGATTTTTTCCTTCTTCATCAGGTCATCATTGGGAACACTCCATGAGGCCATAGTTTTAAAAGCAGAAATGTCAGCAACAGAGGTAGGTGACCTGGGGATTCAGACTACTTGTTTATGTAACTTATGGATACCTTAGTGAGAAACATCCTGAACTAGAGAATTCTGTTTTATATAATGAGTTTACTTAAAGAGGCCCACTTCTGTAAGCCTTTTCATGACACTTTCAATATTCTACCAAGTTCTTTTCAGTAACGTTACCTTGCTTTCTAGAACCTATTGTTTCCAAGTTTCAAAGAACCATCTGACCTGAACTTTAAGATTGGTTCTAGTGTTCCTGCCAGGATGTTAAATCTGATTCAGGAGAGTGCCTCAATAAAATCTCCTCTATCCAGCCTTAAGTTCAGTGACCTTTATCCCAGTCCAGCACCGACAAGATCCTTTCCCGGCATGTTTTCCCATTTCCTAAAGGAACATATTTGCCTGATTTGGCAGGAATAGAACTCTCCTGCCTGGATCATGCTGAGATTTATCCTTAGTTATTGGTAGAAGCAAAGAGGGAAAAAGAGAGCAGATCCGTGGGTTCACGTTTTTCAAGTTCTTCCATTCAAGTGTCCCATTCCCATATCTTAGGGTCCTACACTTTATCAGGGCTTACCTTTAGGACTACTTTTACAACCAAATCTTGGTAGTCATTCTCAGCATATTCTGCTCTAGGATATCAGAACCTCCTTACAAGCTGCCAAGTAGCCTTCTGACTTCAACACCATGCCTTGAGCTGATAGTTGGCTGACCTCAGTCTGTAGACTTTTTCTTTAGGATTCCAATCACAGTTAAAAAACAGCTGGCCAAATATACAAACCTTATAATTCCCTTTGCTCTTATTTCTCTAGTGTGCTGGAGCTATTGTGCCTATATCCCATCCCAGTTCACCACATGTAAAATAATTAGTAATTGTGATGCTAGAACATGCCCAGGCTTATCGACAATACCCTGCTCACCACCATCAGTGGAACTTTGTTACTATTTAGCTAGGAAGTGATCTAATGTGAGCATCCCATCCTACGGTTCTGCTTCCTAGGACCACTTTTGATACCAACTATCTTAACTTGGGATTTTCCAGAAGCAGATGCTGAGACAAAAGTTTGAGAGAAAGTTATTTATTTGGAAGATGATTTCCAGGAAACACCAACATAATAAGAAAGGAAAAGGGGGAGGAAGAAAGCCAATGAAAGGAGCGTACGCATGCAGATAGCCAGTGTGGCAACATTGCTCAATCCTGGAAAGGATCACTGGGAGGGAGTATTAAACAGATTTGTGCAATCCCTTAAGAGCTGAGGAAGCTGGAGTATCTGTCTTCCAACTCCTATCCATCACTGGGTGAGGATTTTAGAGACCCAGCACTCCCAACCAGCCCCTTGCATGTATGAGCAGAGATCGTGCCTCAGGCTGAGAGCCACAGGTGCTTGCAAGAAGACATTGTTGGAATGTACTGGAAAGCTAAAGGAGTAAGATGGGTTCTAATTGGGATATTCAAAATGCTGTGAGAAAATAGATTCATTCTGCTGGGGGGGAATTCCAACAAGGATTCAGAAATGGAGCCATTCACCCTGGTAGCTGATATCATGAAGTAGATGCAATTTCCAAAGTGGGAGGGGGATATGATGTGCAGGAAGGGCTAAGCCTACTGACAGAGGAATGTCTACATTTTAGGAGTGGCTTGAGAAAGTGTTAACAAATGTTGAGTTCAATGTTAGTAAAGCTCAGTGTTAGGAATGGCAGTCATTTTTCAGACTTCCAATGTCTCTGAACTCATAACCATTGGAAAACTTTAATTGGGAAGGAAAAAACTTAAAAGTCCCCTATTGAATTTGTTCATTAAGTGAAATTATAAAACAAAGGAGATGGCAAAAGGAAATACTAAACAATTTCTCTTCTACCATGCTTAACTTTTTTCTCTTTATAAGGATTCACAAAACAGCAAACCATTCAGAGGTTTTGAACACAAGCATGAATTTCATTTTGCTCTGACTTTTGTAACTTAAATAACTAAGTGATTTTCAATTCAGCAGTTAGAAATCTTTCTGCAAAAACATGCGCACAATTTTTATTCCCATGCTGCCACCCTCTTTGCCACTTGCAGAGTGAATTATTAGAACAAAGTTATAAACCTCCAGATATTCAATATCTATAGTAGAAAATACTGACATGACCATAAAAAAATGCTTTCTTTTTTGTCTAGCTTTGCTCCCTTCTTCAACCTTTGCTCATTCCCTTTTCCCTTGGCCCTCTAAATATACAAGCCAGCAGCATTTGCTTTGCTTTGCTTTTTCACTCTTGCTTACTGCCTTTTTAAAAAGGGGTGGCTTGGATTAGAGATATGTGTTAACCCTCTAAGATTGTTGAGGGAAATATTGATATTTGCTGGAATTAACTGAATTTCTGTATGTTAATGTTTTGTACTATTTGTTTGTTCATTCTGAAGAAGCATGTGAAGAAAGCCAGAGTCTCCATTTTTGAATTAAGTAAAGGGCAAAGCAAGTTGATGGTTATAATAGTCATGATTAATTCTTTTTAATATCCCCCAAAATTAACACTTTTTTAATTCATTACTGTTAAAAATTTATTTGCTGTAATTGTAAAAAAAACTTACATCTTAGGATACAGGCATCCATGAATTAACCAAAAGAAGTGGAAGTAGTAAATAAATTTTTAACTGGGGACAAACCTGCCAATGTCACCATTTCTTTGTTTCAATTCATGTTACATCTAAAAATGGAAATATTTTTCACTACAATTTGCAATTAACAAAAAAAAGCTGGACGTGGTGGCTCATGCCTGTAATCCCAGCACTTTGGGAGGCCGAGGCGGGTGGATCACCTAAGGTCAGGAGTTCGAGATCAGCCTGACTAACATGGTGAAACCCCGTCTCAACTAAAAATACAAAAATTAGCCAGGCATAGTGGCAGGGGCCTGTAATCCCAGCTGCTTGGGAGGCTGAGGCAGGATAATTGCTTGAACCCAGGAGGCGGAGGTTGCAGTGAGCCGAGATTGTGCCATTGCACTCCAGCCTGAGCAACAGAGTGAGATTCAGTCTCAAAAAAAATGTTTGCTTTTACGTAATATTCAAAATTTAATGTTGTATCAATATTTTTATGAGTAAAAATGTTTTAAGGACTTTAGCCTGGCATGAGTGGCCACCTTTCCCACAGGAGTCGTTGATAGAATTCCCATTATATACTTTCTAGGACTATTACAGAAAAATCTCTAATAGACGGTGGGAGAAAAAAACTCATCAAAAATATTTGGAATATTTACTGGGTGTGGGATATTGTATGATATTCAAGTTGAGGTGAATTCCTGAACTTCCTTTAGGGGTAATAATATTTTCATTCCACAATTATAAATAAAGTAAAAGTGAAGATGATAATTATCACTAATAGTATCTAGAATTTATTAAATACTTACTATTAGCCTAGCAGTGTACTAAGATCTTGACATAATTATCTTATTTAACCTCGTAACCACCCTGACTTGAGGGTACTAATATGTTCATTTCATTAATGAGAAAATCAGTCTCAGAGATGTAAAGGACTTCAAGTCAAAAAGCAAGTGACGGACAAACAACTTGATATTTAAACTAAGTCTGTAACTGATGTACCTTATCTCTCTAAATATTCCCTGGGATCCAGGAAATATTGCTTTAATATTAAAGTGACATCAATGATTAAAATTGGATCCGTTTTTGAAAGCTGATTATAAATGGGGTAAAGGAGGAGAAAAGCACTGGATATTTGAAAATGGGAAGGAATTTGGGATTCACCAAAAATAAATGATCTGCAGAATAGAAGGTTACAGAAACAAAGACAATTTAAAGTCACCCAATTTCATAATTTTGCTAAAGGCTAACCTTGGAAGCAGGAACTATTAAAACTAAAAATATATATCAAGACTAAAAATAATCGTATTATTTGACAGAGTAATTCCAAATCAAATATATGGTTCTTTATATATAATTCAAAATTTCAACCCACAAAAAATAAAATAATGGCAACAAAGATGCTGACCTATAATTATGTTAGCATTAAAAACTAAAACAAATAAAAATGTTTAAAATAATAAAATATCAACATTGCAAAAAGTATAAACTGCAGAAAATCATGTCAATGGGATATTCAGTAACTATTAAAATTATAGAAAAATTAAAATTAAAATTAGAAAGATCATGCAATGAAATGGTGAATATTTTTGAGACTATTATAAAGGGAAAAATAGGACTCAGAATTTTTTATCCATTATGATCACTGCTATATGGAACAGATGATACTATAATTGAAGGGAAAATTGTAGGAAATGAACTAAAGTGATTGAATGTGTTAAATGGTAGAACTACTAGTGTTTTTATAAGAAGAATATAAATGAAAGTATTATAAAATAAAGAGGGAGAAAAATAAATGCTCTCAGAGAGGAGTGCGTGTGATTTCCACCTTATTGCATTATCCTCTCTGAAGACCAAAAGGTAAATCCCACTTCTCTGTTGTGACAGGCACTGCTAATTACCTATCCATTCTCCCCCTTTAACTTACTAAAAGAACTTCCTTTTGTTTGGGAGTTGGGGTGGGCAATGTGTCCAAGACTCTGGCTGATAGGAGCAGCCTGGCCAAGAACAAGTTTTGTATGACATATGAATAATGCCATAATTTACAAATAAAAAGCTGGATGCCCAGTTACATTTGAATTTCAGAAAAACAGTGATTTTTAGTATAAGCATATTCAAGATATTTTATAAGACATAGTTACACTAAAACAGTTTTTTGTTGTTTATCTGAAATTCAAATGTAATTTGGTATCTTGTATTTTATCTGGCAAACTTACATGTAAAGAACTTGAAAACTGGCCGGGCACAGTGGCTCACGCCTGTAATCCCAGCACTTTGGGAGGCCGAGGCGGGTGGATCATGAGGTCAGGAGTTCAAGACCAGCCTGGCCAAGGTGGTGAAACCCCGTCTCTACTAAAAAGACAAAAACCAGCCAGGCATGGTGGCAGGCGCCTGTAATCCCAGCTACTTGGGAGGCTGAGGCAGGAGAATTGCCTGAACCCCGGCGGCAGAGGTTGGGGTGAGCCGAGATCATGCCATGCACTCCAGCTTGGGTGATAGAGTGACACTCCATCTCAAAAAACAAACCAAAACCAAAACAAACAAACAAAACCAAAAAACCTTGAAAACTTAAAGTTTCTGGATACAGGCTTTTTATTAACAATAGTGTAGTTGTATTTGTTTGGATTGTGTTTCAGTGCATGATGAGAAACCAGGCTATAAAGGTAATAAAGTAAGAGCTTATTTCTCTCATATAACAAGATGGAAAGTAAGCAATACAGAGAGTGTGCATTTGCTCAAGGAAATGAAACAATGAGGCTCCTTCAAGCTTCTGGCTCCAACTCCATAGCACATGTCTTTGGTGCTAAAAGTGGCAGTATGGTGGTTCCACTTCTAGGTATGGTTGTGTGAATTTTGGAGAAAAAAGACAGTAAAAGTGATGAGCAAAATGTGCCTGCCATTTCTATCTGTGCTTTTTCTGACTTTTATTATTATTAATTTTAACCAGATAAATTAGTTTTGGGAGAAGCTTTATGTAGTGACTTGAGGTTACACCTCATTGGCCTTCTATCACATCATTCCTCATCTCCCATCAGAAAACTCTCTCATTCTGAGAACTCTCACACACTGTTGGTAGGAATGTATATTCGTACACTCTTTATGGGAAAAAGCATGGAGACTCCTCAAAAAATTAAAAATAGAGTTGACATATAATCCAGGAATCCCACTTCTTGGTATATAACCCACAGAAAAGAAGTCAGTATACTGAAGAGATATCTGCACTCTCATGTTTATTGCAGCATTATTCACAATAGCCAAAGTATGGAATCAATCTGTGTCCATCAATGGATGAATGGATAAAGAAAATCTTGTATATACACAGTGGAATATTATTCAGCCATAAAATAATAAAATACTGGCATTTGCAGCAACATAGATGAGCCTGGAGTACATTAGGTTAAGTGAAATAAGCCGACCACAGAAAGACAGACATCTCATCTTCTCATTCATCTGTGGGAGCTACCGAGTTAGTCTCAAGGAGGTGGAGAAGGGAATGGCAGTTGCAGGGGCTGTAAAGGGTGTAGCAGGGAGAGAGATTGGTTAATAGATACAGAAATGGCCGGGCACCGTGGCTCACGCCTGTAATCCCAGCACTTTGGGAGGCCAAGGCGGGCAGATCACGAGGTCAGGAGATCGAGACCATCCTGGCTAACACGGTGAAACCCCGTCTCTACTAAAAATGCAAAAAAAAAAAAATTAGACGGGCATGGTGGCGAGCGCCTGTAGTCCCGGCTACTAGGGAGGCTAAGGCAGGAGAATGGCATGAACCCGGGGGGCGGAGCTTGCAGTGAGCCGAGATCGCGCCACTGCACTCTAGCCTGGGAGACAGCGAGACTCCATCTCAAAAAAATAAATAAATAAAAATAAAAATAAAGATACAGAAATAAAGTTGGATAGAAGGAATAGGTTCTAGTGTTTGATAGCACATTAGGGGACTATAGTTATCAATGGTTTATAGTATATTTCAAAAATAGCTGGAAGATTTAGAATGTTCTCAACATAAAGAAATAATACATGTTTGAGGTGATAGATATCCCAATTATCCTGATTTGATCATTATGCATTTAATGCATATTTCAAAATATCACAGGAACCCTATAAATAGGTACAATTATTATGGATCAATAAAAAAATTTTTAAAAGAAAGAAAACACTCTCAACAGCAATGACAATATCTACCTATTCTTGAAAACCCTACTAAAGACCTAGTCCCTCCTCCAAACATGTTTTGTATATGCCAGTCTGCCATAGCCCTTAAACATCGGAGTATGTAGGCGTGTTCCTTGCGGTTTAGTTCTAAATTATACTCTTGTTTGTATTGGCCCTTTTTCTTGGAATATTTGTGTTGTCTTAATAAGTGGACCGCATGGTCCTTGGGAGAGGGACCGTGCTTTATTCATCATATGCCAAGCTCCCAATAAATAATATTTGTTGATGAATTTACCACCAATTGTCACTGAAGCTTAACAAAATTCCATAGGAAACCTCCAAGTACAAGCTTTTTAAAGCTGTAAAGAGAAAGTTTTAAGTGAAGCAGAATGTCTTTTATTTTACTTTATTTACTTATTTAATGCTTCATTGCATGTGCAATACATTTACATGGTTTAAAATTCCAAAGATATGAAAGATTATACAGTGTGAAATATCTCTTTCCCACATACATCCCTAGCCACCTAGCTTCTTTCCCCATGCAACGAACCTCATCAGTTTGTTGTATTCTCCAGAGAGAAATTTTGTATTTACAAGCCAATGTGCATATTTTAAAATTCATTTGAATATTAAACATTTACTGTGCACTAAGCTTTTTGCCAGGCACTGTGGTAAATGCTTGACATTGAATCCTCCTAACAACTCAATGAGGTAGGTTTTTCTAATTATTACCATTTTACAGATGAAGAAACTGAGGTACAGAGCCATATACCTTCACAAACCACAGCTGATATTTGAACCTGGGAAGTCTGACTCTAGATCCTATGCGCTTAACCACAAAAATATATTTCCTCTCCATGCTGAATCTTTTAGGAGACATATACAAGGTAAACAAAGTCTCAAAAGATTACATAGTACACATAGGGAATTACCTCCATGTATCTGGTGAGAATTAAATATATGCTTGTATAGTTCATGACTAAGGGAATATAGTTGTGAAACCTAAAAATTTTGGACTTGGATCCTTTATCTCAAGATAGAATTTGACCCTATGGCCATGTTATTACAGCTGAGCATGAATACTGTTTGTACCAGTATGGTGTCCTACAAAAAGAATAAACATGTGTTCTTAATCAGAATTCTTGTCTTTTCACCTTTATTTCAAGGCTCCTATGTTCTCCTCTGATCTTCATCCTCCTTGCCTTCCACCTTTCCCTGATTCATCTGTCTTCACTGCTCCTCTACTTTGTTTTTTACATTTGCCAATCAGCCTTATGACTTCAGTGCTGCCACGCTGCCCAACTTACTTTTCTAGGAAACTGTTGATTGCTTCCATGTAATAGTGAAAAAGGCTATCAGTTGGTACAGGTGTTTGATATATTAAAACCAAAATGGCCGGGCGTGGTGGCTCACTCCTGTAATCCTAGCACTTTGGGAGGTCGAAGTGGATGGATCATCTGAGGTCAGGAGTTCGAGACCAGCCTGGCTAACATGGTGAAACCCCGTCTCTACTGAAAATACAAAAATTAGCTGAGCATGGTGACGGGCGCCTGTAATCCCAGCTACTCCAGAGGCTGAGGCAGGAAAAACTCTTGAACCCAGGAATCAGAGGTTGCTGTGAGCTGAGACCATGCCATTGCACACCAGCCTGGGCGACAAGAGTGAAACTTCGTTTCAATAAAATAAAATAAAATAAAACCAAAATAAGTGCACAACCAGGTTACAGAAATTTTTATTAAACTCAAAATAGTTATGAAGATGATTTTAAAATTTTTAGAAAATTACAGAGCTTTGCAAATGCAGGGGCAAAAAGATGTAATACCTTTTCTCATCTATCATAAGGGTCACGACCGACACTCCTACAAAAAAAAAGATGGGTTAACAAGAGAAAAACATAAATTTATTTAATCAAAGTTTTAGTAACATGGGAGCCTTCAGAAATGAAAATCTAAAGACCCAGGGAAAACTGTCTGTTTTTAGGCTTAGGTTTGACAAAGAATGGCTAGCCCAATAGAAATGTGATTGGATAAAAGTGAATGTTCTCATGGTAATAGACTGATGGGTGAAACCTGGCAAGGGCTGTCTGTTCAAATTCTTTCTGGCCTCTGTATGTATCATTCTTTCCTCATAGGTATGAGATAGGACCCCTCTGAAGTCTTATTACCTATTATTAGATAAGGTGGGTCTGCGAATTTCTTTATGGCCAGCTCCAACACAGAAAGGCAGGGGAAGATTAGAATAATATTTCTAGGTTTTATGGCTGGCTTTGAGGAAGAGGAGTTCTAGTTTTTTGACCTGCCTTAATGAAGAGGAATTCTGTTTTTTATAAATTGCTTCAGAGGGAGAAAAGGGAGTGGGAGACAGAAGGGCAAGAGAAGGTCAGAGACAGACTTTGCTTCTGAGGCCCTTTCTGAGGCCATCTAATCTCCTTCAAAGTACTCAGCATGCCAAAGCGCCATACTTTGGAGTACCATTTTCTGAGTCCCAACACAAACTTACACAAAAACAGAATAAACCGTAAAAACCAGTTTCAATTTACCCAGTTAAACAATTGTCTCTGCTTGAAATTGTGTTAAAACAGGAGCTCCTGTTAACATTTTAGTGTTAATTTAAATAAAATAGTTGGAATTTAATACAGATGATATTCACAAGTAATACATGATAATCAAGTGCTCCACAAAGTTATTGAGTTAAAAAATAGACTCTGTTACTGGTGAGAAATGTGGAAAAATGTTTAAACTATTAGCAATCCAAGATATGTTATAGAGGTTTTTTTTGTTTTAGTTGGAGGAGACTGGTGTTTTCATGAATTCTTGAAAGCAATTCACCTTGAGAAAATCTTTTTAAAACGAAAGCTGTAGACTACCAGGCTGCATTCCTCAAGCCAGGGAGATTTGCTTAGTCCCTAAATGCAGATTCTGGTGCAGTTGGACTGGAAGGGACCTGAGATTCTGCTTATCTAACAATCTAACAGGTGATGCCAATCTTGCTGAACCCTTGGCCAATATTTGAGCAGCAATGTTCTAGATACTACTTTTGGTGCAAGGACTTCTTTACCTGGCTTAGTTACCTGAGGACTGAATGATAAATAACAAAGGTGAGGAGGACTGGTTAGTACCCAAAAGGGAAGGATCAGAAATATATGTTTCTTCATAATTGGCTAGAGAAAAAAGGAGAGCCACAGTCATTTACATTGTCTGAAAATATTTTTATAGGTGAGGAAGAAGCCAGATTTTTAAAAGCAAGCCACAGAATCATCCTTGGAAGAGGGGTAGGTGAGGCGTGCTCTGGGATAGGAAAGGGAGTCCTGCCTATAAATTTGATGAAGTCAAAAATTCAAATAACTTTTTTTTAATCCTAAAAGAGATCTGGAGTAAATTGGCCTTTGTTTTACAGATTAAGTTGTCGTGGAATATATCAATGTAAGCTATAATCATAGTTTACGTTAGGAGTGGAGAGCTAACTGTTTCCAGATAAGAAGTAAAAGAGAATTAGGAGTTGAAAATTTTTAGACAGTAGGGAGAAAATGTTGTAAAGGAAGAAAGAACCAAAAGGTGTTGGCAGAAGAATGTGGAACTGGAGAGAGAAGAGACAGGAAACATTTCCATTCATCATTGTTCTGTTTCTAGCAAGATGCTGAAGTGGTACTCCTGCTGGCTCCCCAGAGAGCTGTCCCAGGGAGAAGCCCTGGGTAACTAGCAAAACAAGAAAAAAACATGTGAAAACTCCTTGTGGTGATAATTGGAGGAGCAGATGCTTTTGAACCGGTAAGAGTTGGGGTGCGGGGAATTAGGGTTTGGCCTGGGGCAGGAAGCCACTGGACTTGTGGACAAAAAATGTGATGGCATGTATGGGGAGGGAGTGCTGTAGGAATACTATTCCTGATTTTTCTTTGCTCTTACCTGTGGCTTCTCCACATTTTTGGAAATTCAGAGCTTGAGTTTTCAGATTAAAAAAAGTTATTAGCAGAAACTTTGAATTTTTAACTTCATCAAATTCATAGATACACAAAACTGGTAATAAAGCAGTAAAAACAAATTTTATTCAATAACTAATGTAGTAGGGCAAGGAGCTGGGCTCAATTCCAGTATGTTCAGAGGTGATTTTGGCATTTTCAAGGAGGAATGAGGGAGCAGGAGGGGAAGCCAGTGGTAGATAGAGCAGAGTCAGAGATGTGAAAAATTACAAAAAGTGGCTAAGAGGGTGGGTCAATGAAAATGGATTAGGCTGCCAGTGTCTGCTACTGGCATTTATCGAAGTTAGGCTTCCTAAAGGCAATGAGAGACTGGGACCCTATCCTTTTCTAAAAATTACATGATTACATTTCAAAGGTCTCAGGTCTTTGAGAAAGACACTCCAAGGGTTGTAGGAAATACATATGCATCTCACAGGGACAAAGGAAATATTTAGATTTGTAAGCTTTTTTTTTCCTTAACAAATACTCTAAGAAACAGAGGTGAAGGGCCTATCTCAGGTGTTTGTTGTTAACAACAGTAAATTCTTTTGGCACGCTTAAGCTTTTCCAGATGGGAACTCAGGTGGGACTTTGGTCTTCCCAGGAATATGGCCTTAGGCAGCTAGAAGTCATTGATCAAGTCTTTTAGTGCTGGGATTTGGATGGAGTCGTTCCCGGTGACAGTTGTTGCAGTTCTCACTATCCACGGCAGTAAAATCAGGGCCCCTCAGAAGCGCTGTGCTGTTGGAGCAATGAGAAAATCATTAAACTTTTGGTATTCGCTTTTCCGTACCCCTTCTTCAAACACCCAGGCTTGAACTTTACAATCTAAGGAGTGTCTCCTCCTACTGCTACCTCTCCCTGAGTGGGTGGAGGGGATGCAAATTGAAGCCAAGACCTCAGGGAACAAGGAGTGACTGGCCTTGGCTGCAGTTTGGAGATGCCTGCTGCCATCTGCCTTAGGGCTTATCCACTCCTCACCACTAAACTCAATGGGGCTAAATAAATTGGGTGATGGCCCTCTCCTAATGCATGGCCTAACGGGGTAGTTGGTACCCTGGAGAGGAGAGGGGGCCAGGGATAGATTCCCAAACCAAAATAACAAGATATTCTGAGAAGCACAGCTATTTCTAAAGGAAAACATATCCTGGATTACAGCTTCCACTAGAAGCAAAAAGCATTAGAGAATAAACACAGCAGGACTTTTAAATTATTCTAAAAATTTTGTGTATAAAAAAAGGATGTTTGAAAGGCCGGGCACGGTGGCTCATGCCTGTAATCCCAGGACTTTGGGAGGCCGAGGCGGGCGGATCATGAGGTCAGGAGATCGAAACCATCCTGGCTAACACGGTGAAACCCCGTCTCTACTGAAAATACAAAAAAATTAGCCGGGCGTGGTGGCGGGCGCCTTGTAGTCCCAGCTACTCCGGAGGCTGAGGCACGAGAATGGCATGAACCTGGGAGGCGGAGCTTGCAGTCAGCCGAGATCGCGCCACTGCACTCCAGCCTGGGCAACAGAGCGAGACTCCGTCTCAAAAAAAAAAAAAAAAAAAAAAAAAAAAAAAAAAAAAGATGTTTGAAACAGAGGGGATGGGGTGAAGCGGTGAATACAAACAGAAATAAATTCATGAAATTGATGAATTTGAAGACTTTAGATTGAAAGGGCCCAGAAAGTGCCAAAGAGGAGAATCTTACAAATATTATATTATATTTGTAAGTGAATATATTATATATTATAGTGAATATATTATATATAACATATAATAGTGAATATATTATATATTATATTATATATATTATATAATAGTGAATATATTATATATTATATATTCTGAATATATTATAGTGAATATTATAGTGAAATGTAAGAATACAAAGACATAGACAAAATTCAAAACCAGAAAACAAAACAGCAGATGATATAGAGAGGAAGAAGACTCAGATTGACGTCAGATTTTTCAATAACAGTGGTTATAGATGGACATTTTCTTTTCTTTTCCTTTTTTTTCTTCCTTGAAATGGAGTCTCGCTCTGTCGCCCAGGCTGGAGTGCAGTGGCGAGATCTCGGCTCACTGCAAGCTCTGCCTCCCAGGTTCACGCCATTCTCCTGCTTCAGCCTCCTGAGCAGCTGGGACTACAGGCGCCCGCCACCACGCCCGGCTAATTTTTTGTATTTTTTAGTAGAGACAGGGTTTCACCGTGTTAGCCAGGATGGTCTCGATCTCCTGACCTCATGATCCACCCGCCTCGGCCTCCCAAAGTGCTGGGATTACAGGCATGAGCCACCGCGCCTGGCCCAGATGGACATTTTCAAAGGACTGAAGGAAAATTACCTTTGAATTTTACATCCAGCAAAATGTCATTCAAATGTGAGGACATGATAAAAATATTCTCAGGCATAAAATATTTTAAAAGTTTGCTCCACAAAGATACATTTAAAAATGCTTTTGGATAAGTATTTAAAAGAAAAAGAAAGACAAATCTGGAGATGTTCCAAGAGATGAATGAAGTAAAGGTGATCAAATAAATACTTCAGCATTGGTTACTGTGGTTTAAAAATAATAAAGACAAAAAAAGAGAAGAGAAAATACATCAATAACAACCAAGAATTTAAAGTCTAGTTTAGTGATTCTCAAAGTTTATTGTACATATGAACATCTGGAGTGCTTGTTTACATGAGAATTCTGATTCAGTAGATCTGAAATGGGGTCCAAAGTTCTGCAATTCTAATCAATAAGTTCCCAGTTGTTGCTGATGTTGCTACTCCTTGGACCACATTTTAAGAAAAAAACAGGGTATTGTTTAGATCAACATGATAGGTGCTGGAAGGAAGAGGAGACAAGGGATGAGAGAGTCCTTGCTTTATTCAGGGTAAGACACAGCTTCAATTAAAAGATAAGTAAGACAGGAGTAAAAAGAAATGTAGAAAAAGAGGAACACATTGAAATAAGAAATTAAGATGGTAGTAACAATAACAAAGATATCAATAATTACAATAAATATGAATAAAGGAAATCTAATGGTTTAAAGATACAGATGTATAAATAAAAGCTCAAATCCAGATGTAAACGGTTTCTGTGAGAAACACTTTAAGAATTTGGTTATGCAAAAGTTTGAAGTAAGGCTGGGCGTGGTGGTTCACGCCTGTAATCCCAGCACTTTGGGAGGCCAAGGCAGGTGGATCATGTGAGGTCAGGAGTTCGAGACTAGCCTGGCCAACATGGCAAAACCCTGTCTCTACTAAAAATACCAAATTAACCCAGTGCAGTGGCACGAGCCTGTAATCCCAGCTGCTTGGGAGGCAGAGGCAGGAGACTCCCTTGAACCTGGGAGGCGGAGGTTGCAGTGAGCTGAGATCACACCACTACACTCCAGCCTGGGTAACAGAGCCAGACTCCGTCTCAAAAAAAAAAAAAAAAGAAAGTTTGAAGTGAAAGTATAGTAAAAACAAGACCTATCAGGAATACAATAATCAAAATAATATTGATAACTATGTTATATTAAATTAAATACACTTTAAGACAAAAAATATTTGGGATGGAGAGAGCCATGACTTAAAAAGATTGAATTTATCAAGGAAGTATAGCAATTTTAAACAAGTAGACACCAGTAAAATAGCCTCAAAATATATGCAGCAAAAAATTGTTATTTCTATAATGATAAATGTGCTATCATAGTGGGAAATTTCAACACATCACTGTTATTTACAGGTTACACAATAAACAAATCAGTAAAGACACAGAAGAAAAATAAGTAAAACAGGCCAGGCACAGTGGCTTATGCCTGTAATCCCAGCATTTTGGGAGGCCAAGGCGGGCAGAGTTCAAAATCAGCCTGGCCAATATGGTGAAACCCTGTCTATACTAAAAATACAAAAATTAGCCAGGTGTGGTGGCATGCACCTGTAGTCCCAGCTACTTGGGAGGCTGAAGCAGAAGAATCACTTGAACCCGGGAGGCGGAGGTTGCAGTGAGCTGAGATCGCGCCACTGCACTCCAGCCGGGATGACATTTTAAGACTATGTCTTAAAAGAAAAAAAAAATTAAAACAACACATTTAACAAGCAACACAATTAAGCTTGATTGTTAATTGGGGGAGGGGGGTATGATTATGCATGCATTAGGAAATATACAATTGTCTCATGCACATGTGAGACGTTTTAGAAAAGTTGATCATATATAATCTATTAAATCCTCAAAAATTTGAGATCTTACAATATCTAACCATAATAAAATTATGCTAGAAGATAATTTAAAAAATAAAAATATCCCTGATCATATGGAAATTTAAAACACACACACATACACACACATACACAACACTATGTAACTCTTAGGTTAAAGAAAAACATCATAGTGAAATTTAACAATGACAAACACAGAATTATAAAGAAACACTAGATATTAGGAACTGTGAGATATGGCAAAAATGCTTTAAGGAAGATTTACAGCCACAAGCCTCATATTAAAAAAGAAGAAATTCTTAAAATTAATGATTTAAATATTCATCTTAAGATGATAGAGTATGATTGACAGAATAAATCAAAGAAAGTAGAAGTCAACAAATATCAAAAGCATAGCAGAAATAAAAATACGAGACAAAAGTATAATTGGAAAGTCAACAAAATGTATCACGATTAGTATGCAGGATATAATTGCAGACAAAGAAAATACTGATATGTGCCACCTGAGGGTGAGCCTTGGCGTTCATAAACAAATTTGTGGGGTCAATTTCCTCAGTTCTTCCTCCCTGAAATCTGTCTGGTATGTTTCAATTCTCTGCCTTCACCCTTTTTGGTTCCCTAGTCAGAAACTTGGGGCTCTAATTACCCCGATACTGGCAGGCTCTGTTGTGGACTGCTGTGATGAGATTCATGTTCTGGCTCAAGTGGAGGAAGACGGGCAATAAAAAAAACAAAACAAAATACGACAATCAACCAGGAAAACAAAGAGAGTTTGTCCTACCCTCTTGAAACTGCAAGCTGTATAGAACAGAGAAGACTCCTCCCTCAGAGTTTTCATTCTTACTGGTTCCAGTAACTGCAGCTGCCATCTCCACCAACACCACAAGATTGCCTGGAAACTGAGGCACAACAGAATGGAGAAATAAAGAGAAAGGTGGGAGAGAGTTCTCCACTCTCTCTTAGCATTAGGAGTTTCCTTTCCCAGTCCTTGAGCCAGGGGAAGATGGTCTCTCCTGGAGCTTTCTCTTTCTGTGCCACAGAGCTCATTTCCAACTTACCACTTGTTTTGACTTTAGATTGGGAGATGTCAAAGGGAAAATAAAAAGGTCAACTTAGTACAAATTCACAAAATTCACTTCAAATTCTGGTGTTCTGTCCTGATCTACCTACTACTATTTACTTTTCAGAGTTTTCAAATAGTTGCTTCATACATTCTGTGCAGGTTTTAAAGTTGTGTTCAACAGGAAAAGAAAGAATAAAGTGTACTTACTGCATTTTATCCAGAATTGGAGCCGATACTATTTTATGAAGTTAAAAAAATTGAAATGTAAAATATTTATATTCTTTAGGGATATCATAGATGCAACAAAGTTATATGAAAAAGAAGTCAAACAAAAAATGCACGTGAGATTCAGGATAATGGTTTCTCTAGATGAAGGAAGGCAGGTGTATAGGTTGGCAGGGGTACCATTCCATTTGTTTGATATAGATCATTATTAAGATACTTGCTTTTGTTTTGGGTGGCGCTTTCTCAAGCATTCATAACCTCTTGAAAACTAAATAAATACATAAATAAAACTAGGCTGCACATAGACCAATGAAAAAGACTATTAATCAAGAATAGTGATCGGTACAATTTTGTACACCTGAATACAAAATAATAAATCAATAGAGGAAAAAATAGAAGAAAAATGTTTTCTTCTTGCCTTTGAGAGGTTAGAGGTGAGAGGTTATAAATCAGGGTCATTTAAGCTCTGTTGTACCAACAAATGAACCTGAAATCTCAGTCACTTAGTATAATGAATGTTTGTTTCCTAGTCACACAAAGCCCAAGTCTGATGCTACTGGCTACATAACTCTCCTTTTAGCAATGACTTAGGAATTAGGGTTCATCTATCACATGACTCCATCATCTTGAAGCCCTTTCCTTCAAGCCATACATAAGAAGAAAATAAGCATGAGAATAAAGACAGAGGGGAGATCTCTCTGGAGATTTTAGGAATCAGGTCCAGAAGACGTATGTAACTCATCTGTCCACAATCCACTGTGGACCCACCTAGATGTAAAAGGACCCGGCAACATAGTGTTTTGAGTGCTTAAGAAGGAAATTGTTATGCTCGGGCATGGTGGCTCATGCCTGTAATCCCAGAACTTTGGGAGGCCAAGGTGGGCAGATCACGAGGTCAAGAGATCGAGAGTATCCTGGCCAACATGGTGAAACCGAGTCTCTACTAAAAATAAAAAATTAGCTGGGCGTGGTGGCACGCACCTGTAGTCCCAGCTACTGGGGAGGCTGAGGCAGGAGAATCACTTGAACCAGGGAGGCGGAGGTTGCAGTGAGCTGAGATCCCACCACTGCACTCCAGCCTGGCGACAGAGCGAGACTCTGTCTCAAAAAAAAAAAAAAAAAAAAAGAAGGAAATTTTAAAAGTTTGGTGAACACATAGTATTGTCTCTGTCACAAGACACTTTTACCATAATGATATTCAATATTCAAGGTTTAAGTTACTGCCTCTATTCTGCTATGCTATAATCTCCCTTTTGTACATAGTATCTGCTATACAATAATCACATTCTAGTATAATATTCCTCTAATATCTGATAAACACACACAAATTGAATATAGATATCTAGTTATTAAACATCATCCATGATATCTCTCTGGTCTCCTGTATGATTTACTAAAAGAGTTGTTTTCCTCAGTGTAAAAATTAGTTCAGAAAGCCATACTGGTATTTACATAACATTAACACATCCTTCATCATACTATTCTTAGGTGTTTTAAAAGTTGAAATATTAATGTTTTTGCCCTGAAAGCCATAATTTCATCACATTTCTCTCATTCAACAGAAACATAGTAATTCACTTAGAGCTCCTATAGGAAAAAGATAAACAGCAAAGAGATACCCCAAATCGAAACTAAGAGACTGCTGGAGAAAATAGTGCACTAGAAATTTTGCTGAATTGCTACTGACTCTTTAGTTTACAGCTTGATGTACTAGCAATATCAAGACAAAAAGGCAACATACAAGCCAAAGACAAAGTTGATGATTTTAGCTAAATGTAACATAGAGAAAATAATCAAATGCTAAGCGTGGCAGATAAGGGTAGAAATTAAGAAAAGGTACAATTTCCAAGTTTGCCACTGTGAGACATTGAACAAGCCTTGATTTCCTCATCTGTAAATTGGCCATAACAACAGTACTGATTTATTTTGAAGATTAAATGAATTAGCAGGTATAAGATGCCTCCAGTGGTGCCTGGCACATAATAAGTACTGAATAAATGCTAGCTATTATCATTTCACAAAAGAATTTAACAAAGCTTTGATTGACACTAAAAAGTCAAAGACATGATTATCTTCATTATCCAGTTTCTTTTCTATGTTAAATTATACTAAATTAATTACAATTCCAAAAGAAAACCCCATTTATTTCCTGAAAACATTTTTTAAAATAAACAAATCCTGCCTTTTCATATCCATTTCACAGGAAGACCTTTGTGTTCAAATATGATACAATATTTAACTTTCACAAACATCTGCCTACACTTTAGTTTTTATTATTTTTAATAATCTATAATTAATGTAGGAGTTAGATGTTTTTCTTCTGATATTAAAACAAACTTCTGTTTTTTTTTTGGAGACAGAAATTGCTCTGTCACCCAGGCTGGAGTGCAATGGCGCCATCTCGGCTCACTGCAACCTCCACCTCCCGGGTTCAAGCGATTCTCCTGCCTCAGTCTCCTGAGTAGCTGGGACTACAGGTGCGTGCGACCACACCTGGCTAATTTTTGTATTTTTAGTAGAGACAGGGTTTCACTATGTTGGCCAAGCTAGTCTCGAACTCCTGACCTCGTGATCCGCCCACCTTGGCCTCCCAAAGTGCTGGGATTACAGACATAAGCCACCGCGCTCGGCCTAAAATAAACTTCTTTTTGGTAAAACTTTGTTATTAAAATATGAAATATATGCACAAGTGCATACATTATAAGCATACAGGTCAGTGAATTTTCACAGTATGAATATACCCAATTAACGAACACCAGGATCAGAAAAAACCAGAACATTATAGCATCCCTGAAACTCTTTTTATGCTTCCTTCTAGTCATTACTTCCACCAAGGATAACTCCTATCCTTATGTGTTGAAGTGTAGATTTGGTTAGTTTTGTCCTTTCTATAAATGCAGTCTTACAGTATGTACTCTTCTGTGTCTGGTTTATTTTGCTCAACATTTTGTTTGTGAGATTCAATAATATTGTTGTGGATAACTGTAGCTTGTTAGTTCTTATTCCTTTATGGCAGCCAACAGTCTAGATATACCACAGTTTATTCATCCATTTTACTCCTGATGAGCATTTGGGTAGTTTCCAGTTTGCAACTTTTTTGGAATAAAACTGCTCTGAACTTTCTAATACGTGTTTTTGGTGAACATATGTCTGAATTTGTGTTGAGTATATACCTAAGAATGGGATTGCTGACATCATAGGTTATGCATATGTTTAGATTTAATAGGCACTGCTGAAAAGTCTTCCAAGGTTGTTGAAACAATTTTATCTTTCACCATGAGTAGACGTGAGTTCCAGTTGCTTCAACTCTTCACCCACATTTTCCGTTGCCCATGATTTCATTTTAAACATTTTGGGGAATGTGTCATGATGTTGCACTATGCTTTAAATTTATATCACCCTTATGTCTAATTAAGTCACTTACCTTTTGATGCATTCATTTGCCATTTGGCTATCCTCCTTTGTAATGTGAGTAAAATAGACTTCTTCAATTGGTAAATATATGTTTCAGTATTTTGTTCATTATTATTATAACTAGCTGGTTAGACAAAGCAGATTCACCTACTTGGCTTGTACTGAACAAAGTTAGACTGGTCCTCAGATGAACTGTCAGTAATACCCATGAGTTGTAGTCAGACAAGGTTATTCTAACCCCAAACACTACCAGCTTATTAAAAAAAAAAAGAAAAGAAGAAGCTATCCTGAATGTCTAGTTCCCTTCAACTCTGTAGCCAGTATAACAAAAATAAAAACAAAACACAAAACAAAAATAAAATGGCGATGACTCCTTACACCACTATAATATTCTCTGATCAGAAAAGAAAAGAAATGAAAACAAATTTTAAAAGCTAAAATGAAACAAAGCACTCCTCTCTCAAACACATACTATGTTCTAGGTACTCTATGGAGTATACATACTACAACATCCCCAGGAGGAGGTAATCCCATTAACTTCATTTTTTTACAGGAGGACATTCAGACTCAGAAAAGGTAAGGAATTTTCTCAAGGCCATATGGTGATAGGATTCAAACCAGATCATATTATATCAGATATCTCCATTATGTCCTCAACTTATCTTTTTAAATAAAAGGCTGACAGGCGATATGGCTGAGTCATGCCAGAAAAGAACTCCTAAAACTTCCTAGCTATGTAAGCTTGAATAACTATGTCACTTTCCTGGGTGAGACTCAATTTCCTCTGTCTAAAATAAAGAGATTATTCAAGGTTGTCTCTAGAGCCCCCTTCAAAAACTGATTCTATGATTTTAAACACTTTTGAGTTCTACTACCAGAACCAATGTTATTTCCTTCTAGGTACAAGAAAATTGGCCTACTTAGATGTTGCTCTTTATTACTGGTCTTCACTCTTTTGTGATTTTTATCTTGCTTTATCGATAAACCTCAAGGTCACCGAAATAACACCTTCTCTGTTCAGTCTTCCCTGATTCTTTTAGGCTGAATTCAGATCTCTCCTAGAGTACTTACCACAGCATGTATTACATGTGCTGTTTGTGGGTCACTCTATTGCTAGACATGAGCTCCTTAAAGACAAGGACTGTGCCTTACACATCCCTAGAGCCTCAACACCCTGCACTGTCTGTCACATAGCATGTAATTAATAAATGATAGACAAATGAATAGGTGAACAAATATTACTATCTCCAGTCACATAGGCTGAATATTTGAAAGCCAGAAGTGGGACCTCTATGATTATTTCTAGTTACCCTCTATCTTTCATTCCCAGAAACCAAGCAAGAGTGTGACTATAAGCACAGTCCCAGCCTCAGCTCTCCACAGGAGGGAGAGCTTGGAGTATAAATTGCACCACAGAGTTTTTTCAAACTATAGTAAAAAGAGCCAGGGTTTCATACTTCCACATCAGTCAGTTCTTGGGTAAGGTGGAAGAGGGTTTCAAATTCCAGGTACTTCCTGTTCTCATCACAGGCATGACACACAGTGCTAGTAGCCCAAGAGCAATTGTTAAAGAGGGTATGGGTGCTGGCCTTTAGAAGCAAACTACAGAGAAGAGGGTGATGGCTGTGAGTACACAGAGCTAGTCTGGGCTGAACTTTCACAGCCCCTGCCTTACCTTCTTTTCCCAATCTATTTTCCTCTGAAAAATATTATTAATCTAGGTAATTTGAGTGATACTGAAATTTGATTCCATATTTTATACTTGGAAACATTAGCTCACACTGTTCTCTTCCTTCATCAAACCTATTTTATACGCTGTAATTACCGTGAAATGCCCTGAATCATTTCAGAGGAAGTGATCTTCCATATATTTACATCAATACCGTTTCATTTATTTTCCCAAACCCAGAAGAGTATGAATTCTGCCCTACCACCCCCAAAGCATTCAATGCAGGAAATATTATTATTTTACCTGCTTCAACCACAATATCTGAAGCTATTTTTTTGTGCGTTCAATTTGAAGTAGAAGATATGCCACAGGTTCTGTGTCCTGGATATCATGAAGTCTGATATAAATACATATAAAAAGTGCAAGTGGTCTATTTCAGCAGAACTCTATGCAGAGATCAGAAATTCACCAGGAAATAGGTCTTTGTAACTCCCAAGTTCTGGTTAGATTTTAATAAAATGTAAGCTTTAGGAGAGCAGGAAACTGAACTAGATATATCCATAATGATACCCTCAGTACTTTGAACCATGCCTGGCACATAGTGGGTTTCCAGGGCACATTTCCTGAATCAATTACAATTTTAATATTTCACCCACCTGAAATATTGTTCTGCGGTTTTATTTAAACTGGCTGTCAGCATGGAATGACTTCTGCATTCTCTCCTGGAAGTGGGTGAATTTCCATGGTGAGCCATTCCTCTATATACAGTTTGCAAATCATTTTGGGAACCTTCCAAATGAAAGGCACTGTATAAATATACCCTCCCACCAGCAGCCAGCCGGCTTTCCACCGGGGATGCATTTGCATCGCTTATGTACACAGTGTTTCATTTGGGGCATTGCTTTTATTTTTATGACCATAAAAGAAATATTCACAGTATGAACAATAATGTAAACTGCATTCAAGAAGATATATATTTATATATTTTTATGATTCAAAACTTAGAAATCTGAAAGAAAAGCAGGCATGGCATTTTTCTTTCCTGTTGCTGTTTGCTTTTTCATAGCATTCTTTATTATTCCTGAACTTTATGGTGGAATTTTGCTGAAATGCTCAAGTCTTTGTCTGTACCTCATTTGAGAATATGTGGTGGTGGGTTCAAATGAATATTGCTGGCAAAAGGCCTGAAAATGAAGAGTACTTGATTTTGCATTTATTCAAGGCTATAATAATAGTTTGCTTTAGCGCAGCTTTTTGTGGATGGAGGCTTCTTTAAGGAGAGAAAGAGAAAAAGAAGCAACCTCAGGTATAAAATACCTTCTAAGTAACTTAGCATGATAATCGAAACTTTCACAGATGGAAGAGGCTTTGAAGAGACGTATTTTAGCCTTCAAAACAAAAGGGGGGCTGATTTCATAGAGCATTGTGGGGAGCTAGACTTTGAATTCATATCATATGGAAAATGTTTAGTGAACTTTGAAATAAACTGCCAACAGAATTAAATCAAAACCTCTGTAAATTATGTATTTATCTACATAGAATCATCTGCACACAAAAATGAACTGAATTATAACTTCTTAATTTATACATTTCCATAATTAAATTTAAACTGAATAAAATAACCCAATTCAGACATATTTCCTAACCTTAAGGATATTCTAGCCTTAAGGATTTTATTAAAAAGAGAAGCTACTCTGAATATTCAGAGTAATTTTATATAAAAAGTATCTAAAAAGGTAGATTAAATAAAACTCTTGTTCACTTCACTGAGTGGCTGGCAGCTGAGTAGGCTCTCTTTCTCTCTTTAAAGAAGCCTCCATCCACAAAAAGCTGCGCTAAAGCAAACTATTATTATAGCCTTCAATGACGTGAAATGTGAAGAATTAAATTTCAACTACCAATAGTTAAAGACAGAATCAATAAGAACTTGAGTTCATTTCAGGTGTTGATCATTCTCTTTCGTAAATACCAAATTTGATATTTTCTCACGTTTTACTACTAAAACAATGAAAGTGATTTTTGAAACCTTAACTATAGGATAGTAATATTAGGAAATAGCTCACTCAGTTTATTTTGGGGTTTGTAAAGTGGGGTTATATTCTCCATCTCCCAAGTCAGAATATTTCTGTAGCTAACCTTTAATTTCATACTCCCATTAATACCAACCTTGTTTCATTAAAATGAATCTAATGTACAGTATCTTGACATTCTTCTTTATTACTAGAAAATAAAACAGCAGTTTCTTCAACTGAGAAAAGCTAGAAGCATGGAATTGATCTGCAGCCAGTTTTTACTACAAACCCCATAATGCTTTGCATTATAGCCTACAATCCCCATACTGCAGTGCCAAACCTACAGTTAACCATCATATTACTGGAAAGAAAAAGAACAGAATATTTGAGAACTATGTAGCATGCAAGGATTCTACTTGAATAGTAAATTATCAATTTGTTTCCAGTATTTTGTGATTTGCTTGCCTTTTCCTTTAGTAAAAAAGGCATATTTATGGATATGCACTCTATTTCCTCATCCTCAATATAATGTCGCATATTCTCAAATGATATATCAAGGTATATACTTTCCATGTCAAAGACTCTTTTTTAAAAATATCCATCATTGGGTTGTGTAGTTTTCCACCCTCCTTTGGAGGGAGGTCAGCTTTATTCAGATTTTAAAATAAAAATCACAATACATTGTTGAATGCTCTAAACATCTGCAAATGAGAATTCAGTGAAGTAATTAAAATTCTTAATTAGATGCACCTTGCAGCTGCCGTTAGTCTTAATTGGCAATAATGCAGCTACATTTTGTTCTGACACATATCTTCAGAAGAGTTAGAGAACTGAAGGGAGGCAAGAGGAAAATGTTCCCACACAGTTCAAGATAGTTCGCACAAAGAGGATCCCATGGCAACAAACAGCGAGGCCCACAGTTGGCTCTGTAGGATCCAGGAATAGACAATGCTTCACCTCAGATTCAAACAAACACTTCCTTTCCTGGATCTGATCATTTCATTTGAAATGAAAGCACTTTAAATCATCTCTTGAAATAGGATTGAAGTGGTCAAATGTTCACCTGTGTCCTCGAGATGCTTTTCAAAGCTTCTAGATGCTCTCTGCAGCCCATGTCAAGGTAATAATCATAACTCCTTCTCTGTGTACAGTAACAAACTGACTTGCAGAACATTTCAAAGAGAGGACGTGATTTTTGTACCATATGGAGCTGGACAGCACGTTGGCAACTGGTTAATTTCAACCTGTCATTTTATAGACAAGGAAACTGAGGCCAAGAGAAATTAAAGTGATTCCCTTGGGTAATTATGGCTACTTAGGAGTAGAATTTAGACTCAAATCTAGGATTGGAGCCTACGGTCAAGACGTTTACTTTTAAATTTTGCTTGAAGCAATTACATTTACACTTGTTACTTGTGCCCCCCTCCAGGTCTGCTTGAGGTCTATTCACATTCAACTGGGTCAACTAGAGGACTGTGATGGAAGGTATAGAAAATCTAGATCACTCACGTTGAAAGGAGGGGAATATATTTCCTCTTCACTTCTAATCTTCAGTTTAGGCTGAATTATAGCATGTGGGGAAGAAGCAGAGGGAAGAAAAACACTGGCACAGAAGATGTGAACATGGGTGAGTTAGCTTCAAAGAAACCTTGTAAGACTTGCCTACCGACTTTAACCACATTTTCCCTCTGCTTAGGTTGGAAATTTCAGTGTACTGCTCCTTTTTTCGAAATACAGTTTTACCTCCCTGTCTAGTCTCCCTGCCTGCTGTTATTCTCACCTGCGCGCTTAGTTTGTATTCGTTTAGCTCACATTTTACCTAATTTTTAAAGTGTTTTCTTTATCTTGATGCGTGTTTTACTCCCCAAATTAAAACAGTTCTGAAGGGCCAAGGCTACTTTACCTATTTATTCTATTTTTGGTTTATCCGGTTAAGCCTGCCATTACAAAAGCTTGTGGGATACATTACAAAATGGGTTAAGGTTTTTAAGTACATGGGCTGCCGGTGTTGAATGGGAAAGGTTGCAGGGTGGGGAGAGGGAGAGAAGTAACTAGAAAAGCGGCTCGCTGCCTTTTAATCATCCAGCCTACTCAGCTGCCGGAAACTGACACTGTTGCTGCAGTGTAAACATTAACATTTTTTAAGGGTCTTGCTACTCCAAATGTGGTCCACAGCCCAGCAACATTATTATGGGCCACGGGCGAGCTTATTAGAAACGCAGGGTCTCAGGCCTCACTCCAGATGTACCGAATCCGAATCTGCATTTTAACAAGACACCCAGGTGACGGTGTGTACATCAAAGTTTGAGAATCACGGAATCACATGTGAGTGTTATACTATCCCAATGTAAATGGTCAAGGACCTTAAATTGAGCAAATAACCTAATGTATTTACCCGTACCTACTTTGACCCTCTTTCTTCATCACAAATTCATCTCAGAAACCAGCAGCGAACTCTTTTGCAGGGAACTCAATTACGCGGTGGATGGGAGGAGGATCCTCTTCAATACCCTCCCCTCCGCTCCTCCTCCCACTCCCCACCCCCACCCCGCACTCCCAGAGAGCCTTCCACAGGCACCCTTCTCCCAAGCCCCACTCACTTAGGGAAGATTTTGCTCCTCCCCCAAACTGAAAGCGCGGCTGTGAGGAGGGTTACTGCTTGAAGGACTCACAGTTTGCATATCAATACAGACAGAGGCACTTTTGCAAAACTGCCCTTTAGAAACAATTATCATCTTAGCACCTGAGGTTTGTTTGGAGCAGCCCCCGCACCCCTTCTCTCTTGTAATCCATCTTAAAGTGATACGGAGAATGGGGGCGTTGGGGAGACAGTGATGGGGGTGGGAGGGTCGCGCGCAATAATAAATCTGCTTCAAAGAGAAGAGATGAAAAGGAGGTTATCAAGAGTGTGTCGGCTTAGGCATCACTCTCTGTATCTTTCTGCTTCCTAGAGAAATGGAACCATAATTCTAAGGTGGCTAAGGCAAGACTGTATAAGCATCCAAATTTGCCAGTCTGCTTTTGCCTGGAAGAACAGATTTCCGTTATTTGAAGCCTCCCAGGGTCCTTTCCAAAAGATTCCCAGGCTACCTTCCTTCCACTTCGGTCTTCTGAGAACTCAAACTCGCAAAGCGGTGGCTGTCTGTGGATTGGCTAGTACTAAAATATCCATTGGGTGGCAGTAATACTATCCTCTTTATGACTTGCAGCAAACCAGAGAATGCATTCAATCAAATGAACCGATCTTGTAGAAACACTGGAATCATTTATGCGTTGCAGTTTCTCTTTCTTGTTTTCGCTCCTTCTTCCCTGGGATATTTTGAGTGGATTGTGGCTATTAATCAAGATCTCGTGCTATTCGTGTTTTGCTTGTGGTTTTCGCTCAGGATTAGCATCATTCAAGGCAAACGCAAAGCTGCTTTTCCCACCCCCCCCCCCGACTCTTTTTTGAAAAATCATTTTTGGGGGCTGCTGAGGAGAGCTAGGACCCAGGAGACACCTTCCCAAACAGCAGGGGTTGTGTGCTTTCACATAGCAGTACTGTACAAGGAAAACCCCGTCGGATCTGTTATTGCGGGATACTTGTGAAATATACATAGGATTCTTTCTTATGGCTGCATCCCGGATCTGGAAATTTTACTTGGGGACCAGGAGGATTTGAAAGGCTGCATGTACTCAGAAGATTTGCAAGCAACACTCCAATTCTTGTCATAGAGCTCGCAGACTTCTCACTTATCGGCTTTTTTCCTTCCTTATTTTTTAAGAATTATTCTTATTTTCCCCTCTCTTTTTCTGCTCTCTCCTCTCTCAGTCTCTCCTTTTCTATCTGCCTCTTCATTTTTCTCCTAGTCTGTTTTTTTTTTTCCTGCTCTGCACCTGGATTGTATCTTCAGCAAACAATCGGGCACTTTGAGAACTAACTGGAGACAGTCTTGTAGGGAAGATCTGTATGGAATTATCTGCTTTTATGGTGAACTTGGCATTTGTGAATGGGAATCTTGTTCACAATATTAATTGCTAGCAAAAACAAGAAAAAGAACACAGGAGTAAAACGTGGATTTTTCTGAATACGCATTGTGATGACCAGCAATTACCTTACCGACTAATATCCAGAGGAGAATAATTTGGAAGACTGTTGTGGGTAAGGTCATTTTATATATGCAAACCCATCAGTGGCATGAGCAAACTTGGGCATTTGTAATGGGAATGGGTGACTTGAATGATTGCTGCATCGCATTGATGGCTGTGATGTGGCCGTTATTGGCACTGAATGGAATAACTGCAGTTGGGTGTGTTGATATGTGTGTGTGTGTGTGTGTGTGTGTGTGTGTGTGTGTGTGTATGTGTGTGTGCGTGTGTGTGTATATGTATGTGTGCCCGTATTCTGAGTGCAATTGAAAATCAAAGTATCACTCTCTCCCCCAATTATTTTGATATGGAAGAGTGTCTTGAATTAATTCTGGGTAGACACTCTTTGTTTGAATGTAATATTTGTGGCCCCTGCGTTCTGGAAGGGGTAGCAGCAGTAAAAGAAACACTTAGTGAAGAGCCCCATTTAAAATGAAACGAGCTACTCTCTATGCATTAAAAGAAATATGTTTTCAACTCAGTGCAGCATTCTGCTGCATTTCACAGCCGCAATGGGACCAGGGACATCCCACTTGTCAAGTTCTTAAACTTTAAGGTGATAATCATCGTTAATTGTTCTCTAGGTTGTGGTTACTGGAGATTATTAAGCGCCCTGGGCTACTTTTTTATCTACTGGATTATCACTCAGAGTGAAAAAAGGAAAAGAAAAGAAAAAGCTAAAAATGATGGCTAACATAGAGAAGAATAAGGCAACATTATCTTAAATATCACCACAGTGCTTTCTTTCTCAAGTTCAATTGCCCAATAATATAATTATTTACCCAATATCCTAAATAGCTGAAGCTGAGACCCACGTGCAGGGGAGTCGAAGGTCTGAAAGCAGAGACCGTCCTTTTATTGCAATGCAGCCAGCTTGGGAAATGCAGGCAATTAATTACATACTTCCCCTAACCTTAAGTTGAAGATGTGTCCTGTCTGCTACATCTATTTTACCCTTTCGGTAAAAAGTTAGAGACTAGAACACTAAGGATGTTTAAGCATATTCTGCCTGGGAAATGGGATAAAGAAATCAATATTGATGACGTGGTTCAGTGCACTGTACTGCAATGCTAAAGTTCCATATTCAGTGCCTGTGATGAGAGAGTGGAGCATTTACATATGTTATAAATCTCACCTGGTAGATTGATCCAAAGGGGAGGGGAGAAGATATGTGGATATGTAGGAAGATGGATGGAAGTCGTGCATAATCGGTGATTATGTAACTTCATTACATCAGCGAGTTTCAGTCAACGATAGTGAGATGAGATGATTGTATAGAGAGAGGCTCCATCACCCTGTTAACTTTTGAAGGCTTGTAACAGCTAACAGAGGAGGAGGGCAGAGAGAGATTAGCTCCAAGGGTCCTGTAAACCTTGATCTCTATGGCAAATTTTGCATGAGTTTTCTCATAGTGAGTTTCGGAGGGACATCAGATCATATAAGCTTTAGGGCTGGACAGGACCAATTTTAGCCACACCCGTGGAGAGTCAAAATGAGTCTGCGATGTTTCAGAAGTGCCCCATTGAGTAACTGGGACTGATGATTCCAGCCAAGGTCATAGTTCTTTACCCTAGGATTGAAATATATGACCCCAACTGAATGGAAAGTTAAATTCATTGAAATGATGACTGTGAACGGAATGAATATTTAGGGTCCTTTCTTGCATTTTTCCTGGTAGAGCTTGATGCAGATTTCAGCCTGGTGGTTCCCTCATAAAAATGATGATTGCTTCCACAGCGTGTCAGAAATGACTGTTTTGTCCCTTTATCTTAACCATGACAATCTCTTTCTGGGCCATTTTAACCTTCTGGGAAAAGAGAAGTAAAAGCATTCAAAGGTAACAGTACCCTGTTAAATTACAAATTAAATGGCACTGGATTCATTATTAACACAAATCCCAGAAAAAAAGAGCAATCCATGTTCAAGTTTCACTTATTGAATGGCTTAAAAGACAGGTTGCAGCTGCCAAAGACTTTTACCATCATATGAGATAAATGTACTGTGCTCACTGTGCAGAGAAGGGAATACTGCAGAATAAAATGTCATTTTCCCTCATGTTTTATCTGGAGTTGTGATTTTTTTTAAAGAAGATACACATCAGGTCCTTTTGGCCTTCTACTGTTTTAGGATCTGTTTTCTCCTCAATAGATCACATATTCACAAAAAATGAAACTTCTGAAATCCTAACCCTGTTCAGTTGAATCACCTTATTATCTAGTTGTGCTATTTCCTATTTCTCTTTACATTTATTTTACAAAGAGGGCTAAACGACTTTTCTGTCAGGGAGATGAGATGATTTTTTTCTGTTTTTCTTTTATTTCTCATATTCCATTTCCTTCCAGTCCTAAGGAGTAAGATGCAGAATCTAGACACCCTCTAAGTAACTTTGAAAAGATTTGCTCACCCTGAGTCAGAATGGTGGGATTGGGGAATGAAATTCTAAGGTCTGATATTTGAGGTGACTTTCATACTTCTGCAGGACATGCACAAACATTGATGTATTGTGCCAGTGGATTGGGAGGTTTGGCGTTCATATTGTGTAGGAAATTGAATGTGAATTTAACTCCTGATTCCTTCCTTCAGGGGTCAGGGTAGCACAACAGCTGCTTCCAGGCTGTTGGTTTCCAACTATGTGCACAAATATAGTCTGTAATGATTTTTCCTACTCCTTCTTTCAATATTTTATAAATGACTTCCTCAGTTGTTTTCTGACGTAAGCCACACATATGTTACCAAGCAGGGCATAGGTTTTCTAAGCTCAGTAGGAGATGGAAATAATAGCAGGATGGAAAAAGATTCTGTACAAAAAGACACTGGTTGTGAAGCAAATATACATATGTAATTGCTAACTCCTTACTTGAAGACTGCATATACTTCTATTAGGAAAGATAGTTTCAATCATGTTAATGGCACTTTATAAGCTGTTACTTTCTTTAGGAAGATTATGTAACTAAGGCAGGTTATGGCATTTTTCTTAAGTATCCTACACATTAGTAATAAAAAGCTTTGTCTAATAGGAAAGCATTTAAACATGATGGCAGTGGGTAATTTGAAATGTAACATCTATTTTCTATTTTATTTCCATTTTGTCAGCCGCAGTCATGTAGTTAGGTTAGAAAATATTTGGGAAAAAAAGAAATACCATTTATGAATATGAAAGCTATCAATTTTGCTTCCTGACCAGTTGCTTCAGCAAAGTAAGGAGATTTAGCAGATAAGTAATCACGGTATTCCTAAAACTAGAGAAAATTTTAAATTGAATTTTCATTATGTTTGCAACATATGTGAACAAATCAGTATTACTTTTAAAATGGCTATTAGATAAAACATTTTAAAGAACAGTTGAACTTTGAAGATTTATATTTCAGAATTTGTTAGTTTGTTACACACTGAAATGTTTGGGATGTACTTTGACTTACAACAGATATGATGTTTGGTGTTTGGCAAATCTTGTGTTTTTATAAAGCAGACTACTCTATAATTTGTAGCAACAAAACAAGTGTTGATTATTGAGATTTAAAAGTAGCAAGTTTTCTGGTGATGCTCAAGTTATAAAGCATAATTATAATTGTACCGGTTGGGCAGCTATAGGTAAGGTCGCGTCAGCCTTTTTATTACTAAATTCCAACCCTATTTCCATTAGGTTTATCGGGAATCTCAAAGAGGAGAGTCCAGTTCTGTGAGACATCAAGGCATTGTAGAATTCCGGGCTGAGTCAGAGGGCTCGAAACTGTACTTCCGGCTCTGTCAATTACTAGCCTTGTGACCTCTGACACCACATTTGATTTCTCAGTGTTCCAGAGAATCATTTTTTAAAAAAATAAATAGTTGCACATTGCTCTACAGAAAGGAGATAATATGTGTCTAAGTACTTACCACCATCCTATGCCTTAGAAATATATGGAATTATTATTAAGGATTCCCTTAAGTCTTATTAATTTAGCTGTGCATGTTTTTTACACCCTTATTGTAAATCTGAATAGGTGCTTTCTAGTAGCAATTACAGTTAGCTGTACATAATACTGTTCAGTGATTAACCAACAAAGACAAATTAAAAGCTTTGTTGGTTAACTTTCACTCAGTACTCAGTTTTTTCCAGAAGTACTCATATGGGAATATAGTTGTCTTAAGTAATTAAAAAAATAGTTGCTTTTGAATAACATTCAAACAGTGGTAACTAAGGGTTTTATGTGTGAGAGTGTTTTCTGCAGATTGCTTTTTAAAAAATGCTTCTGAGTACTTAGGAGTTTCTGTTTCTGCTACCAAGAGCACACAAACAAATGTACACAAACTTGATGCTACTTCACAGACTGAGTACATTGACCAGAAAGTGACTCTTGTCTTTCAGTATATTAACAAAAGCATAATGAGTTTGAATACCAAGTGTAATAGAGAAAATGAGAATATAAAGATACCCGGTCTGTTTGGAATTTTCTAGTTGTAATAATTACTAACTTTCTTTAGGGGGAGGCAATCCCCCATGTGTCACTACTAAAACTGCATCTCTTTAATGTTCTTGTATCTTAACAGAATGATATTTACATATATGCAAAGAGGATAGTTTAGTGATATGAGCTTCCATGTATGTTTTTCAGTGACTGAATAATCAGGTTACAGAGTAAGTTTTTGTATTTTGGTTAAAATAGAATTGGAAAGTGCAAAATTAACCCTGTAATAAATTAGTAGTCCTGGGCTTAAAATAAAGAATTTTCATGTTGTAGAGCAACCTCCTCTTCGTAACTTCCCAGTGTCTTGCTTTTCTTTTCAAGGATTCCCAATATATTTTTGTTTCAGATGAATTTCATTATGCATGTTTATCTGACTTCATTGATGCCTATTAATAGCAAGCATTTTCTTGGTTTCCTATATTTAAAAAATGCATGTTCTTTATGTCTTATGGCAATACTTTAGATTTGCTCTGGCAGATTTATGAAAGAATATTGTATGAATGTAGACAGGCTTGTTTATTTGACAAATTCAGCTAATCACCTTACAAATATGCTTTTAATTTTCACCCAGAAAATGCCACCCTGGAGTGTCTTATACTGCATATAACATTCTATTACAGTCCAACCACATGGCTCAGTGGACATACTTATCCATTAAGTATGCTTATCCTGACCATTGGTTTACTAGGAAAGATCCTTAATTGACATGCTTTTTGGTATCCTTGTGTAGACACAATATTCAGGTGCCCAAACTCTAAAACTCCTGTCTTTTAGCTACAGAGAAGGGATGACTAGGTGGCTTGATGTTGCTTTCTTATCACATGATCTGAAAATCCCAGGCACTGAACTGTGAATAAAGCAAAGGGAGAAAGAAAAGAAAGAGAACTAAAAGAAAATTTTACTTCTGAAAATTTTGCTCTTTCCCATTTTAATATCACAATATTAAAAGCAATCTTTTTTATCACAAGCTATTCAAATGGTTTGTTATAGTTACTATGCTCATATATATCAAATACGATAAATGGCACTAAATGAGCTGCTTTGTTCTTACAGGAGCTACACCTCTGTGAACATAAATTTAAGAGTTAAACTAGATTGTACGTTGTAACACTACGTCAGGATATTGTGTGTAGAATTTGGACTTACTGAAAAATTGAAATGGATTGTGGATTGTAATCATATAATTATAGACTTTTACTCTTTCGATGTTTATTAGGTATCTTATACTTTATTTGAATTATAATTATAATAAATCAGCATATGGATAATCATAAAATTATTCATAGTAGTTTATCTTCTTATGACCTAATCAAAACGAGTTACCTTATCGATGTTTTAGATTAATATGTATGACTTGGTATAGTGATCTTCATCATTTTCTGGTGCAAAGTTCCCTTTTTAATTAAAAAAATTCACTGGAAGTCCACTTAGTCATAGTTATACTTTCAGTATCCATTAATTGAGAAAATGCATGATAATAATAGTAAATTATTATGAATATAATAACTCTTTAAAAATGAATTTATGTATAGTCACAACAGAGTCTACTTATATCTTTGAAATGCATGGTTTATTCTATCTACATAGAAAGTTTGGTGTTTATATAGATTCTAGATTCCTTGGAGTAACTCCTGCAGCTGTAGTAAATAAAAGATCCATATGTCTAGAGGCAAAATACTTGCATTACATATACATATTAATCATGTTCATCTTACAGAGAAAATGAAAGGTAAGTGCGTATGGTGGTGGTTTGTGGATCAAAGGAGTTGAATTTCGGTATAGATGGACTTAAGAGTATATAATTTTCTGAGGATGTACATTTAGAGTTCCAAAATATTCCCATTCGAGTTTTAGGATTCAACAGTTGTAATTTAAAATTGGTTGATTTTGGAAAATAATTGCTTTTTTAAAAAATAAACATTGTTTTTATTGTAGCCAAAATAAAAATGAATTATTATAAAAGCCAAAGGTGATCAAAATCTCATAAAAACCTAATAGAATTATATGCATTATAGGAGTAAGGGATGCCCCATTATGTGATTTTAAACAAGGAATTTGCAAACCAGAGAAATGAAGTGAAGTTTCCAAGATCTTACAATTTGTTGGCTCTCTCATGATGCATGATTTCAGTTCCTTCATATAAGCCCTCAGCTGGGTGTTCTAGTTATATAGCAATATGTCCTGGCATACAGCATTATTTTTTATTAGTACAGCTAATGTTGGCATATCGAATCCTTTGGCCTCTAGCTTACTTTACCGATTTGTGATCAGTCGTCTGACTTCTGCACTCAGAATCTGTGGACTTTATTTTTCCTTTACGCACACCTGATTTTTGACCTCATTTGATCCCTGGAGACACAATACAAAGGAGAGTTGAGAACATAGGTCACTGGTGGGTCTTCTTGTCTTTTCCATACTGTGCTTTTCCCATTAGCTTTGTATCTTTCCACCTGCAGGGAATTGCTCTTCTTTGGAGCCTCTCCACTTTCTGGACTTTCCTGAACATCCCTGGCCATCTTTGTCTCAGTGCTGCATGCTACCTTCTTGCTTCCAGGGGATTCCACTAAGGGGTCCTATCAAAATATCTTCTAGCTACACTTTATCCCACTTTGACGATATTGAATTTCATATTTCATTTCTTCATCAACAGGGTCAGTCTGCTTACATAAACAATAGTGAACCAATTTTGGAATAATGAAGACAGTAATATTTTATCAAGTTTGCCAAGCTACAATCATATAACTACTACTAAATGAACAAGATACAGCTGGTGTGTGTGTGTGTATCCTCATATCCTAATGACTGCATTAATATGTGTATCCACACACATACATGATTTTTGTTGAAATGTTTGACAAATGAATCATCGTTAATATGCTAAAGAGGAAAGTTTGGAATAACAGGCTTTATCCCTTTGTATTATAATAGTGACATTTCTAGAAAAGATGCCATTAACTTCTGACCCCGAAAAATAGCTTGAAAGGACTGCATTTTAGATGATAAGGTGGAGACAGGGCTGTGGAGGACATACTTTTGTTCAGGCTGAATCCCGCAGTGCCCTCTAGAGTTACTGGGTAGGGAGCTGGTAGCATACCTGTATGAAGAAATGACACTGGCTATGAACACTATGATGCTTACAACCTCTCTGCCAACTTTATTTCAGAAGAGACACAGTCAGGAGAGCTAAATACAGTGGTAAAAATGGAAAAACTGAGAGAGTTAGAATGGTATCAAGTATTTTGTGTAAACAAAGCTTCATGTGGCCAAGGGAGAAAATTTGAATGTAACAAATGGATCTGGTAGCTCTCAGTGTTTGGTTTTTGGATACCCCTATTAAAGCTCCTAATTGTTCTCACCATGACAGAACTCCTGAATGGTACTCAAGAGGCACCCAGCTCCACAGTGTGCAGAGTAAATGCATTCAAGGGATCTCTAGGGGTTTTTGACTCTGCTGTTTTTTCTTGTCGAGGTTCTCCTACAGGGCCCTTAATAACACAGCCACAGAGCAAGCCGCTTATGTCAGTGGGTGTGCTCTTCTCAATGAGTGAATGGTTTAGCTTAGCTCTAGGAGGCAAGTGCCTGCTGGTCTTGTATTTCCAGGGCCCAACATTGTGCACAGCATATAGTAGGTCATCAGTAAATCATTACACAAGCAAACGCTTAAACACTTACGGATAACAGGTCAGTTTTAGATCTGTGTTCTCCAAAACTCATGCTACATTATACGTAGAGACAAAAGCTTCTGATTTAAAAAAGTAAAAAAAGGAAAATTGAGTAATAAAGGAGAGAGAATTAATATTAGGTAGTTTAAAACCTACAAATGAACTGAAGGAGAAGAAATCACCTGCCTGCCTGTCTCCCTCCCTCCCTTCCTTCCTTCCCTCCCTCCCCTTCTTCTTCCTTTCCTCCCCCTTCCTTCCACCTCTATCATAGGTATTTAAGTGCCTTCACTGTTCAAGGGGATGCAAGAGGGACTGCAAAGGTCCCTCCCTACAGAGATGACTGATGTCATGTGTCTGGGCCCAAAAATGGTTTAGTTAGGGATATGACTACTAAACAAAATCACATATACCGACATCCCTTGGTGTCCATGGGGATTGGTTCCAGGACCCCTTGTGGACACCAAAATCCACAGATGCTCGAGTCCCTAATATAAAATGGTCTCGTATTTGCATATGACCTATGTACATCCTCCTGTATAAATTATCTGAAGATTACTTATACCTAATACAGTGTAAATGCTATGTAAATAGTTGTTACATTGTATTTTTATTTGTATTATTTTTAATTATTTTGTTGTTCTTTTTAAATTGTTTTTAAAAAATATTCCTGATCCATGGTTGCTTGGATCCACAGATATGGAAGGCCACCTGTTATTATAATTCAAGATAGTCTACCATACATACTTCTAAGAGAGATGCCAAGTATGCTATGGGCTCAAGAAACGTTCAGGACACATGCACGTAGAGGGATTAGGTGAGGCTTGCTGAAGGAGGCAGCCTTTGTATTGGACTTTGAAGGAGTTAACATGGGTATGGAGATGTGACCTTCTAAATAGAGGGGAGATCAAAAATATACTGTAAGGAGGACCAAATGGAGCATGGTTAAGGAAGATCCAATGTTCTTGTTTCCCCAGAGAAGGGGGTATATGATATGAAATGTAAGAAGATAAGGCTGGAGCCCTGAGCCTTCATGTCTGGCAAGCAGGAGCCAATGGAATGGTATTGCATGAGCTTAAGGAAAACAGAACATTTCATGACCCGCTCAGATTTATGCTTTAGGAAGAAGGGGGATGAATTAAGAGTGTGTATCTCCAGGTTACCATTGATTTCAAGTTGTGTGAATTTCCCAGTGACTCCTGAGTTTCACGCTTATTCCAATTTTCTCATGTAGAACCCCAGGCCTCAAACAGGCATCACTGGCTCTCTTCATTTTCCTCTTTCTTTCTTCCTTTCAAAGAAGAAACTGCTGGGTGCAGTGGCTTCACGCCTGTAATCCCAGCACTTTGGGAGGCGGAGGCAGGCGGATCACCGGAGGTCAGGAGTTCGAGACCAGCCTGACCAGCATGGTGAAACCCCGTCTCTACTAAAAATACAAAATTAGCCGGGCATGGTGGCACATGTCTGTAATCCCAGCTACTTAGGAGGCTGAGGCAGGAGAATTGCTTGAACCTGGGAGGCAGAGGCTGCAATGAGCCGAGATCACACCATTGCACTTAAGCCTGGGCAACAAGAGTGAAACTCTGTTCAAATAAATAAATAAATAAGCAAACAAACCACTGCTACCAGTGCTGGATAAATACAGAAGCCAGAGTTTAACATTAGCTTTTACTTTTTTCAAGCAGAAGGCAAGATTCTGTAATGGGGCTGATCCATTCAAACTATCCTTGCTTGGTAGTATTAGAAAGTTGCCACACACTGTAGCAACAATGCTAAGATTTAAGTAACTCTTTAATGAGTACACTGGATAATGTTTAAAGTTTATTTCTTTACTGTGATGGCAACAGCAAAGTGACTCTAAAGTGACAATTCATCTGGAAGAAAGAAGTTGAAGGAAGCAACTGGGAAAAAAGAAAAAAGGAAAGTGCTTTATATAATGTAATGCCAAGGTGGAAATATAGATTTCAAAATGGTTTTATAGTAAGATCATATGGAATAAGAATATTGCTTTCGAGTAGAATGTACATTCAGTAATAAGATAATAGGATTTATTTCTAACAAGTGTGAACTCTTTTGCTAACTACCAATAATTATAACAATTTTGAATTGTAGCTGGAAATTGGAAAGTGAGCCTCCTAGTAATAAAAAATCCCCATGCTAGTTTAGTTTAAATTATTTTTCTTATCAAATACTTTATCTACACTTCTAATAAGTGGAAGAAAAGAAACCAGTAGGTATAGTTTTTTTTCCCATACTGTATCTGATCATTCTATATTGGAAGATGTAGTAAGCTGGAAAATAGCCAAACGTTGAAGACAAAATGAGAAAAAATGCAATTTACTTAGGCACAAACTAAATGTTATGTACATCATCCTTAGGATTCAGGTGAAAGAACAAGTCTCACAGTCTAGCTGTTGTCAAAACTCACTCCCCTATCCCTGAGGATCCTGATTCGGTGTTTGGAATGCAGTATAGAAATTTGTAGGTTTTTTTTTTTTTTTTTGAGATGGAGTTTCGCTCTTTTTTGCCCAGGCTGGAGTGCAATGGTGCAATCTTGGCTCACTGCAACCTCTGCCTCCCGGGTTCAAGCAAATCTCCTCCCTCAGCCTCCCGAGTAGCTGGGATTACAGGTGTGCGCCACCACACCCGGCTAATTTTGTATTTTTAGTAGAGACGGGGTTTCACCATGTCGGCCAGGCTGGTCTCAAACTCCTGACTTCAGGAGATCCACCCACCTTGGCCTCCCAAAGTGCTGGGATTACAGGCATGAGCCACCGCACCCAGCCGAGAAATTTGTACTTTCAAAAACATTTGAGGGCCAGGCATGGTGGCTCATGCCTGTAACCCCAGCACTTTGGGAGGCCGAGGCAAGGGAAACAGCCTGAGTTCAGCAGTTCAAGACCAGCCTGGCCAACATGGAGAAATCCCGTCTCTACTAAAAATACAAAAATTAGCTGGGCACATTGGCAGGTTCTTGTGATCCCAGCCGGCTACTCGGGAGGCTGAGGCAGGAGAATCGCTTGAACCTGGGAGGTGGAGGTTGCAGTGAGCCGAGATTGCACCATGCACCATTGCACTCCAGCCTGGGTGACAGAGCGAGACTCCATCTCAAAAAAAAAAAAAAAAAATTGAGGTCAGTAGGATCACCAAGATGTTCCTTGGGAGGGCTTCAGCAGAAACCTCTCAGTCTCTGTCAGTATTACTTTCCTCCTGGCGTCATAAGTTACAATGGATATTGGATGCTTTCTTGATGTTTTCCAAAGTGCCCCTCCAACTCAGCTTCAACTTTCAAGTAATAAGTCATTTCCAACCACAATGGCACAGGGTAGGCCCCTACTATGCTGAAATCCTCACACTGCCACTGTCTCAGTTGATTATCATGCAGCAATTGTGGCTCATTGTGGGTCCCTACTAACCACTGTCCTTCAGTCCTATTACGTGATCAGAATTGCCCCTTCCCATATGTATTTTAATGAACTCCTTCATGTGAGTGAATGAGAAATACTACTTGAGGGCCCTATCTGTTGTAAGAATGGTGCTTAACACAGGCTGTAGATGCTCAAGACAGTTCTTGCCATCTAAAGCTTATGGACCAGTGGGAAAGGCATATGTGTTCAATTGGGCTCCCTGGAAACAGACTCCGAGATGAAGAATTGCATACAAAAGTTTTAGTTGTTTCTGAGGCAGAGAAACTGACTGCAATGTGGTTGCAGCTGGGGCCCCAGCAGTTCCAATGAGAAGTTCTAAAGATTTGATGGTCCTTCAAAATTGTCTCACATTGAGTCAAGGGGGTTGGGGCTTTCTGTTTTCACGTCAGGCAGTGACTGGCGGGGGGCTGCCCCACAGGAAGGAGCATAATGTTGGGAAGACAGTTACTTGCAGCTGAGGGTAAATCCCGATGAGGGACTCGGCTGTGAGCCACCAACGGCAGGATGGGTATACAGGCCATTAAGAGGGGAATGAAAGTTATTTGGAGTCTCTGACAAGATCGTATTTTTTCTCTCACCCCTTGAGGCATGATGCAATAATACCATATGAAATTACTGAGGAAATGCTGTGAAATCGTAAACATTTGTTTAAAGAGATAAAGAAACTAAATACAATGGAGTATAAGGCCTTGCTCTATGTAGTTTTGCTTCAGAGAATGTGATTTTCTCAGGAATGTAGTTCAAGTCACATTATAGTTACTCTGTTGTAAGTTACCAGGCCACAAATATCTAATGAGCACGTTCTATGTGTCCTGGACTTCCAGAGAGAGAGAGGAAAAAGTGGAAAATTCATGCCTGGAGAATTTACATAGGACCTTTTTTTTTTTCCTCGGTGGTTCATGTGCCTGATTTTGAGTTTAAGGAGGGGATTTGGGGGTGGGGGTCAAGGAAGGGGCAAGGAAATGGAACAGAGTAGAGTGGGGCCAAGTTTTCTGAATTCCAAGGATAATAAGACAATTGTTTGGGTTGTACAGGACCAGGCTACAGAGGAATATTGAAAGTTGGCGGAAGGCACAGACTTGATGAACTGAGTGGTAGTGGAATAAGTCGAATGTAGATTTACTGGTACAGAACAGACAGTGAAAGCAGTGTTTCATTAGCATTAGCCAGTCTATGATTTGGACTGGAGGGGAACTAGTTTTGAATACGATGAATTTGAAATCATCGAAATAATATATCCTAGAGTTCAATTTTCACTGAAAGGAAGCATTTCATATAACACTATTCACTTTTATATTATGTGGAAATATTAATTTCCTTCCTTAATGCAAGGGAAGTGACATTACTTAGATTTTTAAAATGCTTTCTTCAACCCTAGTGAGGTAATAGGAGCACCTTCTATTTTTATCCTATAAAGATTTTCAATCAAGTTAAATACACTGACACTTAATTTTGCCAGTAAGTTTTTAAAGTACTGGCTGTGTCTAAATGGGCAACCATTCATTAAATCATAGAAAAATTGAATAGGGATGAACTAAGTACATACCTTTACAGATATAAACATCTCTCGGCCAGGCACGGTGGCTCATGCCTGTAATCCCAGCACTTTGGGAGGCTGAGGTGGGCGGATCATGAGGTAAAGAGATCGAGACCATCCTGGCCAACATGGTGAAACCCTGTCTTTACTAAAAAAATACAATAATTAGCTGGGCGTGGTGGCGCGTGCCTGTAGTACCAGCTACTCTAACTAGAGGCTGAGGCAGGAGAATTGCTTGAACCTGGGAGGCAGAGGTTGCAGTGAGCTGAGATCATGCCACTGCACTCTAGCCTGAGTGACAGAGCAAGACTCCATCTCAAAACAAAACAAAACAAAACATACAAGCAAACAAAAAATCTCTCAACTACCAAAAAATTATCCATTAACTGATATTCACTTTAATAAATAACCACTTTGGCAATTTTTTCCCTCACTTGACCTAACATTGACTAGATGGTCAACTCAATTCAGTTCAACAAATACTTCCAGATGATCCACCTACTCCATGCTTAATTCAAGCACAAAGCTAGAATGAGGAATTTACTCATTGCCACAGCAACTGAGGATGCACATTGTTAAGCATTTTAAAAGATCTGTCTTAAAAAAAAATAGTAATCTTTGCTACCAGCACCTAGCTTGCTTTAAAAGCATTTGTTAGATTCCTTCTCTGGCTTTGGCTTGGTTTTTTTGGAATAATAATAATAAAAAAAAAAGTTGGCCAGGTATGGTGGTTCATGCCTGGAATCCCAGCACTTTGGGAGGCCAAGGTGAGTGGATCACCTAAGGTCAGAAGTTCGAGATCAGCCTGGTCAACATGGTGAAACCCCGTCTCTACTAAAAATATAAAAATTAGCCAGACGTGGTGGCGCACGCCTGTAATCCCAGCTACTTGGGAGGCTGAGGCAGGAGAATCGCTTGAACCTGGGAGGCGGAGGTTACAGTGAGCCGAAATTGCACCACTGCACTCCAGCCTGGGCAACAGAACGAGACTCCATCTCAAAAAAAAAAAAAAAAAAGAAAGGTTCATGGTATTTTTAAAAGACCAAGAATTCAATCAAGGTGACACTCCTTTTCCATCACAATACTCTACTTGTGTGTATGGACCTATATATTTTATTGTTTCAAATACAAATTGTGAAGCTTATTAAGGAGAGTCCAACATTTCTATATATTCACTAGCTGTTTTTTCATTAAATATAACTTCAAGGCTCCAGGCTCAAAAATTGTTCCATTTTTACTGATTGCATCATGCTATTTGTGCACAGCACACTTTTATTTTTGTCCGCATAGATTTGAAGCAATGGTTTTTTTACTCTGCCACACAATGCCACATCCCTGACAGTAGGTAAGTTATGTTCTTTTGCATTTTTTACTCAAGAGCTATGTAGGTGGTATGGGAGATGAGTGGCGGCTATTGGAACAGACTGTGCATCAGACGCTATTTAAACCTCATCTATATGTGCAAGTTAAGAGTTACTATTTCCTGTTTCCAAAGTGAAAATTAGTTTTAATTTCTTAAATTTGTAATCAGAGAAGATGTGGGTTATTGTTCTAAGCATCTTCTTTGGACTCTTCCAATGTTTTGGTAGCAAAGATTCAAATATTAGTAAGTCTAAATTCATCTTTTATTAATTTGGGTACTCCTGCTAGCCCAATCTTATTATTTTTAATATTAGTGTTAATGTTACTATTGGCTATGATTACAAAAGTATAAAAATAATATATTTAATAAAGCCTCATCATGTGGCTTCAGTCTAGTTTTGGGAACCTGAAAGATATTATGAAAATTAAAGGTTTAGTATTGCTTCATTGAATCATTACTTAAGTCAAAGATGTTAAGCAGACTTAGTTATTATGATTAAATCCTTTCCACTCCAAGAATTACAGTACCAGAAATGTGCAATTTGTATACACACAAATTTACTTTTTGAGACTATTGAAAGGTAATTGGAAATAATTTCATACCTGAGGACAGTCTCTTAGAAAACATATTTGTGTGAGTCCTTGTTTATTTGGATCATACTGGAGTTGTAGGCAACATATTTGTGTGACTAATATCATCACCATTGTCTCCATCATAATCATTATCAACAAGCTGGTATTAATTTTAAAAGTGTTCATTATACAATCAAAAAAGAACTATATAGGACAGGACCCTGACTATTGAATATAATGAGCTTGAACCAAGGATTATGTGGCTTGCGGAAATACTGTGAGGTAAATGAATTTTGCCTGTGACATACTTCTGTGTTCAGTTTCAGCAACTCCCACTTCGTTTGAATCCCAAATGCTCACGTGAATAACTTTAGTTTCTGAATGCTAAGAGTATTCTGTCACAGAGAAGACTGTTTTCTTAAAAATATATGCTCCCAAGCTACCACTAGCTATGTATTTTTCTCATCAAATTTATTATTTTTAAATGTATTTCTTTGTGTCTTCCTAACTTTAGTATAAGGCTGAGAGGATATGACCTCATTTATCTGGTTCACCACATATCTTTGGTGCCCAGGAGAGTGCCTGTCACATTGTGCAATTTAGTTCAATAATTATCAAAGGAAGGAAAGAAAGGAAGAAGAAAGGGAGAAAGAAAGAAAAGAAAGAAGAATCTCCCGAGGTGTCCTGGTCTAAGCAAGATAATAGGAGAAAAGAGAGTTTGATTTAAAAACACACTAAGCCTAGCTTGGTAGATATATGACATTTGCATTGTAAAGGTGTTGTTCATGATGCAATGTTACTGGTATAGTAAAGTTAGCGTTTATTCCATCCCTCATGGGGATGGGTACAGGTATATCACATGCTCTAAATTGCCAGGTCTGTTGACAGAATGCCAGAATGCCAAGCTGATAGCTTAGAACCTATAGCCAAAGATTTTGGTTGCATCAATAATGCAGAAAGCGATGTCTTAAGGACCATTATTCTGACAGTATGTTTTTAAGGTGAGCAATGCCAAGATAGACTGAAGCCTACAGTTAGATGGCACTATATATTTTATAAATTACAAGGTGATAAAAGTTCTCATTGTTTTAGCTTCTTAGCTTTTTTCCCTACTTTTCCCTATATATAAGTATCCATTAAGAAGAAGCTTTAAAAAAACACTAATTTCATTTTTATCTCTTTCATAGTATCAATATACCTTCTCCCAATTGCAGAAGACATCATGTTATACTAGAATTCACATTTGGATCAAGGCAAGTGTGAGTTCCAATTTTGGCTTTGACATTTACTAGCTGTGTAACCTTGGATAGGTTACTTATGTTTCAGAGTTTCAGTTTCCAGATCTCTGGAGAGAAAAGAATACCTACCTTTAGGATTACTGGAAAAAGTAAAAATTGTATTTGTAGGCCAGGTGTGGTGGCTCATACCTGTAATCCCAGCACTTTGGGAGGCCGAGGCGGGTGGATCACGAGGTCAAGAGATCGAGACCATCCTGGCCAACATGGTGAAACCCTGTCTCTGCTAAAAATACAAAAATGTGCTGGGTGTGGTGGCACGCACCTGTAGTCCCAGCTACTTGGGAGGCTGAGGCAGGAGAATCACTTGAACCCGGGAGGCGGAGGTTGCAGTGAGCCGAGATTGCACCATTGCACTCCAGGTTGGCGACAGAGCGAGACTCAAAAAAAAAAAAAAAAAAAAAGGTATTTGTTAAGCATATCGTGCAGTGCTTGACAAATCATAGCTACATAATAAATGCTAATCCTTATTTTAATATTTTAACATGTTATATTAAAATATAACAGGAATATTCTTTAGTTTTCTCCCTGTACCCAATGGTCAATATTCCATCTTTATCATACTTGACCTGTGGGTAACAATTGCACAATGGATCAGTCCTTGTCCTTGTTTATTTGGATCATACTTGACTTGTGGGCAACACTTACACAATGGATCACTCCTCCTCAGTACATTTTCTTTACCTGGCTTTGGGGACAGCACAATCTCTTGGTTTAACTTTTTTGCTCCTTTTAATTCTTTGCTGGGAAAATGCTCCATGGTTTAACTCTTGGCTGTCTTCTCAGTCTACACTCACCCCTTAGTGATTTCATTCACTCACTCTCATGGCTATCAGTATCCTTTTTGTCACCACCTCTTAAATTTATATCTACCTTGGTAACTTTTCTGATTTCCAAACACATATATCTAACCACTTATTTGACATCATCAGCTATTTGACATTTGTCACTTACTTTGTCCAAAACTAAACTTCTTTTTTCCCTCCCAAATCTACTTTGTTCGCAATTTTCCCATCTCGATTGATGTCAGTTTCATCCTTGTATTTGTTCAGACCCAAAACCTTGAAATCACTCATCATTTCTCTCCCTCTCTCACAAACCACATCCAGTCATCAAGCCTTGTTGGTACTATCTTTACCCAGATCTAGAATTTAACCACTTCTCATCACCTCTACTGCTATTATCCTGTGGAACCCTCCATCATCTCTTTTCTAAATTACTGCAAACCGCCAAACTGACTCTATGCCTCTGTTATTGTTTTCTACAGTCTGCTCTCAATATAGCAGCTACGGTTGCCTTTTGAAAATGGACAGGTTGTGTCACTCTACTTTTCAAATCCCTGCAAAGGTTGCTGATTTTACTTGGAGTAAAAGTAAAGTTCTTATAATGGCCTAAGGAAATTCGCCTACATTACTTCCTTGATTTCATTTCCCCGACTCATTCTCTCTTTTCTAGCTCTCTCATTTCTCACCACTCTCAACTTGCTGTTCTTTGAAGGTGACAGGTAAGTTCTTGCCATAGGACCTTTTCACTGGCTGTTCTCTTTGTTTGGAGCATTATTTACCCAGAAGTCTCAAGGCTAACTTCCTCACTTCCATCATTTTTGGCTTACCTGTCATCTTCTCCATGAGACCTACCCCGACCACACCCTCTAAAATTTCAATACACTCACCTCCACACTCCTGATCTCCTTATCTGGTTCTACTTTCTAATTCTTTTAGGTACTTCTTACCATGTAACTTTTTTATAAGTTATTTATTATTCTTATTGATTATTGCTAGAGTTTAAGCTCCACAAGAGCAAAGATCTTTGTCCTTTTAGTTCACTGAAGTATCCCAAGCACTGAGAATGCTATATGTAAATTTGGTAAAATAAATATTGTTGTAAAATAAAGATAATTTTCTTACCTAGTGTTACTATTGTGAAGGTTTAAATAAGATAATGCAGTTAGAGCATTTTTTCACAGGGCCTGACATAAATTAAGGGCTTAATAAATGGTCGCCATTATGAAGTGTCTCATGGCGTAAACACACATGGTATACACCAAAAATCAAAAGTATTACAGCATGAACCCTTTTTCTCACATTGAAGTTTTACCAATACCACAGGCATATAATATCTTCTCTAGGTATACACAAGCATATCTTATTGTTTCATGCTCATCTAGTAAAGATAAAGATATGCTAGCATTCAGCAGTAGCTGACAGTTCACATATGTCAGTGAAATAAATTGACACTGTTCTTTTTTACTTTATACCAATTAAACTTCATATAATTTAAAAAGTTGGTGACAAATATTCTCTAATAAGGATAATTTTAAAAATATCACTATAAGATGATATTCTCTAATAAGGATAATTTTTAAAATATCACAATAAGATGATTTATAAGATTCCTGAGAGCTCCCTAAGAATTAAAGAGCTAACAAAAAAATGATATTCCCATTATGCATTTTAATGAACAACCAATTTTCTTCTTTTTGTAGATTTCAATGACAACTTGGAGAGTTCAACATGTTTAACATTTTTGATTCTTTTCCATGTTTTATAAATAGAAAAAAATAAAAATGATTGTAATGAGGTATTCTTATGTGCATCACAAATGTAGGTTTTAGTGTGCGGGATTCAATAGAAAATAAATACTTTCTTTTTCCATCTTCATTTGTGAAAATACTGAAAAATAGTTATAACGGAAAGTCTTTTGTAAATCAAAACAAAAAGTATTATTTCTGAATACTGAATAGATGTTCTCATCTTGTCTATTGCCTGATCATCTAGTTGCTTAGTCTAATCAAATACATTTATTCTTCTATGTTTCATTCGCATAGCTTAGTCTTTTCCAGAGAATTTACGAATGTTTTACTGCATGCCAAACCTTGGGTAATTAAAGTCGACGACAGAATGTGCCCATAGTTTATTCTGTAGATCTGACTGTAGATGCAGAGGCTTACATTACATTTGGGGTGAATGATAAGCTTATATTATTTTCTTCTTCTACTAAAAATATTTTAAAGATATAGATTCTAGAATTCACTAAACAGGTAATTTGTGAATAAATATATTGCCATTTTTTAAAATTGCTCTTTTGTTCTCTCATATGTTCATCATGCAGCTTAATTTCCTTTCTCCATGTTTGGGATGGTCAGGTAGTCACCACTTCCCACTAAAGTTCGTTAATTTTTCAACCACCAGAAAAAAAGGTGAGGAATGAAAGAAGGAGAGGAAAAGAGAAGAATGGCAAACTCCACGTAATTGCCTGAATGCTACCTTAGATCTAAATGTTGTAAGTTTTCCTCTAACATTTTAGAAAGAATCACTTTTTTTCAAGCATTTTTATTGCCACTCGTGCCTACTTTACTTTGTTACTCCTCTGCTGCTTGTGGGTGGATGGAATTTGACTATTTCAGAATAGTTACTGGTGGGTGGGTTCAAGAATCTCTAGTGGGTTGAGGAAAAAGCCATGTTTATATAGATAGTGATCCTTCTATTAAAATCCTAAGAGTGAGTAATATTTAATAGCTATGTTCACCACGCACATAGCAGAGTCCATCTGTACAGAAACTGAGGGTATCTGAAAAGAATTCCACGGGAGTTTTGGCTTCCTATAGAGTTTGCACGCAGAGGCTCTAATCTCCCAAATTAAATTTTGTGACTTGATGGATAGACAAGGTTTCTTTCCTGAGGGCATGACATGGACCTGGATGCCTACTGGTCTATACAAGTGTAAGATGCTATGAACCTGTCAAGACTTAGCTTTCCCACTATAGTGGATCATAACACACAGCTTTAGTGCCTTGTGTACATTGCTTTGACTACAGATGTAAAACGTTTAGGTTGACTGGCTTTAAATTGTGGGTAGCTGTGGTAAGGGTAATCACATGATCTACTTAGATGCCAAGTGAGTGAATTCTCTTCTTTGATTTGAAATCCAGTTCTTTTATATATATATTTGAGTACAGAGCTGGTAGCAGCCAGTGATGCAATGTACACATTGAAAGTGCCATAAATTTAGAGATACTTTCTGTATGGCCAGACCACGGGAAATGACAGGCCTTTCAAACTATAGACTATTTTAGATGATTGTTCTTGAAAGACCACTTCACTTAATGTGATATTTGGATTACAATAAATTCTAAATCATTGTGTTCTCATTTCTTTCTTTTCTATACTGAAGAAAATGCCTTACCTTAATCTTTACCACTTACCTTAATCTTCAGAGATTGAGTAGTCATTGATGTTCATTACCCACTTTATTGCAGCAATGCTACTATCAAAGCATGAGATTTGGGTAGCTGCAACATGTGTACAGCTGAATTCTAAGTTTTGCAGGCAGAACACCAGTGGTCAAATTACATATATTGTGTCATAATTATTAAAAAATGTAACATATGAGGACAATTAAAGGTCTAAATAATTTGAGATAGACAGCCCATTTTAAAATAACATTTTACTTTCATTTTATTGGCAAGTTTTAAGACCAAAATTTAAAAGGACCAAAAATGGACATAATTTAGATGTGCATTTTAATGAAGAAAGAGAAAATGCTAAATGATTTGGAAAAAAAAGATATTTAGCATGATGCAACTTCTATAAATGTTTTTTTTCTCCTGTTCTTTAAAGAATGAAATAAAGTTACATGTAATGGACGGTATTAAATTCAGACTGGCATTAAGATGTGAATGTTTTAAATAAGTGACATATTTTAATTTGAAAATTTGAATCTAATATAAAATGCAAATTGCAATAGCCCTTAATGTAGAAAAAGGGAAAAATGTAGTGATTGAGTTTGGGGGAATTGTAACTTGGGCAGCTCTAGCCAGCTGCAATGATGAACAAGGCTTCCTTTATTATTGCTTCAAGAAAAGCTATTGAGTGTCTAGCACAAAGTAGCTGCTTGAATACGGGAATATCCAATATCCCTTTGAGAGGCGTATTTGATTATACATTTTCCCTTTACCCTCTTGTTTCTTTCTAACTCTCCAAGTTCCACAAAAAGCCCCAAGATCACTGTTGTTATTATCATTGGTGTTGTTTTTTGACCCAGAGGTTATACCACTGACAACTACTGTTACCTATGTAAAATGATCTCTATCAATCTTTGACTAAATTTATACCTGATCCTGTTGTTCTTTTGTTTAAAATCTTCCCATAAATCTTTGGTCCTTACAGGATTATCTGTAAGAGGGTTAGCCTGGCAGGCATTTTTTTTTTTTTTACAATCAGATTCAACAGAGTTCTTTTTTGGCTTCATTTCTCACTTTGATCAAAATGACTTCTCAGCATGCATGTTCTTACACACACACACACACACACACACACACACACACAACATACCTACCTCTCTGATATATGCTTCCTATTAATTTCTGCCTAGAAAACTCTTACTCATCCTCTAATACCCATCTCAGATATATCTCTTGTTTTAACCCTTCCTTAATGTCTCTGGTAGAATGTGTTATCCAATAACCCTCCCTGTCCCCCGACCCCACTCAACCCCAATGATCAGAGAACATATTCCTGTTAAATCACCTATTTTACTGAAATTATTTCATTTGTCTCTCTCACTTTTTAGAATGGAATCTTCATAAGGCCTGAGATGCTATTTATTTAGCTCTGAAAAAACTAGCCTTGCATACAAGTCTTGTCATAATAAGTCCTAATGAATAGTTGATTGACTGAATGAACGGATCTTCACTTGTGGATTTTGCACAACCTACAGTTGTGGGTGCCAACTCAATGTGCAGAGTTGGAAGCTGTTTGTAGCTCTGCCAGTCAGTTTTATGTTCTGCCAGCACATTCTTGGTTGTTGTACATTCCCCACTGATAGGATTTTACCCAACAGTACTTGGCTTGATTACAGTGTTCAAAATTGTTTTTCACCATGTCTGGGTTTTTTTCCCCTACTCGACTTCATTCTCTCAGTTTCTGTACAGCAGGCTTCTGGGACATCCTGTTGTTACCCATTCCCCTCCTGTACCTCGCCCATCCAAGTAACTTTGTGAGGAAAGGCTGGGAGACTGGCCAATTTCCAGCATCTTGTTGCTGGTGATCCTGTATTACTGTAGGCATATAAGTGGTGAACCTGGGCATGCTGCCATGGCTAGCAGTGAAGGTGAATGCATTCCGGTGCCAATAAGGGCTAAGGCATGGAAGTAAATCCATGCAGAATTGACTTTGTCAGTGCTTTCTAGTAAAGGAGGAGTTTATACATGGAAAGTATATCGGTAGCAGTTAGCATCATTTTGTCCCTTATAGTTCTAGATGAAAGAACACCAATATTTTTTTACCTTAATTGCCTAGTAAGAATCTGATGTTCGTAGAAAGTTCTGTACCCTTGTTGCATTTGCTGCCTAGCTCAGCTCCGAGACAGGAAACTGAATTAGGTATACAGTCCTAGAAGTCACTGTTGCTCAAACTTGAATTGCACATGGATCATTAAGGGATTTTAATTCAGTAGGTCTGCGGTGGAGCCAAGATTCTGCATTTCTAATAAGCTCTCTGGTGATACCATGATGTTGATATTGTTGGTCTGAAAAATTCACATTGAGCAGCAGGATGTAGAGGGCAGAGTGAGCTCTTTGACAAGCAGTGCCAGCTAATGCGCGTACCCTCTACATCTTGAGTGCCTCAACAATGCCACAGGATGACAGAGCATGCCAAAACACAAAATAAATCAGTTCCCTCATCACCACTGCATGTTAGTTCAGAATGTTACTGACGGTGGTGGAAGCATCCCTGAGTTAGTGTTCTCCCTCCCACAGAGCTCATTTAGATTCTTTGTGGAGAAGGGAAGAGGTTGGCTTCCCCACCAAATCTTTGTTGAAAATGATTTAACACATTAAAAGAGCAAATCAGTATCTTAAGGTTTAAACTTCTTAGCTGCAGAGGAAGTTAAGTTCAGTTCCCAAGGACTTAAGGGTTCAGTGAATTTTCACCAGGTTCTTTTTTCACCTAAACTTCAAGAGCGCGGTAGGAGAGCCATCATTTATTGAGTTCCTGCTATATGTGGGCACTGTTTGTTAGGTGCTGGAGGTACAAAGAGGCATCACACATAATCTCTTGCCCGAGGGAGTTTACAATTGACTCCATTAAAGGTTCAAATTTTGAGGATAAAGGTGTGTCTTATTTGACTTTATATTTCCCAAAGTGTAAAATTAATAACTGCCTATTAACTAAAATGTTGCTAAACCACAGCATAAGAAGAGTGTATTTTAAGGCTAAATCATGCCACAAATTATGACATGGTTAGTATAGTTACAAGTGACAATTGCATGCCATTTCCATTCTGTAAATCAGAGCTTCCTAATACTGCTTTAAACACAAAATGTGCCGTTGGGCAAATGCTGTATTAGCACCACTAGTACTCTGTTTTTCAAACTGCAAAGGGCATCCCAGAGTTTTAATTTTGTTTCTTGGTGTAAATTTATATGTTCTTTGGATAACCACCCAATTTGTCCATGTAGCCAAGCTTCTCATAGGAGAGATGACAGAGGGGAACAGATAACTGTAGAACACAAGATAAAATATGATGAGGGCCAGGACACTGAAACACAGATAACGTAGGTATCAATAAACTACTACCCATGACCCAAATCCAGCCAGCCACCTGTTTTTTTAAATAAAGTTTTATTGGAACACAGCCATGGCCATTCATTTAGGTATTATCTATGGCTGCCTTCATGCTACAACTGCAGAGTTGAGGAATTGCACCAGAAACCATATATGGCTTGCAGAACCTAAAAGCTATGCCTTAGAGTCTAAGAAGCAGGCTTTCTAATATTTGTGGGGTCAGGGCAAGAAAACAAAAAGATACCTTCCAACTATGACCCGCCACTCTGCTGTTCTCACCCTGGCTCTGTCCTGCACTGCGAGAGGTCTCAAATACACCCTACTTATATGTAAGTTCCATCTACTATCCTCACACTCCTGCTTCACAAACACCTGTATCTTGACCTTCTTTCAAAGAAAGGGGTGCACACACAAACATTGGTGTCTGCCCTCAGAAAGTAAACCAATGGAAGAGGCCCATAGAGGCCCTAGAAGTGGTCCCAGGGACCCCGGGCGGGGCGTTTTAAATTTTGGGGTGGCAGATAGTGTTCTGAAAGATAAAGGACAATGGCTTTGGGCAGGCACACCTCCTTGGTTCCCCTAGACTCCTTGTCCCATGGCTAAGGCATGGCAGGAATAGGGCCAGAGTAGCACCCCCTAAAGGGAGGGGCAGGAAACAGGTTTCTCTGCCTGAGTATGAGGGTGATATTGTTAAGGAGTCCTGTTTAAATTGGCTAGGCAAGGACACTATTATTACAAACAGCTTTTAGCTAGTGCTTGATGATTATGAGAACACTGTTGTGCACAAATGGTGAAGAGAGGTATTCTAAGGAGAGGAAACTTTATGAGCAAAGTCATAGAGATGAAAAAGCTTTAAACACTAGTAGAGAATGGCTATAAAAGATGGATTTTTACACCTGTGAAAATATATACTATATCATTTTATCTTTGCAACAGGCTCTAATGGCTAGTATGGAAACTTTTCTCTTCAGTGGGGAGAAATTGAACCATATATTAGTTAAAATTAGAACCTGGAAACCTGAATGCTTGTTTGAATGGCAATGCTATCAAAAATATCTTGGGCAAATCTCGTAACATTTCTGCCTATCAGTTTGGAAGATTAGGGACTCTTGTCATATAGATCTATGATGATTAACTGTGTGGAGGGTATCACTGTAAATACTAGGAATTTGTTGTGTGCTTTAAAAGTGTTTCAGTGTGATTTGGGAGAGAAGAGAAAGAAAACCCAGCTGTAAGTTGAGAACCAGTGCTCAGCTGAGATAATGGCTCAGGTTGCCTTTATTTTAAGATTAGACTTAAACTAAAAATCTTCTGTTAATTAGTGGCTGAGCTGGAATTAGCAAATAGTCCTGGTCCTCTTGACTTTGGGCCCTGTTGTTTGTCCTGTGTATCAGATTTGATAATCAGCAACATGGGACTGGATACAAAATCTATTAGCCTGTGGGAAACAGGGCATGTATTAGACCAGTGGTTTTCAAATCTTGGTGAAAACAGTAATCCCCTGGTGAGTTTTCTAAAGTGCTAATCCCTTAACCAAAGGTGAGGGACTCTGATTCAGAAGGACGGCCTGAGGCCTGGGAAGCTGCATTTTAAAAACATCGGTAGAAATTTGGATAAAGGTAGTCCTTGGGACTCATGTTGAAAAGCAGTGGTTTAGAATGTGCTTTCTTTCCTTTTGGACAGAAGCTCTGTACTGAAGAGCCTTTAGTCTGTGAAAGACCTGAGTTATTTCTCCAGGGAAGGTGACTGTCTTTGGCTGAACCATCCACATTCTCTTGCCCAGTTCCTCTGAGGTCTATGGAGTGCCCATATATGAGACTAAAGTTAAGGAGTCACCTCCAGCCACGGGACAGAAGGCAGTTTTCTGACCTTATCAGATTTTATCATTGCCATACTTTAACTTGCTGAGCTAACCAGCCACAGTTTTGTTGGAACTCACCATGGAGACAGATTAATTTTAACTCTGAGAGAACATGGGCTTTTCAACACAAGTTAAATATAGGCTGGCACAGAACATCACAGAAGCATTAGGTCCTCAGAAATTTTCTTTAGCTCCCAAACTTTGAGCTGCCACTAATTTATGCTACTCATACTTTCTCCTGGTCATTTTTATGTTTTTGTCTTCCTTTGATCACTGAAACAGAGAAGGCAGTACTTAACCTGCTGGAAACAGGTCATCTATGAGCATGTTTCTCCTAAACAATTACATGGAAAATTAATGGAAAGAATAGGCTATATGTCTTAGGCTCTTGGGCAGACCATAAGCTTTCGTTCTTGTTTTTTTATGTTTTCTTGGGTGAAAAACTTAGCTTAAAGAAATATGAAATGCATTTAAAAATTAATTTCCACAAAACCAAAGTGCTGAGATTTGACCAAATGAAAAAACTTGGAGGTAAAAACACTGCACGGTTCCATGTGTAATAGTTTTTTTTTTCCTGGAACTAAAGAGAGCACACACATATTCACACAATTCCTACCTTTAGCAGATATTTCATTAAAACACCACACAATTTAAATGTTGATAAGACCTTTTCAAATAGAGAAATTAAAATGATACCTTATTAACTTTCATTATAGGGCATTAATAATTTTTGTATTTCTGATTAGAATATGGATTTTTGTTAATGTGGTGATTTTCAGTGGCAGTCATGTTCAGTGCAAGTGTGTTCTACAATAATATTGAGAAATAGGAGATGAAAGTTAAAATACTGGTGATGATGGGCCACATATGACCTACACGACGATACACAGTAGTGTTTCAAAATACCAATAATTTAATAAATTACTAATACTAACAAATCTGTGATAAGATAGGAATTTTTAGTGCTTCGAATATTGACCTCCCTAAGTTACATTTCAATGCCAGTTGTACAATACTAGTATTGAACTAGTGAGGATAAGAGTACTAGAGGCCATTGCTTGTGTTACAGTTCACATCCCGGCTTTATGACCTTTGGTGACTTACATAAACTGTCGTCTGTTTTTGTTTTTTGTTTTTTTTCGGGACACAGTCTTGCTCTGTCACCCAGGCTGGAGTGCAGTTGGGAGATCGTGGCTCACTGCAAGCTCCGCCTCCCGGCTTCACTCCATTCTTCTGCCTCAGCCTCCGGAGTAGCTGGGACTACAGGTGCCCGCCACCACGCCCGGCTACTTTTTTGTATTTTTAGTAGAGACGGGGTTTCACTGTGTTAGCCAGGATGGTCTCGACCTCCTGACCTCGTGATCTGCCCGCCTTGGCCTCCTAAAGTGCTGAGATTACAGGTATGAGGCACTGCGCCTGGCCAACTGTTGTCTGTTTTTTTTTTTTTTTTTTTTTTTTTTTTTTTTTTTACCTACAAATTGAATGAAATTACTCATAGGGTTGATATTAATATTAAGAGAGATCACATATGTAAAGAGCTTAGTACAGTGTAGTATAGTGCAAGTAGTTAATAAGAGTTAGGTATTAGCAATATATTATAGTTTCATAATTTTTCTTCTAAAAACCAATTGCCAAAGGATGTATTCCTTTAGTTGAAATACTATAGCTCGATTGTGTATATAAACATATACATTAATTTGTAAAAGTCAGTTTAAAAATAAGTATAATGGCATTTTTGAAACATAGCCCTATAAATAATAAACATGCTTCCAAGTTCTCAATGGATGATAAAAGCCATCAACAGGCCCTTGTCCTGCTGAGTTTCCCTGTGAAGCCAACAGCTCAGCCAGCCCCTCAAAGGCCATGGAAGCTTGAAGGTCAGACACTGCGTGTAGGGGTCACCTGCAGATTTAACTCTTAAATGCGAGTCGCTTAGATCTGTGGCTGCATCTATTTCTGTGAGGTACCAGACGTCTTCTACATTTGGAACATTGATGATATGATAAAGGAAGTCATGCCAATAATCATACCCAAAGCTGCTTAATGAAAGGAAGAATGGAGAGTCACACAAACATCACCTCTTAGTAATAGAAACTTGACTGGGAGACCCAAGCGAGGCCCCTTCTACCACCAGCATTCAAGCTGCATTAAACTAAAATGTCAAAAATACTTAAATAATAGTAATAATAATAATTGTGTTTAAGGCCATATTCACTGATCAGTGGTCCTTTATTGATTTAGATCTTTACAGAAGTGGAGCTCCTGAGTTCATTGCTTCATCCAATTCCTCGTTTTTATTATTTGAGAAAGGCACTCCCCCAGGGGATTTGACAGATTCACATATGTAGTTCAAAATGGTTGATTAGCATGTCATATGAAAACATATCAGAAGGACTAAGGGCTCTTGGACAGATTACATTTGTAGTTTTCCTGATGTCTTTCAGGCCTATCATTTTGTCATAAAATGAAGTTGAAAGGGTCTGAATATGTAGACTTCTTACAGGCTCCATGGAGACTTCTCACCACTTCTGTTTTCTGGTACGTGCTTAGAAAACGACTATTTGTTCCTGGATTTATGTACAGATCAAAGCATCCTGGCTGATTTGTTATTTTCTAGAATTTACATTTAAAAGCGTGAAGGTTTCTATTTGTAGAAAAGGCATTTTTCTTTCTTTTTTTTTTTTTTAGATGGCGTTTCACTCTTGTCACCCGGGCTGGAGTGCAATGGCACGATCTCGGCTCACTGCAACCTCCACCTCCCAGGTTCAAGGGAGTCTCCTGCCTCAGCCTCCCAAGTAGCGGGGACTACAGGCGTACGCCACCATGCCTGGCTAATTTTTGTATTTTTAGTAGAGACGGGGTTTCACCATCTTGGCCAGGCTTGACTCAAACTCCTGACCTCATGATCCACCCACCTTGGCCTCCCAAAGTGCTGGGATTACAGGCGTGAGCCACCGCGCCCGGCCAGAAAAGGCATTTTTCTATTTGTATTTGGGTATTTTTCATAATCCCTTACTCATTCATCAGTTTAGAACAATATCTAACTTTAATTGGAATGAATTTCAGTGTAAATTAAACAATTGCAGCAAAAAAGGAGATATCCATAACTAAATCCACAGTGGAAGACAACTAATGAGAATGCATAGAGAGCTAAAGAATACAGAACTACATCAGTCACAGGGAAGTATTCAAAAATTGTGAAACTTTACAAGTTTGTTTTTCATATCTTGGCTTCAAATTTGTGTTGCTTTCCTCCACAAGGGATTTCAAGAGATGTTTCAGAGAACTTTAAAACTTTCAATAATGTTTTAAATACCTGGGGAATAAAAACAAAACCAACAGTAATAATGTTGGAGGAGGAGGCAGTGGAAAGGAACAGAGAATAGGAGCAAAAAGAAAAAGATGTTAACATCCTTAGGTGCTACAATGGCTGATTCATCTGTAGTCTCCTATTATAAAATCTTATGTGGATTTGGGAGTAAGCCCCTTACTACCCCTTCCCACCCCCATGCCATTCCTATCACTAGTCTTTTTGGGGAAGAGGCTGTCATTGACAAGTCCCTACTTTCGCCATACTGTTCTCTACAGTTTCTAAATTCTATTAAAATGAAGGATTGTATGATAATTCTGTTAATATTTTTATTCTTGAAATATTTCAGCTCTGCCATGTATTATCAATATGGCCTTATCTTTAAAATGAGGATGATAATAATACTGGCATCAAGGCATGCTTTGAGAATTAAAAGAGTCAACCCAAATATGGGACCTCAAATATAGCCTTTAGCAAGCAGAGGCTAGCTCATAGAGCATGCTTGATAAATGGCAATCCTCATTGATAAAGCTCATTCAATGGAATCACTTATTTTTAAACTGTAGTTTAACCAGATATGGGATCTTACTATCCAATTGAACCTAGGAAATACAAATGATTATAGGCACAGCCTTTCCTTGGCTTTGTTTAGAATAGTTACAGAAATAGACTAATATTTTGGAATTTCATATGTTGATAGATTCAAGTAATTTGAATGGGAAAGAGGCAGGAGAGAAATTATTATTATTTTTTCCAGTCTTGAAATTTTTCAAAGCATTTTAATATTCTCAAAGTAGGAAGCCTGATTAGCCTTATCTTCATCAGTTCTTTATACACATCCCTATATCACTAACATTTTTTCTTATCCCATTCAACCTTCCAGTCCACTTGTAAGGCTACTTAAAAGATGCTAGATTAAAGAATGGTTTGTGTCATCCTCCCATGTCTTTGACATCTCCATTTTTCTTGAACCTACAGGGGTAAGTGAGCACTGCATGACAATATTGAGAGAATAGATATCTTTTTTTCACACCTGTCTCTTCAAGTGTATGATTCTGCTTATCTCTTTGTGACATTTCAGTGGTATAGTTTCTGCAAACATGATTTTATCAGGACTTTGCTTTCTGCTTTAGACTTGAAAGTGAATTTCTTTTGGGATAGTTACATCTTACTTGTTCAAGGTGTGAAACATAAAACGATATCTGATTTTTCAGTGTTCTACTGATACACAATAATTCTAAACTGAAGCAATATGGTACTCTTGCCTCCTGCTTTTATCTTAGAAGAATGAAAATTGAATATTTGGGTTAAGTTAATATACACAATACGTGGATTACTAAAGTTATTACATTTTCAATATCTTATAGTGCAGTAATACATATTTTAACAATAAAGCTCTTAGGAGAGTCACAGTGTAGGGAAGTTATCTTATCTTTACAACAATAACCATTATGTATTGCTCTAACATGACTTTGGTTTAATTGTACTTTCTGACCATCTGGGTAACAAAAATTATTCTTATTGGATTGGACCAAGTGAATATTTGATCAAGAACAACTTTAATTTTCAGCATTTTTTTCAAAATTACTAGGGAAATGTAATTGTAAACATATTTTTATAAATTATATTTTATTTCCTATTCTGAGATTATAAAGTTAACTTTTCAATTTCTTATTAACAGGGTGTTGAGAAGCCAGATTCCACATTAAGCCACTTAAATATTCTGTGGGTGGACTACAGCAGGAGGTGGAGGAGCTCCCATGTTTCTGAAGATAGTTTGAGATAATATTGTGGGTGGTGAAGGGGAGGGTACTTACAGTGTGTGGAGTCACGGACTCAGCAAGAATGTAATCCTGCTGGCTGCACCTTCTTTTCCTCACAGGGAATTCCAACAAAGCAAGAAGGGGTGAAGTGGCTGAGAAGGGCCAGTGCCAGTGGTATGTGACTCCAGGATCTACTCAAAGAAGTTTGCAGGTTCATTTGTAGACTCAATAGTTATTTTACTCACTAAGTTAAAGGATTTATGTATCCAATTTTAACAGATGCAATAAAAGTTATTTACATTAATCTTTACCATATGTCCCTCTTATCCTTTACATTATTCTATACATTTAGAAATTTATAAAAATGGTGGTGGAAAATACAGAACATGATGTAAAATGTCAACTCTTATCTCTTTTAAAGAGGTTAGAATAGGAGATGGTTGATTAGTGCATCTATAAAATTGTTTACCTGAAGGCCAGGCATGGTGGCTCACGCCTGTAACCCCAGCACTTTGGGAGGCCGAGACGAGTGGATCGCTTGAGTCCAGGAGTTCAAGACCAGCCTGGGTAACATGGTGAAACCCCATCTCTACAAAAACAAACAAACAAACAAACAAAAATTAGCCGGCATAGTGGCACATGCTTGCAGTCCCAGCTACTTGGGAGGTTGAGATGGGAGGATTGCTGGAGCCCAGGAGGCAGAGATTGCAGTGGGCTGAGATCACGACACTGCATTCCAGCCTGGGCAACAGAGTGAGACCCCGTCTCCAAAAAAAAAAAAAAAAAAAGATAAAAAAAATTGTTTAACTGAGTTGTGCCGCACAAATACCAATGGTTGAGTGTGTCATAATACTTACAGAATGATTTTGATTGTGTACGTTTGCTTCTCTTTACATGATTCATGCATAATTTACAATAAGAACTACCATGGTGAGCTAAATTAAGTTTAACATTTTGAAGTTTTCTTATGCAGTGGTTATCTGAGTCTCCAAGTTAACTTACATTGCATTTGTTCACTGTCTCCATTTCCTAAGTCATATTTTAGTAGATGATACCATGTAGTTTTGCATTTCTATCCAAATGCATTTTGCTTGGGAGATTAGTTGTATGAAATATTCTAAGGGGGGCATAAAGAAGGTTCTTTGATGAAATAACTTTGGAACATGCTGCTTCTATGTCTCTTACATGGATATTCACAATGATAAGTATAACCAAAGGCTCTGAGAAGTCCTGCAGTTTAAAAAAAAAAACACTAAAGTGTTTTAACCCAGGATTTTGTAGACACATTTGACCATAGGCACTCTCTTTCCATAATGCTTTGTTATATCCTACTGAACTTTGGGAAATGCCATCTTAGACATCCAGTAAGATCATATACACTTCAAATTGCCTAAGTATTTTTACAGAAATAAATCTAAGAACATAAACTAAGGTTTGCCAGAAATATATTACATTTCTCTGTTAAATAAACGTTTTCCATTGCATGTCAATATCTCACATGGGAATGCCTCTTGTCTCCCCAGTATAGTCACCAGACAGTCTTCCTCTCTGGAGTCCTGGTTTCTTTCCAAGAATTAGGCCCCCATCTCTGGTCTTGCCAGATTTTACACCCCTCAAGCCCCTCATGTCAGGGTAATCTCTTTCTCCTCTGGGCGATGGTGAGGAAGAATTGGGACGTGATGAGGCTCTGTGAGTCTCAAGCCCATTGGCATTCTTACTTTTCTAAGATATTCTGCGTCTTCCTTCAGACTTTTCCTCTATTTCTTTCACCACGGATTTTGATGGCTCATTAAACCCAGAGCCTGATTTATCCCCTTTTGGTTTGTATTCATAGAGGGCTTAATCCTTCAATGCTCCAAGAAGGTGAGAAAGCAGATTTTCATTCCATCTTTCCAATCTAGTACAGAGGAAAAGAAAAACAAATTCCCATATGAAAAGAGTCTGAAAATATTTAGACCATGATATAGTTGAAAAGGCATCAACTTCATTTACCTTTTGCTCTTACATTATTTTATCTTGGGCCCAGTCTATCTATCTCATATCATTGTATATCACTCTCCTCTTTGCCTATTAATCTCCATCCAGACCAGTCTTTAATCCACTTTCTGCTTTTGGGCCTTTTCCCTAGCTGTCCTCTCTGCATCTTCCCTGCTCTTCACATTGGCTGTCCCTTGAAATACAAGGCCTCATTAAGTGTTTCTTCCTTGGAGAAGTCTTCTCTAACTACCAGACTAAAGTATCTGACTAGTCCCTCACATGACATCTTAATTCTCTTAATTCTCTGCAGAGCACCTATTGTTATTTGGTATTTTATTATTTGTTTATCTGTTTGTTTCTTCCATCAAGAATCAAAGTTCCGTAAAAGCTCGGACACTATCTTTCTCCTTCTCCATTGCTTCCCCAGTACCTAATACAGTGCCAGGAAAATACCACAGGCTACATAGATAATTGCTGAATGAATGATTGAATATTTGACTTTTCATGTCTGTTACTTCCTTGGTTATTTCTTGGCCTTTTTTTACTGAAAATTTCAGTCGCTCTTTGGAGGCATTCGTTGCATTGTTTCAATCTCCTCCCTCTACTCCTGACCACTCTATGCCACATTTGACATGGCAATGCACCTTCCTCTTTCTTACCTCAAATTCTGTGGCACTTTTGAGGCTCTGACTTAGTCTTTTATGTCTCTTTGTATTATGCTACCTTGGAGACCGCATTCTTTTGCAAACTTAAAAGTACAAATTCTATGGCAAAAACCTTTCTGTAAATTCTTCTTTGACACCTGTATCTTAATCCTGTCACTCACTTCTCTGCTTTACTGTTTCAATGTTAGCAAAATTGCCAACTAAATCTTTAGTTTCTTATTGTTCATTGTGGATTAATATTAAGTCCTTAAGCAGACTAGGAATGTCTTTAGGGAAGGAGGCATACCATGTCCATTATTTATTTATTTTTAATAGCACACAACACATTTCTTGAACTTACCATATTTCAGTGGTTCAATAAATGCATGCATGTCCATAGATAGACAATGTATACTGAAAACACAGCATCAGTATTAATTTACGATCTTAGATGAGCCACTTGTATTGTTTAATATATTATTGGAATTAGGAAGGAAGAGGCAGGTGGCAGATCCCTATCCCATACTCCCTTACCCCCTTCTTGCTTTAATGTGCTTTCTTTTGCCAGTCTTGCTTCCTATTGTGCCTTTCCCTTCACATCTAAATATACAACGTTAAGCTAGAAAAGTACTATAAGAATACTAAACCTAGTTGAGAAAATAAAGAGAAAAAAATATAAACCATGGGCAAATCGTCTTCTTGAATATTCTTCTCTCAATATTTTAAAATTAAGATGTATGATTTTGATGATCTAGAATAAAACCAATCTCCCTAACATATTTTGCATATAGTATCTGTTTTGGCCTTTTTTCAGATACAGTATCATTTCAAGTTATTATTGCTTAAGAAATTTATGTTTGTGGTCACAAATTCAAACATTACCAAATTGCACCAAATAAAAAAATGAAATGACCTTCTCTGGTTAGATTAAACTTGTAGCACATTTATTCCTCTAATATACAAAGGTTTTATTAGTGAATTGTTTTTTTAAAAAAAGAAGATAAATGGAATCCAACAACAGCAATATATATTTTCCAGTAAAATTTTATCTATGTGATCATAAAATTCATTTATGCTTTTTATTAATCAGTGAGAGAAGTAATGCTGTCAGCAAAAGTGGGTTATAGCTCTATCACAAAGTTCTAAAAGCAGCCATGGAACCTATGCATTTTTTCATGTTTTCAGTTAACATTACTTGGGGTATAAAATGCTATTGTGTTGTCAAGTGAATTGATTCTAATCACAGCTGTTTTCTGTGAATTAAATCACCAAGAAAACTCAATCACCAACCAAAGACTTTTAAACAATAAAATCCCATTTGTGGTTGAAGATCAAATTTAAGAACGCTACTGGATATTCATTTATTTTGTCACGTTTAATTTTCTACTCTGACTCTCAGTTTCTTAAAGAAACAAATATTTAATATCTCCCCAAAGCCAATATCTGCTGTGTAGTGGGTTCATATCTTAGCACTGAGAGTTAAATAATTGTGTGTAGAAAAAAATAGGATATACAGTGATTGAATTTTCACTTCATGGAAAATGGCAGAAAAGCTAGCTATTTGCTTGCTTTCATTCCTTTACTATTTCAGAAACAAACACATCTCTAACTTCAAGTGAAATTAATTAGTTACTTAGGGAGATATATATCTATATATCTCTCTATATATACCTTTGCTTTTTGGGTTGTGGCACTTATGCTAAAGTTATCCTCTGGGTTTCCTTATATGGGTCATGCCATAAAAATATCCATTTGAGGGCTGCTCAGGTGAGACTCTCTGAGAGAGCCGTTATACTGTCTGTGCATCCTTCGTCCTTGTCACATCATAATGTTTTCATTCAACCTCTTTGTACAGATCAAGGAGAGAATTGTTATGTATGTATAAAGTTATGAATTGTTTTGTACTAGCGACCAAACTCAGGGAATTTATCGCAACGGGTATTCCATAATGGCTTGGCACTAGGTCAGAAGCCATTGTCAGCAAATCAATTTATGTTACTTAGGGTGTCTCTTGCAGCAGGACAGGCAGATTCAGGCTGAAGGTGTTGAGAAGGCTAAAACCTTCTCAAACAGCAGCGATGTTTAAAGTGTAGCTTTATTACCTGCATACGTGGCACTGTGCTGGTAGAAATGAGAATGGAAGAAAAACAGAACATTGGATTATTGGTTAAGGAATGGCATTTTATTCTTTCCTTCATAAGTTTTATCTTAAACCTTGAACATCTGGCTTTGTGAAATTGAGCCCTGTGTCTGAATGACACAACAGAAGAGCAATTGCAAAGTCCTGTGTTCAGACAAGTCCTGAATATATATCTATTTCATTGTCATGGATTGTTTATCAGTGGCTGGAATGATTTTATATGTCCTTTAATTTAACAAGCAGTACCAAAAGCAAAACAGAAAAAAAAAACTCTTTGAGGCTGCATTTTAGAAATTCTTCAGTGTCATCTGGCACTGGGGACATTTGGTATTTCTTTCATTTCTTGCTGCTATACCCTCTTACACAAAGTCACAGGCTTAAGCTGTTTCCCTTCAACTGTGGGAAGGAAAAAAATTAATTTGAACATTTCATATATTTTAGGAAGAGTTTAGAAAATAGGGTCACATTTTTCAAATGTGCACGTCAGTTGCTTCTCCTCCTTGCCTTTTTCTATCTTCAAATTTGTTTTCCTTTAGTAGTTTTTAGTTAATTGTGAATGTTTACAGTATGGTTAGAGATAAAATAATTCTCTTACTTTTCTTTTCCATCGTCACACCTGAGACAAATGGGGGAAAGCAGACTTCAAACCACACACGATGTGTTTGATTTCTGCTCCTTTCAAATATCCATTTTATTTACCAAGAGGTAAAAACACTCTGAAAACTGGCAACATCTTATGTCCCACAGCATTACTTTTGATGAAATCCTGCTGTATTTTAGCCAAAACTTCTTTAGACAAACTATAACTGAGTCACGTCGACCCTCAGATGACATCAATCTTCACTCCTCTTCTATCCAACTACCGACTAGACACACGTACACATGCGTATGCACCCCACAGATCAAACTTATTTCATTTTCTCTACCTGTTGGTCACGGCCTTTTCTTCTTATAGCTTACTTTATTCCCATTATTAGACCTGTTTCCATGTTACTGAACCTTTTCCATCAAACCTCAAGTCCTTTATCTTTGTCAACAACTCCGTGAAGCTTTTATCAATCTGCCTGTCAGTAATCTCTCTCTTATCTGAACTCGGAATCTATAATCTGCAACACGGCACAGAGTATCAAACTATGTACTTGTTTTTGTTATCCTTTTAGCTGTTTTGTGTATGTTGATTTCCCCTGTAATTCCTCACACATTTTTTGTAGTCCCCAATGACTCTGAACCGACAGCAGTTAGTTTTTAAATATGAATACCCTATTTAAGGATCAATTTCTGCACACTTTCAAAGCTTTCTTTAGGATAATTATGTCACCATAAGTGAATTAAGGTTCCTCACCTTCTCCATGGAGCTTTGCATAGTACTTTAGTTGGATCATAAAGAAATGCCCTGAATTATAGGATGGGATCACTGCAAAGTCCTACTTGCATGTGAGCAAGGAGCAGAGTCTCTACAAGGTAACCTGTTACTTGGATATCTCTGAGGATATTAATGATAAAAAGGAGTGGCCAGAGGAAAGACTTTTCGCTTCTCAATTGCAGCACTGTAACTAAGTGACTTCTGGTAGATCAAATAGACTATTTTGGGGATTCCTGCTCACCCATCTCCTCTGTGTTTTCAGAGCTGCTGTAGAGCTGTTAGAACAGTGAACTGATGCTTTTTGACTTGCCAAACAGTGGGAGCTTTCTATTTAAATAGTTATCCCTTAGAAGAGCTATATTAGGGAGCTCAAAGGAAAGGATTTAAGGGCCCACACAGAGTAGAGAGGCAGCAGATCAGCCACCTACTGGGCCCTTGTTCCTTCGAATGCTTCAAACTACATATTTGTAAGGCAGAAGGCCTCCTGCTCACAGAACTGTATGCTCCTCACCTGCCCTTTTGTATTTAGCAAACACATGGGAAGGGCAGCTCTTCCCTGCTGTCTAACTTGTCTCTTGTTGTTCTTCGGAAGCAATCCCTCACAGCCCAGTGGGCAGAGAGCCAGGTGTGCTGAATGCACCTAGGGGATGTGGTCATGGGAGGAGATCCTTCAGGGGCAAGGGGATCAAATTTGACTTAGTATGTGGTCATTTTCCAAGTGACAGATGTGTAAAATGCCAGTAGACTAAGAACCCAAAGGAGCTAATCAAAATGCGTGTGTGTGTGTGTGTGTGTGTGTGTGTGTGTTTTACCAAGAATCTATATAGGTGCTTTCTTATGCCTTTATTAATATCTGTTCAAATTCTACTAAGTCATACTGCCAAGCTTATTTTGATAAGGGAATCAGTTTATTTATTTCACCAAGGTTATAACTATATTGGATAGAGAAATTGGGATTATTTTCTTAGCTTTTAAGCCCATAATAACTTTATTAAGTCCACAGAGAATAGTTTATGCTCTATTGTTGCTGTAATAATTTATTTTTCTTGTACCCATTCCATGGGGAAACATACAAACACCAGGAAGATACAGAAAATATGAGTTAGAGTTGGGAGACTCACTGTCCTGCCAGATAAAGGTCTCTTTCTAAATCTCATTGAAACCTGACATTCAGAAGTAGGCCAGAAAATAGGCCTAGCTATCTACACAGATATCTCTTTTTGTATTATCATTAAACATCTCCTAGGAGGCAGCAAGCTCTGTGGTGGGCTGACATAAATTCTGCCATTACATTTTTGTTTCTTTTTTATTATATGTGTATTATTATGAACTATTTTAAACATAAAGAAAAGCTAGAAAAATATGACAAAATCATTTCAACACCCAGATTTAGCATATGTTAATGTGTTGTCAAATCTTCTCCAACTTTCTTTTTCTCTCTTTTTTTAAAGCAAATGAATGTTAAAGATACAGCTAAAGCCTCCCTCTCCATCCCCTCTTTATGCCACTGTGTTTCTTATATAATTATTACATATAAGGTTGCTAACTCTTAGGAGTGAATTTCTTTCTTAAGTCCAAGGACCATCTCCTGTCTTAGGTTTTTCACAAAGGGGCAAATCAGAACAGTACTACTCTACTGAGTGTCAAATTTAATTGTCTCCTCCTCTGGTGTCACTGGTGTGCAAATACTTTCCCCCTTGGGAAGGATATCTGGGGTTGTCTAAAGGGCAGCAATCTCTATCTAGCATAACAGTTTCAAAGTGCAAGAGCTGTTTATGACCTACCTGAAACCATGCACCACTGTCATTCAGACCTTCGCCTTTTGTTCTGAGCCGCCCTGATGTGATCATTCATTTTGCTCTGTGCCTTTTTCTTTTTAGCATCCTATCATGAATAGCTTGATTGACTCTTCTCATCTCTTGGGTCCTGGATCTACAGAATAATTTAATAAAATGAGGTAAGGTAGATTAATAACTGGCTTAAAATCAGACTTTTGGCTATCCCTATTTTGTAACTGATGCTATACTCTCCCCACTCCCTGGGATACATCATGTTCTCTTAGCTTTGTGTCTTCCCAAATCAAAATATAGAACAAAAGTGAAGAAGTGGAAGTTGGCAGCTATGTGGTTTGGGTATTGAATTGTTCCCACATCAAAAGATTTATGAACTGTGCATTTTAAACAGTTCTCAGTTCATGGCTCCCTTTAACTAAATTGAGAAAACAGGTAAGGAAAGTGAGGCAAATGCTAAAGAAAATGGCCTTGACTGTTCAATCTAGCATTAAAGATAAAGATTTAATGAAGGTAGGTTTAGGACTTATAATTTTGAGTCTTGAAAACCCAACTTTTAAAGGATTAAACGGGAGGGTGGGGAGTAAATTCAAGTTTATGTGGTGGTTCTCCTCCTCTGTCGCTCGCTAATGCAGCTCTTCTGAAGGATAGAAATTTAAATAGAAAGCTCTCACTGCTTAGGAAGCAAAAACATTAAGAAATTGCTTTAACAGCTTTACGGAATCTGCCATTTTCATCCTGACTACAGTGCTACAAAGTGAGCAGTAATCTCTGGGGTAGGAGCACGGCCCACAGTCAACACCTATGCTCACTCTGTGCTTTTTACACTTTTAGTTTTCATTTTCCTTAATCAATATTTACCAGGCGACAGTCACAGCTTTAGCAGCTTCTGTTTTCTACCAATCTTTCTGTTGCTGATACTTCAGACATTTAATAATTTCCTTGTCTATAATAATTTCTGTGCTAGTTCCTTTTATAAATATCTGCAGTATGTGTACCTAATTTCTGGGATCAGGTGCACATCTGAAAAATTGGGATTCCTTAATGAATGTTGGCATTCAAAAATCTCCTCCAGTACTCTTACTTTATTGGGTCACATCATTTTCTTTCTTTTTTTTTTTGACATCATTTTCTTTGTTGTTTATTTTAAGCAATCCTCTTTCAGACAATTGTCACTTACAAGGTTAGCTACTGCTGTGAAGCAAACCATCACAAAATGTAGTGGATAAAACAATAAGGTCGCCCGTCTGAGCAGTTCTTCTGATTTGGGCTGGGCTAAACTGGATCTCGCTGGAGCATGTCCAAGTGTCTGTAGTCAGTTATAGAGGGGCTGCGGGCTGGCTCATCTGGCTGTCACCTGGGTCATGTAGCTCTGATAATCCAGCAGGTCAGCCTGGGTTTGCTTTTATCTGATGGTCACAATGTTCTGAGTGAGAGAAGAAGAAACATGAAAGGTCTCTTAAAGGGTAGGCTCAGGACTGGCAGATTGTGATGTCTGCTGCAATCTATTAACCAAAAGAAGTCACAAGGCCAGTACAGATGTAAGGGCAGGGGAAATGGACTCTGCCTCTTTAGTGAGAAGAATTTCAAAATCACATTGCAAAGTGTGTGGACACAGGGAGGGGCAAAGAATTGTGGTGTTTTTGCCATCTGCCTCTTGCACTTAACCTTCTCCCATGACATAGTTGTCTCAAGTAATTTCCCTTCTGGGAGCAGCTGTTTTGATATACAGGAAATATTGATCCATCATACTCTGAAGAAAATTGCAGCACAGAAAGGATTATTTAGGCATCATAGGTGGTCATGAGAATAAGAAATGCTGAAGCCTTAAGCAGATGAGCTTTAAGCAGCTGAGCCCTTTATGTTCTTAAGTGAAGCATTTTTATTCTTCCAAGCATCAACTGTAGTCTTGTTTTCACCAGATGAAAGCAACTCCAAGTCAAATGCATGAAACTGCACTAAAATTGTGATGCATTTGGTTACTCTGTATCATGTGTGGACAAAATAAATACCCTGATATGGAGCACAGATTATACACACATCGTTTCTCTGAATTCATAGCTATGCAAACAGTTCCTTACGGTTGACGGGTTTTATTTTTTATCTACTGTGATTAAGTTGCAGTTTAGCCTTGCATTATCTCATCTAAAACATTTTAGCTTTTCTTTTTAATTCTTATTCTCTAACTCATTAAAACTTTTTTAGGGCTTTGCTAGCCGATTCCATTTCTTCATTTTATCCTAGGAAGAAGACCAGCAAAATAAATGTGGATATTAAATAATATGTATTATCATTTTGCAAAATCAAAATGTTTTACATGAGACTACTAAATAGCAAGTTCATAGTTTGAGGGACGATGATTTTGCCAATGAGACAGAATTCTCTCATAACACACTTAGGGGGCATATCACATGAGGGTACCTTGCATAGTACACAATTGGAAAGTAGGAGAATAAATAGTGTGAGTAGGAGACATTTATGCAAAGAAAAGGCGCCCTTGTTTCTTGACTTTGCTTTAGTATAGAAATATAAAGTTTGTGGCTTGAAGGGACCTTAATTATTTCATGGTTTATTCCTGCTAAAACTTCTAATGATGGGAAACTCACTATACCTAAAGAAGCAAAGTCCATTTATCTAAGTGGACGATTGGGTGGTCATCACTGGGGGACCTTACTATGTGTCATTGTTTTTATCTTCATGAAAGACATGATCTATTAAAGAGATGGACATGGAAAGTATCACAGCAAAATATGCTATGTACCAAAATATAATACACACTTACCTTGGGGACCAAACGGAAAGTGAATTTATTATCCAGTTTACTAGTCAGAACTTGATAATTCTCTAAATAGGTAGGATAGTGGAGATGGAAGAGCTAAAGATGGTAGATGCTGTCTACTGAAATTGGGACTATCTAATAAGCATGATTACCGGGAGCATGTCAGAACATTCTGTGTATCCATGGTGGTCAATGACTTAAATCTACATCCATTTTCAGAGATCAAATTCCATTCCTGGCCCATTACAGAAACACTACCTGGGCCTCGAGTGAGCAAATGCCAAGAAGCTATTTAACAATAGGCAAGCACGGCAAAGAGAGGCTTAAAATTGGCGAAAAGTGCTTCCTTTGCAGTCATCCTATTCAACTTGTGGCAGCTTTGAAACAGCATCATGAATTATTATTTTAATATTACAAATAAACTTTATTCTTCTCAGCAACTTGCCTCCTGATATGTTAAAAATATACAAAACTCAGTTTGTCAATTCCTGGGAAATTATTGTCATAGCGGGGAGCCATACCAAGGAAGTTTAAAAGAACAATGATAACAATATAAAAAACTGCAGGAGAAAAGCCATAAAGATAGGTTTCAAGGCACACTTTTCTATCTTCCTTTTCACTGTTGATTTGCAGTCAGTGATAGATCGACTTTTTTTTTGTTTGTTTCATTTGTCCTCTTCCTTTCACTAATCTGGGCTTTATTTTTGTTTCAATTTTCCCTAGCTTTCTTCCCAGATAATAACTATTTCCTTTTCCCAAGCCCTAATTCACACTTTATCATTCTCTCACTGAAGTGCCTTTCACAGCAATCCAATCAGGACACTTCTGTTCAGTTTGTTCCAAGGGGCTTATTTGATCATCATCAAGAAGATAATTGTCTATCCTTAGAGCTGGGCTAAACAAAAGGGTGAAGCAGGTTGTGCACAAATTCACAAGACTCCATTATCATTCCCCTGCAGACTCCCAGCTGCACTTTTACTCAACCCGTCTGCCTTCTTCCCCTTCAGGCCACCTTGGTTGAGCTTCTTCAGCTGTCCCTGCTTCTATTTCATCCACCTGTTTTCATCCTTCATGCTTTCCTAATTCAGGTTTTCTATTCGTCTACTGCAACTGATATTTTCTAGCAATTTTAAGGAGGATAAAAATAATTCTTGAGTGAAATAATTCATACTAGGCTGAGAGTGAATGATTTCAGATGTATAGGAGGTGTGTTATAAAATGATTTATTAAATGTGAAGAAATTCCTAGTGAAAATATACATCGATATATTATGTGGGGATCATGGGTGCCTCTATGAATTAATTCATTCAGAAATGTTCATTAAATGCCTAACTCATTGCTAACGGTGAAGAAGCCAAACATATTCCCTTTCCCACCTCTTCTCATGGAGCTTACATTCAAATGGGCAAGATAGGTAGTGTCTTAGCCTGGATTTCCCTGTAATAAGCAGCGCTAAGACAAGGCTTTAGATGCAGGTTTATATTGGGAAAAGAAACCAAAGGATCAGGAGTAGAAGATGGATAACAGTGAGAGAAACAGAAGGAAGGAAGGGTATGTCACTGAGCTAGACTCAATCCCATCAGGAGCCTCTTGAGAAGCCATACAGAGTGTACAGTGGGCTTGTCTGCCACAGATACCTATTGGCTCCATCCCCCATTGGTCACAGGCTGCCCCACACATGGTTCACTGTCTTGTGCCTGTGCTTTTTGGAATGTGTCAGTTGGTTCCTGAAATTGTCCCACTAAGATATGGCAGAGAAATAAATAGTATAGGTGAGGAGAGACATTTTCAGAATAATCTGCACAAAGCTGATGGTTGCACCAACAGCTGGAATATAAAGGTAAATGAAGAAGATATAAGAAAGGGCTCAAGAGGTGTCCGATACAAAGAGCAATAAAATAAAATAAATATCTAATTGCACACTGTAATAAGTGCTCTAGGGTAAAGGGTACCAGGAGAGCATATGCACAACACAATCCAAAATAGTGGTATAGACCATAGGGGTGAAAAATTCCTTCAAACCGTCATGGTTCCTTGACATGACCAAATGTTTGTAGTGCTACTAAGTAAAATGTGTTGAAGATTAAAGCCCATTTTTAATTTTACTATTTAGCTATCCTGTTCCTAGGTAAACGTCAAATCCCCCAAATCTTTAAGCTTTTCTCCAAAGTAGATTTTCTTCCAAAGATTAAGAAGGTTTCAACACTATTTTAGACAAAGGACTTCTGACTATCCTAATACCTCCCCAAACTACTACATTGAAAACCTTATTGGGAGACATAAGTACTCCTAGCTTTGTTTAACGTTAAGTGGAAAAAATGTAATATAGTTGAGAGGTCAAGAGCCTGTGCTCAAAAGACTCCGATTTAATATTGGCAAGACTCATGAGCTATACCTCTTTGTATCTGAATTCCTTATTTGTGAAAGGGGAATAACATTATCACTTGCTCGCATAGGTTAAAAGGTGATTAAGTAAGGAAACACAGATAAAACTTATAGAAAAATGCCAGGCATATGGTATAATCTCACTTATTAGCAAATGTATTAATTTACTAGGGCTGCCATAATAAAATACCACAGAATGGGTAGTTTAAGCATCAGAAATTTATTTCTGTACAGTTTTGGAGTCTAGAAACCCACAATCAAGGTGTCGTTAATGGTGGTTTCTGGTGAGGCCTCACTTCCTGGTTAGTGGATATCTATCTGCCTTCTCACTGTGTCTTTATATGATCTTTACTGTGTGTGTGCATCCTTTGGTATCTCTTCCTCCTCTTATAAGGACATCAGTCCTATTGTATTAGATCTTCACCCTTACAACCTCATTTAACCTTAATTACCTCTTTAAAAGCCCTGTTTCCAAATACAGTTACATTGGTGGGTAGGGCTTCAACATGTGATTATTATGGGCCCACAATTTAGTCAATAACAGCAAGTGGTGTAATTTTTACATGAAAATGTCATTTCCTAGAAGGGGGCTTTTAAAAACTTTTTAGTCTCAGGATTCCTGTTATACTTCCAAAAATTCTTGAAAATGCCAAAAAGCTTTTGTTTATGTGGGTTATATCTATCGATATTTACCATGTCAAACATTAAAATTGAGAAATTTAAAATATATGTATTTATTTATTTGAAAATACCAATAAGACCTCCCATTACAAATTAACATTATTTTAGGGAAAATAACTACATTTTCCAAAACAAAATAAATTTAGTGAAGAGTGGCATTGTTTTCCAGTTTTGTAAATCTCTTTAATATCTATCTTTATACAAGCTGCTGAATTTGCATATCTGCAACTATAGCCAACTTGTTATGATACCTCATGAAATGTAACCTCTAGAAAACTTCACTGTATGCTTTTTTTTTTTTTTTTTTTTTTGACGGAGTCTCACTCTGTCAACCAGGCTGGAGTGTGGTGGTGCATTGTCTGCTCACTGCAGCCTTCGCCTCCTGGGTTCAAGTGATTCTCCTGCCTCAACCTCTTGAGTAGCTGGGACTACAGGTGCCCGCCACCACACCTGGCTAATTTTTGTATTTTTAGTAGAGACGGGTTTTCGCCATGTTGGCCAGAATGGTCTCGAACTCCTGGCCTCAGGTGTCGTGCCCACCTTGACCTCTCAAAGTGCTGGGATTACAGGCATGAACCACCACACTTTGCTACACTGTACTCTTTTGAAAGAATGAGAGCAAAAAAGGCAAATAGCATTTTGGTATTATTATGAAAATAGTACAGACTTTGCAGAGCCTCCAAAATCTCCTGAGGACCATTGGTGGTCCCTGTAGCACACATTTGAGAACCACTGCCTTAAAGCTTAAGAACACTCCCAAATCAATGAGGTTTGTAATTTTGGCATCCTACTTTTGAAAGGCTCCCCAACTCCTTTAAGTTCAATACCACATTTTAGTGTTTTGTGCTAATAATAGTAAATATTGACTTTTTTCCACTTGCAGAGAAATACCAAACCATGGCATACAGATGGATTTCACTTGCAAGTTATATTTGATGATATTTTTCACTTTATACTTCTTCATTGTCCACAATGAGAATGAGACAGAACTATTTTTGTGATATCTGTTGGGCAATCCTTCAGTGAACTGGTTCAAATAATGTGTTTTCTTGAAAACTGCTGCTGTAACATATCTGTTTTGCTACTAAAGAAATTCAGCCTATGAATATTATTACATCTTTGAAGTGAACTTCATCCTAATGGTCAAAAAGTTGGGAGCCAACTGTATTGAACATTTATTTTTTACCATTATGTAAAACAGACCATTCATTTACTCTTTTGAAGATGACAATTTAATTTGTTAAAGTTTTATTTTATTTTTAATCGAAAAATAATTGTGTATATTTATGGGATGCAATGTTATTTTAATGACCACATTAGGCCACATTTCAATAGCTGATAAAAAAGTTCCCAACACTTAATTGCTTTTACTAAAAATACTAAATATTTAAAGATTGATTATATCATAGAATTTTTTTTTTTAACTGAGACGCAATCTCATTCTGTCTCCCTGGCTGGAGCGCAGTGGTGCTATCTATCTGGGCTCATTGCAACCTTCACCTCCCAGGTTCAAGAGATTCTCCTGCCTCAGCTTCCCTAGTAGCTGGGACCACAGGTGTGCACCACAATGCCTGGCTAGTTTTTGTATTTTTAGTAGAGATCATGTTGGCCAGGCTGGTCTTGAACTCCTGCAACCTCAAGCCATCTGCCTGCCTAGGCCTCTTAACATGCCGGGATTACAGGCATGAGCCACCACGCCAGGTCTGGTTTTGGTTATTTATATATATATGTGTGTGTGTGTGTGTGTGTATATGTATATATGTGTATATATACATATACACGTATGTACACGTATATACGTATACACGTATGTATACATATATACGTATGTATATATACACGTATTTATATATGTATATATGTGTATATATGTATATATGTGTGTATATATGTATATATATGTGTATATATATATGAGCTCCTCAAGCACAGAAATAAGTCATAAATACTGTTTTTATTTTCCCCAACTCCTGCCAGGTTGAATTTCAGAGTTGATGCTTAATAAGTAATTTTGAAATTAAGTTTAATAGAATATATGTAATTATTATTTTGTGTCACAATGATTCTACCATATTCCCTGTCTTTCTAATTTTTTAGTCCTTCTTTTGTTTTATTTTCCCCTCATTTTATCACGTTTTTCTCTTACTTTTATTCTTTCTATTTTTTTTAACCTCTTATCAATCACTTTGGACTCAAACTTTCTGAAATCACGTTCTTTACTTTTTAATTAATATTTGTTCCTGGTTTTACAATTATTTTAATTATATCATTTATACCTACTTTTCTCAGATATTTTCAAATGATATTTGGAGACAATTCTCCATATGGCTTAGCTTTTCTGTATGTCTTGTTAGAAGAGGCACCGAATGCCTTTTTTATGAACTCTTTGCACTATCTTGGGAGATAGAAATAATATCTCCCTTTGGAGCAAGAGGAAGACATGTTTATTGTTTACTGTGAAAGATTTGAGTTCTCTAAGATCAAAGTTTCTCTCCTATAATGTACCTATTGCATGTGCAAATATCATCCATCTCTCTTCATGTCAACCTGTAGGAATTAGACCTTGGGAAACTGGCACAAAATGTGAGTACTCTGGCTACTGTTTTTGCTGTGAGTAATGTTTAAGCCATTTTTTGTTTCTGACTCAAGAGTTTCATGTCTTCTGTTGGCATCCATGAAACTGTGGCAGGCTAACCCATTACCTTGCAAGTAGGGTACAATCTCAGATTTTGTTATAGACATCAATGACTTACGATGATTTGATCTTTGACTTATGATGGTTCAACTTCGATGTTTTTACTTTACCATGGTGTGAAAGTGCCACACATTCAGTAGAAACTGTACTTCAAGTACCCATACAACCATTCTATCCTTCGCTTTCAGTACATGAGGTAATCAATAAGTTGCATGAGATAGTCAACACTATTTTTTTATATATAAAATAGGCTTTGTGTCAGATTATTTTGCCCAACTGTAGGCTAATGTGTTCTAAGCATGTTTAAGATAGGCTAGGCTAAGCTATGATGTTTGGTAGGTTAGGTGTATTAAATATATTTTTGACTTACTATATTTTCAACTTACAATGAGTTTATTGGGACACAACCCCATTGTAAGTTGAGTTATACATGAGTTAAACATGGTTGGAGTTTGCGGCTAAAGCTTTTGGATTACTTTTACCCCATCGTAACTTTATCATGGCGTGTGTGTGTGTGTATGTGTAGCCCGGCAGGCATGGCCATCCACTGAATACTTTGTCTTGTATTATAATTGCTCTTATTTTTCATATTACATAGGCAAGTTTCCTTCACAAGTACAGTGTTTTCTTGTCTTCCTCCAAGAACTTTTTACTCTCCTTTCATTGTCAGGTCTCATTATAAGGCTTAGCAGATTCATTTTAAAAAGCAAACCTATTATTTTTTGTATATTTATCTAGTCTATTGGTCTATCCGTATTTTTCCATATCTCCAAAAGCATCAGCATAGCCATTCTTACCCACAAAGCACTGTTGACCAACTTATGTTTAGATGTGGCATTATTTTCCCACCTGGAATGTCATCTCTTTCTTTTATCTATGTTTCTTCCATTTCTTTTAAAACTTACTTTCTCTACAGAGGCTTTTGTGAGTAATCCCAAATAAGTTTACTCATTAAGCATTTATTTTTTGATAATTATATTACTAATATTCATTGATTGCCTACTATAATTCCAGGCAGAGTGAGCAAACCACCACAGAACTTGAATACCATCTTGGAAGTTAGTATCTTATAAATCAACATACATTCAATTTGATCTATGTTATTTGGATTTAAAGATACATAATTTTTTATTTTTCATGTTGCCTCCCTGATTTCATTGGAAATTCTTCCAAGGCAGGCAACTGTGTCTTTTTCCTTAACTAATAATAGTTTAAGCCCATAAAACCTTTTCTCTCTCTTCAAGCAATAAGAAAAAATCAGGCTGTCCAGCAGTGCAGTGCAATGATTCCATCAGGGACTTGACTACCATCTGGCTTTCTGCTCCACCATGGTTAGTGTGTGGCTTTCAGCTTCATGATTGTAATTGGGCTGATATACCTCTGGACCTCATGGCCATGTTCAAGGGAGGAAGAAGGAATAAGGGATAGAGCAAAAGGGGATTGTCTGGGGTCAAAATCCTTCCAACCTGAGACATCAATTTCAGAAGTTTTCCCCAAAATGCTATATAACATTGTCTCACTGATCACAACTGGGTCAATCACCACCCCTAGCTACAAGGAAGTTTGAGAAGGTGAATACGCTTAACTAAGCATATGGACACTTTACACAAAATCAGAGGTTTTTTTAAATAAGAATGGGACAAGATATGTTGGTTAGAGACTAACAATGTTTGCCGTACCACCAAACTCAACAGTGGCATAAGGATCCTTAAAGCTACAGGATAAATAAAAAGCATCTTCTTAGAGCATCTTATTAGAAAATTTGAAGGAAAACTTCTCCCTAAAACAAACATGGGGTAGAATACAGATAAGATATGAATATTTAAGGTTGAAATTGGGTGAGATAAAAAAATTCTCACCTTTTGCCATGTCCCCCACCTCCTTCATGTGCCACAGCCACACTGGTGTCTTTCATTTCTTATTCTAATCATAGCCCTTTCTAATCTCTGATTTTTCTGCCAGAAATGCTCTTCCCTCCAAATTTTAAATAAATGGGCAGATCTCAACTTTAAACTTAACAACAACAACAAAAAAGGTTCTCAGAGAGATATTCCCTGTCCAACCAGATATAAAATCCCAGTCACTTTCTGTGATATTTTCAATTTAGTATTTATCACTACATGTTTATTGTGTGCCCTCCACCCCACCCCCAGAATAATGTAAGCTTCATGCAAGCAAATGCAGTTAGGTGCTGTTTATCCTAGCAAAGGGCACAGGAAAAGGTAGGCTCTCAGTATGAAGCAGGGCACAAGAAGTATTCAATACACTGTTAGATTTTCACTGAGATATTTATGCTTGAAACTAATCTGGAGTCTTTCTTCTCCTCTCTTAGAACATTGCATCAAAGAATATCAAGTCAATAGGATATTGGATATTTTCAGGGAAAAAAGACAAAGACTAGGCTGATTGAAAATCACTGTAACATTTGTTGTAAAACATTGTGTTTGCGTCCTACTGTTGCTGTATAAATATATTTTCAAGCTCTTTTTGTGAATATCAAATGAGGAACAATAGACAAACCACTAGCTTGTGAAAACATTTTGATCCCATTTTAGTCAATGATTAATTTTGTAAGACATAAGGCTTTGCCTCTGTCTTCTCACTGCCAGGCCATTATTTTAGTGTTCATCCCCAAAACCATACTTTTTAAAAACTGGATATTAATGCCATGTAAATGTTAAGAAAATATTTAGCTCAGGAATTCATAGACAAGATTCTTGTTGTATATATCTTGGAATTTTTCTTGGGACACAACTGGAAGTTTCTCTATTTATTCAGGACATAAAATAACCCACTTCTTAGGGGGAAGGTTCCAGGTCAACAATTTAATGATTTTTAAACAAATATCCTACAGGGAAAGGGAAGATTTAGAAGAATTTTTTACATCCCTTTATACTTCATTAAAGCCTTTTTGGTGTATATTGTGAAATTATATGCCTAGTCCAGAATTAAGGACCTGGAATAGGCTAAACAAGAAAATACAGGTTAGTAGAGTTATAATTAATCCTCATAAGTCAGAGAATAAAATGGGCAAGAAGAGTAGTCAAGTACATTGAATAGAGTCTTCCATTAACGTAATTCAGAATTGCCCTGGCTTCCCAAGAGCATTTTCATGTTTCACTGGTCAAGTGAAATACCTACCCTGTCTTATCTCGATCTTCCCACATTACTTACTTCCTTATTAGGTTCCTCTGTAATTCTATTGACTGAAAATTCACTGCTGTGGAAATATATCTACTAGTGGAGTTAATCCAAACAATTTGGGCAATAGGAAAAATACATGCTTAATGATGTGTTTGCCTTCTCACTTAATTTTATTTCAGACCTACTAGATAGTCAATAAGGGATGGGAAATGACATTCTTGTGAAGGAGAGATGAAAATATTAATATATTAATATTATGTATTTAAGCGTAGGGATGATCTCGATATAGGCATATCATAAAGTACCTTAATATTTCATTGGCTGATTCATCAGAGTGAATCTATGTGGTCGTAAATGAATGGGAAGCATGTAAAAATCTTGTTTATCTAACATGCACACTAAAAAGGGTCCTCCAGGAATTAGAATCACTCAAAATTGTAAGTTGTGCCGCAATTTGTTGATGTAATTATATCAACATTTTTCTTGACGTCAGACCATTGTGGGTGGGAAGATTATGGTTTTGATGATCACACAGACATAGGCTTGAATATATTCTCTTATTGCTGGCTGTGTGACCACAGACAAGTTACATAAACACTCTGACTCTCAGATTCTTTTGTAAAGTGGGACTCCTTTCCTTTGAAGCATGAGCACAAAGATTGAAAGATACATAAAACACTTTAACATGTTGCCTGGCATGAAACAAGTGCTCATTATGTATTAATCTTCTTCCCATTCTCCCTCTGGGAGCAATGAGTGATTTAGAGTTTGTAATTCAGTTGAGAAGAAATTTCAGAATTGTATAAAAGGCAGTGTGCTTATATATTCATTCATTAGTCCCCTTATTATCAGAGTGTGTTATTTGCATTACATAGTTTAGCCATGGTGTGTATAATTTGAATTTAACTGGAAACAACATTCCTTTCACAAATGTTGTTTCCAACTCAATTACCTGACCTTCAGCTAGGTTAGAAGCATTGGCATTTCTAGTAATTTTGAAATTCCAAAAATGTAACCCCCATACTCTATGCTAATTTTCAAATCAGCAGTTGAATTGGCTGCTCAGTCACATTTGTTCCTAAAGACGGAAAATAAAAGTGTCTGTGAGAGGGCAGGCCTGGCTTAAATTCTGTCTTAACTTGAAGGATCTCAGAAGCAGACTCTGAGCCAGGGATTCCAGCGCAAGTAATTTATTAAGGAAGTACTCACAGGAAATACCAGTGAAGGATCAAAGAAGCAGAATAAAAAAGGGAAGAAGCCAAGCAAGGGTTCAATTTCAGGTGAAGTCTCTGACTCAGTCTGATCCTGTGGTGAGCCCTGGAACAAAAATTGTACCTCTGAGTTTGTCTTGTCTCAAGACATAGGAACTGTCTTCTTATAATCCAGAGCTAGTCAATCATGAACTGTAGTCTGTCCCAAGGAACATAAACTCTCAGGAACTTCTGGTTCTAAATTAGGGTGAGACAACTCTAGTATCCAAGGTCAAGTTTTAGAAGTTTCTGCTGTAAGCCCTTATCATGAATTACAGAACATATGGGATAAAACAAAGCACTGGTAAAGGAAATGAAGGGTATAGGAGCAGATCACTAATTGTGTCCAGTACACTCTTCTAGGTCCCTTGCATTTTCTGAACCAGGAACATATAGTGGCCATCATAGCATTACTAGTTCCCAGTAAGGTAAATTGTTTTAGTAAGTGAACAGTGCCCAAATATTTAGGACTTACTTGAACTGAACGTTGCATACTATGAATAGGCTATTTCATTGTACCTTAAGGGTTTCCAAGGATAATGTAAATATATGAACAATTAGTACTGTTATGATGACCAACATTTATTAAACACATAGGATATGCCAAGCCATATATTAGATGGTGTATATAGTTTCCTATGGTCTGTTTTTTGTTTGTTTGTTTTGTTTTGTTTTTTGAGACAGAGTCTTGCTCTGTCACCCAGGCTGGAGTGCAGTGGTGTCATCTCGGCTCATTGCAACCTCTGCCCCCCAGGTTCATGCGATCTTCCTGCCTCAGCCTCCTGAGTAGCTGGGATGACAGGTGTGCACCACCACACCCGGCTAATTTTTGTATTTTTTTTTTAGTAGAGATGAGGTGTCAACATGTTGGCCAGGCTGGTCTCAAACTCCTGACCTCAAGTGATCCACCCACCTTGGCGTCCCAAAGTGCTAGGATCATAGGCATGAGCCACCCCGTCCAGCCATATATACTTTATTATCTTATCAAACATTAGAAGCCTCATTTTAGTGATGAAGAAACTGAGCCTCAGGAAATTAAAAAAAAAAAACTCATAACTAGTAAGTGGTTAAACTAAAACTATATTCCTGGTGTAATCCAAAACCCTAGATCCTTCCAATAAGCAAAATTTTGCCCTTTAATTGCAGTAATAGAATCTGTGAAACACTAGGAAGCTACCAGTATTACTTATCTATGCTGCATATCAAATCCCCAAACTTAAAACAACAACAAACATTTATCATCCTCACAGTTTCTTTGGGTCAGAGATTTAAGAACAGCTTATCTGGGTAGCTCTGACTTGGTGTCTCTAATAAGATGGCCATAAAGATTTTGGCTAGGGCTGCAATCCTCTGAAGGCTTGACTAGAAATGTAGGATTTTTTTTTTTTTTAATTATACTTTAAGTACTGGGATACATGTGCAGAACATGTAGGTTTCTTACATAGGTATACACATGCCGTGGTGGTTTGCTGCACCCGTCAACCTGTCATCTACATTAGGTATTTCTCCTAATGCTATCCCTCCCCCAGCCCACCACTCCCCAACAGGCCCCAGTGTGTGACGTTCCCCTCCCTGTGTTCATATGTTCTCATTGTTCAACTCCCACTTATAAGTGGGAACATGTGGTGTTTGGTTTTCTGTTCCTGTGTTAGTTTGCTGAGAATGATGATTTCCAGCTTCATCCATGTCCCTGCAAAGGACATGACCTCATTCTTTTTTATGGCTGCATAGTATTCCATGGTGTGTATGTGCCACAGTTTCTTTATCCAGTCTGTCATTGATGGGCATTTGGGTTGGTTCCAAGTCTTTGCTAGTGTGAATAGTGCGTGCTGCAATAAACATATGTGTGTAAGTGTCTTTATAGTAGAATGATTTATAATCCTTTGGGTATATACTCAGTAATGGGATTGCTGGGTCAAATGGTATTTCTGGTTCTACATCTTTGAGGAATCGCCGCACTGTCTTCCTCATTGGTTGAACTAATTTACACTCCCACCAACAGTGTAAAAGCATTCCTATTTCTCCATATCCTTTCCAGCATCTGTTGTTTCCTGACTTTTTAATGATCGCCGTTCTAACTGGTGTGAGATGGTACCTCATTGTGGTTTTGATTTGCACTTCTCTAATGACCAGTGATGATGAGTGTTTTTTTTCATATGCTTATTGGCCGCGTAAATGTCTTCTTTTGCGAAGTGTCTGTTCATATCGATGTGCTGTATTCAGGAGACCCATCTCATGTGCAAAGACACACATAGGCTCAAAATAAAGGGATGGAGGAATATTTACCAAGCAAATGGAAAGCAAAAAAGAGCTGGAGTTGCAAACCTAGTCTCTGATAAAACAGACTTTAAACCAACAAAGATAAAAAAAGACAAAGAAGGGCATTACATAATGGTAAAGAGATCAATGCAACAAGAAGAGCTAATTATCCTAAATATATATGCACCCGATACAGGAGCACCCAGATTCATAAAGCAAGTTCTTAGAGACCTACAAGGAGACTTACACTCCCACACAATAGTAGTGGGAGACTTTAACACCCCACTGTCAATATTAGACAGATCATCGAGATGGAAAATTAACAAGGATATTCAGGACTTGAATTCAGCTCTGGAACAAGCAGACCTAATAGACATCTACAGAACTCTCCAACCCAAATCAACAGAATATACATTCTTCTCAGTACCACATCGCAGTTATTCTAAAATTTACCACATAATTGGAAGTAAAACACTCCTCAGCAAATGCAAAAGAACAGAAATTATAACAGTCTCTCAGACCACAGTGCAATCAAATTAGAACTCAGGATTAAGAAACTCACTCATAACTGCATAGCTACATGGAAGCAGAACAATCCTCTCCTGAATGACTACTGGGTAAATAATGAAATTAAGGCAGAAATAAATAAGTTGTTTGAAACCAATGAGAACAAAGACACAACTTACTAGAATCTCTGGGACACAGCTAAAGCATTGTTTAGAGGGAAATTTATAGCACTAAATGTCCACAGGAGAAAGTGGGAAAGATCTAAAATTGACACCCTAACATCACAATTAAAAGAACTAGAGAAGCAAGAGCAAACAAATTCGAAAGCTAGCAGAAGACAAGAAATAACTAAGATCAGAGGAGAACTGAAGGAGACAGAGACACGAAACACGAAAAACCCTTTAAAAAATCAATGAATCCAGGAGCTGGTTTTTTGAAAAGATTTTTTTTTTTTTAGACTGAGTCTCACTCTGTCATCCAGGCTGGAGTGCAGTGGTGTGATCTTGGCTCAATGCAACCTCCATCTCCCAGGTTCAAGTGATTCTCCTCTCTCAGCCTCCCAAGTAGCTGGGATTACAGGCGTGTGCCACCATACCCACCTAATTTTTGTATTTTTAGTAGAGATGGGGTTTCACCATGTTGGCCAGGCTGGTCTCAAACTCCTGACCTAAGATGATCCGCCCGCCTTGGCCTCCCAAAATGTTGGAATTACAGGTGTGAGCCACCGCACCCGGCAGTATGTATTATAGGATCTCCTATCAGGGTGTCCCACTCATAGCATTGGCAAATTAATGCTGGCTATTAGCAGGAAGCCTCAGTTTCTTGCCACACGGACCTCCCCATAGTACTGCTTGAGCATGCTCAAGAAATGGAAGTTGTTTGATTTTTTTCCCCAGAGTGAGTGGTTAAGAGAGGACTTTTGGAAGCCACCATGCATTCTGTGACTTAGCCTTGGAAGTCACATACCATCACGTCTACAATATCCTATTAGTTACAAGATGAAACCTATTCAATGTGTGAGAAAACTACATAAGGGCATGAATAGCAGGTGGTAAGGATCATTAGGAGCCATCTTGAAGAATGGTTACCACACTACCATTCCTTTCTTCTTAATCCTAAGTATAGAACTCCTGCTGTCTCCTGAGGATTTGTTAAGCACTTTGTTGCTCCCACATCCCCCTCAAAAAAAAAACTTAATTAAAAGTAGCTAAGTAGAAACAAATATTCAACACACTAGTAATAAATGTAGATGTTACTGAATATTTAGAAAGGAGATCAAGAAGAGGACTGACATCACACATCACTTGATAGAAACAAAATTAATTTTTCTTTTACATCTGCCTGCTTTCCCTTCCCAAATCCCTCTCTTCAGCTGCCAGCTGTCTCATTCCTCTTTATCTCTTTCCCACATAGCCTCAAAACTCTCCTTTGTTGTGCCAAATAATTCAGCTCTGGTCCTGAGTTTACAAACACATTCTTGGCAAAACAAAATCCTGATGGCCATTCTCACTTTCTTTAGAATGCAAACATCTTTGCCCTATTATGGAAAATAGGGATCAAAGTAGCTTATTGATATTTACTCAACAAAAAGTCCTATTTCCTAAGGTGGAGGGAGAGAGACAAATATGTTCTCTTGTTCAGAAAATAAGTTTTTTTCTCCTAAGTGTTATATATATATATAATATACTCTTCTAGCTTCCAGATCCAGGGAGGACAGTGATCCTTCTGTTTCTTGCTGATTGGTTGCTATACCTGTTTGAAATTATAGCTCTTACATTTTTGTCATTGAGTTAGTTGCTGATCAGTTGCTATACCTGTTTGAAGTTACAGATCTTATGTTTTTGCCATTGAGTTAGTTACATCCTTTCTTATTTTGTCACTGAGCTCTTAACCAGCTAGCCTACATCTCATCTTGTTTAGAAATATTCTTATGATTTCTGTTTTTCAGTTCACCTGATTCTGGAAAAGAAAAGAAAACTTTGCCCCTGAAGGACGCAAGCAATTATGAGTGGATACTACATAAGGGCCCTAGCTTTGTCATGCTCGTTGATACACACTCCCACCTAGCGCCTTGCACTCAGAAGATTCAGTTCATATATCTGTTAATTGACTCTAACTGACTGAGGTTCCCTGGATGAGGAGAGCAATGAGAACAGAGGCTTGTCAGCCTGCATAATCCCTACTAATAAGCTCTACTATACTTTGATGCTTATCTTCATTTTCTTAAACTGAAAAAAAAAATCTTTTGGCAAATTCCAAAGGAGATCATCACTGAAATCTTGCTGAGTTCAACTTATAAGCTTGTGGGCATTAAAAATTATATCAATGAGGTCGCTGCCCTGTAACTGTTCACACTTTTATTTAGAGGGGACCAGCAAGTTATGACTGTAGAATGTTGATACCAGTTTTGAGAGGACAGGTTTAATGAAGCACATCTTATGCCTCTTCATCCTTTTCATACTCATCCATAAAATATGAGCTCTATTGGCTATGTAGTAATTAAAGGCTGAAAACAAGAAGGGGCTATTATGAGCTAAGAAGAACGGTAAGACATTTATTTTTGAGGGTGGCATAATCTCTTTGGGGAAAAAAAGTATGGATAAAAGGGAGAGGGGCCAGGCGCAGTGGCTCACACCTGTAATCCCAGCACTTTGGGAGGCCGAGGTGGGTGGATCACCTGAGGTTGGGAGTTCGAGACCAGCCTGACCTACATGGAGTGACCCTGTCTCTACTAAAAATACAAAATTAGTCGGGTATGGTGGCGTGCTCCTGTAATCCCAGCTACTCGGGAGGCTGAGGCAGGAGAATTGCTTGAACCCAGGAGGTGGAGGTCGTGGTGGGCTGAGATTGTGCCATTGCACTCCAGCCTGGGCAACAAGAGTGAAATTCCGCCTCAAAAAAAAAAAAAAAAAAAAAAAAAAGGAAAAGAAAGAGAGAGGGAGGTAGAAATGAAAGGGTCTATTCAGAGGTGATTGCAAAGATAAATCTAGATGTCATAGAGGGAAAAGTAGTGAGAGGGAAGGCTGGAAAAGGAGGTTTCTCTGGATTCTAGAGGCTCTTGAGTTGCAGATCAAAGCTTGGATTTTATGCTATTGGCGATGAGCAGTCATTGATGACCTAAAGTGACATAATAATGAAAATACTGCTTTGGGAAAGGTAACCCGGGTCACCATGTATATGAAAGATTAATGTAAGGAGAAATTGAAAGCAGGAAGAGTAACAGGAAAATTTCAGAAATTTAGAAATGAGAGAGAAGAATTGAGCCTATGAATATTCCAATGCAAATTAATGTTCTATTTTTTCTTTGCAGTTTCTAGTTTCTCAAATTTAGGCTTCATGCAATATGCTTTGAAAATATGATGATTATATTAATTCATAGAATCACTGATTCCTCTTCTACCCCACCAATGTTTGTAAGGTGCATTCTGATAATTTTATTAACCATACCTCTTCGTAAAGGTGGTAAAATATTGAAGCTCTTAAAGTGGCCTTGGCAAATGCATATAACCTGTGAGTGTATTGTGCTTAGAATTATTATAAAATGATTTTTAAAGGATCTTCACCCAGGCACAGCTAATATGAGTAAGAATCCTAAATGTAAGTTACTTCTAGACCAGTGGTCCCCAACCTTTTAGGCACCCGGGACAGGTTTCGTGGAAGACAATTTTTCCATGGACGGGGTCTGGGGGGTGATTTAAGGATTAAACCGTTCCACCTCAGAACATCAGGCGTTAGTTGGATTCTCGTAAGGAGGATGCAACATAGATCCCTTGCATGCATGTGCAGTTCACAATAGGGTTCATACACCTATGAGAATGTAGGGCCTCCCATGATCTGACAGTAGGCGGAGCTCAGACTGTAATGCTTAATACTGGCTGGCCAGCCACTCATCTCCTGCTATGCAGCCCAGTTCTGACCCAGGCTGCAGCCCAGGGGTTGAGGACCCCTGTTCTAGACATATTATTGCACTTGTATCATTTTACTGCTAATATATTACTGTATCATTTTACTACGAATATATTGTCACATTATAATAAATTCCAGATGATAGCGCAATCACAGCACAAATACTTATCTTTTCTAAAAAAAATTCCAGTTGTAGATTTGTTCAATGCAATGTGGTATATTTTATCTTTCTAAAGAGCAGAGCAGTGTGGCAATTCTGAATATACACGTGCTTGCTGAAAGCGATAAATTGGTGATTTTCTCCTTCGTGGGACAGAAACAAGTGAGATGGATATAAAGAGAAAATCCTACAAGTAATAATTTTAGAGCACTTCTTAGTAGCAATTTCAATTTGTCACTAGCACTCTATGTATTCCCAACTGTTACTCCTTTCATTCCATAATTTTTATTCTCAGATCTTTCCATTTCATATCCCAAAGATAACATTTGCTCAAACATAAAAATAACATTTAGCTGCCTTTGCATGGCCCTTGCAAATTTATCTCTCACTTCTTGTTTCCCTTAGTTCCCCAGTAGCCTTGAAAAACACCCAAGTTGGCTGAATTCTAAGCCGAATGACTGTGATAGCTCCACAGTAGCATAATTCCAAATGCTTATTTGATAGCTCCAATTGATGGCTAATTGGCCCTTCAAATTTAACATACTTAAAAGGAAATTTCTGTTTATCCTCTACTCTCAGAATTGATTCTTCTTCAACTTCTCCTCCTAGTACATGGCACTACCATTAGTTGGCTGCCCAGGTTAAGAAAATCATGCTAATTTTAAAAATTAATAATAAATAAAAATCTAGATAACATTTATTTTTCTTCTCATTCCCTAAACCTCTACCTACAAGTATACAATCTTCCAGAAACTTCAAACTGCAAAATATATTCCAAATCTAATCACTTGTCTCCTTTTCTGCTGCCCCCAACCTTAGTTTACATCTCTCTTCAGCTGTCCTTCAGGTGTTTCCTCATGGGTCTCTGTTCTCTTGTTTGGCCTTTGATCCACACTCTTCACACAGTAGTGTTGACTGTAGGCTCCCCAAATGAACAACAGAAAAACCTTTTGATCATACATATTTAAGTTTTTGGACCTTCTGCTGTAAGAAAAAAACATAATTCTACAGAGTCTTAGTAGGATCTCAAAATGGGAAAATTAGAATAGGTTATTTATTATATTTTACAGCTTGGTCTGGGTTATTTCAAGGTGGGTCTTGTTAGGCAGGGATTGGTTAAGTTTGGACAAATTTCATTGCATAGTTTTGAATTGTCGGATACATTTGAGTGAATGGATTTGGATTGGTGGGTACTGTGAGACAATGGTTTTGAAATGAGTTGTGACAAATATGTCACTGAGTCAGTTCATAGTCATCTTTTAGGAGCAGGTGTTTCTTGGACCAAGCATCTAGGTTATTTTGGCTTGGAGTAAATATTCTTTAATATGGAGCAGAAATGTATGCCTGGTTCTAGTTTCATAGAGAGAGAAAATTATGCTTCATAGGTATTTAAACTTAAAACATCTCTTCATATCCCTGCTTATAATCCTTGGAAAGCTTCATGCTATGATCAGAATAAAATTTAAACTCAAATTAGAAGATCCTAAATAGGCTGTCCCTTGTCTCCTCACTGACTTCAGTTCTTACCACTCTTCCCCTTACTCTCCACATTCCAGCCACACTAGCCTTTCCTTTCCTTGAGTAAACCAGGCTCGTTCCTGCACTTGCGAATTGCCTCTGCCTGGAATGGGTCTTTCTCTTTCATCATTTGAAGTCTCCCACAAATATCATCTCTTCAGAGAAGACTTCTTAAGGCTACCCATCTAAATCAGCTCATGACTCCCATATCTCTTCACTTTAGAGTTCATGGCACTCATCCCTACCTATACAAAATTATGGTCTTTTAAGCCTGATATCCTCTATTCAAATCTTTCTTCTGCTACTTATTAGCAGTAGAACCATGACTATGTTACTTTGACTATCTGTGCCTCAATTTCCTCATACATTAAAAAAGGACAATGATGATACATATGTCATAGGGTTGTCATGAGCCATAAATGAATTTAGCTTTGTAAAATGTTGACTCTCTAAATATTAGCAATACAACTTGTTGGTAAAATAACTGTGATAAGGAAGACCACTACCTCAGGAGAACTACTTTGGTTTTGTCTCCCAAAGGTGAAGGCAAGGTCGGGATTTATTGAGAATTGGAAGTTTGGTTTAAGGTGGGGTTTTTTCAAAAAGAGGATTTTATTAAGATTGGGTATGAATCAGGATATAACAGTCTAGGATTGGTGAAAACAGGAAAGCCAGGATTTTGAGACAGGATTTCAAAAAATTGTACTTTGTAAGTTCTCTGTTGATTCTATTGAAAAGTTGGGAAGAGATGGGTCTTTTGGAAAGTCCCTGTAACGAACAATCAAACCACTTGCTTCAGCCAGAAACTCAGGGAAAGTAATGACAGTGGGATACAAAGTTACATTATCGTGGAGGTATGAGGTTAGGGAGCTTTAGTCCTCAATATCCAAGCTGAATATACAGGTAGATGGTTTTGGTGCTCAGCATGTAAAGCATATAGAACAGTGCCTGGCACATAATAAGAGCTTAAGTAAGGTGAATTTCATCATTAACTTATTATTGTCATGGAAGCCACAAGGGTGGTCATTTGTCTGTATCTCCATTTCCTGGCACAAACATTGCTTAGCACAAAGTAGGTACTCAATAAATCATTGTGGAATGGATAAATTTATTTATTTACTGGTTTTCTGTTTGTCTCCCTAATTAGGATATAAACTCTGCGAGAGAGAAAAACATGCCTTTATTGTTCATCAAAGTATTCCAAGGGCCTGCGGCGGTATTTGGCCCACAGTAATCACACAAAGTGTATTTGTTGAGTAAATTAATAAGCTTTTAAGTATCACAAAAGAATCTTGAGTGTAAAACCAGCTCCCAGTTTCTTTCACCTCCACTGAAAGGTGTGAGTCCAGAAAACGAGAACAAAATGAAGAACAGAAGAATAAAAAACCCAGTTACATTCTAAAATAAATTGGGGGAAATGCTGGTTTAAAAAGTTAAGTAAGATCCTTTCCTGTAAGGTTTCTCAGATCCTTTAATCTGCCAATGTGCATTGTTGATTACTAATGGGAAATAGTGTGTATACTTGTTTGATCAGGGAACTTGTTTTTCCCCTTTTTGATTTGAGAACACTTATTTGCATCTCTGGAAATACAACATTAGCGTTATTTGAGATGTTCTTTGGGAAATGCTGTATTAAGCAGTTTTATCCAAAGTCAGGGATGCCATCATAGGAAGCCGAATGAGACTCCTTGGCAGTGATCTGGTGTTGAGTCACTTCAGGGTGATGGGAGAAGCACAGATGAAGGCAGTCCCATCCTGATAGGGCTAGGGCTCCTCCAGAGACTGCACATAAGTGCCCTGTTTGCTACCAGAAAGCACTCACATGTGAGGGAGAGTCTGGTTTAATGTCCCCCTAGTTGGTGAACACTCTCCAATCTTAACCACAAGTTTCCCACGTGTCTCTGACATGGAGTGCCATGAGAGAAGAGTTTTCTACTAGATACTCAGGCAGCATTTTGTTCTTTTACTTGGCCCTCACGTGTACCTTCAACTTGGGTTTTACCCCTAAAAACTTATGTTGTTGTGTTTGGGGGAAGTCAAAACCAGGACACATGAAGGATTCATATTCTGGAGCTTGTCTACTTAAAATGACCAATGCTTTCAAACAATTATTTCATATTCGTATGCCTCAGATTCTTCAGGAAGAAACTGAGTAGCTTGAATGATAGTCATGGGTTCTGAATTGTACATTGTATTAGTCCATTTTCACATTGCTGATGAAGACATACCTGAGACTGGGCAAATTACAAAAGGAAAAGGTTTAATGGACTCACAGTTCCACATGGCTGGGGAGGCCTCACAATCATGGCGGGAGGCAAGGAGGAACAAGTCACGTTTTACATGGATGACAGCAGGCAAAAAGAGAGCTTGTGCAGGGAAACTCCACCTTATAAAGCCATCAGATTTCATGAGACTTCTTCACTATCACAAGAACAGCATGGGAAAGACCTGCCCCCATGATTCAATTACCTCCCACCATGTCCCTCCGACAACGTGGGAATTCAAGATGAGATTTGGGTGGGGACACAGACAAACCATATCATACATTGAGGAATTTTAGTTTGGGCAAGGCAGGGAGGTGGGCCTCTGGGAGCAGCAAATAGGCAACTCCTGTTAGTGCCTCTAAGTCAATGCAATCTTGCTCTTATTTGCTCTATGCAACTTTATTAGAAGAGAGGAAGTTCCTACTTAAAAGGTAGTTTTTATTAGCCCCACCTGTGCAATTTCACTTGAAGACATCTGCTACTAAAAGTAGTTTGAAAACTACTGTACTAAAAAATGGAGTCCACTGTCTTTTTTTGTATGGTCTCCAAGCTAACAAAGGTTTTGATATTTATAGATGGTTAAAAATGTCAGAAAAGAGGAATACAAATTAAGCATTCCTAATCTGAAAATCCAAAAATCTAAAATGCTCCAAAATCCAAAACTTTCCTGGTGCTAACATGACTTCATAAGCGGATAATTCCATACTTGGCCTCATGTGACTGGGTTTCAGTGAAAATGCAGTCAAAATTTCATTTTGTGCACACAATTATTAAAAATACTGTATAAAACTACCCTCATGCTATGTGTATAAGCGGTATATGAAACATAAAGGAATTTCTTCTTTAGACTTGAGTCCCATTTCTGAGATATCTCTCTATGTAAATGCAAATATTCAAAAATCAGAATAAATCAGAAATTTGAAACACAGTCTCAAGCATTTCAGATAAGGGATACTCAACCTATATTCCATTATGCACATAAATTATATGAGATTCGGATTTTAGTGTCCATAAATATAGTCTTATTGGAACACAGCCACACCCATTTGTTTACATATTGTTAATGGCTGCTTTTTATTGTCTATGGTGCTTCAGCAGCAGAGCTGACTATTTACCACAATGACTATATGATTCACAAAGCCTACAATTTTTACTACCTAGTCCTTTACAAGGAAAGTTTGCTAAGCCCTGACCTAGATGATTATTAGGATCCTTTTCTACCCCCAACATTTGATTTTTGTTCATCTTTGTGGAACCATATTGACTGGCTATGTAAGATTCTTCTCAAAGCAAATTGAATCAAGCCAGGACTCTTTCACTATGTTATAAAATCGATTTAATTATGTTACAACAATCCTTCTCATTTGAGAACATACACTACCTAACTAATCCATGTCTTTCAATCTGCCTTCACCTTCATTCTGAATGGCGTTTGGTATATTCTACTTTGTTATGTTGAACATTTCTTTTTTTATAGTATTTTAACGGGGCAGCATAAAATTGCATGGCTCCTCTGCAATGTAAGTACTTTAGCACGACAGAGTTATAGGGTTGTAAGGAAGCTTGAGATGCCATCTAATCTCTCCTACTCCTTCTGGACAGAATTATACTTAAAGTACCCTGGAAAGGTTTTGGTTTACTGTAGTCTTTAAAAATCCCTCCACAAGAACATTTCCAAATACTCACTTTGTAGCACATCAGCTGTCAAATGATTTGTAACTTGGGTGCCTATGTCTGACCAAAAGTATATTTAGAGTTGTTCCATTTTAAGGCTTTAAAATGGTTTATTAATAGGGCAGTACTTCCAGCTACTCAAACCTTGATTTTTATTCCAGCCCTGAGTCTTAAATCTGGGCAAGCACGGCTTCTCAGACATGGTATCTTCTAAGGGCAGTGATTAAGAGGCAGGACCTGGGAGACTACTCTGTTGTTGCATGCTCTATTCTCCCCTCCACACTGTAAAATCCTCGCGGATAGGAGCAGGATTTCTTTTTTTTCCTAACTCCCATAGCACACACAGAGTGTATTGAAGAATGTTCAGCCCAACCTCTTTGCAAGCATCTTTATTACAAAAGATGAAGGGAGGGTGGATGTAATCAAATATGTACTTTATATTGGAAAGCAACCAAGCCTCTCTGTGCATGCACTACCCTCATACAATCGATAATAAATTAGCATTTTATTTATACTGTATAATGCCGTTCTTTTCAGGAGTCTGATTTGGAAGCCAACTACTGTTTGTGTTCTCCAAAGTGGTTTTTGATGGAGTGCTAATTATGTTTCACCTCAAGAGCAATGCTGACGGGGGACCACAATCGCCTTATTGTAGTAGATCCAGCTGATGAATCTCCAAGGATAGCCTCATGCTATATTCTGGGGGGCAAGTAAATATAAAAATACATTTTTGATCAAGAAAATGATACCATTTACACAACAGTAGCAGGATTCAGCCTTTGTAAAACAGCTGCATAGCTGCATAACTGTGACGTGATTTTTTTTTTTTTTAGTAGAGAAAAAAACATGGAGGAAAATATATATCAACTCAGGACCCTAGCTGAATCTGGGGTTTAGTAGTTCATGGTGGGGGCAGGGGACTATATTTTCAAATAAATCTAGCCTAAGTGAATTTTTGTTCCAGATAGAAGACCAACTTAATAAATGAGTCCTGCGTAGAGAAGTATGTCACATTTAGCAAAAGAAGACACGCGCAGGTAGAGCCAATCTTTTCACTTGTGCGAACCTCATTAATCCTGTCACATAAAGTTTTGCACTTGTATTTTAGCTCAACTCAAGGAAGCTTGATCCAGATATTTTTTCAGTATATTTTTCAATACAACATAATAAAGATTGGAGAATATTTTAACTCCACCTTTTTTTCTTTAAAGCTTTCTTGGCCAGGTGTGGTGGCTCATGCCTGTAATCCCAGCACTTTGGGAGGCCAAGGTGGGCAGATCATCTGAGGTCAGGAGTTGATGACCAGCCTGGCCAACATGGTGAAACCCTGTCTCTACTAAAAATACAAAAATTAGCCAGGCGTGGTGGCAGGCACCTGTAATCCCAGCTACTTGGGAGGCTAAGGCAGGAGAATTACTTGAACCCGGGAGGCGGAGGTTGCAGTGAGCTGATATCATGCCACTGCACTCCAGCCTGGGCGACAGAGAGAGACTGGGTCTCAAAAAAAAAAAGGCTTTCTTTGGGTCAGGCTGCCCTTTGCAAACACCATTTTTACCACCAAAGTCCCTGCAGCTCATATACTAGGCTGAGATATATGTATGTATGTATATAGTATATAAAAATGGACGTGCTCTCACATTGCTAGAGGTACATAGACTCTCTGCATGACTTGGGATTCAGAAAGTGTGTAAAATTAAGTAAGATGACAATAGCAATCCATTAATTATTCTACATCTACCAGAGCACACTTCCATGTTTGGTCCTGTGCTTTTAAGGAAAGACCTGCCTTTTAGTGTCATGAGGGCTCTCAGGAATGGCATCTTGATGATCACAACATTAAATCCAACTCCTCTGTCAGGCAGCTAAAGTGTTAATTTATTTTGTAATTAGATCTCTCACCAAAGCTCACAGGAACCTGCATTTGGATCTCATTTGATTATGTATAGACCCTTTTATATATGCCATCATATTAAAGGTTCATTCTATGTGGCCTGCCTTATGTGCTCAGTAAACATTTGTTGAATGCTGAAACAAATCACCCTGGGGTTAAAGGAAAGCGTTGAGGGTCACAGAGGTTGACTTGCCAAACGTTACTAAGCTACTATGGGGCTAAGGCAGGAGTGAATAGTTGCTGCTTTAGGCAACTCCACCCACCCCCGACCCCGTTTGTGCTCTTTCTTTTTTTCTAAATTGTTCTAGCAGTCTATGATTTGGTGTACTTCTTTGGTTAAAAAAAAAAACACACACGAACAAACAAACAAAACCTTAAGGGTCTTTAAAAAATAATAAGTTATCTGTTATTGAGGACTTAATTTTGTGCACTACACTGTACCAAATGCTTTATATTTATTAACCTATTTCTTTTTAAGCAATAAATCTAAAAGCTTGGTATTCTTATCCCCATTGAAAAATTACTTTAAATAAAAAAAACCTCTCCAATGACTTTTATTATATTCACATAAAGCTAATGGGGCCGATTAAATGTTTATTGTTAAATATCCATGAATCATTTCAAATATATATGTATTTTTATAATTGTAACTCATAGATAATAATACAGTTGGGCTACAAAAGCTATTTGGAGGAAGACAACAATTCTAAATGGAATGTGATTTGTGTTTGTCAAGATTATGTCAGCAATCTATGATTTTAGCAATTTATTTGGTCCATACGTGGATAGAAAATATCAAGCACAGGGAAGGAAAGTATAAACATTTGTTCAGCAACTACTATGTGTCAGACATCATTGATGTTTGCCATATTTAGATGTCACAAGGACCCTGTGAGATCCTTTAAACATTTTCTGTAATTAAAGATGAAGCAACTGAGTCTCATGGAAATTGGGAAATTTGCTCAAATACTTTACTTTGACCCAAAGGAAAATGCAAGTAAACCCATACCACTGGCTGAATATTGGGTTTTAAGGGTTTATAGGGAGAAATATTTTTCAAAATGTATCTGACTTGGGTGGGTCTTGAGTCTAGATAGAATAAAGCACTCTATCTTCTGTGACCTGGGAAAGGGGTGCCGTTGGGGGTGGGAGGAGTCGGGATGGAAAATCAGGTCTGTTTAGGACCAAATTTAGTTCCCATTTAAAACACTGAACTGCTTCCAAAGAAATTAAACTCATGACCTTGGTCTACATGAAATGAAGCCAGATAAATTAACCTGACATACACACTTATATAAGAAATCCTTGAAAAGGAAGAGCTGATGAAACCAGGGAATCATATTTCCTGTAAGAAAAGTTGGTAAAAATACCAGTGAGGTACTTTGGTGTATCATATTATAATACTATCAGTAGTATAAATGAAACGAACAAAAATGGTAAAAAAAAAAAATTGATCTAGAATAATGTCATCAACAAAGTATGCAACCATTTCTTTTTTCTTCTTTCCAACTTTTATTTTAGGTTCAAGGCATACATGTGCAGGTTGTTATATGGGTAAATTGCATGTTCCAGGGGTTTGGTGTACAAATATTACATATCCTATTCTAAGTGCTGAAAAACTAAAGTTTTTAATGCTCCTATCAGCAAAAAGAGCACCAAGCAAATAAACATGTCCTAATCATTTGCCATGGTAGTAGATCATTAAAAAAATACATTTATCTTAATTACAGAATACATGCTAAGCAGAGGTTCAGAAATAAAATTTCTAATGGGAACTGACAGATCGACAAAAGGCTAACATAATATTTGCTTCATTTGTAACAAGTATTGGTTGAAGGGTCCAGGTAACTCAACTAGCCTCAGAATAAAGGATGTAAAACTGAAAAGGAGATTTTAAACATTCTTTTTTAGTAGCAAAATTACACACATGTTTTATATTAAAAAGGTAATGAAAGAAAAGGTGGAATTTTAAAATTACGTGAATTTCTTTGGGATGAAAGCTTCTGGAGGCCTAGTGACTGCTGAACATTTCTAGAAAAGAAGACAGGTGACCAAAAAGCAAATTGGAAACAAAAGACAGAATGTTTGAAGATGAAGGCCAGAGGTAATCGATTTCATTATTATATTACATCATGTAAAAAATTTCTTATTTCATTTTAAACAGATACACGGCCATGATGTAGAATTAGATTTTCTTAAAACTCCAAAGAAAAAGAAATAGCAATTTAGAAAAGCAAATTGTAGGATAAGATATCAAACTAGTTAGTCATCCAGTTGCTTCTAATGTCAAGTGTTTTCTACTTTCTGGCACACACCCTTGCTATTGCTTTTCCATTTCTCCCTGGTCATTCTCCTCCTTTAGTGTCCAACTCAGACTTCAGCCACCCAGACAAAGTATTTTCTTCTCCTACTCTTCTGATTGTGCTGAGCCACTTTGCTGCCTCTAGCCCTGCCACAGCACCTGTTGAATTTGCATTTCAGGTGGCCGTTGAAATTGCATTTCAGTTCTGAGCTCTGGTGGATAGGAACCAGGTGCCATTGATGTTTTTCACTTTTTCATATATTCTCAGTGCCTTCCCAGTTGTTTAGCCTTCACCTGTCTTGCCCTTCTCTGAATTCCAGTCCCATCAGCTTTCTTTCTGTCCCCATCCTTGTCATAAAGCCCCATCCTTGTCATAAAGCCCCATCACAGCATTTGCCCTATGCCTGGGCTACTCTTACTTCTCTTTGCCTAATTATTTCCTGCGTGTCCTTCACATCCCATCTCAGAGAGGCCTTCGGTGACCTCTTCATTTAGATCAAATTGCCTTGCGTTGATAGTGTTGTGTACCTAGCATTGGGCACATTTGCAATTATAAATTTGTTTATTAAGATTTTACGGCCGGGCGTGGTGGCTCACGCCTGTAATCCCAGCACTTTGGGAGGCCTAGGCGGGAGGATCACGAGGTCAGGAGATCAAGACCATCCTGGCTAACACGGTGAAACCCCCTCTCTACTAAAAATACAAAAAATTAGCCGGGCGTGGTGGCGGGCGCCTGTAGTCCCAGCTACTCGGGAGGCTGAGGCAGGAGAATGGCATGAACCCCGGGAGGCGGAGCTTGCAGTGAGCTGAGATCGCGCCATTGCATTCCAGCCTGGGCAACAGATCGAGACTCTACCTCAAAAAAAAAAAAAAAAAAAAGATTTTACACCCCTACCAGACTATAAATGTAATGGGGGCATATACTATGTCCATATTTCACTTAAGGTTATATCCGTAGCTCATTTCATAGGGCTGTACGTATAGTAGATGGCCAATAAACATTTGTGAAATACATTGATAATATGGGGTGTGTAACATTTGTACTTTTGAATCTAATAAATACTCATGGTTTAAGTCAATTATCAGTGGTTTATGGTTCAAGATGTTTGCTCTTAATTTTTCTTCACTGTATCAAATAGAGATATTGAAATTTCACTTTTACCATTTTCCACATTTTTTTCCAGTTCCAGTAAAATTCAGATTTAGTAACCCTTTCCTACATTATTTCTTTCCCCAGTTATTTTAAGAGCATTTCAGTAGATAAGCTGGTAACAGGGGAGAAGGAAAAGAAACTAAAGGGAAGGAAAAGATATTCCTGATAAAAAAGGTTTAACTATCTTGCCAAAATGAGGTTCTAAGGGAATTTGATTAAAGAAGTATTAAATATATGGACATTTGTATATTTGATACTCAATTTTCAAAGACCTTTTCCCTTTAATAAAGTAGTCAAGTGCTTTTACATGTGGGCTGTCTGACCCCAGTAGGGGCATAAAAAGGCTAAGAATTCTGGCTTGTTGGATTATGGCAGTTGGACATTTGAAACCTACAATTTTGATGTGCATCCAAAATGCCACTGGCTAAAGAGACCCCCCTCTAACCCTGTCCTTGCTTGTGCTACAGCTAGAAGCACACAGGTGAGAGCAGAATGAAACACCTAAGAAATCTAAAGAATTGGAGTTTAGGACCAGAAAATGAAGGTTGGTGTTCGAGAGGCTAACTGGAGATTTTATAATGTCTGGCACTCTGGGGAAGAGAACCCACAGTGTAAAGTTTAAGGAAGTAAAATGTATCTACTCCTTTATATTAGGCGGTAGTGTATTTTGCCTGTGTTTTTGTTATAATCAACAACATTGTGTTATGATTGATCCATTTTAGGTCTCTCTTTTGCAAGACTCTCTGGGTTCCTTGGATGATGAAAAGGTTGTTTTGTATTTTCATATGTCCAGCACTGAGCAATGTGCTTAACACTTAATAGATGCTCCAGAGATATTTGCTGAATGAATTCCCATGTCCTCCAAATTTGTCCTATCCTCTCTGATTAGTTTATTTAATTAATTTATTTATTTTTGAGACGGAGTCTCACTCTGTTGCCCAGGCTGGAGTGCAGAGGTGTGATCTCGGCTCACTGCAACCTTCGCCTCCTGGGTTCAAGTGATTCTTGTGCCTCAGCCTCCTGAGTAGCTGGGACTACAGGTGCTTGCCACCACGCCTAGCTAATTTTTGTGTTTTAGTAGAAACGGGGTTTCACCATGGTGATCAGGCTGGTCTTAAACTCCTGACCTCAAATGATCCGCCTGCCTTGGCCTCCCAAAGTGCTGGGATTACAGGCATGAGCCACCATGCCTGGCCCTCCCCAATTAGTTTTTGTCTTTTTTTTTTTTTAGTTTAATGTATTTTAATAGCAAACTTACAGGAACAGCACAGAAGACAGACAACATTCAAAACATGTACTTGGATGTAGGACAACTCAGTCAGAAAAGTATAGTGAATGGATGGAATCTACTGTATGATAAAAATGCTACAAACACCATTTAGTTGCCGTCAATAAGAAATGTACTTGTTTTGAAAAAATCCAAATGCCGGCATTGTCCAGAAAAATTTAACGGGTTTATTTATAATTATTTTAAAGTTGAACCGCTGAAACTTGTTCACTGAAACATTTTAACTTGCATTAATGCTTTATGACTCCACATTTATATTAAAAATTCACACACAAATGAAAATGGAAAAACTGCCAATACCTAATTACTGTCCCCTATTTTTCCACTTGCAATCACATACTTAGGTACATTTTGACCCCATGGAAAAAAATTAACGTTCAGAACTACCAGTAACAGGAAGAAGAGACTTTTTTTTTTTATTGAGAATGAAATGTTTCCCATCATAGTGGATTCTTAAGCACGTTCTCCACGTATGCAGCCTGCTAGCTTGATGTCTTTTGGCATAATTGTTACACGTTTGGCATGGATAGCACACAGGTTGGTGTCTTCAAAAAGGCCAACCAGCTAGGCCTCAGTTGCCTCCTGCAAAGCACCGATAGCTGCACTCTGGAAGCGCAGATCTGTTTTAAAGTCCTGAGCAATTTCTTGCACCAAACGCTGGACGGGAAGTTTGTGAATCAGAAGTTCAGTGGACTTCTGATGACTAATTTCACGAAGTGCCACAGTACCAGGCCTGTAACGATGAGGTTTCTCCACCCCTCCAGTAGAGGGCGCACTCTTGCAAGCGGCTTTTGTAGCCAGTTGCTTCCCGGGTGTTTTACCACCAGTCGATTTGCGGGAAGTCAGCTTTGTAGGAGCCATGATATAGAGACCTCCTTGCTTAACCACCCTTCTCCTTCGGCTGGAGCTCGGCGAGCTAGAGGCGGCGCTGGCTAGAGGCGAGCTAGAGACTGGCTAGCTGGCGAGCTAGAGAGCGACGGTGGCGGTGGCGCGGCGGCGGCTGCGAACACAATTGCTCCAATTAGTTGTAAGCATATTTTTTAAACCATGCTTACCTATGTTATACTATAGTTGTGTAAAGATAATTTAAAGCATTAACAAAGGATTTAACCATTTAGTAATCAGAGAAGGAAAAACGTGTTAGAAAAAAATGAAGAGATTAATCTTTGTACTTTAGCTCAAGAAAACCTGGGTTTCTTGGTAAAAAAAAAAAAAATGTAGATTCTTGGGTCTAATCCTGGATCTAATGAACAAGAATTTTTTGGATGATGCCCAGGAATCTGCCTTTAAAAAGTCAGTTACTTTTGGGGACCAGTGTTTTGAGATATAAATGTTAAGGAGATGGGCAGGAAAACAAATATTCTTACTAGCATTGTTTTATCTTGACTTTTTCATGTCTGAGTGTGGGAAAATCACTCTATAACACTTCACTTGTGATAAACCGCTCCAGATTCCAAAGCAGAAGCAGAGTGAGGATGGTGTGTGTGTGTGTGTGTGTGTGTGTGTGTGTGTGTGTGTGTGTGTGTGTGTGTTGGAGTTACTGGGTTGCCATTAAACTTAATTGACTCTAGTTATTTCTGTTTTCTCATGTCATGCCCAGGATAAATAATGAGTCTCAAAAGCATTGAAATACTTTTGACCCCTAAAAAACAATCTATTAGTGTTTTGATTTTATAATACATGTAAGAGTTATTTGTTACACCTGTTTCTTCTCTTTTTTATCCTCCACTCTTGTCAAAATGTCAGTCATTAAATAATAGGTATTTTAGATAAGAATTAAATATGTAGATATTTATTCACAAAGACCCTGCAATTTTCCCCAAAATAGAAAAAGCCAACTTTTGTCTTCAGTGAAAGACAGAAAGGGTAACATATGATATGAATTATTAGATATAGGATACTCAAATTCAAATTTGTTTATTATAAATTTGTTATTTTAGAAATGACAGCTAGGACATGGAATGACTAAAAATATGTACATTCAATAACACATTTAGAAATACAGGAAATTTTAGAACTAGGTACTTTGAGAATTAAGAGATTAAGAAGGGATTATTTTCTATCTGCACAGTTCTCAGGGAATAGATATGATGAGTGATCCTAACTATTTGAGTAAATGTCAACTGCCAGCAGACACCACCAGCTTATATCGAAGAAAAGTCACAAAAAATATGAAGAGATTCATCACACTGGGAATGGAAAACATCGAATAAGTCAGCAAGTCCAGCAAAAGAAGAAAGTATTACAAGTATAATTTAAAAATAGTTTTGGCAAGAGGAGGTTGGGGAGAAAGCAGAGTAGGCTATAATAATAATTATAACTCAAAGATGGGCCAGACCTAAATGTACACCTTGGCCTCTTTCCATCCTAAAATGTTCTATATTAGCAAAAGAGGTGTTATGATTTATACTCAGCTCCAAGTCTAGACTGGTTTAGGTTTCCTGTGTTTAATTCTGCTTCTTTCTTAACAAAAAAATCTAGTCATCTAGATCTCAAGTGAAATGTGCAATTGAAGGTATAAAAATAAAATTCAATTGAGGAAGGCAAGTTTGTCCTTAAAATAAAATTTAAAATACCAGCATTTATTTTTAAAAAACTACCTAATTACATCTAGTCCCATACATATGTTCAAGATTAATATGCAACTGATGCATGAAAATAAAATTCAGCTGAGGGTAACTACTGTCTCATTAAAAAGAAAATAGAAAACTAGCATTTCTATGAAAACGTCTAGCTAATCATATAAAAACTCATATACATGTGCATTGACAAGTAAATGCTGGTGATATATTATTTGATTGAGGTCAATTTTTATTCTAAATATTTTTGCATAGTGGGAATTTGTTATGTTAAATAATTTTGGGATTGGATCTCTGAGAGGGCTTAGTAATATATTTTATATTAAATTAATCACAGTGAAAAAATCTTTGAAATAGGCTTGATGTTTATAATTATAGTATTCTGTGTTTAAACGTGAAAACATTGTCTCCTTTTAAAAATGGTATTAACTCTAGGAGACAGGATATATAATGATCAATTCTTTCTACCATGAAACTCTATTAATTACTAAAAGTGTTAGTATGCAAAATACAATATAAGTTGATAAGAAAAACCAATTCACATTTGATACCCAGTGGACAAATTAGAATAAAATATTATAATGTTCAAAGAACACTCTATATTCCATAATGTTCTCTGTTAAGCCTGTGTCCTTCTGAGTATGGTGAGTGGCAATTCTGGCCTTACCTTCAAACATCTGCTTCATGTTTAAATTAAATTATGCTACGTGCTTGTCCCTGCATAAGAGTAGCAAATACTGAAAGTACAGTGAAAGGGATAGTAAAAGACTTCTAAGTAGGAGAAGTATTAAAAATATTCTCCAGCTGGTAAGGCTGGAACACTGATGATCAAGACAGTTCTGTTGAAGGGTGGGAGGCGCCCTCTTCTTTGCTCCTTCAGGTGTTAACCTTTTTTTTTTAGATGGTGGTTGATTGCAGGGCCTGGAGGAGGGCTTGAGTGTGGCCTGTGTGGCCTGGGTCTAGAGAAGCTGTTATTTACCAACCAATTTGGAAAGAGTTTAACTACGGTATTTAAAACTGTGGCAGCTGTATCTGACCAAAAGTTAAGCTTCTGAACTTTTCCCCATAGATCACAGAGGGCGGGCCTCCAGGGAAGGTTTCAAGCAGGAGGCTGACTTGAGGAGGTTTTTGTTTTAGAAAGAGCCTTCAGGTAGCAATGTTGAAGATGATGGATTGCATGAGTTTGAGAAAACATTCAGGAGGATTGGTTTTAAAACCTAAGAAAAGAATTGAGGTAGTGGCTAGGGAGCAGAAGTGAAGAAATGGATGTGAGAACTACTTTGGAGGAATAATTTTACAGAGTCAGTGACAGTTTTAGAATTGGATAGGGTGTGAGTTTGACTCCCAGGATTCTGGCTTGGACCACTGTGGAAAATAGTACCATTACCTGGGAGAGGATAAAGATGTAGTGGTGTCTGTTACTTGTTTGTCTGGTTTGCTGGCTGATTGGTTGGCTTTATTTAATTAATTTTCTGAGAAGAGCCATGTTTATAAGCTGCAGGCACAACTGCAAATACATTAATTTAAACATATAATAGTGCGGCTTTCTCTGTCGGACAACAAAAAAGAACCAGAAAAGGAAGGGGGTGAGGGGCTGAATAACATTCCATGATCACCTATTATACTCTTTTAACTAATTTTGGAATCACATTCATGCCATACAGAGGATAGTACTGTTGCCATTTCACAGATGAGAATTCTGACTTACCAGGTTTGAATGACTGGCCTACTTTCTCATAGTCAGAATGTGGCAGCGTCACAATTTAAATCCATTTCTGTCCATCTTCAGGGTCTCAGTCTTTAACTGTATGAAAATACCTCCAAAATGGAAAAGAGTGAAAAAGAATGAAAGGGAAGAAAAGAAAAGAAAAGGGAAAGAACGAAGAAAAAAGTATTTAGAGTGACCAAAGAAGAAGAAAGCAAATTCCAATTGAAAGGGACCAAGCAGAGATGCTCATCCATGAGCAGGTCTTACCCCCGCCTAGACAAGTTCATAGTCCTCCCTAAAGGTGGCAGGAAGTTTACACAGAATATTAGTTCCTCATAGGTGTCCCTAGCCTTCAGGTGACCTGAACATGCAGCCAGTAAGTGAACTGGTATCAGTTTATGGCCAAACCACTGCTCTCTAGACTTCTGCTTTTAGAGTGGTGCTTTTCAACCTGGGCTGCTGCAGATCCTCACATTCTTTCCGGTCTGTGGAGTAATTGAGAGTAGGCTATTAGAAACTTTTATAGGAATCTGACTGAGTACTGTTGTATCTGCTGGATCCAGTAATTTTAAAACGGGATTGTATTTTGTATGTCTGTTTCATTTTTCAAGTCATTGGCATTGCGTTTTATGAAATAATATATCTGTGATGAATCAGAAACAAAGGAACAAAAACTGGCCCTTCACCACAGATAATTTGAGAAGTAAGCTTTAGAGCATCAAAAGAAAAAAAGATGATGAGAACCTGATAGGTGTTTTTGTGCTCTTGGTAACAGAGACTTTCTCTTATAAATGTGATGGTTTAGTGAACTGCCTTTACATAGCGATCTATTGGCCCCATATACAAATATAATCAAATGATTTGTGTCATTTGAAGCTACACAATAGATGAACCTGGTTTTTGTAATTTAACAAAAAATCCAATTTATGTAACATATTAAAAGAAGCATTATCAACTTGTTTTCTCCTCAAAAGACTGTAGCTGTTAAACTCCTTAATTACTTCATTTTCACTCTCAGTGTAACATTAGCAGTTTAGCACTTCAAGTACAAAAATGATTAATGAGCCTGAGAATTCATTCGCATACATATCACTTTGCATCTTGACATAACCCTGGAGCCTGTTCTCTATTCTAGCCATAGACATACTTCCCTAGCAAATATCTTATTGCATATTAAATGCCTAATCATTGCAAAGTATGCATAATTATAGTCATCTTTCCTGTTTTTTTCTACGCAAACAAAAAAGACAACAAATCAAATGCATTCAAATGTAACTAACATTTTAAACCAAAGTATAAATCCATAGGGAGCATCATGATTTTTGCATTGTAACTGTCCCCGAAAATTCAATTGTGATTTGAGCTGAAGTGTCATTCATCTAAAAATGTATCTTTAAAATTTTTTTGAACATGAAGGAAAAGACTTTCAATTTCTATATTTATATGTATGTGAGTACTGTGACTTGGGAAAATATGACGAGAGTAAAGACTGCATTGTGGATTCAGAGAATAAGATTTTATTTGGAGTTACTGTAAGAAATATCTGCAGGGGGCTATTTCTGTCTAACCATCCTTGGCTTGCATTGGTGACATGTGCCTACATGTTTCTTTTAGCTTTAGTGAATTTCTTTTTTGATCTCCTCCAAGGTGATCCCACAGTGCTGACTTTGTCCAATCATTCCCGAGGCTTAATCTTTTAAGTATGATCAATGGTTCTTTGTGTCTTTGCCTTCCCTTGTTTTTTCTACTGTATTCTGTGGAGTTCAGCCACAGCTCTGTGCTGTCCCTACCTAATAATCCTCTTTTCCCTACATGCTGATCACCTCTAAGCTACACTCTACTACATTCAGTATGGAATCAGGAAGACTAAATGAACTTTTTCTCAGAACTCAGAGAACTGCACTTGTCAGGCTTGTTGCCATTACACAACATTGTAGTTACTGGAAGGTGAACCAAACAACTTCCAGGGGCCTTTCATGTGCAAGGGAAGAGCAGAACTGTAGACTACTTGCTAGACTCTAAATCTGGTCTCCAATTGTTTTTGTTCATGTAGGTAAAGCTATATGCTCTAAATTTGTACCTGTTTCCATTTGCTTTTAGAGGGAGACATTTAGTTCGGGGACAAAATAAATAATGTCCATTGAACTGGACATAGTCAAATATTTCCAATAAATTTTTAAAACCATGTGTGTACTCCGGTAAAGCACAGGTATCATTTTCTCACTGCACAAGTGTATACTACAAATGCAGTCTTGCGGCTGGACATCTCTGACCAACAACTAGACCACTGAAATTGCAAGGCAATGCAGTCAACTAAGGCACTGAGGCACTGTTCCCAGGAAAGATCGTTTGATTATGATACAATCAGGACTCCTTATCTAGACCCATACTTGATAAATAGGGTTGGCAGATAAGTTACAGGACGCCCAGATATAAAAACAAGGAATTTAAAAAAGTGTAAGTATGTCCCAAATATTACATGAAATATATTTATATTAAAATAAAATTACTCCTTATCTGAAATACAAATTACACTGGGTGTCCTGTATTTTTATTTACTAAATATGGCAGTTCTATTTATAAGTGGTACTTTTTTTTTGTTTGTTTGTTTTTGAGACAGAGTCTTGCCCTGTCACCCAGGCTGGAGTGCAGTGGTGTGATCTTGGCTCACTGCAACCTCCACCTCCCAGGTTCGAACAATTCTCATGCCTTAGCCTCCTGTGGAACTGGGATTACAGGCATGCACCACCATGCCTGGCTAATTTTTGTATTTTCAGTAGAGACAGGGTTTCACCATGTTGGCCAGGCTGGTCTCGAACTCCTGACCTCAGGTGATCCACCTGCCTAAGCCTCCCACAGTGCTGGGATTACAAGCGTGAGCCACCATGCCCGGCTATAAGTGGTACTTTATAAGCAGCAAAGATCATTTGAAACAGTACACTTCCTGAGGTTAGTGACTAATGAGATTATTCCTATATCCCTAAATGTCATAGAAGTGGGAGGAAATGTGAAAAAACAGAGACTCAAGAGTGGGTGTCAGCTATGGAGCACGCACGCGCACTCTGGTGCTTGCCCACGCTGCACTGGCCTACACTGGCCCACGCAGGCCCACACAGACCCACACAGGATCACTCAGACCGACACTCTCCAGGTTAGAGCACTTATCCAGTGGATGGTTCAGCTTTCTGGAGGATAGGTGGAGCGTTCTTAATGCCAGCCCTTTTCTGGTCCCCACTAGGCTGTGGTACCCTCAGAAGTCGGAAGGCGATGTTACATACTAAGGATTGCTTCCTTTGTGCTGCTGCAGGATGCCCGGTGAAAAAAATCTGTAAAATGACATCCAAATAACCCAACCCTTACCTGTGTGGATTTTGAACTTGCTAAAAGACACAGTGGACCCCACCTATTTGTGGATTGAGCTAATAAAAATAATTTAACAAACAATGTGATAAATATGATGGATATGGGAAAGCTGATAGTGAAGATCTTTGGGTCTTATAAGACTGTCAAAGAGGATATCCAAGAAGAAACGGGACAAAGAAGAAAGATGAATTGCATTTCTAAGAAGGTATTTAAATCCAGTACCTCCAAAATATTAATATAAAGATAAATGCATTACTAGGCGGTTTTTGAATAAATTTTTTTTGTTTACAAACTAAACTATTATTCTGTAAGTAGGACTATATTAAAGTGAAAAAGAGTAGCAAAGTATGAATGAATACACAAACACACATAAAACTTTCTAATTAGAACAAAAAAACCATATTTCTTTTGGTCCTTTTGCTTTGTTTGTTTAAGGTACATAATTGAAAAATCAGCTATTCTGAATGAAAGCTTTCTATCAAGTAGATGATACTTAGATTTATTTTTGCTGTCACCTGGCTTAGTTGGCTATATAAACATAACAAATTGCTAATTGATATTAGTAAATATACAGTATTTGTGACTTCCTTCAGTCATTATACCTTTCCTCGAGAAAGTAGACTTAATTGCACCACGTATTGGGGGCTGAATTTTACTAGTACTACTAATTTATCCAGCAGTGGCTTTCTATTTGCTATATATTAACAATTTGCATCTTGAATTAGACAGTTTTCTTGTAGTGTGGAGATATTTATTACTTCTAATGACATGTCAATTCTACTTTACTTTTAGGCCTAATTTTAAATTCACTTAAGAAAACCATTTTTTATTGAAGAGATGTGTACATATTTTCAGGATGGTCATTTAAAAAAAATTCCAAGCAAGTGAATGAAATCATTCTTGGGCTGTGAATTACCTTAAAAAATACATTTGGGAAATATACAGTGCCTACTACCCAAGATAGTTATGGTGACTAATTAGCTTCTTACCTAGATTTACAGCACCGTTACCCTGTAAAATAATCTTTGTAAAATAGGTCACAAACTGGGTCTGCCTGAATCTTAAGTATAAATTTCATGTTTCATGGTTTTGTACTGCAGCTCTAAAGTAAAACAAAACTTATTGTCAATCGAATCACTTTGGAGGTTCATGTTGCCTCGCATGTCTTTTGCTTAAATTCTTGTCTACAGCTGCCTGCCTGATTTGGATCTTGTGCCCTAATCCTAGTAACTGGACTCCTGTTTTGCTACTGTGAACACATTTTTGTCTGTTCGCCTCATGCTAGTAACTCCCTTTCTCATTCTTCCACATGTCTGGTTCTGAACACCCTTCTGATGACTACAGCTCTGATCCCTCCTCTCCTGGTGAATGATGTTCTGAACCTGTCTTAGGCTGTTGTATAACAAAGTGCCATAGACTGGATGGTTTGTAAACAACAGAAACTTATTTCTCCCAGTTATGTAGGCTTGAAGTTAGAGAACAGGATGCTAGCATGGTGGGGTTCTGGTGAGAACCCTCTTCTTGTCTGCAGAATGCTATCTTCTTATATCCTCACATGGTGGAGAGCAGAGAGCAAGTTCTCTGGGGTCTCTTTTGTAAGGGCACTAATCCCATTCATGAGGGTTCTACCCTTATGTCCTAATTACCTCCCAAAGGCCCCACCCTCTAATACCATCACATTCTGGATTCAGATTTCATCATATGAATTTTAGAGGGACACAAACATTCAGTCCATAGCAGATCACAGCCTTCAGCGGTGGCAGCCTTAGAATTTCTATGTAGCAATTAGGCGGTGCTTGGAGCTGAGCTGTTTGGGTATGGGAGAAAAGCAGCTTGTTTTAAAGCCATGTGTGCATTGCAATTACCCTTTTTTTAGTAAAAGTTGCATATTTAGTTGTGGTGGCTTGGGGGTAGTAATAAAAATTCATGAAGGAGCAGGTTTCTTTGTAGCCAATCATAGGCAATGCCACTGAATTCAAGGCTGGGAATCCAAAAGAATTGTTTTTTTTTTCTTTTTTGAGACGGAGTCTCACCCTGTCGCCCAGGCTGGAGTGCAATGGCGTGATGTCGGCTCTCTGCAACCTCTGCCTCCTGGGTTCAAGTGATTCTCCTGCCTCAGCCTCCAGAGTAGCTGGTATTACAGGCACACACCACCATACCCGGCTAATTTTTTGTATCTTTAGTAGAGACAGGGTTACGCCGTGTTGGCCAGGCTTGTCTCGAACTCCTGACCTCTGCATCCGCCCACCTCGGCCTCCCGAAGTGCTCGGGCTATAGGCGTGAGCCACCGCACCCGGCCAAGAATTGTTTTCTTACTTAGTTTTGTGTCTGCAGCTTTGTATATAAATAGCATATAGCTGTAGTAAATAAATATCTTTGATGATTGATCTAATGTCATGAATTTCTAGTCCTGGATTCCAAATAGCCACATCTATTCAACTGTAACTCTTGGGATACCCTATTTCTCCTCCTTGAAGTTTTCTGTTGGAAAACGCTTGCTTTAGCCACTGTCTATGGCCTCTCATGATATCCTCCAGTTATGAAGGTGTTTAATGTACTGTGAGCCATGGATAGCATAATATAGTCATGAGATTTATCATAAAACAGACCTGGAACTGAATTTGTGTCATACCAATGGTCTGGTTACTTCTCTTTGCCTGTTTTACATTTCAATAAAATAAGGATAATAATAATATTCATTCTTTCTCACAGTGGTTAAGAGGATTAAATTAGGAAACTTAAGTGTTTGACACGTATTTGATAATCAGGAAAATTGCCCTCATCTGATATGTTGAACTTATAAAAATTGCCCTCATCTGATATGTTGAACAAAGATGGACTTTGTTCAACATACTTTATCCGTGTTTTAGATAAATATAGATATTCAAAGTGCTGAGTCATTCATTCAACAAACTGTCTCTTAGGTGCTACTTTATTTCAGGCTCTTTGCTAAGATGAACTGGACCAGAAATTTATCAGAAAAAGTAACAGGGCATATGACATATTAGAGTTAAGGATGGCTAGAAGAGAAATGGGGATGGTTCAGGTAGAACAACACAATTAAAAATGTAGCCCCAAGGCCGGGCGCAGTGGCTCACACCTGTAATCTCAGCACTTTGGGAAGCTGAGGCGGGTGGATCACTTGATGTCAGGAGTTCAAGACCAGACTGGCCAACATGGTGAAACCGTGTTTCTACTAAAAATAAAAAAACTAGCCCCTTGTGGTGGCGCATGCCTGTAATCCCGGCTACTCAGGAAGCTGAGGCAGGAGAATCGCTTGAACCAGGAGGCAGAGGTTGCAGTGAACGGAGATTGCACTACTGCACTCCAGCCTGGGTGACAGAGTGAGAGGCTCTATCTCAAAAAATATTATATATATATATATAACTTATATATATAAATTATTTATATAATTTATAATATAATATAATTTTATATATAAATTATATATAATTATATCATTTATAATATAATTTATAATTATATCATATCATATATAATTTATATATATAATCATATATAAATTGTATATATATATATCCCCTCCAAAATTGAAGAGAATGGAGAAATAATAACAATTCGAGTTAATTTCGGTGATCTTGGAGACATTGCTGAGGCTGGAAAGGATAGAACTTTAAGAGACTTGTAGTTATGTGGACTTTATGGATAAATACAAAAGTTTTCTCAGGCAAATGTAGAGAATCTCTGCTTTGTTTCCACTGACTTTAAGTATATCACCATGATAAACACTTTGGTGCTATTCTAATTGCATATAAACATGCACAACTCCCATCCTGAAGGTAGGATGACCAATTATCCCATTTGCCCAAGCCTGAGGACTTTCCCAAGAAACAGGACTTTCTTTGCTAAAGCTGGGAGTGTCCTAGGCAAACTGGGACAAGTTGGTCACCCGCTTTAAAGCAAAGACAAGACTGTGTCTTAATCTTTATGCATCCCAGAACTTTGTGTAATTCCTTGTATAGTGCTTTGGAGGGGATCAATACATACTTTTGCTGACTCATCAGTTTTAAACCAGACCCTTGTGATTTTGTCTGGATAGTTAACCAGAATAGACGTTGGTTGAGGCTGATAAATTAGGGAAAATAGAGCTGTTTGGCTAAAAGTAAAACTAAGAAGAAGAAAGCCAGCCTCATCTGCAATATTGAAAAAAATATGTGTTCTTTCTCTAGTCTGCACCTGTAATTTTATGTTTCAGGTTTATTTGGACTCTCAGAATTTTCACAATATAGCAGAATTGTTCCTTGCACTCAGTTAAGGAGTAATGCAATCAGAACAGGGGTTGGAATGGTAATAACCAAATTCCTGCCACAGCTCTACCACCCTCTAATAATATAAACTTAAGTAAGTCACTTAAACTCTCAAAGCATTATTGCTTTCAACCAAAGGCATGTGTATAATAACAACTTCCTTATAAGAAACAGCTCCATATGATAACTTTTATAAAATAGACTTAGGAACTTCAAAGGATGAGATAAATTCGAATTATTCTAATGACCAGTCATGCCATAATGATAGTGATATGCTGATTTAAATGATTCAGATTATGGTTGTCAACATGTGATAGTGAAAATAACTAAACTACCAAAGTTGAATTTCCATGTACACACTGAAAGGACAATATCTATAAATATCTATAGCACACCTCAATGGTCACAATTTCCAGTGAGTAACATTGATTAAGTAAAATTAAATTCTTCTGAAGTTTAAGTCTGTAGTCTCCTAAAATGCCCACACTGGCTCAATTATTCATGAATTACAGTTATATTCTTTTTCTCAAGTCTTTCAAAAGGACTAATTTAAAAACCAGAAAAGGTATTAACAAATCAAAAGAACAAAGGGACATGTTCATTTCAAGTTATGCCTTGAAATTGTAATGAAAACTTAATCTCAAGGGCCCCACATATTTTCTAACTGCTAAATGGAATATCCTAGTTGTACTTTTGTATCTAGACTGAACAAAACTTATAAAATTCATTCCAACACACTTGCCAGCTAATGGATCTGAGTACATTTAATAGTAAAAATAATGCTACTGATTACATTCAGTAATGCATTTTGTTTTTTGCATTTTTTTCTATTCCGAAGATTGACTGAGTTAGTAGTCCAATGCTGATGTGTTACTTATCAGCTATGATGAAATTACTAGAGTTTTTCCCAGTTAGCTATGATGTCTACCAAGAAACTATGATGACAAAGAAGTCTGGATTTCTAGTCCAGCTGGGCAGCACAATAATAAGAATCATTCAGGAGCGCTGTATGGACTGAATTTATTGAGCAAGAAGAAAACTGCATGAACAAACTGTGGAAGCTTAACACATCTGGTTAGCAAAGAAATTTATTTTGGCCGGAGAGATTAAAAACCTCTTTTTCCAGTAACTTATTCTGCCAGAGGTACTAGACCAGAATCTGGGCCATCCCACAGATCTTAGCATATGGGCATTTTTCAGTAGAAGGAGCATTGAAGTTACTGAACTGTTTTCTCTGCCTAGCCAATTTAATATGAAATATGATTGAAACCAGTAGGTCCGCACTGGTATTTATTTATTTCCCAGTGCTTTCCTAAACGAGTTTTATAGTATTCAGAGCATAGTGTTAAATTGATTCACCTTTCTCCATGTGAGAATTGTAAGCAATTTGATTAGCTTTTCTCTATTTTCATCTTCTGACATATACTGTTATAACTAAGAAAAATTATAACCCTTTTTTCTTACTGAAAATAATTTATATTCAGTAGTGTTTTTGTGCCTGCACAGAATATAATCTCTACAGGCTTAAATATCAACATTTGTAACTGTATGGGTATGATGGTATTAAGAACAATTCCAAAGACAAATTACACTTTTAAATGTTCATGATACTGAATTTATCCCTCAGACCTTATAATTGAACGTTGCAAACCAGACACATTCCTGTGTGTTTTATTTAGTGAAGGAAGGAAAGAATGTTAAAAAAAAAATAAAATTAGGGTTTTTTATATGACTGCTAAACATGATAAATTAAGGGAGTCTTGTTACCCTGAGAGATGTAACTTTATTGATCTCTCAGTTAAAAGCTGCTAAATGAGTGAATGAAAAGATAGAAGCTGGGGGAGGGGGACTGCTATCTTTGCTCTTCAAGAAATGGTTTATGCTAAAATTTAATGACCACCTACTAAGAGCAGTGATGCATGCGGAGGCTTGGGTCCTTTTTTTCTTCCTTTCCATGCCTTTCACAGCGGAGTCTACCACTGCTGCTCATCCTTAGTTTCACCTGCCTTACTTTCTGTCCAGTTTTCTTCCTGGATCAGGGCCCTGGCACCCTATCTAACTTCTATTAATTCTGTTTCCTGGCTGTGGGTCATGTTCCTCATATCTACCACCTGCTTTCTAGTGGCAGTACAACAATTACAGCTACCTGCCAGCCCCATCACCCCACTTGAAAGGAATCCATTATTTCCAGGGTCCTGCTTGGATTGCCTTATTTCAATCCTTTAAAAAAAATATTCATTCTTGTGGGCTTTTGACTTTCTCATTTCCAAGGTCTTCTTTTTTTAACCTTTAAATTCAGGGGTACAAGTGCAGGTTTGTTACATAGGTGAACTTGTGTCATAGAAGTTTGTTGTACAGATTATTTCCTCACCCAGGTATTAAGCCTAGAACCCAGTAATTATTTTTCCTGATCCTCTCCCTCCTCCCACCCTCCACCTTCTGAAATGCCCCAGTGTGTGTTGTTCCCTTCTATGTGTTCATGTGTTCTCATCATTTAGCTCCCACTAATACGTGAGAACATGTGGTATTTGGTTTTCTGTTCCTGTGTTAGTTTGCTAAGGATAATGGCCTCCTGCTCCATCCATGTCCCTGCAAAGCATGGTACTGGTACAAAAACAGACACATAGACCAATGGAACAGAATAGAGGACCCGGAAATAAGGCTGCACAGCTACATCTATGTGATCTTTGACAAACCTGACAAAAACAAGCAATGGAAAAAGGATTATCTATTCAATGAATGGTGCTGGGATAACTGGCTAGCCACATGCAGAAGATTGAAACTGGACCCCTTCCTTACACCATATACAAAAGTTAACTCAAAATGGATTAAAGACTTAAGTGTAAAACCCAAAACTATAAAAACCCTGGAAGACAACCTAGGCAGTACCATTCAGGACATAGGCACGGGCAAAGATTTCATAATGAAGACACCAAAAGTAATTGCAACTAAAGCAAAAATTGACAAATGGGATCTAATTAAACTAAAGTCTTCCCTTAAAAGGTCACTACTTTCCAGGTGGGTAGCACATTCAGTGGCTAATATCTTAGTTTGAAGGGCATTTCCCTGGCCAGTGTCCTCTGGAGTTAGAAAGAGCTGAGCAGCATGGCAGCACTGGTCCTCTGAAAGGGGAAAACATGGAGTGGGATGTGATTAACTGAGATATAAAATCTCGGAGGGTGTGATCCATGACCCTTGTTGACCCATGTCTTCCTCACACCTAGGAGTGCCTGCAACAATGTAGATCCTCAGTGTTGAATATATGAATGTGTAAATGAAGGTACCTATTTCACAAATCGTCTAGGATTGACATCACCCTAAGGATGGATGTTGTTTATTTCACCAGCAGTTTGGGATTGTGAAAGCCCTGTGTATGGTCACAGGCTTTGAAATGTGTGATGAATCTGCATCTTTAATTGGGTCTCTATAGTCAAATGAGAGTCTTCATTTTTCTAAAGGTTCATACTGAGAAGCACAGGCTTTCTTTCAGTGTATTGAAGGTGCATTGTATTAGATTAACACTGAACCAAACCATTGTCCTTTGAATTGCATGTTGTAATCAAACAATGCGATTGTTTTGTTAAATACTTTAAAAATTGTATTGACTTCTCAAACTAAATAGAAACTTACTTAGCTTAATAGTCAGCTTATATCATATTTTATCTCATCACATTTTTCTTTTCTAATGACTGTATTTGCTTTATTATTCTGTGGCTAAGTAAGATTTAAAAAAAAAACCCAAAACAACATTAAAATGCTCCCTTTTGACCAAGGTACTTCCTTCTCATTGTGGAAAATGTGGAAAACTCTCACATCAATTGCACCACCACCCCCCTTCCCTATGCACTCAATGAAACAATTTAAATTAAGTATCTATTTTGTGTCAGCTATGGAGATAGACTTTGGGGAAATACCGTTCCTTTTTTCATTCTTCATTTTGTGCCAACAAAATATTTTGAGGGAGGAATATTTTTATATCAATTATTTTCATTATCTAAGTTAAAATAGGTACAATGGCCATTTACCCTAGATTTGTTTTAACTGTCCTAATTTTCAAATAGTCTGAATTATTTACCTGCATTTAAAGCTATGAGTCCTAATGTTGGTTTTGGAACATATGGTCCTCTTGGAGATATATTTATTTTCAGAGAAACTACCTGAGAATTTTTACGTTTTTTCTTGAGTCAAAGTAGACTTATGTTTTAATAGCTTGAATAGAAGAAAATTTCAAAACTCTTAGCCCATTGTAAAGTTAAAGAGTACATAAGTTTATGTAGTATTCATGATTTACGAATAATTGGATTTTTAGATCAAAATTAACTAATTGAACTTGAAAAATATCCAACTCTATTTTTATGTCATGTATTCAATGCATACACATTTTATATACCCAAATCTCTAGACACTGTGCCTGGCAATATGAATTTAAAATAATAAGTAAATATTTCTTGATTTTAGTTTTAATGCACAATAAAACACTAAGAATAAATAGCCTAGTTGGTGTATATAGAAAAATCCATAAGTAATGATTCAAAATTATTTGAAGATGGACATATTATTTTTAGTAGTGAGTATATATGGGATGTGGCTGAAATTACTAGACATATAACCATAATATTATGTGACCATTTGGTGTAGATAATGCCTGACTGACAATAGCAGCAATGTATGGTTGTTTTTTGGTGTTTCTACCTTTTAGACTTACACATTTTAAATGCTTAAGATGAGTAATCTCATTCATCTTTCCTGTTGCTTGCACTGAATATTTGTTGCTGCTAATCCTTCTTATTTCCATAGTATTGTTCAAAGGTACATTCCAGGGCATCTTTGAAGCATATTTTTTAACCCCCGCTGTGTCTCTAACTTGTCATGTAATGGTTGCTTGAGCATGTCAGCCATTCTGTGTGTGTTTGCCAAGCCCCAGTGTGCTGGTATAAGTAGGCATTGCAATTAGGCTGAGAGACAAGCTGCATTACAAGAACTATTTGCTGCTTATATTGTCCCAATATTTTAACCCAAGCCAATACAGATAGCATTGAGCATAATACTTTACATATAGTATTAAATATAGCATACATTACATAAAGCATAATACAATATATATAACATTGCGCATAATATATTGAGCATGTACCATATGTCCAGCTTTTGCTAACTACTGTGGAGAAATATGGGGGTGGGATGAGGAAGGCAGTATTGGATGGGAGGCTGGTAAGAAGTATAAAGGAGACCTGCTCTTAGTAAACTGCAGTTTTGTTGAGGATAACAGTGATATACAAAAATAATTAGAAATCATATAAGGAAAATATACAAACAGCGATGCTTAGGTTGTGCTGATTTAACTCTTTATGATGCAGAACATGTAACTGGGCAGCTCCAAGTCCTAAAGTCTTGTAGGAGTTCAGTTGTTTGGGGTAACTACATTTCATTCATGAGTTGTATGAGTGTAGCTATCTTCGTGTCATGTCTTACTACCTTTTGAATCATTGGTAATCATTGTTAAACACAATACTTTGGTAGAAGAGATCAGTGACAATTCACCTCTATGATTGTTAATGAAAACGTTTGACTACTGAAATACCTTCAGTGGTAATAGCTTCACTATTCTTAATTTTTTTTTACCACAACACTTAATTTTTAATCTACGATATGATCATTTTATTGCTCCATCCTCTAAATTTAGCCACTGAGATGATTTTAAAGCATCCTTAAATTCCTTAAGAAAATTTAAAAATCAGGAATAGACAGAAGGAAGGATTCACATCTATATTTATCCCAATATACTTTCCTGGTGTTTTGGAGGATGTCAGCTTCATCACAGATTAAACACCAAGAAAAGGAGAGGTTTAAAAGTTCACATGGATGTGCTGCACTATGCAATATTTTTTTATTTTCTGTGTGCATATTAGTAACACTTATTTTATGGCTGGGTGTGGTGGCTCACGCCTGTAATCCCAGCACTTTGGGAGGCTGAGGCTGGTGGATCACCTGAGGTCAGGAGTTTGAGACCAGCCTGGCCAACGTGGCGAAACCCCGTCTCTACTAAAAATACAAAAGTTAACTGGGCATGGTGGCGCTCGCCTATCCTCTCAGCTACTCGGGAGGCTGAGGCAGGAGAATCGCTTGAACCAGGGAGGCAGAGGTTGCAGTGAGTCAAGATTGCACCACTGCACTCCAGCCTGGGTGACAGCCTGAGAGTCTGACTGAAAAAAAAAAAAACCAACAAAACAAAACCCGCTTTCTTTAGGATTTTGCCTTTTCTTGAGGACTTATATTGTTTTTGAGGATTTTACTAGCATTTTCTAGGTCTAAGGACTCAAAAATCCTGACCCCAATTCTTTTTCTCTTATACGTAGTGACAGACTGATATTATTGTACCAATTATATAACTCAGCTTCTCATCATTTTGATGTGCAGAGGTTAGTTAATTTTTAGAAGCTACACAGCTAATAAATAGTGTATTTATTTTTTACAAAGGAAAGTTCTACCTTATAAAAGAATAGTTCTGTTATGAAATCTTATACATCAGTTATAGAGGGGAGGACATATAAATTATATTACTTATACAAGTCAACTAATTTTATTGTATGATAATGAGACAGATATGTTATTAAAATTTCTTCATTACATCAGTTTTTCCAAAATAGACAGTTTTATTGACTTTTCTTTTTCTAAAGGTATTATGAATATTATCTTTAATGCCAGCATTTAAAGATCTTTATGTTTTGTGTGCATATTATAGTTTTTTCTGTGTGTTTGTGTGTTATATAAGAAGGATCATGTGATATATACAGTTTTGAAACTGGCTTCAACTCCCCCTTTCACAGTATGTCATAGACATCTATCAGTGTAGTCATTGATTACAAATCTGCATCATGATTATAATGACTGTGTAGCAGCATATTGAATTGATTCGTATGTCTTTGTTTATTTGCTTAACCAATCTCTTATTGGTGGACACTTGGTTTTCACATTTTCTCTCTGATACCAACACAACTCTGAGATGTGTATACTTTCTATGAGACTGTGTGTGTCATGCATACTTTCAAAGATAGCCTTCTGATACCTTTTTTTTTTTTGAGACGGAGTCTCACTGTGTCACCCAGGCTGGAGTGCAGTGGGGTGATTTTGGCTCACTGTATCCTCTGCCTCCTGGATTCAAGTGATTCTCCTGCCTCAGCCTCCTGAATAGCGGGGATTACAGGCATGTACCACGAAGCCCAACTAATTTTTGTATTTTTAGTAGAGATGGGGTTTCCCTGTATTGGCCAGGCTGGTCTCGAACTCCTGACCTCAGGTGATCTGCCTCTCTTAGCCTCCCAAAGTGTTGGGATTATAGATGTAAGCCACCACACCCAGCCTGATTACTTCTTCAGGATAAATTTCAGGAAGTTGCAGAGCAATGTCATGTTGCAGCCTCTACCACCTCCTTCTTTTCCTCCTCCTTCCATTTTTTTTTGTTATCTGTAACTATCTCAAGTCTGACTGCTCGCCAGTCAGAGGCCAAAAACATGAGAAGTGAGATATGGTGAAAGGAAAGCAACTTTATTGATTGAATGCTAGCAGATGGGAGATGGCCAGGCTTCTGCCTCAAATAAGCCATCTTAGTTTTTTGGGCCGGATGAAGGAGTTTGAGAGGGAAAAGGTGTGGGAAGTATGCTAGAGTGGTGCAGGAGGTTGCAAGTCTATGTTTTATTCCGATGGCTATCAAGTAATCGCCCGTTGGAAGATCCGGTTTGCATCACCTTGACTTTGGCTCGGTAGTGGTGGACTATCTGTATCTGTAATTCCTCCTAAGCAGGAGGATTCTGCCTCTGGGTCTCTCTCTGCCTGATTTGTTTAAAAATTGGCCCCTGGAATTTTAAGGCAAGCACATAATTACATAAGCGAGCACTGTTCACTGAAATGCCTGGTGGGAAAGGAGGAAACAGAGTTTCAAAGTATGTTTCAAGGCTGAAAGCAAGAAAGGAAAAAAGTTTTAAAATGCATTTTGAGGCTGAAATACTTGGTTACCTGCTTATTTATATTTATAAATTGGTATTCTAAAGTCCCAATAGACCATAGAGAGAAAAATAGAGAGAAGGAAAGTTTCTTTTTTCTAATACTCTGCTGTATGTTAGGTACTGTAAATATAGTATTTAATCTTCATGTTAACCCTGAAAGCTGAGTGGAGAGTTTAAATAATATGCCAAAGGCTACATTATCAATGTCAAGGCTAAAAGGGAATTTATTAATAGTTCTGTCTAATCGTAGAACATTGTTTTAAAATTTAAGTGAAATTCATATAACATACAATTGACCATTTAAAAATGTGCAATTCAATGTGTGTTTCCTTGTCTTGGCTATTGTGAATAATGCTGCAATGAACATGGGAGTGCAGGTATCTTTTCCAGAACCAAATTTCATTTCCTTTCAATATATGCCCAGAAGTGGGATGGCTGGATCATATGGTAGTTTTATTTGTAGTTTTTTTGAGGAATCTCCATACTGTTTTCCATAATGGCTGTGCTAATTCACATTCCCAACAACAGTGTGCAAGGGTCCCCTTTTCTCCACATCCTCTCCAACACTTGATATGTTTTGTCTTTTTAATAATAGCTATTCTAACAAGTGTGAGGTGATATCTCATTGTGATTTTGATTTGCATTTTCCCCATAATTAGCGATGTTGAGCAACTTTTCATATTATCTGTTGGCCAGATATGTCTTATTTGTATGTCTTCTTTAGAGAAATATCTATTCAGATCCTTTGCCCATTTTTATTCGGGTTTTTTTTCCATTATTTCGTTTTCATTATTGTATGAGTTCCTCATATATTTTGGATATTAACCACTTATTAGTTATATAGTTTGCACATATTTTCTCCCACTTCGTAAGTTTTGTTTTTGTTTTTATTTTTTTTACTTTGTTAATTGTTTGCTGTGTAGAAGCTTTTTAGCTTGATGTAATCTCACTTGTCCTTGATTTTGTTGCTTGAGCTCTTGGTGTCATTACAAAAAAGTCATTGGCAGGAGCAATATCAAGAAACTTCTCCTCTGTTTTCTTTTAATAGTTATAAGGTTTCAGGTCTTACATTTAAATATTTAACCACTTTGAACTGATTTTTGAATGTGGTGTGAAATAAAAGCACAGTTTTATTATTCTGCACATAGATATCCAGTTTTCTTAACTCCATTTATTAAAGAGACTATCTTTTCCCCATTTTATTTTCTGGGCATCTTTGTTAAGCATCAGTTGACCATAAATGTGTGGATTTATTTCTGGGCTATTTTGTTCTATTGGTTTCTATGCCTGTTTTTATGCCATCGCCATACTGTTTTCATTGCTGTAGCTTTGTAATACATTATTTTGAAACCAGGAAGTATGATGCCTTCAGTTTTAATCTTCTTGCTCAAGATTGCTTCAGCTATTTGGAGTCTTTGTGGTTCTATATGAATTTTAAGAATTTTTACATTTCTGTAAAGAATGCCATTAGGATTTAGATAGGGATTGCATTCAGTGTATAGATCATAGATCATTTTGGGTAGTGTGAATATTTTAACAATACTAATTTTTCTAATCAATGAACACAGGACATCATTTCTTTCATCTGTATTTTCTTTTATTTTCCTAATCAATGTTTTAAATTTTCAGTGGAAAAATCTTTCATATTTTTAGCTAAATTTATTCCCTAGTATTTTATTCTTTTTATTGCTAGTGTAAATAGGATTTTTTTCCTTGATTTCCTTTCTGGATAGTTTGTTGTCAGTAGATAGAAATGACAGTGATTTTTGTATGCTAATTTTGTATCTTGCAACTTTACTGAATTTGTTCATTATTCTAACAGTTTTTTTGTTGCCATTAGTGTTTTTTACACATATGATCATGTCATCTACAAACAGGGATAGTTTTACTTCTTCCTCTCTGATTTCAGTGCCTTTTATTTCTTGTCTTATTGCTCTGGCTAGGACTTCTTATACTGTGTTGAAGAGAAGTGGTAAGCATGGGTACCCTAGCTTTATATCAGATCTTAGCAGAAAAGCTTTCAGCTTTTCCCCATTGATTATGATATTAGCTGTGGAGTTTTCATATGTTGTCTTTATTATGTTGAAGTCAGTTCCTTCTATACCTATTTTGTTGAGAGGTTTTTCTTAAATCATGAATGGATGTTAAATTTTGTCATATGCTTTTTGTTTTTGCATCTATTGAGATGATCATGTAGTTTTATCTTAGAGTCTGTTAATGTGGTATATCACATTGATCGATATGTTGAATCATCCTTGAATCTAAGGGATAAATCCCCCTTGATCATTGTGTATAATCCTTTTAATATGTTATTAAATTTAGTTTTCTGATATTTTGTGGAGGATTTTTGCATTGTCTGTAGTTTTCTTGTAGTGGCTTTGTCTAGCTTTGATATTGGAGTGATATTGGCCTCATAAAGTTATTTCTGTTTTTTGAAAGGGTTTGAGAAGGATTGGTATTAATATTTCTTTGAATGTTTGGTAGAATTCACCTGTGAAGGCATCTGCTTCTGGGCTTTTCTGTTGTTGTTGGAAGGTTTTTGATTACTGATTGAATCTCCTTATTTGTTATTGGTCTTTTCAGGCTTTCTTTTTATTCTCAATTCCTTCTTGTTAGGTTGTAGGTATTCAAGAATTTATTTATGTTCTCTAGGTTATCTAGTTTTTTGACATATAATTCTTCATAATAGTCCTGTATGATCCTTTTATTTTTGAGGTTCCCATTGCAATGTCTCATTTTTTCATTTCTGGACAAATGGATAAAGAAATTGTGGTGTCTATATACAATTAGATATTATTCAGCCTTTAAAAAGAAGGAAACCCATTTTCAAAAACATAAATGAACCTAGAGGAAATTATGCTAAGGGAAATAAGCCAGATACTCATCATTGCTGAATGATCTCATTTATATGTGAGATCTAAAATAGGCAAACTTCTAGAACAAGAGAGTAGAATGTTGTTTGTCAGGGTTGGGGGGAAAGAGGAATTGGAGAGATGTTGTTCAAAGGGTACAATGTTTTAATTATGCAAGATTAATAATTTCTTGAGATGGGATCTAATGTACAGCAAGGTAACTACAATGAAAGATACTTGGAATTTGTTAAGAGGGTAGACCTTAAGTGCTCTCGCCACAAAAAGGAAAATAAAGAAAATGGTAACTATGTGAGGTGATGAATATGTTACTTAACTTGATTTTGGCAGTCATTTAAGAATGTATACATATATCAAAACATCAAGGTGAATACCTTAAATGTATACAATTTGTTTTTGTCGAGTATCCCTCAATAAAATGGAAAAAAAATCCTAAACTATTCAGCGGCCTTGAATACATTTGTAGTGTTGTGCAACCATCACCTCTGTTTAGTACCAAGACATTCTTGTTACACCAATATCAAGCCCCACATGTATTAAATGAGTCTTCATTTCCCTCTTGCTAGCCTCTGACAGCCATGAATCTGCTTTCCGTCTCTATGGTTTTACTTATTCTACATGTGTCATATAAATGGAATCATACAATACGTGACTTTTCGTGTCTGGCTTCTTTCACCAAACAGGTTTTTGAGATTCATTTATGTTGTAGCATGTATCAGTCCTTTCTTATTTTTATGGCTGAATAATATTACATCATATAGATATACCACATTTGTTTATTCATTCATCTGTTGATATATATATTCATTGTTTCCACTTTTTGGCTATTGGGAATAGTGCTGCTCTGAAGATTAATGTATAAGTACCTATTTTCAATTCTGTTTTTTTTTGTTATTGTTTTTGTTTGTTTTTTTGTTTTTTGTTTTTGAAATGGAGTCTCATTCTGTCGCCCAGGCTGAAGTGCAGTGGCATGACCTCGGCTCACTGCAACCTCCACCTCCCGGGTTCAAGCGATTCTTCTGCCTCAGCCACCCAAGTAGCCAGGATGACAGGCGTGCACCACCACACGCAGCTAATTTTTTTATATTTTTGGTAGAGACAGGGTTTCACCATGTTGACCAGGCTGGTCCTCCCAAAGTGCTGGGAGTACAGGCATGAGCTACCATGCCCGGCCCCTGTTCACAATTCTTTAGGTATATAACTAAGATTGGAATTGCTGGGTCATCTTATCCATAGAACTTGTGTAGCCTTCTTTCACAAGGCTGTGGGTATTGTCTGATAATATAATATTTTCTTACTATTTACAAAATAGAAAATTCAAGTTATTTTAAAAGATTTGAATAATCACAAATTTTATTATTGATATGAACTTTGATGTTTAGAAATCTAAAATCTTAATCCTCTAGTACGTTTCTTCCTGGAATTTGAGACTCCTGTTAAAACTGTTACAAGTTAAAGTTGAAGAAAGCACAAATATACTTTCTAGCTCCTGGCTATTGATATATGCGATTTAGCTGACCCATTTCATTCAAGGTCAGGAGTGTTAGTGATCTTATCCAGAGAAACCACAGATTCTTATAAATTCCCTAGTTTACAATTGGGGATGACAAATCACATTTTTTCGAATCTTGAAGCTGAGGATGGGCTTTAAAGGAATCATCATGATGAGAACATTTTTACATATAATTGCCCAGGAAACTATTCTCTAGGGATCTTGAGTTCATATTGGATTCCTATATAATTTCTTCCTGTGTATTTTGAGACCTGCAAGATAGAACTAAGGGGAAATTAGAGTGGGCAAGAGAAGTTCCCTTCTTATTGCCAGTGAAGTATAGCAGCTGACATGGCTTGTCAGGGTAAGTGAGTCTCATTATCCCTCAGTAGTTGCTACCAGGTGAGCTAGCACAAGGAATTACCTTCTTCCTGAAGCATAAAATACAACAGAGAGGAAATATCTCTTTTTTTTTTCCAAGAAGGGGAAAGGTAGGAAAGATGGGAAAAAAGAAAGAAAGAAGATAGTGTACTTAATTATAATATTTTTGAAATGGAGGAGACCTGAGGAATCACTTTAGTTCAACTTCTTTACTTTAAATAGAAAGAGACTGGTTTAAAGTTACCCAGCCCTGTGGTTATAACCCCGCGGGCTAGAAGCCAACTGTGCACTCTCCTGTGGCTTGTGTTACTAGTTTCCTATGGCTGCTGTAACAAATTATTACATACTTAGTGGCTTAAACAACACAAATTTATTATTTTACTCTTCTGGAAGTGAGAAGTCTGACATAGGTCTCACCGGGCTAAAATCAAGGTATTGGTAGGGTTGCATTATTTTCTGGAGGCTCTAGTTAAGAATTATTTTCTTTCCTTTTCTAGCTTCTAGCAGCTGCCTGCATTCTTTGGCTTCTGGGGCCCTTCTGTCTTCAAAGCCAGCAGTCACATCAGTCTGACCTCTCCGTTCATCATCTTTGACTCTGACTCTTCTGCTTCTCTCTTTCACTTTTAAGGATTCTTGTGGGCCCACCCAAAGACCACAGGATGATTTCCCTAACTCAAGATCCTTAACGTAATCACATCTGCACATTCTCTTTTGCCATGTAAGGTTACATGTCCACAGTTTCCAGGGATTTGGACATGGACATCTTTGGAGGACATTGTTCTGTTTACCATAGCTTGACCACTCGTTCTTTAAGGAAAAACATAAAGAAAGAAACAAATTATATACCCCCTCTTCTGAGGACTTTGTAGATTTATTTATTGACAAGTATTTTCACTCATTTAAAGATGGCACCTTATATTTGTTATATTTACAAACTGCTTTTGCATATGCTATTTCATTTCATTGTTGCCCTTTTCACAGTGGCAACAAAGACTCAAAAACTTAAGTGAATTTTCAGAACAAATAGTGGTCTTGGCATATGAATCCCATGTATTTGAGTCTGTCTAGTGTTTACAACATTCTACTCACTATCTCATGAAAGTGATTTTCAGCACTTTCTAACTTAATTCCTTGAGACTTTGGATGTCATATGTGGGTTGGTTTGTGGACATTCTTCATCATGTTTAACATCCTCGAAGCCTCTCCTACAAAGAATGCACTGCTCCTTCTGGATTTATGTTGTAAAATATGTTCTAAAACTAACTTGAATTCCTATACTTTCTTGCCTATTTTCTATTCAGAAAAAAACAAGGGAACTGATATATTTGTCTACATAATTGTGAGTTGTTAGAAGCCAAATAATCAGTGTGAATGGTATGCCATGCTCTATGAATGGTTGTTCAGCAGTCCATAAATTTGGTCTTCTTCTTGAGGGTAGGAGTAGTGTTTTGTTTACTTTATGGTTCTTAGCTATTAACTAAGTACCTTGCATTTCATAGGGCTTTAGTAAATTTGTGATGTTTTTAATTATTGAATGCTGATTATATCTTAAGCTTAGAAAAGAAGTGAAACTTGTGGTTTTAATTTAATTTTTAAATTAATCTCACATTGATAAGTGTAACTATTAACTACGTTATAACCTTAAAATGAGTCATTTCATGAGTCTCCAAAGGCTCTTTCCTTGTGTCTAAAATGAGCAACAAAACAAACCAAAATAAAACCACAGATAATGGCAGAGCTTTTAACTTTGGGAGACTGAAGAATTGATGGGAGTAAAGAAATTTACAATTTAAAATATCAAACTAGTTTAACCTTCTACCAATTAAATTATGTACTACTGGAAAGCATAGCTTTTAAAATACTGTAACTAGTTAACAAAAATCAGCTACAATGACTGAATCAACAATCTTCTTTCCCCTAATTACAACATTAACTGCTTCACTTCCTTGGTGAAACCCCAGCTGCCTCTCAGCTCCACCTGAATCTGGTGAGGCCCACCATCTCAAGCCATCTTTATCTTTTAATATTTTAGTCAACCAAAATCAATCTCCATGTTTCATTTAGCTATTTAGGCTGATACTTACATTTGTAAATCATAACACAATTGTGATTATACTTAACAATACTCTTTTCTCTGGGATTTTATAGGTAAAGTAGTAATTTCTTAATGGTTTTCTAATTTATGGAACCAGGTTGAGTTTAAATACTTAAATAAATTAACTTGTAAATTTCCATTGGGTTGACTTTTAGATGCTCTCTATGAGGAAGGTGAGCAAACAAAAATAAACTCACATTTCATCAATTCTAAGCACATTTTTAACATCTCTGAAATCAGGGTTTAATCTGATAGTATAAGGTTTGTCATCTTTTAGTTAGCAGCATTTTGTTTTTTCTCTCTTACTGGTACATAGGAGATGACGGTGCATCTTTTATTCATTGGTTTGCCCCTTAGATTTCATGAAATGTGGTCATTTAGGTGACTCTAAGCAGGAATCTTTTGCATTCTGATTTGCATAATACTTTTTTAGGAATGATTACAAAGCAGGCTTTAGAACTTCTCCCTTCTCAAGATTTTCTTCATTGATGTATTTTTCTGAAGTATGGCTCTTTAAAATAAAATTAAGCTGGAAACAAACCTGCTTATGTGACATAGTTCAAGGACTATATTTAACAGAGTTGAGTAGATTCAGTGGCATCTTGACACTAACAGTGGTGGGAATTTCTCTTCTATATTCTGCATTTTCTTGGTGAACTTACATTATCCTAAACAATTGATTATTTGAACTGAAGTGACCAAATTAAATGATTCTACGTGGCCTAAATTTTCTTGGGATCATGTGTTGTGCACATCTTGCCCACTGTTTTTTCTATCCATATATCAACTCTGCCTGGGTCATACATCCTCAATAAGTCTATAACATATTGAGTTGAATTAAACAAAACACATCATCAGGGATTGAAGTTTTTATCCCAGAAGACTTCTGAAGGTATTTAAAACATAAACAAAATTTTAAAGTGAGGATAAATAATTAAGGGAACCACTAGAATTTGATTATCACCCACTTAATTTTCATAGCTTTCTTCTAGACCCCCAAAACAGCTATTTTCTTCTGTCTCTTTCGATTTTCTCTAGTGATTTTTCTAAGCAAGGCTGAATGGAAGCTACCAGTGGTCATTTGTGATTGACACACTAAAAATATAATGTGAACACTTGGAAAAGAAAATGCCCTTGGACATTTGGTTAGCTGCATATCTCTTGTCTCAGATGACACCCATATACTCTTTCACTTTCCAGACAACATAAAAATTAATGCTGTTTGCTATAGCAGAAAACAGTCAGAATTATTTTCAGCTTTTAATAAACAGCTCAATAGCCTCAGGGAAATTGGGCATATTACTTCATTTCTTGGTTTTCAAATGTATTTCTATCACTTAATTATCTAATGAAAATGGTATTATTTATTTAAAATATTTAAGAAGGTTTTTGACTCAGATTTTCTCCTCATTTTTACCTCTCTCTATTCTGCCTTCTGCATCACCTGAATGGCCTTGCAAAAGACAGTAAGAGATGTTGTGGACAAATCTGGAGCAATTGATGATATACATTTTGCATTTATGTTTGTAGAATATGAGGAAGTCTGACAAACTTAAAACAGCTATTCACAGGCTGAAATCCCACTTTCTCAAAAAATAAAATGAATTTTTGGAATGGATTTTTAGAGCTTATAAAGAAACTAGTTTACTTGTATGTTTATTTTAGGTAATTACTGTATTAATACTCTTTTAAATTTTATAGTGGTGTATTTCAAAATGTCTCTATTTTGAGATGCTGAGTCAAATATGTTTTTCATTAAAATGAACCTCTGTGTCTGCTTTCCAGTATAATTATTTGTCTACTAGCTAGAATACCATATTCCATTTTATTTTTCTTTCAGGATTATTCTCCTAATCCCCCAAGACCATCCCTGTTCAGCGTATATTTAGGGCAATGATAACAATAATAGTATTAAAATTTTATTAGGTAAGCCAATCTGCTGAATTATGAATTTAGGTCTTGTTGGAAGGACACTTTTTCTGAATTTGTATTTCTAGCTTTCCTTATTTATTTGAATAGTTGAGATTTTAGTATATTTTTACTTTATATTTTGTAGAACAACGTGAATTTTAGCATGGACCAAAAAATTAACGCTTTATTTTACCAGTGAACAACTACTTGAAGAAAATATGGGGCCGGGCGCGGTGGCTCAAGCCTGTGATCCCAGCACTTTGGGAGGCCGAGGCGGGTGGATCACAAGGTCAGGAGATCGAGGCCATCCTGGCTAACACGGTGAAACCCCATCTCTTCTAAAAATACAAAAAATTAGCTGGGCGTGGTGGCGGGCGCCTGTAGTCCCAGCTACTCGGTAGGCTGAGGCAGGAGAATGGCATGAACCCGGGAGGCGGAGCTTGCAGTGAGCGGAGATTGCACCACTGCACTCCAGCCTGGGCGACAGAGCGAGACTCCGTCTCAGAAAAAAAAAAAAAAAATAAAATAAAATATGGGGGCAGGGGGTGCGCGGTGGCTCACGCCTGTAATTCCAGCACTTTGGGAGGCTGAGGCAGGCAGATCACCTGAGGTCAGGAGTTAGAGACCAGCCTGGCCAACATGGCGAAACTTCGTCTCTACTAAAAATACAAAAATTATCCAGGCGTGGTGGTACATGCTACAGTAATCCTAGCTACTCAGGAGGCTGAGGCACGAGAATCACTTGAACCCAGGAGTTGGAGGTTGCAGTGAGCCGAGACTGCGTCACTGCAGTCTAGCCTGGGTGACAGAGAGAGACTCTGTCTCAAAAAAAAAAAAAAAAAAAAGAGAAAATATAGGAACCACTCTTTGTTGCAGAAACTACCCTTTGTGAAGTATCTATTAGGTTATAATATATCACATTTTTTTTTTTGAGACAGGGTCTCACTCTGTTGTCTGGGCTGGAGTGCAGTGATGTGATCATGGCTCACTGCAGCCTTGACCTCCCAAGGTCCTCCACTTGGGAGGCTCAAGTGGTCCTCCTACCTCAGCCTCCAGAGTAGCTAGGACTACAGGTGTGCACCACCGTGCCCAGTTAATTTTTTAGTTTTGTAGAAACAAGGTCTCCCTATGTTGCCCAGGCTAGTAGTGTTGAACTCCTGGCCTCAAGTGGTCCTCCCACCTCTGCCTCCCAAAGCACTTGGATTATAGGCATGAGCCACTGTGCCTGACCTACATCATGTATTTATTTAACTAGACATTACCACTTACAGAGCACTTTTTCATTTTATTCTCATCACAATTCTGTGAATTAGGCATTATTATTTGAAAACAGGGAAACAGGGTTTAGAGGGGCTCTGGGGCTTGTCAAAAGCAATCATATTTGAACTTTATCAATACTTTAATCCACATTTTCTGATTTTATGAGTGCTGCCATTTCCCTTATATCATGCTGCTTATTTGGTTCGTGCATGGAATTGTTATTATCAATTAAATATAATCTCTACAGAATGAATGATAATGAACATTATCATGTGACAATAACATTGTGCAGCCATTCAGAGGGCACTTCAAACTTTGGATTTTCAGAGGCAGTATCTCCAGTAATTAGCTGTCTTTAGAAAAATAGCATCTATAAATGCTTCTTAGTCCTGCCCATAATGAGAGAGTTATTGACAAAGCTAGGATGTGAACCACGTTCTAGCCATGATTCATTTTTAAATTAAAATATCATTATATATGTTAGGGAAGAAAATAAGGGCCTTTAATCATGAATATGTCCTATATAGAACCAAGATACCAATTTTCTCACGTCAGTTCGCTCAGTAAATGGTAAATTTGAATGCATTTGCCATAAAGACAAGAATAAGTCCTAATATGAGAATGAAATTTGCTGCCCCCATGTTATGGTTTGGCTGTGTCCCCACCCAAAATCTCACCTTGAATTGTAATAATCCCCATGGGTCATGGGTGGGACCAGGTGAAGATAATTGAATCATGGGGGTGGTTTCCCCCATGCTGTTCTCATGATAGTGAGTTCTGATGAGATCTGATGGTTTTATAAGGGGCTTTTCCCTACCTTTGCTCTGCATTTCTCTCCCCTGCTGCCACATGAAGAAGTACATGTTTGCTTCCCCTTCTGCCATGATTGTAAGTTTCCTGAGGCCTCCCCAGCCATGCTGAACTGTGAGTCAATTAAACCTCTTTCCTTTATAAATTACCCAGTCTCAGGTATGTCTTTATTAGCAGTGTGAGAACAGACTAATATACCCCATTAATTTATCTCACTATAAAATTATTTAAAAATATTTTTACTATTGTTATTTTATCCACTTATGAGAACTCAAAACGTCCTTTGAAATAAATAGGGAAATATTTCCAAAAATAAAACATTTTATTTGTAGAGTTTCTTTTCTCAATGCTACATAATCAAGCTCCACTTGAGGACCTTAATAACAATCTTTATCAAACTCTAAAAGGAATTTTTATCTTTCATTGCTAGGCAGAATACTCACGACTTACCCTGGTTGTCTGAGCAGTCATTATCTAGAATGTTACCGGTTACTATGGCAGAAAAAAGAGAGCATTAGAGAGTCTCCCATTGGTAATTAATTTTTCTGTCAAAAAATGCCATGTTACTTCCTTCCACAAGTCATTATCAGAACTAGTCAATGATGACTGTGTTCCAGTCTTTTGCCTGTTTACTCTGAGGTCCTTTCCCTTCCCTTTTCAACCTTGCCCTGGTTTTCAAGAACTGCATTTCATAGGCCTTTTTGCTCTCTGGATTCCAGGTAGTTTTGGCCATTGGGAGGTACTCATGGCAGAATGCAGAGGGGGTGGGGGTAGTGGATAAATTAGATTATTTCATCTCCTTCTTTCAGCCTTGGGCAGTATCTCTAGCAGCAGTGGCTTCTCTGTGATTTCACCTCCCAACTGACAGCTTGATATAGTTCCAACTTCCACGAATGGCTTCCGGGGTCTGTTAATCGTACTTTCTCTTTGACCTTCTTCGCCTAAAGATATAACCAACTCCTAGGTGGCTTTCCATCCTCTATTTGGCCTCTCAGCTCTTTTAACACATGCATAAACATTTCCCTGTATTAAATTCTCTGTATTGAAATGTTAATGTGGTTTATGTTTTTGAGGAGCTCCTAACTAATAAATCCAGATTAGGACATTCAATCTTATCGTGTTCCCAGAGGACACAGAACTGGAAATATTTGGTGAACAGCTCTCATGATTGCTGTACTGCCTATTTACATCTGACTTGCAATCTACCTCTCTCCAGCCAGACCTCTACTCTAAACTATAGGACCGTATATATACATATATCCAATAAACTACCTGCTTTTGAATGTTTCAGAGACACAGTAAACTCAGCATGTCAAGGTGGCAACACATGCTCAATCCCCCAGCAAACCTCATCCTCTCCTGCTCCCTCCCTCATGCATTTTGTTAGTCGAGACAAACATAATTAATTCTTGCAACTTCATTCCCTTTCAGCCTGCACAACCATAATTTTAACCATAATCATAATCATAACCATAACCATACCAATAATTAAAACCCACAACCTTTACAATTATGTAACCTGTGATACCCTGAATATCTCTCACTTCTATTCACTTCTCTACATTCCACTGCTATCACCCTATTCCAAGCTCCTGCCTTCAACTGAATGATTGCAATAACGTCTTAACCTTGTACTCAATGTTATATTCTCAAAATTAAAGTCAATCATTTTTAAAGACCTCCAAAGATTCAAACCTTCAGTGAACGAAGGTCGTGACCTTCAGTGGCTTCTAATTGCTCTTAGGAGAAAAACAATACTCCTTAACATAATCCTAGAAGACCTAGCAAAAACTTCCTCTTCAGCCTTATCTCCCTCCCCACCCCTGCCCCTGATATGCCATCTTACTCTCTGAATTCTGGCCTCACCAACTTCTTTAAGTCATTTATAAGTGTCAGTCCTTCCCAACCCCCAACATAACCTCGGGCTTTTAAATATACAGTTACCATTGTCTGAAACACTTTTCTTCCTTACTCTCTATGTTAACATCATTTAGTAAGGATTTACTTCAGTGTTATAGCCTCAGGAAAAACTTGCCTGACCACCCTGACTACATAAAATACCCTGTTACACACATTCAATTGTGTCATGTACCTCTGCCAGGAAGCATTAACAGAATTGTGATTTTACATTTCTTCGTGTGATTCTTTGGTGAGCAGTAATCTCCTCCAGTCACAATTGTCTTTAAACTCTTTGAGGTGAGAGACAATGGATGATTTTGCTAACCATTATATCCATAGCTCCTATCAGTGTCTGGGACATAACTAGCTCTTAATAAGTATTTGATAAATTAATGAATGAGAGCACTCTTCTTCTTCCCTCCCTTCTTCTATCCTGTCTTTCTCTCTTTCTTTCTCCCTCCCTTCTTTCCTTCCTTTTTCATTGTGTATTTACTATTAGGAAATGACAGGTCTGGTACTGAACAGTTAATTTCTACCTATAATTTTTAATTCCTCACCAGTACTTTCTTTGGTTGATGTGGAGAGTATTCAGACAGTGTCTAAGTTAATTTTGTGTTGCTATAAAGGCATACCTGAGGCTGGGTAATTTATAAAGAAAATAGGTTTATTTGGCTCATGATTCTGCAGGCTGTATGAGAAGCATGGCACTAGTATCTGCTCTGTTTCTGGTGAGGGCCTCAAGCTGCTTCCCCTCATGGCTGAAGGTGAAGAAGAGCTGGCATGTGCAGAGACCACATGATGAGAGAGGAAGCAAGAGACAGACAGGGGGAAGGAGCGAGGCTCTTTTTAAAAACCCCCTTTTTTCTGGAACTGACATTCTCACCCAAGAGCCAATCCAGTCTCATGAGAGCTAGAACTTACCACCATGAGAATGACATCAAGCCATACATGAGGGATCTGCCCCCATGACGGAAACAAACACCTCCCATCAGGCTCCATCTCCCAACAACACCACACTGGAGATCAAATTTAAATATGAGATTTAGGGGGACAAACTTCCAAACTATAGCAGACAAAATATTTGTGGTCATGGGCAGCCTATCATTAGCAGAGAGAGGGTGCAGATTTTCACATCAGAAGGAATAGGTTTCGAGTCCTAGCTTTGCCACTTGCTTGTTTTGCACTCTGGGCTATTGCAATGATCTATCTGAACTCAGTTTCCTTCTTGGTAACATAAGAGGATAATCAGTGCCAGCTTGTGGGCATTACATTGTAGTAATTATATATCTAATGAAACAAACTCACATGTAGAAGCCACTCAATAAATAGTAGTCATTTTGGCCGTTGTCAAAAAATTATTAAGTAATTATAGATTTTAATAAGAACTATTAGGTAGCATAGTGTATAGGAAAACCTTTACTGAGTGTTCATATGTAATGTTTGAATCAGACAATGAAACATAAATAATGGATAAGAAATATAACGTACAATTTTGGAGGATTAAAATGCAGTTCATTTAGTAAATACTATGTGAAAACAATGTGTGTAGGTGCACGACTATATATACACACACTGCGCCTGTTTCTATTTGCCTATATATTCTTTTTTTACCTGTATACTCTTCTATTAATATTATTTAAATTGACAAATCATACTTGTATACCTTTATGGAGTACAGTGTGATATTGTCATGTAGGTATACAATGTGGAATGATCAAATTGAGGTAATGGATAGGTCCATATATCTTAGGTGAAAGTATTGTAATAGCACCCACTGCTGTCAATTTTTTTCATTAACTTTTGTGTTGTTTAAAACACTGTGTTTCAATACTTTTTTAAGTGTTTTTAATTCTTTAGAAAGACAATTCCACTGGAATACCTTGATCTCTTACTTCATAGAGGAAAAGTAGAGGAAAGAAAAAGCTTGTGCCTCTTTACTGGTACCCCCAACAATGTCTGTCTTTGTGGGGTGAGAACTGATGTCATCTTTGGCAGCTATATGGCTGATACTGTTCTGTGAGATTGCAACATATCCAGCACATGCCTGATAGGAAACCCTTTTCCAAATAGTAAACAACCCTTCACAAGGCAGCTCTGCCAAAGCTATGTATTGCCATTCAACAGAAGATCAACAGGACAGTCCTTTTCTCTTTACTTTAAAAAGCATATGCCTTTAATGATGTGTTATCGTTCAAGCCATCTGCAGATGTACTGTCCATCCAAATTGCCAGGGTTAAATTGTTGATTATTAGAAATTGTTGTGATTGTCTGATTATGCTTGTGTCATAAAATGACTATTTTCTGTCACAATTTGACGAGCCCCTGCTTTAGAATAGCAATACAACACATTTTACCCATTTGCAGGTATTTCAAGTATTAAATTGGATGAATCTTTTTAATTTTCTTCTACTGAATTGAGTTCAAGTGAATTTGATAGGATTATTAGAGCGGCTAGTGTCTGGAATAACAATGATGACTTACAGAAGGAGCCAGCAGGGCTGATGTTATTGACGAAGAGATACTTTAGACCCTTTATTTGTCAGCAGGGAGCCCTGCTCTGTGGTTCCTCTATGAGTCCTTCCCTGTGTACGGTGCCCGCCTGTTTTACTTTGAAGGCACTAAATGCATCTTTTCAATCAATATTCAATTATATAAGACAAGGAATGCTGGTTAAGTAACCATGCCTATCTGTCAAGGAAATGCATTTCTCCAAATAATTTGTCAGGGCTTCTGGGTTAGTTCATCTTTCCTACCTCTGGTTGAGTACTTGCCCAGTTACACTTGTCGAACACGTGCTTTACCTTCCTGCACAGAGTCTCCTTTGGTGGCGTGTTTCTTGCTTTTCTTCTGGAAACACCCTTCTCAGCTCCATTCCTTGCAGTATTTGACTCTCGCTACCCAGGAAACCAGAGAACATTCTTCCTAGTTTCACTTCATTTTCTTGCCTTCTCATATAGGCCACTGCCAATCAGCTGCCTCATTTAAATCCTGCAGTGTATGTTTATATTGGTCTTACCTTGTCCTTTCTTCCTAAATAAACCTGGGGAGCTTTGGTCATGTTCATTTTTCAACAAACCTGACTAGGTATTCTAATTTCGTAAATTAACCATCATTCTTGTTTTATTCCACTGGAAATTGACTTAACATATTATTCACTTTGGCCCAATCTGCCAGGCAGGCATGAGGATATTGCTTTCTAAGCTACCTTCTAATTGAAGAAATATGAAGATTTCACAGGTCAACACATAGGCAGTGTGAACTGGGGAGCTTTTAGCATATTAATTGGGCTCTGAATAATTCACTATAGTTAATGAAAGTTGTGCTTGTTATCTAAGATATATGGAGGGCACTGCTGTACCTTTCGTAGGACAATTCAAAAAAACAAAATAAAACATTAATGTAAAATAGATAAGCAATGCATAAATGGGTTGCAGCTCATATTATAAGAGTTTTGAATTCATTTTATTTCATTCCCATACTTCTCAACCAATCCAGCTACACCCACATCTTATTTAATTGACAGATTTGGACTGTCTTGCTGGCTAGGAGGATAAAGGCAACAAACTTTCTGACTGATCCTGGATTTTCCTCAAGAGCAAGTTTCCTTAGTTATTGGTGTGTCCTCTGGGTATCCTGCTTCCTGAATTCCACCTTTGATCCTCCTGGTTCTTAACCATCCATGTTGTCTTCAGAGTCTGCTTGTCTGCTCATTCCTGTTAATTTTTTTTTAACTTGATCTTCAATTGTGAGTCTTCTCACTTCCTGCCTGTTCTAACTTGGGCTCAACCTTGACCCCAGTCTTCAGCTCTGCAGGTGGGAGATGTATGGAATAACTGAAGTACTCCACACGGTGTTCCTGCTTATAACACAAAAGCCATTGTCATTTGACAAACAGATGATAAAGAATCTATTGTTATTATTTTTACTTTTTACCTCATTATTACTAGTATTAGAAAATGCTTTACTAAGCTTTTGCCAAATATTAGACCGTGTGCTGGGAGTTCTACGTGTCATATCTCTTTTAAGCCTCACATCATTTACAGAGGAGGCACTGAGAGGCTGTGTTGCCTCCCCTGGCCACATACTTATTAAATGAAGGGGTAAGAATTTGAATCCTGACAGTCTGACTGCCTAGCATGTGCCTTTATATTTGATGCTGTATCACACTAAATTAACACCCCATAGATCCATTCTTAAATACAAAAATCTATATCCTCAGACTTTCAGGGTGTTAACTTTGCACTGTAAGTTGGAGTCTTTACATTTTAAACAAATTTCTTACTTTCTGTTTGTTTTGGATTGTCATTGCTTATTTTTTACTTAGGAGTATAAAAATAAGATAGTGAAAGTTTGGACAACCTTACATACCTTTATCATCTTCAGAAGTCCGATTTTTAATGATACGTTAAAATAGTCACATGTAATCATTCATTCTACAAATTCAGCAACTGTTTGCTGAGTATCTACTGTATACTAGCAATGATGGAAGGCACTGGGGATGTAATGGTGAACAAAAAGGAGTCTCTTCTTCTATAGAGTTTACACATGTAAGCTGGGCATTGGCCCAGCCATGAAGAGTAAGAAACAACTTATGGGAATTTGTTGAGCTTCAAGTTAAACTCTGTTAAAAACAAACAAACCAGAAATATATATGTAGAGTGTTTAATGTGTTCTGTGGCTCTCAATAAATGATGGCGTTGAAAAATAAAATGTAGGTAATTTGATTTAATATTCAATCAGATGCTTGCATCAATCAGATGCTTGCAAACAGGGTATAACAAGATAATACTATGATATTTCTTGGAAGGTAATTTAAATTTCAGTTTAAATATTTTATTCAGCTTATTTATCGCTATGTAATTATACATAAATATATAACTTGAATCATAATATTCTAGTTTTACTTTTCTTGCTTCCTATTGGGCTTCTCCCTCTCCATCCCTTTCCCTCTTGATGCAAACCAGCCATCCCTTGCAGTCACCCCCAACAATATCAAAGTGTGTGTACTTTCATTTTTCCTCCCTATGTTCTTATATTTCTATTTAGGAATTACAGCCACACACACAAATACAGGGTTTTATTATGTCTTAGAAAAATTTAATTATCAATATTGGTGTTTCTGCATCTTGCTTTTATTAATAACACTCAATAATGAGTCATAGATAAGTTGTTAATTGGTATAAAAATACAGTTAGAAGGAATAAATTTTAGCATTTGATAGAGTATGGAAATTATAGTTAATAATTTATAATATATTTCAAAATAGGTATAAGAGGAGGAGCATAATGCTCCCAACACAAAGAAAAGATAAATGTTTCAGGTGATGGATATTCCAATTAACCTGATTTGATCATTACACATTGTATACAGGTATCAAAGTATCACATGTAGCCCCTGACATCTGTACAACTATGATATGTCAACAAAGACATACAAAAATTTCACATTACTTTTGTATTAAATAAGTATAATTTTATAAGTAAAAAAAATAGTCATTGAATCTGTCTAACTAAACAGACATAGCTCTGTTTTCTTTTTCCTAATAGGTGCCTAATATTCCAGCTGAAGTGGCATAATTTATTTTGTTTTACCCTATTTGCCACAGGCACATTGCTCCCAGGCTTTGGCATTACAAATATTGCTGCAGTAAACATCCTTAAATATATGTCCTTAAATAATTGTGTATCTGTGGAATAGATTCCAAAGCATGAGCATGATTGGGTAAAGAAGATGAGTCTTAAAATTTTAAATAGATGTTGAGAGATTGCTTTAAAAGAAGAAAAGATGTCTCAATTTTGTTTTTACAAGTATATGCGGACATTTCACATGTTGTAGATTGATCAGTTGTTGTTACTTTTAATTTGCCTAATGACTTGTACATTGGACTTTTTTTTGATAAGTTGCTTGGCTTTTAAATTTTCTCTTCTGTAAATTATCCAATTTAAATATCCTGCCAGTTTTTTTCTATTGTACTATTTATTCTCTTGTCAATTTGTAAGTATATTTTATATATTGTGGATATTAACCCTATGTGTTTTCTGCATTTCAAATTATTTTTCAAATCTAGCATTGCCTTGAATTTTTTAATGATGTTTTCCATAAATAAACATTTAAAGATTTTTGTATAGTAAATTTGTCTGTTTTAGGCATCTACCATCTTGTTTAAGATGGATTTTCTTGTCTCTTAGATTTTATGTCTTGTTTTCTAGAATTTTTAAAAACATATGTAATCTTTTAATATTTTTAAAAATTTGTAAGCCTTTGATAGATCAGGATTTTTAAAAACTTGATTTAAAATAGAGTTACTCTTTAAATTTCCTCCAGATGGAAGGACAGTTGTGATACAATGATTTAAAGCATAATTTATCATGTTCCCACAAAATTTAAGATTGTTTATTAAAAGTACCCCCTCTTTTTATAGATACAAAAATATCTTCATATAAATATTTGATCAAGTTGTCATTCATACATTCAACAAATATTAAGTACCTCCTGTTTTCCTGGAATTCTGAAAGAAGCATAGGGGTGGGGGAAGCACAATCTTGAAATGGCCACTGCTTTTTAGAGATACAGCATTCAATTTTGATAACAGTGGTGGGTCCAGAAATCTCAAAAGGCTGAAATCTGTTGATGGCTCTGTCACTAAGAGTATGACAGGTTTCTGACACTCAACAGTGCTGGGTTTTAGTTTCATCTGAAACAAAATGAGGAAGTTATGTCCAATGATCTCCAAAGCCTTTTCTAGTCCTCAAACATGACAGCAGCTGTTCAATCTCTTCTACTACCCAGCTATTTAAAGTTATCTTCTGCCAAAACAAGCAAAAGCTCATAGCTGAGAGAGAATGAATGAATACAAATAAATGAATATGAATATGTAAATTGGATAGACTGAACTCAGCCAATCTGAAATAAAGGTGAAAGTGATTTGGTGATCAAGCTCTATGTCATCTTCCTTCTCTGAATTATGGTGATGGGACAGGGGTTTGAAAACTCACTTTAATGAAAGAGGTGAATCACTCCATGGCTGAAAACAGATAACAAATTACTTGAGAAAACTGGCACCATGACATTTTGCAGGTAATTAAGCATTCACCTTCCCTGAGCTCTCACCTTGACCCCTGAAGAGATATTCAGGATTTAATCACAATATATACATTATGTGTAGATTAACCAAATTTTAAAATTGCCATTCTTAATTTAGTAGTAATTTGTTAGATTATTCTGGTTCAAATCACCTCAATAATATCGACTTTAATTAAAATAATCAGTATAATCACAATGATTCATTTTAGTGCTTTTGTTTTATATAAAAATCTGTGAAAACTTTCTTCTTTTTGGAAGACAATTTAAAAAAATAGGCTACCTGTCTTAATGTATATAACAAGTTAAGTGTAAAATCCTTTACAGGTACATATTCTTTGTAATTTATGTCTAGCATAGTCATATATTTGAAATCGAGTTAGCCATTGAAATGAAGGAAGAACTTTGTCATGCAAAGCCATTGAAACAACATACAAAAATAAGTTGAAGTTTTTATAAGTGACCATTCGTGGTCATCTTATATGTTTGAATTAAGGAAACAAACTGAAATAGCCAAGTAGATAAAGGAAGAGCTTGCCTGGCATGCAAAGCTAGAGAATACTACACAGAAAGAAGTTCAAGCACAGAAATTACAGTTCATGGGAATGTCAGAATACAAATTCTGTCCTCACAATCTCTTTTATTCGGTGAGTTTACCAGTTTTAAAGCATTAATGAAATTATTTCAGGTAATTACTGTTTTACTCCCATTTTTATTGTCTGGTGTCTCTTTAGCACAACCCATTGAATCATTCTTTCATCTTAAGTCACTATTCATAAATGCACATGCAACAGATGGTTTATATTAGATCATGTGATCCTTTGAGCCAGAGAATGAATTTCTATTTGGGTTTCATTCGAAATTATCTACCTCAGAGATAACTGAAACCTAACTTGATAGTATTCCCTGTATTCTATTTAATACTTTAAAAGAGTATGCTTTCTGTTTTTCTGGTTGTGTAAAATACACCTTGAACACATTCAGCAGACTGCTATGTACAAAGAAAGTGTTCAATAGGTGTGTCTGCTGCCGTTTTAAATTTGGGTGTTAGATATTCTAGGTTTCATCAAAATAAGGCATTGTTTCAAGTTGTTTCCACAATAAGAGCATATATGCACAGGCAAAACATATTTTGAAATGGATAAATGGATACATATGGATATGGGTGATATTTCTTAATAGCGTAGCTGGATTGACTCAGGCAGACCCTTCAGCCAGACGTTTTCTTTGAACTGGATCGTCTCTCCTGTAGCAGAGGACTCCAGCCAATGAAGTTAATTAGTGCCAGATTAAGATGGTCTCAGCAGGTGGCTGCTTCAGACTCTCTCTCTCCTCTGTTTGTTGAAGCCTCATCGTTGGAGAAGGGCTTGAGTAGTCTTGTGTTACTGACAGCTGTCTACTGTTAATGGACCATATGCAATGATGGTAAAGTTGCCATCAACTGTTGATGAACCATATGTAAATGGTGAACAGAGTAGCAGATGAATACTTAGAAACAACGAAAGGCCTTCACTGCTGGACTGAGAGTCAGAACCTTAAAATGATTTTAAGAAAAGGTTGCTAAAACTATGTCATGATCATTATACCTTTACTGCACACACCCTCTGTCACTCAGTTTGAGGATCTAAGACAGATATGCCAATGGAAAGATTATTGTCTTAGGTCTTACAAAACCTGACATAGAAGGCTATAATACCCCACAGAGACATGATTTTTCAGTTTCATTAATGAAAAGAAAATTAATAATAGCAAATTAATCACTAAGCTCAACCATTTTGAAAAGTTAAAAGTATTATTTAAGGGAACATACGTAGAAGAAATTCATTATCAAATGAAGAGTATGGGAGGACTTTTTTTTGAAAGGCAGTTTGATTCTACAGGGATGCCCTTTACTTTCTGTTAAGAGTATGATGTTCTATAAGCTGAGATGGGGAAGAAGTAGCTACTTAATTTACAGAGAGGTGATTAAAGATTATATACAATGAACATCCTCTTAAAGTAATATAATAATGATAATTGCCAATATAATAGCTAGGTATTTTGGATGTCCTACTCATTTCATCCACTCATCATTCTTATGAAGCAGATACTATCATTATCTTTATTTTATAGATGAGGGAAACTGTAGCCTAAAGAAATTAAGTAACTTGCTCAAGATTACGCAGCTGAGGGTTTTAACCTCAGTCTGTCTCTGGAACCTCTACTCTTTTTTTTTTTTTAATTTTACTTTAAGTTCTGGGATACATGTGCAAAACGTGCAGGTTTGTTACATAGGTATACATGTGCCATGGTGGTTTGCTGCACCTATCAACCTGTCATCTAGGTTTTAAGCCCCGCATGCATTAGTTATTTGTCCTGATGCTCTTCTTCCCCTTTGCCTCCCACCCTCCGACAGGCCCCAGTGTGTGATGTTCCCCTCCCTGTATCCACATGTTCTCATTGTTCAGTTCCCACTTACGAGTGAGAACATGCGGTGTTTGATTTTCTGTTCCTGTGTTAGTTTGCTAAGAATGATGGTTTCCAGCTTCATCCATGTCCCTGCAAAGGACATGAACTCATTCTTTTTTATGGCTACATAGTTTTCCATGGTGTATATGTGCCACATTTTCTTTATCCAGTCTATCATTGATGGGCATTAGGGTTGGTTCCAAGTCTTTGCTATTGTGAGTGGTGCTGAAATAAACATATGCGTGCATGTGTCTTTATAGTAGAATGTTTTATAATCCTTTGGGTATATACCCAGTAGTAGGATTGCTGGGTCAAATGGTATTTCTGGTTCTGGATCCTTGAGGAATCTCCACATTGTCTTCCACAATGGTTGAACTAATTTACACTCCCACCAACAATGTAAAAGCGTTCAACCTCTACTCTTAAGTTATGCTCTAAACTGGGTACGGTTAGTTTAAAGGTGAAGTGATTTTGCCCCATTTGGACCTTATTTCCAATAATTGGACCAGTTATTCAAGTGACATCCATGGAACATGGTATATGTTTGCTAACTCATTTTTTGAGGTAAGAATAACTGAATAAATGGGTAAAATATATGTGTAAGGAAGCTATTGTTATTGCATTGTTATGCCACAGGGGGCAGTTATTTTCCTGCCATGATACTGATGAGAGATTAATTTTACTCTTTGTAAAATGTAAGAAATTACAAGAATACTGCAAAGCTGTTTTGCAAACTCCATAAAGCAACATATGTTAAGTGTCTTGACTGCAGAAGAAAGTTGTTATACACCTAAATTTTATTGAGTCTGATTCTCTGATTTCCATTTTAGAAATAAAATGTGTAAATCTAAAGACAAAAATCCTTTATGCAGGAGTTAGAAATTATTACTCTTGGCCATCCTGCTTACAGCCCATGTAGGAAGAGATTCAGCACCCAAAAACTTCCTCCTTACGGCTTTATCTGTGGCTTTTAAGATCAGAACCATGTGTCAAAGTCTAGTGATCTTGTTACTTTTCTACAGAAAAGTTATACAGCAGAAAACGTAGGAGGGTAATTTAAATGAGGTTAGAAAGGGAAGATAATTAAAGAAAATCTAATGATTTACTAAAATGAAGGCATAATTTACAACATGTATTATACATCAAATACCTTTAGGTTAATAAAATAAAGCAAGACATACTTATTTTCAAATAACCATTCTATACTACTTCTGCCTATATTATAGGAGTTTTACCAGGCTCTCGTATCTGACAGTGAAATGATGCTCATGGACTAAAGTCTTGTATTGAGAGTTTGGAGGCTGTGGTGCTAGATTTCCTTTTACTATAGTAACTTGTTTTGTGATACTTGCTAAGTCACGTAAAAAGTTGACCTTTAGACATTCCTTCTATGTAACTGGTTTAGAATCCATGACCTCAACATTTTTTGTTAGTTATGTTGTGTTTTTAATGCTACAAAATGCTATGATTCAGGGTCAATGGGATCTTCAAATATTTAGTTATTAACTCAGCTTAAGCAAAGACTGTATTCATAAATTGTATATAATATTAGTAGAAATTTAAATACAATTGTAAAAATGAAAACAATTGAAAAATACTTAAAACATTTATTACAAAGGTGTTTTTCAAGGTTATGATGGCACAATTACACAGATTGGAAGAACTATAATTGGCACTTTCAACTTTAAGAATACTTTCAATACAACTGACAGGTTTTCAAAAGGAAGAAACTCCAATACATCAAGAAACCATTGACCTTTTCAAGTAATCATTTCCATGCTAGTGTTAACAAAAGAAACATTTCAAATGCATAATCTCATCGTGTAGTTTTTAGAGAACTGTTGCCTAAGTCACTGTTAATGTAAAATAAAGTCAGAATGCTTTTGACTTGATGCTGAAATATGTTGGATTTCAGCAAGTCTTTAAAAAAATATTTTCCCACTTGTATTATTGATGAAAATAAGATGATCGTAGACACACCATTCACCCATTTAGTGACATTTCACATAATTGTTTAACATGTTTTTCCTGTATTTATTGTTTCCACTGTTTTACTTCCATGTTGTGTTTTTTTTTTACTTGAAATGAAGACTGTAGCTTCAAACATTCAAAATGGAATTGAGACCTAAACTATTCTACCTAATGGTGGAGGCTCAAAGCTGATTATTTGAAGTATCTGAATAATCTTCTCAGTTCTTATCATAATAAGACTGTCCAAGAATGCAGATTGACATTGATCAGTTGTGAGTCTCTTCCTTATGCCCAATTCTCTTGCCCTTGCATCAGACAAGCTAAACTTTGGATACTTGTACACAACTAGTTTCAGTTTTGGTGGTTAGCTTTCAGGAAGTTAAGAAGATAGAGTTCTTATGAAAGCAAGCTAGGAAGTCTTACTTTCTACCTGTGTGGCCCTGGGCAAGTTACTTGGCAGATTTTAAGGCCAGTTTCCTCAGTAGGCTTAATGATATTGCCTACATCATTAAGTTGATGTGAATATTTCTGGAGCGAATCCATGTGAAAATGGTTAATCCACTGCCTCACATTTAGTAAACTATTCAATAAATGTCAGTCATTCTGATGATATAGATGATTATTGATGATGATGATGATGGCAGTGAAGATGATAATTTCAGAGAAGATTTTATCTGTGCAGTTCTTGTAGTATCATTCTTAACCTCTCTTGAAAAAGCATAGGTTCCATTGTATAATTACAGATTCTGGGACAGAAAATTAATGGAACAGGCTTTTGTAGGGGATGTGCAGTTATTTTCTCAAGTCCCCAACCCCCTAAAGAATATCTGATTTTTAAGAGATCAGAGTGATAATCACCCCAAAGTTGGTCACAGTCTACTAGCAAATCTCACAATCATTGCTAAACAATTGCAACACCTCTGTACCACTCTTTTTTCTGTTATTAGCAAATCACAGTTCTCCCATTAGTGAGAGCAAACATCAAAATCGCCTTACATGTCTACTCTAAAGCAAAGCACTTTGCTGATCTTTTCAAAAGAAAAGACTGGGTGCTTCTGGAATACTATCTTTTGTCTACTACATGAATACATGTCATTACCACTAGTCTTTCTCTAATTTTTATTTTTCCAGGACCTCCTATCCTGCCTCCCACATTTCCTACCTAGCTTGCTCTCTTTTCTGTTCATTTGAGTTTCCACATGCTTCAAAGACCTTAGGCTATGAGTGGTAGAGGCTGTGAAGCCTTACCTAATAGCAAAAGTGGGGAAATGGAGTATATAATTGGATATCCAAAACCAATTATTATGATCAATTCTTTGCATGAAATAATAGGCAACACTCAGATGAAAAGTATCCTAGTATCAAATATTCCATACATATAGATTCTTGCATGTTTTAACCCTTATTTATTTATACCTTGAGATAGCTCTAAGCCTTCTCCAGTCTATTAAACTATGGCAACTAATATCACTTGTACATTTGTTTTCCATCAGGGAATTACATATATCTAATTATAATCTCCCTTTTTTTTCATTTTTCTCCAACCTTAGGGAATCATAGTTTCTTTTCTTTTCTTTTCCCTCTTTCTATTCCCAATTTCATCACGTTCCCTCAGAATAGTATTACTTCCACATCTGCATATATTTTTATTCATTAATTCATTTAAAACACACAAACACACACACACACACACACACACACACACACACGCATGCACACACACCCACAGTTTCTTCATGTATCAGAAAACTATAGTAGATTTTGGAGATCCAGAAGCAATTCCAACATAAAGGTCACTTCTCTCATGAAACTTATATTCAAGCGGGTAAGTAGATCATAAGGTAAAAGCAATTGATAAGCCCTAACAATAAACATTACAAGGAGATTAACATCAATTATGGTGATGTAATGGAGAGTGGCTAGATAGGCAAGGTTTTTCTGGGGAGATCATATTTGAGCCCAGACCTGAATAAGAAAGCATCAGACAAGGAAAGATATAGGGAAGAAATACAAAGTCTCTCTGGCAGCGGCAAGTTGGCAGGTTTGAGTTCACACACACACACACACACACACACACACACACACAAAAAAAAAAAAAAAAAACTGTGACTGGAGCATGACAGGCAAGAGTAAGAATGAGACAATACTGGGATGGAGAAGTAGTCATAGGACAGATCATATTGGGCATTGGCAGTGAACTTGCATTTTGTTCTAAATATAATAGGAATCCATTGGAAGGTTGTAAGTAGGATGTGTGATATGGTTTGATTTGCCATTTTAGTTTGCCACTTTGACTGCTTTTGGAAAATGTTTTGTAGCAAGTCATAGTGGGTATAGTGAGATGTGTGGTTGGACGTTGTTACAATTCTTTTGGATTGTTCTAAGATGGTGACATTGTAATTAAAGAGAAATTGACAAATTCAGGATATATTTTGGCAACAGAGGCAGTGAGACTAGCAGATAGTCCCATTGTTTGTAATCTAATAGAATTACCCTAATTATATTTGACAAATCTGACCACAGTGCCTGGGACAAATGTGAATCAGGGATTGGGAAATTAAGTACTGAGTGGAAATTCTAACCATAAAAAAAGAGAAAAAACAGTGTAGTCAACCTTAAAAACATTTAAAATTGTTCATAAATCCCCTTCAAAATGTCTGCAAGACTTTCCATCAGACCTACCGGTGTCTTTTAAATAGGCTTTTCTGTAAAAACAAATTATTCATATTTTGAAAAGAGGAATTCTTTTTCCATTCCTAAAATACATAATTAGATACAAAATAGGTAAAGAAACTAGCAACGTGCACATGTGAATTAGGCACCATAATAGACGTTGTAATATAAATATAGTGTACATTCCTCATACTCAAGGATTTCATATTCCAGTGGAGTGGCCAACATGTAAACAACAATACAAACATCCCAATGCATCTCAGAGGGTGGATATAATTGCTCATGAAATTCTGCTCAAGGATGTCTTTCTAGAAACCGGTATTTATCACTGATGACTGTAGGCACATGAATTCCAAAGAAAAGGCCCAACATGGACCACTCTATGCGTATATGGCATGCTGTATATCAGAATTATCCAGTAGCTACAACTAGTAAAATTGTGATAAATTAATAAATGAAGTGATGAAAGAGTTGAGATGTGGCTTGCTGTGTAGGCTGCAAAAGATTCTGAAAAGCCCAGGTGCTGTGGTCAAACGTTTTTGATGTATTTGAACCTGTAAAGTGCCATACTGTTTTTCTCAGTGGCTGCATCATTTTATATTGCTACCAGCAAGGCACAGGGTTCCAATTGCTCCATGTCCTTGATGACACTTGTTATTTTCTATTACAGTCAAGAGCCACATAAGGATGTTTCAGTCAATGACGAACCGCATGTAGGATGGTGGTCCCATAAGATTATAATGCTGTATTTTTACTGTACCTTTTCTATGTTTAGATACATAAATACCTACCATTGTGTTGCAATTGCCTACAGTATTCAGTACAGTAATTTGCTATGCAGGTTTGTAGCATAGGAGCAATAGGCCATACCGTATAGCCTAAGTATGTAATAGGCTGTATCATCTAGGTTTGCATAAGTACATTCAATACTGTTCACACAATGAAATTGTCTAAGGACATACATTTCTTTTTTCTTTTTCTTCCTTTCTTTCTTTCTTTTCTTTTTTTTTTTTGAGACAGTCTCACTCTGTCACCCAGACTGGGGTGCAGTGGTGTGATCTCGGCTCACTGCAACCTCTGCTTCGCGGGTTCAAGTGATTCTCCTGCCTCAGCCTCCCAAGTAACTGGGATTACAGGCACACGCCACCATGCCCAGCTAATTTTTTGTATTTTTAGTAGAGATGGGGTTTTGCCATGTTGGCCAGGCTGGTCTCGGACTCCTGACCTCAGGTGATCCACCCACCTTGGCCTCTGAAAGTGCTGGGATTACAGGCGTGAACCACTGTACCCAGCCATTAGGACACGTTTCTTAGAACCTATCCCCATCAGTAAGCAACATGTGCCATTAAGTGACACATGACTGTACTTTGATAATAGCCACCCAAATGGGCATGAAGTATCTGTTAAGTGTTTTAAATTATGTACCAGATTTGCAAATATGGTGTACGTTTTTGGGGGCCAGATGCACAAATGTGAATCAGGATTGATAACACAAGTAAAAGTGAAAAGAAATGACTGTCTTCATAAATAATTCGCTCATCTAAAAAATATTATTGTTATGTTTGTACAAGGCACTACGTTAGCCTCAATGTATACATTAGTTAGCAAACAGAACCTGTCAAGTCCAGTGGGGGATTATGGGCATTTGTTAACTAACTACATGAATATATAGTGTGGCAGATGCTCTTGGTGCCCATCCACATGCCTTTGGCAGTGTAAAGCAAAGGCTGTTTACTTCGAACGCCTGTGAATCTCTGCCTGAGGGGTTTTGTTCCTGGTAATTACAACATACTTGGCCCACGCAAGGGGTAAGCCCTCCATGCTGAGGCATTTATATTCCTGGGAGAAGCCCTCAAGCAATGATGGATGAGAAATGGTAAATAAATAGTTCAGTTTCTTTGTCCCTCATTTGGGATACCTCTGAGATGTGTTCTATATTTTCTCCCAGAGCTCCATAGCAGGATTAAGCTCTAATTGCTCATGGTGCTAACATACTTGTGCAAATAGTACATATCATGTAGTTACCTAATAAGTCTGCACATCAACCATATGATTGCCACATAAGTTAGTACTCCAGAAACATCTCTTACACTTTAAAGGAGCTCTTAGAACTTTTTATAGGGTCGCCTAAAATATATAGAATATATTATACCACGGACTACTCTTTTTTCATCTATTAAAGTTTCAGAGGGCAAATGCCTGAAAATCTACTTTGGTGGCAATGCTGCCAAGGAGAAATGGTGACATTGCTGTGAATGAGCTTGACCCGAATGATGTTAACTACAATATATTGCTTCATGTTTAGTCCAAAGTCACAGAGAAGGCTTTTTATAAAACTACTAATCTGAGCTGATGACTAAAAGAGAAATATTTAAAGGTCTTTCCTCCTCTCCATTGACTCAGTATAAATAGGAATGACATGCACATAGTGAGGGGAGAATGTGGTGCCATGAATAGAGATTTTGTAGCACATTTTTCATTGACTTTAATGAGATGCGTGTGGATAAATGTGTTAGTGCGGTTGGCAGAGTGTCTTTTTTTTCCAAAGCATCAAGGTTTAGCCTAATGTCTCAGTGAATCTTTGAAATGGAGCTGGAATTTTAAAGATAACAAGTAGTGTTCAGAGAGCCCATTGACCCAGGGAGCTTGCAAGGCCCCTACCAGTTTCAACAGTAATGGAAACATTTGGCAACATTGAGGAATTAAGGCAAGTAGCCCTGGAGTTGTGGGCATTTATAAACAAGTGCAAAGGTAATTACAGGAAAGAGAATGGGAGAGGTACTCTAGCAGTGAATAATTTTTCATTGTGTTGATTTTGTTGCTGAGAAAAATCTCAGAATTCCTAGATTTCCATGTTTAGTTACAGGACATGCCTTTCCATAGGAAAGGCTTTGCTGATGTCCTTAGGGCAATGCCTTTAACATGTCCTTGGAACTCTTATATACTGTTGGTATGAATGTATAGTAGTACAGCCACTATGGAAAACAGTTGTGGAGATGTCTCAGAAAACTAAAAATAGGATTACCATTTGATCCAGCTGCTTAATATCCACCCAAAGGAAAGTAAATCAATATATCAAAGGGATACCTGTACTCGCATGTTTATTGCAGCACTATTCACATGGAATCCACATAAGTGTTCATGAACAAATGAATGGATAAAGAAAATGTGGTATATATACACATAAGGGAATACTATATTGTTCAGGTATAAAAAAGAATGAAATAATGTCATTTGCAGCAACATGGATGGAACTGGAAGTCATTAAGTGAAAGAAGACAGGCATAAAAAGACAAATATCTCATGGTTTCACTTACATGTGGGAGTTAAAAAACTTGATCACATGGAGGTAGAGAATGGAAAGATAGGTAAGAGACACTGGGAAGGGTGACTTGAGGGAGAGGATGAAGAGAAGTGGGTTAAAGGGTACAAATATACAGTAAAATGGAATAAATACAGTGTTTGATAGCAGAGTAGGGTGAATATACGTCACAAAAATATATACTACTTGGGTGATGGACACACTAAATACCCTAACTTAATCACTATACGTAGATACATGTAACAAAATTTTACATGTACCCCCATACATTTGTGCAAAAAAAGTCCTTAAGGCAAGACTAAAAAATAAAGACAGTGTAAGTCAGTCAGTCAACAGTTTGATTGCCTTCTATGTACAGTAAACAGTGTTAGCTGTTGTCAGGCATGTAATTATAATGCATAAACTCGATCCTCGAGGAATTTGCAATTATCTGAGAAGATTAAAAAAAGTCTGTGAGGGTAATTGATGATATCTCAATGCCAAGTGTGTTATAAATGAGGGCATTTAGGATACACATATAGAAAATAGACAGCCCCAAATGTTCCACATATTATATAATTCAGTCAATCATCATTACAAATCAGTGGAATGTACTGTTTATTACTATTTTACAAATGAGGAAAATGCCGGGGGTGGGGCATAGAAAGCTTAGTTAACTTTCACAAGGTCACTGAATTTAATAGTGGAGCAGGAATTTAAACCCAGGTAATCTGACTTCAGAGTTTGTGTGCCCAAAACATGAATCTGTATTGAAAGAAGAGAATTGCCAGTTTTATCAGAACAGGAAAAAAAAATGTTCAGCCTTGAATGAAGGGTGTGCTATAGATGAATGAAAAGAGAATGGGGTGGGGTCGTGGGAGTGTGTGGATCTGGGGATGTGTTTGTGGGGAGGTGGCACAAAATGATAATGCTTCAAGCAGCAGCTTGAAGGTGGAAATTAAAATGGCACAATATGCGTGTATATGTGGGTGGAAGAATGAGTAGCAATTCAAACCTAGGCGATTTTATGTAGGAGGTTAGTTGATGGTAGGTGGGAATGTAGATTGGTACAGGTTTTTAGGCAAGCAATTTTGCAACACCTTAAAATTTAAAAAGTACATGGCTTCTTATTCAGCCTTTCCCAAACTAGGAATGCATTCCACAGACGTACTTATACTGTATTGTTTTAAAAGTGAAAAAAATGACATAGATGACCTTCAAAAGGAGAACTGTTGGATTGTATTTTAGTGTACTCTGAAGTATTTAAAAAGATGGAGGCTCATCTATTTTTATAGACAGCGAGAGATGCTTGTAATTTATTGTACAGTGGAACAAAGTGATTTGATGAACAATATGTATAATATGATTCTATTTTAAAAATTAATCAAGTCAAGAAACACTTATGGAAGCCTCACTATGGGCTGGGCACTGGTTCCAGTATATGGGATACTGTAGTGGACCAAACATGCAAACAGATCATACTAAACAAATCTCTGACTTCTTGGAGCTTACATTCTTGAGGGGAGATAGACAAGAAACAATAAGCAGAATAAATAAGTAAATTATATAACAGAAGTATATCAGTGCATGAAAAAATAAAAAGAAAAGGAGATCAGGTAAATAGGATTGGGGGTGCTGATTGGGGGTGGGGTGGGAGATAGTCTTAAATGGGGCAGTCAGGGTAAGACTCATTGAGTAGGTGAGATTTTAGCAAAGGCCTGAAAAACATCAAGAGGAACAGCAGTGGGTCAAACATAGGCCTTAAATTGGGAATATGTCTGGTGTTCAAAGAACACCAAGAAAAATGGTATGGCTGGTGTGGGAGAAGTGAGGGGAAGAGTAGATGAGAGGAGGTTGTAGAGTTATTGTGGGGTCTGGATTATATAGGTTAGGACTGTCCAAAACAAATATTATGTGAACCTCATATATAATTTTAATTTTTTAGTAGCTACTTTGAAAAAATGGAATACCAGGTGAAATTAATTTTGATAGTATATTTTAAGGTAATATATTCAAAATATCATCATTTTAACATGTAATCAATAAAAAAGTATTAATGTGATATTTTATACTTTTCGTACTAAGACATTGAAACCTGCGGAATATTTCCCATGTACCACACATCTAAATTTGGACTAGCTACATTTCAAATTCTCAATAGCCTCAAGTGGCTAGTGGCCATCATATTGAACGACAGGTATAGAGTTGTGTAGGTCACTTGTTATGATTTGGCTTCCACGTGGAGTGAAATAGTCATTGTGGAAGTTTGAGCAGAAGAGTGACTTAGTCTAATGTACATTTAAATGGATCACTCTGATTGGTGTGTTGAGAAATGCCCAAGTTTGGAAGGAAGAGGGGAATCGTGCATAGAAGCAGGGAGGCCTGTTAGGAGGCTGTTGCGCCAATCCAGGCAAAAGATGATGGAGACTCACTCAGATCCAAGTGTTAGCAGTCAAAATGGGGAGAACTGGTCAGATTGTAGATTTATTTTGAAAGTAGAAACAGTGTAGTTTACTGACATATTGAATGGGGAAAAAGGTTGAAAGGTGAAAAAGGAATGTCAAGGATAATATCAAGGCTTTTGGCATAAGTGGAAAGATGGAATTTCCATCAGTTGAAATTGTGGTTCTGCAGGTGGCACAGATTTGGAGGAAAAACTTAAGTGTGAGATTGCTATTATACCCCCAAGTGAAGATTTGAGTTGTCAGTTGGATATATGAGTCTAAATTTGAGAAAGAAGTCTAGACTAAAGATACAAATTTGAGAGCTATCAGCGTAAATAAAAATTATTTAAAGCTGTGAGACTGGATGAGGTCATTAAGGGATTGAGGGTAGATGGGGAAGAGAAGAGGTCTGATGACTGAGTCTTGGAACCCTCTAACACTATGGGGACTAATACCAGTCTGGATGGATTTATACCATATTGATGATTATTTTTACCATTACGTAGGAGAATTTCAAGGGCCTGGCCAAGAAGGGGAACTTTTAATATATAACTGTATTTTTAATAATAAATATATATAATATACATTTATATATTATATATATAATAAATGTATATAAAATAGAATTTTATAATAAATGTATAATGGTTCTGGAATTTAAAAATATGTGAGCAATACAGAGAGGACTTACAGCTATAGCTCAGATATATAAAGAAGTTGTGAACTTATCACTGTTGTCCTTACAACAAGGAAAAGCTTGACAACTAATTATCAATGGATATTGATGTTCTTATACACATAAGAGAACTGAATTTGCAGGGCGAACTTTCATCGCAAACCTAAAGAGGCAGGTACCTGCAGGAAGTCATAAACTGAAGCATTTGCTTACCTGGGGCTGAAGCCTCCAGATGCCATGAAACCATATGAGGAACATTAAACTAGAAAGTCTGATGAATTGCTGGGGTGGTTAAGTATGGGCTAGCAAGAGTGTGTACAGCTCCTTGAGGGCCACAGTCATGGGTGTGGGGTGTGGCTTATACTTACCTAGGCTTTTCCTTCAGTTAGTACACTAGGCTGTCATTAGGAAGATTGGGGATAATCCAGAGAAACCTACCTACTGACTTTCTCTCTGCCTTGGTGATTGTAGAAGTTTCTAAAGGATATTTTCACTGGATATAAGATTCTGGGTTGGCAGGTTTTTTTTTTTCTCTCACTCCACCCAATTCCCCGAATGACTAAGAAGAGCATAGCACCCTGACAACCTGTGATGGACATACAGTGTGAACAAGAAATTAACTTTTTTTGTTTGTATTTTAGCAAAAACAAACAGCAAGTTGTCAGTACAATCATGTTGATTCTGGAAAGCAAGCATAAGGAAATTTTATGTTTTATATTACATACAGATTGGGGAAACCATTGGATGTCTTGAAGAAGAGTAGTATTTGATTTACCCAATAAAATCATGTTCTTTGAATATTAATCCAGTAGCGATGTATAGGCAAAGATTCTCCACTTTCTGAACTAATTCTGACCCTTGGCTCTATTATGTGTCTGAAGTTATTTAATAGGAACAATAATAAGAACCCAAACCAAGTGATAATTACCAGAATCCTATTCATACTATTAAATAGAATTAGCTTTGTGTATTGTTTGAGGCTATTTTTTTTAAAAAAAGAGAATTTTAATAGTATCTTAATGCTTTATATAATTTCCCACAAAATAATATAAAAATACTCATATTGAGTAATTCTACCTGTTTTTACAATTAAATGTCCATCGCTAAATAATATTTAGCTAGGAATGTAGTTCCTTATTATTGGCTGTTATGCCAAAAGATAAAAAATTTCTTGTTCTATAATGCCTTTAAAAATAGTTGTCTATTGAAAATATATCTATTTTTTTTTTCTGAGACAGAGTCTCACTGTGTCGCCCAGGCTGGAGTGCAGTGGCCTGATCTCGGCTCACTGCAAACTCCACCTCATTGGTTCACGCCATTCTCCTGCCTCAGCCTCCCGAGTAGCTGGGACTACAGGTGCCCGCCACCATGCCCAGCTAATTTTTTTTTGTATTTTCAGTAGAGACGGGGTTTCACTGTGTTAGCCAGGATGGTCTCGATCTCCTGAACTCGTGATCTGCCCACCTCGGCCTCCCAAAGTGCTGGGATTACAGGCGTGAGCCACCATGCCCGGCCTATATCTATTTTTTACCGGACTTTTAATTAAATAAGAATCTAGAGATTTTACCTAATTAAGGAAAAGCATGTTGGCTTCAGAAATAATTTTTATGCATGCCCCATAAGTCTTTGAAAAGACAATTTAATATTATGCCTAATGTTATTTTTGCTTTGGGAGAAAAGTAACCTATAGCCCCAAAAAGTCTTATATATGATGGGTTGTCACTCATGGCAACTTACAGCAGGAAGGATTGGGTCTAGATTTTCCTTACTTTGCCTCAGATTTTTCATTTTCGAAAAAATGCCCCTTTTCATGTGTTGCAACTGAGGAGAGTTATGAGTCAAACGCATCCTGTTTTCAAACTCATACATGATATTTTGGTTAATAAATGCATCAGGACCTGGAGGACAATTGACATATAAAAGAAACATAGAAAGAAGGCAGCCAATTGTGTCTGTTTACAGACTAAATATGACAAAAAAAGGTCTGTGAGAGTTTTAAGTTCTGCCTGTTCCCTAGAAATTTCTACTCATTTGAAGATGAACCTTGATTGAAATGTAAAGTTTCAACTTCTAAGAAGCTGAGTAACATACACAGCAGGAACTGCCAATATCGTTTTAATAGACATGTCTTGTAAAGGTGAATTTCAATGAGTTTTCAGAGCTTTCTGAACAGTATTATCACACGTTTTAAGTAAATAGGTCAATGTTATCATTTATGTATAATTTTATTGCTTTAGTGCTATATTTTTATGATTATTTTACAAATACTTTACTAAGAATATACTGAAGTCTCCTGATGATTTTATGCTCTTTCTTATTCTTGTTTTACTCGAGAAGTTTTAACTTTGAATCCCTACTTAGCTACTTTAAAACCTGTCTCATTTTTCCAACTTACACCTTGCATCATCTCTCTTTCCTTAGAGCCCAGACATCTTGCGGAGCCATTCACTTCTTCCTAACATTTTAGATACTCCAATCTTTTTTCTATATTTGATTATTTATTTGTGAATCTCAAGAACAGAAGTAGTCTATCCCCAAAACATGCAGAGAGCTGGAAAAAGTATAGACATATACAATTTAATGGAAGGAAGGAAGGCAGGAAGGAAGGATATGAATTATATCTCTAAATTGGAAACTTCAAGCCTTATGTCTTTATAATGATATATCATAATTTCCTTTTAAAAGTCAGGAACTCAGACCAAGACACAAACTCATGCACATGCTAAACTGTGAAAGCATACATTTACCTGTGGTGACGTTAGCTGGCAGTTTTAGTTGGCTCAGAAAAATAATCTTACATAAGGAAAGAGCCTCCCTCCATGAGCAGCCTTGAAAGTAGAAAATTTAGGAAGAATGTGTCAATGATCAAATCTACTGAAAATCAGCAATATCTTTTGCATACTTGTGGAGTAAGGTGTGACAAGTTATTAGTGGTATGGATGGCTGAGCTTTTCTGGAAAGAAGAGGACATTTTTCAAATGTGCCTTGTATTGTGCATGGTCCTTTCCATGGTTATACCTACATACTGGCCAGTTGTAAACATTAGATCATATTAAAATCATTCATGGATCTTTCAAAAAGACTTAGACTCCCACACAATAGTAGTGGGATACTTTAACAGCCCACTGGCAATATTAGACAGATCATCGAGACAGAAAATTAACAAAGATATTCAGGATGTAAGCTCAGCTCTGGACCAAATGGATCTGATAGATAGCTACAGAACTCTCCACCCAAAAACAATAGAATATACGTTCTTCTCATTGCCACATGGCATTTACTCTAAAATTGATCGTATAATCAGAAGTAAAACACTCCTCAGCAAATGCAGAAAACTGAAACCATATAAAACAGTCTCTGGGACCACAGTGCAGTCAAATTAAAACTAAAGACTAAGGAATTCACTGAAAACCGTACAATTACATGGAAACTGAATAAGCTGCTCCTGAATGACTTTTGGGTAAATAATAAAATTAAGGCAGAAATCAAGAAGTTCTTTGAAACTAATGAGAACAAAGATACATCGTACCAGAATCTCTGGCACACAGCTAAGGCAGTGTTAAGAGAGAAATTTATAGCACTAAATGCCCACATCAAAAAGTTAGAAAGATCTCAAGTTAACAACCTAACATCACAACTAAAAGAACTAGAGAACCAAGAGAAAAATCAAGCCACAGAAATACAAACAACCATCAGAAAATATTACAAATACCTCTATGAACATAAACTAGAAAATCTAGAAGAAAGGGATAAATTCCTGGACATAGACACCCTCCCAAGACTGAACCAGGAAGAAATAGAATCCCTAAACAGACCAATAATGAGTTCTGAAATTGAGGCAGTAATAAATAGCCTACCAATCAAAAAAAGTCCAGGACCAGATGGATTCACAGCTGAATTCTACCCGATGTACAAAGAAGAGCTGGTACCATTCCTACTGAAACTATTCCAAAAAATTGAAAAAAGGGGACTCTTCCCTAACTCATTCTATGAGACCAGCATCATCTTGATACCAAAACCCTGCAGAGACACAATAAAAGAAAGAAAACTTCAGGCCAATTTACTTGATAACATTGATGCAAAAATCCTCAATAAAATACTGGCAAACTGAATCCAGCAACACATCAAAAAGCTTATCCACCACAATCAAGTAGGCTTCATCCCTGGGATGCAAGCAAGCTTGGTTCAACATACACAAATCAGTAAATGTGATTCATCACATAAACAGAACTAAAGAGAAAACACACATGATTATCTCAATAGATGCAGAAAAGGCTTGTGACAAAATTCAACATCCCTTCGTGTTAAAAACTCACAATAAACTAGGTATTGAAGGAACATACGTCAAAATAATAAGAGCCATGTGTGGCAAACCCACAGCCAACATCGTACTGAATGGGCAAAAGCTGGAAGCATTCCCCTTGAAAACTGGCACAAGGACGCCTGCTCTCACCACTCATATTCAACATAGTATTGGAAGTTTTGGCCAGGGTAGTCAGGCAAGAGAAAGAAATAAAGAGTATTCAAATAGGGAGAGAGGAAGTCAAACTAACACTTTTGAAGATGTTTAAAAAAAGCAATGGGGAAAGGATTCCCTTTTCATTAAATGGTGCTGGGATAACTGTCTGGCCATATGCAGAAGATTGAAACTGGACCCCTTCCTTACACCATATACAAAATTTAACTCAAGATGGATTAAAAACTTAAATGTAAAACCCAAACATATAAAAATTCTGGAAGACAACCTAGGCAATACTATTCAGGACATAGCCTGGGCAAAGATTTCATGATGACGACACCAAAAGCAATTGCAACTAAAGCAAAAATTGACAAATGGGATCCAATTAAAATAAAGAGCTTCTGCACAGCAAAGTAACTATCAACAGACAACCTACAGAGTGAGAGAAAAATTTTTGCAAACTATGCTTCCAACAAAAGTCTAATTTATAAGGAACTTCAACAAATTTACAAGAAAAAAACACCACCCCATTAAAAAGTGGGCAAAGGAGATGAACAGACACTTCTCAAAGGAAGGCAGACACATGGACAACATGCATGTGAATAAAAGCTCAACATCACTGATCATTAGAAAAATGCAAGTCAAAACCACAATGAGATACCATCTCACACCAGTCAGAATGGCTACTATGAAAAAATAACAGATACTGGTGAGGTTGTGGAGAAGAAAGAACACTTATACACTGTTGATGGGAGTGTAAATTAGTTCAGCCATCGTGGAAGAGTGTGACAATTCCTCAAAGACCTAAAGACAGAAATACCATTCAATCCAGCAATCCCATTACTGGGTATATACCCAAAGGAATATAAATTGTTCTATCACAAAGACAGATGCATGCATATGTTCACTGCAATACTATTCACAATAGCAAAGATATGGAATCAACCTAAATGCCCATCAATGATAGACTGGATAAAGAAAATGTAGTACATATATACCATTGAATACTATACAGCCATAAAAAAGAATGAGATCATGTCCTTTGTAGGGACATGGATGGAACTGGAGGCCATTATCCTTAGCAAACTAACACAGGAACAGAAAACCAAATACCACATATTTTCTTTTAGTTGGGAGCTAAATGTTGAGAACCCATAAGACACATAGAGGTGAACAGCACACACTGAGGCCTACCAGAGGGTAGAGGGTGGGAGGAGGAAGAGGATCAGGAAAAATAACTAATGGATACTAGGCTTAATACCTGAGTGATGAAATAATCTGTACAACAAACCCCCATGACACACATTTACCTATGTTACAAAGCTACACATGTACTCCTGAACTTAAAATAAAAGAATAAAAAAAATCGTTCATGAGTCTTTACAAAATCTTAATACCTGAGTCTCAGGATTGAGATTCGAAGTGGGGAGGGGGACTGGAGGACTTTTTTTGAGTTGATAAAGAAGAAACTGGTACTTTGAAAGAAGGTATACGTTTCTTCCTTCCTCCTTTTTGGTAATATTCTGGAATCACTGATCCTTAAGACTCCCAGGATTTTCAAGTTGTATTCTGTTGCATTTAGATGCAAAATAATCTAATGTAGTATTTTCCACAATGAGCTTCCTGAAAGGCTGATCTTCTCTGAAAATGTTAGTAACCTCATATGATAAATAAGTAAATACTAATGAGTTTCTTCCAAAATATGTTTAGAACTCTAAGAAAATCACTAAAGAAATGTAAATAGTTCTTACTATTATGCAATACTTTTTCATTAGAAATACAGTACCAAATCAAGAATGCCAAGGAGAATGAGAAATCATTCATTACTTTAATCTGTTCAATTAATATTTTTGAGCATCTACTATATGCCTGGTATAGTTGTAGGTGCTTGGGATACATCAGTAAAATGCATTAATACATGACTTTAATTCTGCAGCATTTAGAAAAAAACTCTCTGATGTTTGATGGGTTTTTAAAATATCGTATAATGTTCTTTATTCATTTTTCATTCAAATTTATAAATGAATTAAAAAATAAACTAAACCAGACTAATTTGCTTTATTCATATGTAAAGTTAAAAATAATTAGATATTGATCATTTCTTACAAGATTTATTTCATTGATTCCTTTTATTCTTTTGCTGTCAAATACAAGAGTGAATTTCTATGAACTGTGGAGATTTTCAATGCATTTGAATTAAAAGACTATGATGAACAGAAAATGACACATCCATACATGAAACTTCTCTGTAAGTGAAAGCTTTATTATATATTTCTTTGGGGAAACCTTTTGCCATGAAGAAATGAAGCAGGTTCTGAAATAAATTTGAAACAAAATTTTTATGCAACTTAAGCAAATTTTACATTGGTAAATCACGTGATTTATTAGAATTTTACAAATATTACAAATGTAACATCTTACACTTTATCAAGCTAAACAAGAAATAGAATCTTTTCTGGTTGACTGGCTGACATGAAATAGTTTTTGATTCAAGCAAACTTCTGCAAGTAGCTCTTTGTAAACAGAAAAATAAGATAGATGGATATATATAGATAAATACATAAAACTAACTTATTTGACTCTTATTTGGTCCCACCAGTTGGGCTTTTAGGGATGTTTTCTGCATTCAGGAAGTTTCTTGAAATAAAGATGAGTATTTGTTGTTATGTTTGTCTGCAGAGAACAGTCTGCAAATAGTCATATGTGTTTCATAAGGATCGCCTCAACTTTCTTTTTTGTTTCTGTTTTGTTTTTGCATATAGGTAGGGTTAGACATAATTGTAAATACTCCTTCTTAAAAAGGATATATATGCATCGGAATTTAGGAAATGGTCATATAATGGCTTTGAATCAGATTAACCTGGATTTAATACAGGTCCCTAGGTATTGTGGACCCTCATACCCAATTCTCTTTGACTTTGTTTTGTCATTTGTCACATAAAGATATTAATATTTAATATACAAGGTTGTTATAAATCAATAAGATAATAAAAGTGTAAAGAGCACTGCACTGAACCTGCCTTATGGTAAGGATTCATTGGAAAGTAATTATTTGTTATTACTGTTATTATTATTAAGCATCTATTATGTGTTAGGGTTGGGAATAATAAATGGAATATTATATTGGGCATAGGTTTCAAGTGTAGTGTCTAGTTGGAGAACTAAAGAGTATATGTTTGAGGTAATAACTAAAAATAAAAACAGTAGTATGGATGAGAATAGACAGTTTTTTTTTAAATGTAAGCTTTGGAGGTTTTTGTGACATAAATATTATAAATGGTCCTGAAGAAATCTGAACCTAAATTTCTTCATGTATACAGCCCATTTATACTGTTCATTAGGTAGAAACCAGCTCGTAGATGACCTTCAATAAAGTTTGTATTGATTGCTAGGTTTTTGAGGAAACAAAAACAAGAGACAATTCAATTTTCCCAGCTTATTTCTTTTTGAACAGTAGAAAGGTGTTACATCTTGTTGCTGCCAAGTGGAGCAGATTAAAGGTCAGGACAGCATGCAAGATCTGTTTCTCTAATAGGAACATTCCAGCACACAGGAATGGGGGATGGAGTAATTTTTAGTCTATGTTTCTCATGAAAGTCAAGAATAGCATAACATTAGAGGTACTTTTTTGGTCTCATGTTTATTCAGTAGCTTTGACCGTAGAGTTTTTTCCTATTTAGTGACTATATTCTACTTGGAAAATATGATGTAAAAGAAATTCGTAGAGAAAAATGCAAATACCGTTGCATATCCCCAAGTAATTTATGCTTTTTCTTACCCCCAAATTCTTGAAATATATTCATTTGTAATAAAAAAAGTCCCTGCACCTGGAGTTATCTTTTATTTTCCTTTCTTTTTTTAATTACTCTGACATATAATTGTAAGATACATATTTATGAAGAGTTGAGACAGGCCAGAATCAAATTTTCTTGTCCAGCCTACCCAGCTGCTGATGGCCATCTCTGAGATAACCAACTTGCTCACACATGCTCCTAATGATTTCTGTTATATAGTTGAGAGGGAGTGTCCGTCTGTCAGCACTAAATGCTATTTGTGAAATTAATGGCACAAGGAAACAATGTAGCTCTGATACTAGTTGCAGCTATACATGTTAGCTGATTTTGAAAAAAGGTTGGAATTTAGTAATATCTTTCAGTCACATGGTATTTTTCCCTCTACTCTTCCCCTGGTTCATGGCATTCTAAGCATATCAAATTACCTACTACTTGTTATTGCAAATGATACTTTTAAATTTCTGATTTGAGATATTACTTGACCCATATAAAAATACAAAATGACTGATTTTTTTTTATTATTATACTTTAAGTTCTAGGGTACATATGCACAACGTGCAGGTTTGTTACATATGTATCCATGGGCCATGTGGGTATGCTGCACCCATTAACTTGTCATTTACATTAGGTATATCTCCTAATGCTTTCCCTCCCCTCTCACCCCACCCCACCACAGGCCCTGGTGTGTGATGTTCCCCTTCCTGTGTCCAGGTTTTCTCATTGTTCAATTCCCACCTATGAGTGAGAACATGTGGTGTTTGGTTTTTTGTCCTTGAGATAGTTTGCTGAGAATGATGGTTTCCAGCTTCATCCATGTCCCTGCAAAGGACATGAACTCATTTATGGCTGCATTATATTCCATGGTGTATATGTGCCACATTTTCTTAATCCAGTCTATCATTGATGGACATTTGGGTTGGTTCCAAGTCTTTGCTATTGTGAATAGTGTCACAATAAACATACGTGTGCATGTGCTTTTATAGCAGCATGATTTATAATCCTTTGGGTATATACCCAGTAATGGGATGGCTGGGTCAAATGGTATTTCTAGTTCTAGATCCTTGAGGAATCACCACACTGCTTCCACAATGGTTGAACTAGTTTACAGTCCCACCAACAGTGTTAAAGTGTTCCCATTTCTCCACATCCTCTCCAGCACCTGTTGTTTCCTGACTTTTTAATGATCGCCATTCTAACTGGTGTGAGATAATATCTCATTGTGGTTTTGATTTGCATTTCTCTGATGGCCAGTGACGATGAGTATTTTTTCATGTGTCTGTTGGCTGCATAAATGTCTTCTTTTGAGAAGTGTCTGTTCATATCCTTCGCCCACTTTTTGATGGGGTTGTTTGTTTTTTTCTTGTAAATTTGTTTGAGTTCTTTGTGGATTCTGGATATTAGCCCTTTGTCAGATGAGTAGATTGCAAAAATTTTCTCCCATTCTATAGGTTGCCTGTGCACTCTGATGGTAGTTTCTTTTGCTGTGCAGAAGCTCTTTAGTTTAATTAGATCCCATTTGTCAATTTTGGCTTTTGTTGCCATTGCTTTTGGTGTTTTAGACATGAAGTCCTTGCCCGTGCCTATGTCCTGAATGGTATTGCCTAGGTTTTCTTCTAGGGTTTTTATGGTTTTAGGTCTGACATTTAAGTCTTTAATCCATCTTGAATTAATTTTTGTATAAGGTGTAAGGAAGGGATCCAGTTTCAGCTTTCTACATATGGCTAGCCAGTTTTCCCAGCACCATTTATTAAATAGGGAATCCTTTCCCCATTTCTTGTTTTTGTCAGGTTTGTCAAAGATCAGATGGTTGTAGATGTGTGGAATTATTTCTGAGGGCTCTGTTCTGTTCCACTGGTCTGTATCTCTGTTTTGGTACCAGTACCATGCTGTTTTGGTTACTGTAGCCTTGTAGTATAGTTTGAAGTCAGGTAGCATGATGCCTCCAGCTTTGTTCTTTTGGCTTAGGATTGACTTGGCAATGCAGGCTCTTTTTTGGTTCCATATGAACTTTAAAGTAGCTTTTTCTAATTCTGCGAAGAAAGTCATTGGTAGCTTGATGGGGATGGCATTGAATCTGTAAATTACCTTGGGCAGTATGGCCATTTTCATGATATTAATTCTTCCTATCCATGAGCATGGAATGTTCTTCCATTTGTTTGTATCCTCTTTTATTTCATTGAGCAGTGGTTTGTAGTTCTCCTTGAAGAGGTCCTTCACATCCCTTGTAAGTTGAATTCCTAGGTATTTTATTCTCTTTGAAGCAATTGTGAATGGGAGTTCACTCATGATTTGGCTCTTTGTCTGTTATTGGTGTATAAGAATGCTTGTGATTTTTGCACATTGATTTTGTATCTTGAGACTTTGCTGAAGTTGCTTATCAGCTTAAGGAGATTTTGGGCTGAGACGATGGGGTTTTCTAAATATACAATCATGTCATCTGCAAACAGGGACAATTTGACTTCCTCTTTTCCTAATTGAATACCCTTTATTTCTTTCTCCTGCCCGATTGCCCTGGCCAGAACTTCCAACACTATGTTGAATAGGAGTGGTGAGAGAGGGCATCCCTGTCTTATGCCAGTTTTCGAAGGGAATGCTTCCAGTTTTTGGCCATTCAGTATGATATTGGCTGTGGGTTTGCCATAAATAGCTCTTAATTATTTTGAGATACGTCCCATCAATACCTAATTTATTGAGTGTTTTTAGCATGAAGGGCTGTTGAATTTTGTCAAAGGCCTTTTCTGCATCTATTGAGAAAATCATGTCGTTTTTGTCTTTGGTTCTGTTTATGTGCTGGATTACGTTTATTGATTTGCGTATGTTGAACCAGCCTTGCACCCCAGGGATGAAGTCCACTTGATCATGGTGGATAAGCTTTTTGATGTGCTGCTGGATTCGGTTTGCCAGTATCTTATTGAGGATTTTTACATCGATGTTCATCAGGGATATTGGTCTAAAATTCTCTTTTTTTGTTGTGTCTCTACCCGGCTTTGGTATCAGGATGATGCTGGCCTCATAAAATGAGTTAGGGAGGATTCCCTCTTTTTCTATTCATTGGAATAGTTTCAGAAGGTATGGTTCCATCTCCTCCTTGTACCTCTGGTAGAATTGGGCTGTGAATCCATCTGGTCCTGGACTTTTTTTGATTGGTAGGCTATTAATTATTGCCTCAATTTCAGATACTGTTATTGGTCTATTCAGGGATTCAACTTCTTCCTGGTTTAGTCTTGGGAGGGTGTGTGTGTCCAGGAATTTATCCATTTCTTCTAGATTTTCTAGCTTATTTGCATAGAGGTGTTTATAGTATTCTCTGGTGGTAGTTTGTATTTCTGTGGGATCAGTGGTGATATCCCCTTTATCATTTTTTATTGCAACTATTTGATTCTTCTCTCTTTTCTTCTTTGTTAGTCTTGCTAGCAGTCTATCAATTTTGTTGCTCTTTTCAAAAAAGCAGCTTCTGGATTCATTGATTTTTTGAAGGGTTTTTTGTGTCTCTATCTCCTTCAGTTCTGCTCTGATCTTAGTTATTTCTTGCCTTCTGCTAGCTCTTGAATGTGTTTGCTTTTGCTTCTCTAGTTCTTTTAATTGTGATATTAGGGTGTCAATTTTAGATCTTTCCTGCTTTCTCTTGTGGGCATTTAGTGGCATAAATTTCCCTCTACACACCGCTTTAAATGTGTCCCAGAGATTCTGGTATGTTGTGTCTTTGTTCTCATTGGTTTCAAAGAACATCTTTATTTCTGCCTTCATTTCGTTATGTACCCAGTAGTCATTCAGAAGCAGGTTGTTCAGTTTCCATGTAGTTGGGCGATTTTGAGTGAGTTTCTTAATCCTGAGTTCTAGTTTGATTGCACTGTGGTCTGAGAGACAGTTTGTTATAATTTCTGTTCTTTTACATTTGCTGAGGAGAGCTTTACTTCCAACTATGTGGTCAGTTTTGGAATAAGTGTGATGTGGTGCTGAGAAGAATGTATATTCTGTTGATATGGGGTGGAGAGTTCTGTAGATGTCTATTAGGTCTGCTTGTTGCAGAGCTGAGTTCAATTCCTGGGTATCCTTATTAACTTTCTGTCTCATTGATCCGTCTAATGTTGACAGTGCAGCGTTAAAGTCACCCATTATTATTGAGTGGGAGTCTAAGTCTCTTTGTAGATCTCTAAGGACTTGCTTTATGAATCTGGGTGCTCCTGTATTGGGTGCATATATATTTAAGATAGTTAGATCTTCTTGTTGAATTGATCCCTTTACCATTATGTAATGGCCTTCTTTGTCTCTTTTGATCTTTGTTGGTTTAAAGTCTGTTTTATCAGAGACTAGGATTGCAACCCCTGCCTTTTTTTTGTTTTCCATTTTCTTGGTAGATCTTCCTCCATCCCTTTATTTTGAGCCTATATGTGTCTCTGCACGTGAGATGGGTCTCCTGAATACAGCACACTGATGGGTCTTGACTCTTTATCCAATTTGCCAGTCTGTGTCTTTTAACTGGAGCATTTAGCCCATTTACATTTAAGGTTAATATTGTTATGTGTGAATTTGGTCCTGTCATTATGATGTTATCTGGTTATTTTGCTTGTTAGTGGGTGCGGTTTCTTCCTAGCCTCGATGGTCTTTAAAATTTGGCATGTTTTTGCAGTGGCTGGTACTGGTTGTTTCTTTCCATGTTTAGTGCTTCCTTGAGGAGCTCCAGACCTGCCCTACAAGAATGACTGATTGTTAGAGACTTTTTTGTGTTTCTATGGAAAAATTAAAACATATGTGAGAGAGTAAACTGCTGATTATTCTATACAAAGCCTTCTAGCATATCTTTCTGACTTTCTGTAAATGGAACATGACTTGACGTCTACCTCCAACTCAATTTGTTTTTTTTTTTTTTTTTTCTGAGACGGAGTCTCACTCTGTCCCCCAGGCTGGAGTGCAGTGATGCAATCTCGGCTCACTGCAAGCTCTGCCTCCCGGGTTCACGCCATTGTCCTGCCTCAGCCTCCTGAGCATCTGGGACTATAGGCGCCCGCACCACGCCCGGCTAATTTTTTGTATTTTTAGTAGAGACGAGGTTTCACCGTGTTAGCAAGGATGGTCTCAGTCTCCAGATCTCATGATCCACCTGTCTCGGCCTCCCAAAGTGCTGGGATTACAGGCATGAGCCACCATGCCTGGCCCTTGGTGTGTTTTTTAAAACACAATCAAACACATAAACATTCACAAAGAACTACTTCAGAAAAACAAGAATTCACTGGACTAGAGAGGACCTTTAAAAAATCTGAAAGCTTCTTTGACAAGAAAGGATAATTGCTGTATATCTTTCTTATTGAGTATAATTTTCGTTTACATATTTTATTTTGTGTGTTTTTAAAAATTATTATTACCGGGTAATTATGATAGATATAACTCAGAATACGCATAGGTCAAGGCATGGGATAGGGATTGTATGGAGCTTCCATACTCCCCACTGTGTGCCACCCTCTTAGCACATCTGTGTTTTCACCAACCCAGAAGTTCTTCATACAATTTTAAAACGTAATTAATAAAAGATCTTGCAAGTCTCTGAATTTTCTTACCTTCTTACTCATAGGATCAGGCAAATTTCAATCTCTTTGTGAAAATGCTAACATGTTGAGAATGAGCAAGGCAGAGCAGTGGGGTGGATAATTCTAATAATAAATCATGAACAAAAGTAAATGGTGATGGCTGTGATGGTGTGAAATAACCTGATGGTGGCATAGGCCTCTTGAAGGAATACTCTGGGAATCTCCCTTGTAACACTTTTAAGAGCAAATTTAAAAAATCGAGACTATTTATGCATTTTTGTTGTATTTAGAAAAGCATCATGTACTTAAATGGAAGAAAAAAAGTGAGGGATACTTCCAGTGTTGGATGGTTAAGTTTTTCTGAAGTCTATGTTTATTTTCAAAGTTATTTATGACAATGAAATAATATTTAATGCTACAGCTATCACAGTGCACTCATTTATTTTTTTCTAAATTGTGAAGAATACATGGTTAATAATAGGTTTCAGATAGGTATCTGGATTCATGTGAATGAACTTAAAAAGACAGTTTTGATGATCATTCTGTTGAGGATAGAACTGTGGTATATGTGATCATGGGTTTTATTTTTCTCATGTGTAAAATGAGGTATATAATCTGAGTCTCAGGTGACTCCAAATTTTTACCATTCTTCACATATTGATATTATGTTCAAGAAATCAATAGGGATAAGGGGGAATTAAGGATAATAATTTGGTTCTACTTAATAACACACACTACTTGATTATTAACAACATTGCACGCAAGTGTTAATACAGCTCATTTGCTTTGGATGGAAGCTGTAATGTCTAAGATTCAAGCATACCTTCCTTTGGTGATGGCCTTCATTCATTCAACCAATATTTTTGTAGTGACTGTTGTGTGGGGATTGTGGTAGAATTAAAACTTTAAGGAAAAACCTATTATAAAACTCCCTCACAAAAAATACGATAAATTGAAATTTAAACATTATTTAAGAAATTTTATTACTTGGCAGATAATAAATGATACTTACTGAGTGCTACCACACCCAGGCACTATTCAATTCACTCTACAGTTATTAATTGACTTATATCATCCTCATAGTGTTCCTATGAAGTAAATGTCATTATTTCCCCCACTTTACAGATGAGGAAACTGAGGTATAGAGAGAATAGGCAGTTTGATCAAGCTTTTAAGATTGGTGAATGGAAGAGTGTGATTTGACCCCAGAGCTCTAGTGCCTGCATGCTTAAACACTATATTGCACAGCTTCTTCATTTAGATACATTGCAGAAACAGAGGAATCTAATTGTAGATGCATCTGGCTCAACTCCTTTGTGAACATAGTAGTAATGTAATCAGAAGACTTATATCCTCAGTTTTATTCTTTTATGGATTTTATATGGGACCAATGATAAACTTTCTTCATTTACCCCAGTCTCTTAATAAAAATAATTTTCCAATTCTGTGAAGAAAGGCATTGGTAGCTTGATGGGGATGGCATTGAATCTGTAAATTACCTTGGGCAGTATGGCCATTTTCACGATATTGATTCTTCCTACCCAGGAGCATGGAATGTTCTTCCATTTGTTTGTGTCCTCTTTTATTTCATTGAGCAGTGGTTTGTAGTTCTCCTTGAAGAGGTCCTTCACATCCCTTGTAAGTTGGATTCCTAGGTATTTTATTCTCTTTGAAGCAATTGTGAATGGGAGTTCACTCATGATTTGGCTCTCTGTTTGTCTTTTGTTGGTGTATAAGAATGCTTGTGATTTTTGTACATTGATTTTGTATCCTGAGACTTTGCTGAAGTTGCTTATCAGCTTAAGGAGATTTTGGGCTGAGACAATGGGGTTTTCTAGATATACAATCATGTCGTCTGCAAAGAGGGACAATTTGACTCCCTCTTTTCCTAATTGAATACCCTTTATTTCCTTCTCCTGCCTAATTGCCCTGGCCAGAACTTCCAACACTATGTTGAATAGGAGTGGTGAGAGAGGGCATCCCTGTCTTGTGCCAGTTTTCAGAGGGAATGCTTCCAGTTTTTGCCCATTCAGTATGATATTGGCTGTGGGTTTGTCATAGATAGCTCTTATTATTTTGAAATACATCCCATCAATACCTAATTTATTGAGAGTTTTTAGCATGAAGGGCTGTTGAATTTTGTCAAAGGCCTTTTCTGCATCTATTGAGATAATCATCATTCTCAGTAAACTATCGCAAGAACAAAAAACCAAACGCCGCATATTCTCACTCATAGGTGGGAATTGAACAATGAGATCACATGGACACAGGAAGGGGAACATCACACTCTGGGGACTGTTGTGGGGTGGGGGAAGGGGGGAGGGATAGCATTGGGAGATATACCTAATGCTAGATGACGAGTTAGTGGGTGCAGCGCACCAGCGTGGCACATGTATACATATGTAACTAACCTGCACAATGTGCACATGTACCCTAAAACTTAAAGTATAATAATAAAATAAAATAAAATAAAAAATAAAAATAATTTTCATTAGAGTGTATATGAGATTATGATGATGGATTTCTTATTATATCAGAATTATATTTTCATAAATTCAGATAACACTGTACAGTTATTGTTGAATACTATACTATGTATAAATGTCCACAAATCAAATTTTAACTATTCAAGGGTGCTTTCCTTTCAAAATTAGCAGAAAGATTACGTTTTCAACAGTTAATTAAACCATTTTGAAATTACAAGAGATAATGTAGAATTGTATCCAAAGTCTTATACATTTGTTCTGGCAATACCTTTATTCAGCAAGAGAGAAGAATTTATTCTCTGCAGATAACCGCTACTCACCCACAAACAGTCCAACATACAGCCCAGAGATGTAGGCTTCTCATTTTGGAAATACAAACTGTTTACAATGAGAGTATCTCTAAAAAAATTGTTTCTTAGGAGGAAAGATCGTTCTATCTTCCAGGAAAGGGAAACTCCAAGAAGTTTCTTTATTCTAAAAAATTAAGAAAGACCCTCAAACCTCAAAGCACATAAAGGAGACTTAGCAAACAATATTCTGTAATATTTGCAGAAAAACATAAACACAGCATCTTTACTAATGTTTATTTTCCAAAAATATGGTAATAATAGACATTTATTGGGAACTTCCGGCATTGCAATGCAGAACACTTTTTTATAATGAATATAAACTCATTATATAGATGAAGAAGCTGAGTTGCAAAGAAGTCAAGTAGGAAACTCATTTAAACCCTCTGGAGTCATGTCCTTCCACAGTGTTTTATATTTACTTTCTTGTAGATATTATGGCTATTCTAAATATTTGGATATTTGCTGCTCTAAAAGTCTTTTTCCTTAAAGAAAATTTTTCAAGTTGTATTTCTTTTTCACTTTAAAAGTTATTTTAAACTTAAAGGGAACTTTACAGCCCATTCTAGCTATGTTACTCTGTATTATCATTTGCTTATATCAAACATTTTGCATGCTACTATGACTATAAATATATCATTTTAAACTTTAATTTGTGCAAATTTAAAATGATTGACTTTTATTTTGCAGTTAGCAAATAAGCTCCCAGACTGACCAAAATGCTTTTAAGGGTCACATTTATGTTAAAAAATTATATGTATAAAATTCCCATTGGGAAAAGTTTGATTCCAGTATTCTTATGTAATAGCCAAGGGAGTGCCAGTTAAGTACAAATTTAATAGCTTTTCTAGGTAGGACTCCAGAATTAGTGCATGAAGGGAACATAGTTAATCTGTTTGAAGAGTTCATTAAATTAGGTTATATATGCTATTATGAAATATAGAGGAGCATAAAAGTATCCAGAGGAAAGCATAGAAACAATGCAAATTACTTAGAACCAAAAAGATTGATTTATGATGAATTATTAAAGATAAATGGATCTTAATAGTAAATGCTCTATAAACAGAGTATATGTCTAATGCCAAGATGCTAAGTTCAAAGAAGCTTTACCTAATAATTAATGAGGACTGGAAATACTCTAGCATTCTAGATATAGTTGCCCAATTAAATATGTTATAGAAAATTATCTGAAAATGGGAAGCTAACTGAGCTCATCCAAAATTTAGATGATGACTTATTTCTTCCAGTTAGAAGATAGGGATGAGGCCGGGTGTGGTGGCTCATGCCTGTAATCCCAGCACTTTGGGAGGCCGAGGCAGGCGGATCATGAGGTCAGGAGATTGAGACCATCCTGGCCAACATGGTGAAACCCCATTTCTACTAAAAATACAAAAATTAGCTGGGTGTGGTGGTGCACGCCTGTAGTCCCAGCTACTCTGGAGGCTGAGGCAGGAGAATGGCGTGAACCCAGGAGGCGGAGCTTGCAGTGAGCCAAGATCCATCTCAAAACAAAAAACAAAACAAAAAAAATTATGACTTGAATTTCAATTATGACTTGAAATTATCTTATGATAGTTTCTAATAGGTGGTTTTCCTCATTTGTTTCAATTATAATTAAAAATAGTTTTATAATTATTATGACACTTGTAAAGATAGTAAAACTCTGTTTCAGAAAGCTTATCCATTTGCTGAAGTTTGTATTGCTCTCTCATCTATTCCTTGAAGAACTTTAATATTGAAGGAAAACAATGACAACTTTTATGATAGGAAATTCCCCTGCTTAACTAAACCAGCACATATTGGTCTCAAAAATTGAGATGACCTGAATCTTTGAATATAGTTTTTTTACACGTTGAGCATTGTATATAGTTAGAAAGGGCTATAGAAACTGTTTCATGTTTAAATAATTATTTCTTTCCTTTTATAAATAATATAAAGAGTATATATCAGTTATGTATTCAGAGGAACACTTCCGAAAAACGACTAAATAGATACTTGGCCATATTTTCTACAAAATTATCTAACATAGAATGAACATATTTATTCAATAAATGTATGCTGAAAAAAGCTACATCATAAGTAAAATGAACAATAAAAAAACTAATAATATTTTCCAGTTTTCTTGATAATGATTTACACTTGTTGAACTGTGATGTGTGATATACTTGTTGAACATGCTAAGGAATATTAAGCCATGCCCTAATTTTCATTATTTTACATTCATGCATTAACTTGAGCAAGACCCTAAGATTTATTTATAGGTGCCAGTTCAGAAAGTTTTTCTTGCTGTGAAATCCTAGACCTGATGTTTTAACATATATATGGACTTTGAAACCATGTTCATTTAATGCCTATGACCAATAGTTTTAATGAATGCCTAACAACTTACTTAAACCAAACAAATAATTAGTGTCAATTACAGAAGTGTAAATTTGACTCTAATTAATGAATGTGCCAGACTCTACGCATTGGTTTAAGTGTAATTGATCTTAGGGCCACTGAGATCACTTTAAGGGTTGGAAAAATGACAACAAGTAGGAAGTGACTCAGATGTAAGAATGCTCACTCCTAGAAAGATTAATTGGTGTATTAGTGATAAACTAGTGGGTGGCTGATGTAATAATGATATCCCTATATTAAGATGCCTCAAAATAGGATCACCAACTCTAAAGCTTGTAAGTTTATACAATTACTATGTCAAATATACTCTTTTAAAAGAATATCTGTCACGTTCATTTGTCCTTTTTTCATTTTGATTTTTTTTCTTTTTCATCATTATAAAAAAAACATCCTAAGGGAAGCATACTGATGTTTTACTTTATGCTTTGAAATGTTCTCACTGAACTGTGTTGGTAGGCCTGGGTGTGGTAAATTAAGTGGCTTGTATTAAAAAGACAATGATTGCTAGCTAGTATTTTTCCATTTTCTTTGCTGTCAGCAAAGTCTGCTTTTGTTGCCATGATAACTTCTCCCCACTTTGATGGTGAAATCTGGAAGGACAAAAAAGAAGGGCATTTCTATTGTGCTATTACATTTCTTCTCTTTTGAAGAACTTCTAATACTTTGAATGATGGGTTAAAAAGCCGAGATGATGTGATGAAGCTGAATGGTGGGCAAAAGCTAAATTATGGCATATTCATTTTTTTATCAGTGCGTGAAAGGTCACTGGCTGAGGGAGAGACAGGCAAAGTCCTAGATCAAGAGAGTGAGAGGTGGCTGCTAAGTGGGGAGTTGAGAAGATCAGAATACTACGGAGTCTTTGTCCTTTTTCTGACTATTCCCTGCCTATGTTTTTTCCCTCCCTTCTTTCTCCCCTACCTCCTAACCCCAGACAACTGTCCTAATGAAAAGATTTTTAAGAAAGATGTCAAAGAAAATAGAGTTTTTAAAGAAAGATGTCAAAGGAAATTGTTGAATGAGGCACAGGGGCAGCATGAGACCAGAGTGGAGGAAAGTGATAAAGGCACTTTTTAGAAGTTAAGCCCAGAAAACTGGGGCAAGAATCAAAGCGACGCTACAGGCAGGGATGAGGTAACCAGGGTCCTGAAGATAATCATAAGGAGCTGGAGTCTGAGGCAGGAAAAAAGGCAAGTCTGGTTAAGAGGTTTAAGGCAGAGGATGACCTACTTAGAAAAAGATCTTTTCAACAGCCAGACTTCGGACTAGAGGGGAAGTAGGTCAAGAGGCCTGAGAGTAGGTTACATTCGTCTGAGAGGAAGTTGTTTTGACTAAACAAGAAGTTGTAATTATACCAAATTATGAGATCGTTAAATTAAGTAGTCATGTGCAATAACATTTCCTCCTTAAATATTTTTAAACATTTTTTTAGCAGAGTTGTTCATCATACATCAAATTTTAATTTGCATTATGTTGTGTAGTACAACTTCATTTAGACTACTTCAGTGGAAGAACAATCGAAATTTACGAACATTCTGAAAGAGTTGGAATTTTGCTTCTTGTCCGTATATAAATAGGATCAAGTTAACCTTTCATACTGTGTGAACTCCTTTGTCTTATTTCTTCGAGGGCTTTTTAAAAGATAAGAATAATGAACGTGAAAGGGATTTTATAAAAACATGATTAATTCAGGTAATTGAAATAGTTTGATATCCTAAGTAGTTTAAGCATTCTTTCTGCTACCTCATTTGGATTAATAGTTTGTTTCATCCCAGCACTTTGGGAGGCCGAGGCGGGTGGATCACGAGGTCAAGAGATCAAGACCATCCTGGCCAACATGGTAAAACCCATCTCTACTAAAAATACAAAAATTAGCTGGGCATGGTGGCACATGCCTGTAGTCCCAGCTACTTAGGAGACTGAGGCAGGAGAATTGCTTGAACCCGGGAGGCAGAGGTTGCAGTGAGCCGAGTTTGCGCCACTGCACTCCAGCCTGGCAACAAAGTGAGACTCTGTCTTAAATAATAATAATAATTAATAATTTGTTTCAAAATACAGCAGGATGGTATAGTGTTAAACACATAAATTCTAGAGGCAGATTACCTGGATTAATTCCTAGCTCTATGATTTTCTACCCGTGTGAGGATATTGGATCTTAATGTTTATATGTCAGTTCTCTCACCTGTAAAATGGGCTAATAGTAGTGACTATTTCATAGAGTGGTTGTAACAATTTATTATACAGGTGTGTGTGTGTGTGTATATAATATATACAGGTGCACACACAGTTATATATATATATACATACTTAGGACAGTAACAGAAACAGAGAAAATGCTTATCAAATATTTATGATTATTATGAGCAATGTTAACAGTAATTATATGTATCCTAAAATACTTCTAAAATAGTAATGATACTATTAATCCAATCCTAATTTTAATACTAATCTTAACAATATTTTTGTATACCATCCCCCAGCTCCTCCTGCCATTTCTTTTCTCCCCTTTATAGTAAAACTCAGAAGAGTTGCCTGTGCTTGCTCTCTTCTCATTTCTCTTAGACCTCTTCCAGTCTGGGTTTTGGAGCCACCACTCCAACTAAACTATTCCTACCAAGGTCCCGAATGTCCTCCACATTGCTGAATTAGACCCAATTCTCAATCCTTAAGGCAGATAGTTGACCTATCAGCAACAATTTATCACCTACTTCTTTGATGATGTACTGTCTTCACTTGTCTTTCAGAATTGACTCTTGGTATACCTTCAGATTTAGTTGGTCTTTCTCAGCCTTCTTTCTGATTTTGTCGACTCTCGTAGACTTCTCGATGATGGAAGAAGCCAGTCTCATTCCTTGGTCCTCTTCTCAATTCACTTCCTTAGTCATTTCACCTAGTACTGTGGTTTTAAATATCATTTGATTGTTGACAATTTTGACTAATTTATTTTCTGTTTCCAGCTCCTCTCCCAAATTCCAGATTCGTACATCTAACTCCTTACTCAAGATTTTCACTGAAAGCACTTATAGACACTTAAAATTTAATATGTCCAAAGGCTATAGAGCCAATATCCTCCTCAGAACTGGTTCCACAAACACCCATTCCCATATCAGTTGCTATAGTTCCCTGTGTCTGGTTATTCAGAACAAATTTCTTTGAGTCATCCTTCACTCCTCTCATTTTGTTATACTCCACATCAAACAGTTCTCACTTTCTGTTGGCTTGACCTTCACAAGAGATCCAGATGGTGACCATTTCTTACCACCTCTGCTGCTACAACCCTACTTTAAGTCACTATCATTTCTCTCCTGAATTTATGTGATGACATCTGGTCTGCCTGCTTCTGCTCTTCCCCTCTTCAAATCTATTCTCAACACAGAAGTCAAATGTCAGTAAAATCCTGTCAGTCCTCACCTTGAAACCCTGCAGTGAAACCACAATTCATTCATTACAAATGAAAAGTGTTTACAATGGCTTCCATGGATTTATATAGTGGCCCCCATTATTTCTTCTTATGTCATCTACTCCTATTTTCCCTGTAATTTGTGTTACTCTAGCCACAGTGACACCTCACTGTTTCTGAAACATGCTAGACATGTGCCTACCTTAAGGATTTGCATTTGCTGTTCCCTCTGCCTAAAACCATTTTCCCATATATAATCCCACAATTCCTTTACTTCTTTTAGGTCTTTACCAAAGTGTCATTTTTTTTTTTTTTTAATGTGGCTCTTCCTCTAGTTTTAAAACTATAACTCTCTAACTCCTGACTGTCACCTCTGGCATTTCCCATTTCTCCTACCCTCCTCTAGAGCTTAGTATATGTTCCAACATCATGTACCATTTACTTATTTGTTATGCCTGTTATTTATCAGTCTTCTACTAGAAAGTAAGCTCCATATGGGCAGGGAACATTTTTCATTTACTGGTTGGATCAGTACCTATTATTTTGTAGGCACTCAATAAATACATGTCAAATGAATGAGTGAATGAGTATTCTGTTGTTTTTTCCTCTCCCCTACAAATATTATGTTGAAAAGGGTTTTCCTCAAATGCAGATCTTATGCAAGATACCTGCATGATATAGGCAGTGAACATCATCTGCTACTTTCGTTTGCTAATACAACAGGCAAGCTCAACGTGAAAATTACTTACTGTGGCATCCAGTGTTGCTCTCCACATCTGGAATGTGTTTCCTTAATCTTATGAAACATTACTTTCCTATCAAGTTCTGTACCACCTATGAAGTTTTTCTTCTCTGGACATTCTTGCCAACTGTGATTTCCAATTCTTTAGAATTGGTATAGCACTTATTTTTCTTACTATACAATTTAGCCAATACATTTTATATTAAGTTTCATTGTTTTGTCTCTTCAACTAGCTTGCCAAGTCTTGAAGGGCAGAAATCACATACTATGCCTTCTGGTAAAGCAATGTACATGTTCACACTCCAATCTATAGAGTATTTTTTTTTTAAATCTTCAAAATAGGTTTTGTCTCTTCAACTAGCTTGCCAAGTCTTGAAGGGCAGAAAGCACATATTATGCTTTCTGGTAATGCAATGTACGTGTTCACGCTCCAATCTATAGAATATTTTTCAGAAAAAAATTTAAAAATAATTTTCCAGGAAGATTCCTCAGAATCTTAGTGGTAACCCAGGAGCAGTGGTTCATGCCTGTAATCCCAGAGCTTTGGGAGGCCGAGGTGGAAGGATTGCTTGAGGCCCGGAGTTCAAGCCCAGCCTGGGTGACATAGCAAGACCCCATGTCTTAAAAAAAAATTAGCTGGGTGTAGTGACACACAACCGTAGTCCTAGCTGCTTGGGAGCCTGAGGCAGGAAGATTGCTTGAGCCCAAGGATTCGAGGCTGTTGAGCTATGATCATGCCACTGCATTCCAGACTGGACAGCAGGGCAATACCCTGTCTCCAAAAGTATAAAATTAAAAAAAAAATTAGAATCTTAGGGATAAATTGCTTAAAAACAAGATAAAGTTTCAAACAAATACCTAATATACAACTGTCTTCAAAAGACATTTTTTAGTATTAATGATTTAAAGTATTTTCCCTTTCATATTTCCTTCCTTATGGGTAAGGAATGTGGAATGTCAAGCCATTTTTCATGGGTTTTATAAATACTACCTATTGATTATTCATGAAATAATATGTCCTTTTATGCTTTGTTGTTAAATTCAAGATATTATATAGCAATAAAACATTTAAGTATTTGCTGAATCAAATGACCAAACTGGAAAGAAGTGATGGTCAATTAGAATGTATACAATCCTTGTTCATTAAAATGATGGCTCACAGGCTGGGCGTGGTGGCTCACACCTGTAATCTCAGCACTTTGGGAGGCCGAGGTGGGCAGATCACAAGGTCAGGAGTTCGAGACCAGCCTGGCCAACATAGTGAAACCCCGTCTCTACTAAAAAATACAAAAAATAAGCCAGGCGTGGTGGCGGGCACCTGTAATCCCAGCTACTTGGGAGGCTGAGGCAGGAGAATTGCTTGAACCCAGGAGGCAGAGGTTGCAGTGAGCCGAGGTTGTGCCATTGTATTCCAGACCGGGCAATAGTGTGAGACTGTCTCAAAAAAAAAAAAAAATGATGGCTCATAGATGATATTCATGAAAAGGTTCTCTCTTGCCTTACAAAACTCTTCTACTTATCTGTTAATGTATACAGTTAATTTTCTACAATTGCATAAATACATGCACATTAAACATTAAAATGACTTAGTTTATGTTCCAAACTTACAAAGCCAAATAAAGTCAGTGGTAATGACAGACCTTTAACTCTCCCCATTGTTCTTAATGGCAACCATTGCTACTAAGACAGCCTGTGCAATTATTCAGTATCTCAGGAGTACAAACCATATGCTGGATAAAAAAGTAGGCAAAATAAGCTTGATGTATTAACACTAGGAGACTGCAGGTTGTATTTTGTTTCATAGATTTGAGAGAATATTTTTATTTTGTTTTTCACTATTTTTTTTCCTTCAGGAGTGTGTTGCATGTTTATTGTCTTGTGTTATATATGCAACAGTAGATTTTCTTAACTCTGTTTTTATAAAATGTCATGGATTCTTTCATTCCATTAACTTCTTTGAATGTTATGAAAAATGAGTGTTATGAATAGCTTAGGAGACTTGAGTGTTTGGAGAAACTGAGGAGACTTGGAGGGGCTGCTCAGCCCTGAATATTTCCTTTTCTTTTCTTTTCTTTTCTTTTCTTTTCTTTTCTTTTCGTTTTGTTTCTTTTCTTTTCTCTTCTTTTCCTTCCTTCCTTCCTTCCTTCCTTCCTTCCTTCCTTCCTTCCTTCCTTCCTTCCTTCCTTCCTTTCTTTCCTTTCTCTTTCTTTCTTTCTCTTTCTTTCTTTCTTTCTTTCTTTCTTTCTTTCTTTCTTTCTTTCTTTCTTTCTTTCTTTCTTTTTTTGAGATAGAGTCTCACTCTGTTGCACAGGCTGGAGGACAGTGGTGCGATCTCGGCTCACTGCAACCTCTGCCTCCCAGACTTAAGTGATTCTCCTGCCTCAGCTTCCTGAGTAGCTGGGATTACAGGTGCCTGCCACCATGCCCAGCTAATTTTTTGTATTTTTAGTAGAGATGGGGTTTCATCATGTTGGCCAGGCTGGTCTTGAACTCCTAAGTTCAAGTGATCCACCTGCCTCAGCCTCCCAAAGTATTGGGATTACAGGCATGAGCCACTGTGCTCAGCCAGCCCTGAATACTTCTGAAGTCCTTTCATTTCTCTAAATATTAAGAGAGCAAACAATAGAAAAGTAATAATCAACAAACTTGATTTCTTACAAGAAGGCTTATATGCCAATGTTTTAAAGTTTTAACATTTTAATATAGAGATTTTACATGGTTTATGTTATTTCCTTTTTAGTATATCTTTTTAACTTCTTAAAGACACAACAAATATGGAATATTAAACTTGGATAAACAACTCTTTCATTATAAAACAATTCATCCAACAAAACTGTATCAAATGCCTCCTCAGTGCTAAGCGTTCTGCTAGTCATTGGTGATACAAGTTGAATGAGGCAACCAATGACCGAGGCTTCTTACTGTTCACATTCAAGTGGAAGTGTGAGAAAATAAAAAATATGTAATGTAGAAAAGAAGGAAGGAAGGAAGGAAAGAGTCAGGGAGGGAGGGAAGGAAAAAAAAAGGGGAAAAAAGAAGGGAAATAATTATCCATTCAGATAATTGCTAAAGCAGAAGTACACAGGTACAGTGAATAGCAATTTGCAGCCAGAAAATCACTATTATATACATTTCTTTGCATGTTTCCAAATAAATAACTCTTCCAAATATCTAATCTCTTTTTTTAAAAAAAAAAAATCTTAGAACATTATTGAAAACTAGTTTATGGGAACTAGAATTGTCCTACAGGACAGAAAAATTTGGCCCAAGCAGCCCAGTTTTAGAAATCTACTTCATGTTAACATTATTTTACTTAGCTGACAAATATTTACTAAATGCTTATTATGGGCCATGCACTGATTTTGGTGATATAGCAGAGAACAAAAATAAGTCCCTGACCTCATGTATCTTATAAGAAGTAGGTGATGATTGTAATAGATCAGTGGATGATAAGCACTCTGGACAAAAATTAAAACTGGGGGAGAGTTATGTGGTGTCTGGGTGGAAGATGTTGGAGTTCTCTAGGGTGGCAAAAGAAGACCTCACTGAGAAGCAGTCATTTCAACTAAATGCTGGAAAAGGTGAGGGGGTGAGTTATGTGTGTATTAGATCTAGAGAAATGCAGGTGCAAAGGCCATAAGGCAGGCACCATACTGGTTCAAGGAAAACCAAGAAGGCTTGTGCGGCTGCAGTAGGGTAAGAAAGAGGGAGGTTAGTGCAAGATGGAGTTAGAAAGATAATGTTGTTAGGAGTGCTTTTTAAGGGTTTTGGAGCCAAGAATTAAACAAAAATCTGCTTGATGGCAGGAGGCAGCAGATGACATCTGTTTGCTACTGTCCTTCCATGTGGGTTGTATCATTCCTAGGTAATTGTTCTCATTTCTGACCAGGAGTGTTAGTCTTTTCTAATTAGCATCCTAATTATTTTCTCCAACTCATCTTCTACTTGGCTGTCTAAGTGATCTTTCCATAATGCATGTCCCATCTTGTAGTCTCAATTTAATACCCTTTGGTGACACTCCATTAGCTTTGCAAAAAGACAAAGGTCTTAAATGGTGTTCAAGGCCCTTCATAATTTGATGTCTCCAAGATACCTACACAGCATTCCTCCTCTGGGTCTTGACACTTGTAGTTCCCTCTACCTGGAATGTTCTTTTCCCATTTCTTCCCATGACAGCTTTCTTTTAATCTTTTAAATTCCTATTTGAATGCCACCTTCACTGAAAGACATTCCTTTCCTGACCACTCTTTCTAAAGCAGGTGACACGGAGTCTATATTTTCCATCATTATCATGCTGTAATTTTCCTCCTTACCACAATTAGAAATTATATATTTTGCTTTACTCTTTTGATGTCTGTCTGTCTCAGTAGTATGACGCTTCATGAAGGCAGTGATCTCGCTGTCTTTACACTTCTGTACCAACAATAAAAGCTAACACATATTTAATGCTTGTTATTTCCCAGGCACTATTCCCAGCACGTTGCATCCACTAACTCATTTAATACTTAACCATACGAGGAAGATACCATTTATTAATCTAGACTAGGCTATCAAGGCACAGAGAGACTAAGTGCCTGGACTCCAATTCCATGGCTAATAGAGTAGAAGAGACAGGATTTTAATTCACACAATCTGCCTCCATGAAATCAATGTACACTCTGTGCATTAGACAAATTTGATTATTTATTTTAGGTACCTTATACTTTCTATAAGCTGAGGCTTTCAGTAGTGCTTCCTCTGCCAGGAATGCTTATATCTTCTTTTCCCTGGCCATATGCTATCTCTCTTTCTAGTTTTCATCCACTCTTCATCTCCTTTCCAAGGCTTTTATGATATCCCCCTCCTTCCCTGCCCAGACTAAATAGAAGCTTCTCTTTGCCTAACCTCTTTGCTTCCATATGATAGTTTAGCAATTATTATGCTATATTTTAATTATTAATTTTCTTATATCCCCTAGACACTGAACTCCCAAGATGGGGACAGTGTCTTTTTTTTTTAATTCCCAGTGCTCATTATAGTTTATGGCATAAAAAGTTGGTGCTCAATAATGTTTGGTTAAATGAATGTGTGACACAGAACATTTCAACAGCATACTCATTAATATCGTAGAAATCTTACCTGGTTCAAAAAATACTAAGACATCTGTCCAAGTAGAAATCATAAATCCAATAAACCCAGGATAATAGTTTTGAAGGAAGAGAGATGTAGGTTTAGAAATTGTCAACAGCCTTATGTCACTGAAGAGAAGAATAAGAAAGCTGCTGTCTCAACCACTGAATTTAAACTAAGCTGCTTTAGACAAAGAAACTAATTTTAAGTGAGAATGAGGAAGGACAATGAGCAGAAGTTAGAATTAGCAGAAGGATTGGAGATAGGGTTTGACTTTGTGTATATCTGAATCTTTCACTAATAGGCAAAATTTATAAATCATTAATATCTCTGATATGAGCCATATTTTGTTCCTTGAAGCAATTTTCTTTTTTTAACCCTATAATGTCATAAATTTATTTTTTTTCCTTCCAACTTTTCTTTTAGGTTCAGGTGGTACATGTGCAGGTTTGTTGTGTGGGTAAATTGTGTGTTGCTGGATTTTGGTGTAAAAATGATTTGTCACCCAGGTAGTGAGCTTATTACCCTATAGGTAGTTTTTCAATCCTCACCCTCCACCCTCAACTAGGCCCCAGTGTCTATTGTCCCTCTCTTTGTGTCCATGTGTACTCAATGTTTAGCTCCCAGTTATAAGAACATGTATAATATTTGGTTTACTGTTGCTGTGTTAATTTGCTTAGGATAATGGCCTCCAGCTGCATCCATGTTGCTACAAGGATTTGATTTCAATCTTTTTATGGCTGTGTGGCGTTTCATGGTGTATATGTACCACATTTTCTTTATCTAGTCCACCATTGATGGACATCTAGATTGATTCCACGTCTTTGCTATTGTAAATGGTATTGCAGTTAACATATGAGTGCGTGTGTGTTTGCACACACATTGGTCTGTCGTCCACAATGATGGACTACATACCGTCGTTTGATTGAACAATGTTTTTTTTCTTTTGGATACACATACAGTAATGAGATTGCTGGGCTGAATGATAGCTCTGAGTTTTTTTGAGAAATCACCAAACTGCTTTCCACAGTGGCTGAACTTATTTACATTCCTATCAGTAGTGTTTAAGCATTCCCTTTTCTCCACATCCTCAACAATATCTGTTATTTTTTTACTTTTTGGTAATAGTCATTCTGATGGGTGTGAGATGTTATTTCATTGTGGTTTGGATTTTGCATTTCTCTAATGGTTAGTGATGTTGAGCATTTTTTCATATGCTTGTTGGCCATATGTATGTCTTTTTTTGAGAAGTGTCTGTTCATATCCTTTGCCCATTTTTCACTGAGGTTGTTTGATTTTTGCTTGTTGATTTGTTTAAATTCCTTATAGATTCTAGATATTAGACCTTTGTCAGATGGATAGTTTGCAAATATTTTCTGCCATTCTGTAGGGTGTCTGTTTACTCTGTTTATAGACCTTCAAGTAATTTTCCAAACATGCTTCACAAACCTTGAAGTACGTGCAAATATTTTAGATGGACAAACAGACTATATTAAAACATTTTCCAAGAGATTCCTTATCTCATTTTGTTGAATGTGAGAAAGCAAGACGAAGAGGATTTGTAACTTGTGATACAAAATAGGGCACAATCAAATCTAATCTCACCTGAGATCTTCACCTCACCTTTGTCAGCAAATAGATTCTTTCTTTTGCACCCTGCACTATAAGTATTCTGCATCTATTAGTTTTCTTATCAGCATGAATAAATAATTTTACAACATAGTTCTTGAATTAACAAACTATTTTGCTCCAAATACCTATTTCATAATTTCTCTTTAGTTAAAGTTTGATTCTGTTCTTTGTGACATTCATAGTTCTGAATTTATATTTTTACTTCTTAAGCAGGGGATTTATATTTTTTGTTTCAAACTAGTGGTATTCTTTATCTGATCAATTTCAGACTGAAATTAGATTGGCGTAAGTGAACAATTAATTTGGATGTTAGTAATGGGAAATTTGAGTTCTCTGCGCAGACTGGCAGAACGTCTCGTTGGGACATGATCTGAGAGTAAAATTTTGCAGTATGGAAAATGACTATGCCTTCTGACTATACTTGTCAGAAGAAGGTAGCCTACAACTAGCCGAAAATGGTCAAACTAAGATTTATGGACCAAACAAATTAAAATACCAGTAAAGGGCACTGAAATCCATTAAGTGACTTATCCAAGCTAATGCCAGACAAGACGGCAACCAAAGACTAAAAATAATTATGTTTAGTGCAAGCTCTTGGCAAATAAGGAGACAATATATCTGCAGTTCAACAAAATCAATGGATTTTGAGTACCTGCATATGTTAGGCATTGTAATTGATAATAGGAATACAAAGATGAAAATGTATTTTCCTATTTTTATTTCCCATAGTCTTCATTGGAAGACATTTGTATTTCCACCTTAAACTTTTATTTTTAAGTAGTGAAAGCAGAGGGACTCCATTATGTAGTAGAAAACACAATGGATGTTCTAGATTCAATTTGTGGAGTCAATCCGAGTCTTTTTTGGAGAAGAACAACAGAAATATTTTACATTTTTTGCCAAGAAGTATAAAGTGCATATTTCAAATGGCTGTTATTGCAAGAAAGAGTGGATTAATCATATAAGTATTCAACAGGCACTTAAGGAGACCGATTGTGTTCAGTTAAATAATTTCACTTCTATAGATGCCAAATCACTGGATTCTATAACACATGGTAAGACCAGCATGATTTGTTAAGTGACAGAGACAACTTGAAGAGTGCAAAGAACATACCATTGTCAAAAGACTTGAGGTTTAGTATTTCTTCAGTCATTACTCAATCTTTAGGAACCTCAATTCATCTTCTTATAACATGGATATAGTAATCTGTATATCTTGGGGCTTTGGTAGAAACCAAATGTAATTATATACATCAAAGAACATTGTAATCTGTAAAATATTATTCCTGAAAAGAATGCGCTTAATGAAGCATCATAATTGATTACATATGATTCTTCCTTATCCTTAATTTAACTTTCAAAATATCACTCAATTTGTCGTTCTCTTCTCAGCCCAAGGAATTAAATGGTGAATTTCAAATAACCTCTAATGGTCATCTATTTTCAAAGTAGAATTTATGATTCTGTGTGCCCAATTTTGTTTTCTTCCCACTATACCTGGGTGCCTATTGATACTAACCTAGTTTAAGCACTTATCACCTCGTATTTTTAAATCTTACAATCATATCCTTATCACTTCAATTTATCTAAGGTCTCTCTTTTCAAATCATCCAGCATGTAATCTTTAAAATGACTTTTCCGAAACATAATTTTTACAATATTACGGAAAATATTTGTTGTTTGAAGTCATACAGACAAAGCTAAGCCCTATGTCTTACTAGTTACAAGACCTTTCTTCTTATTCACTTCTCTGTGAATAATAGTGTCTGTCTCCTAGGGTTGAATTGAGAACAACCAAGTATATAGTTTGCACAGTATCTGGATTAGAGAAATGCTCCAATTGGACCTCTACCACCTAATCCTGACTCACTTTATAACTGAGTAGTTTATCGTCATCCATGGGATAAGTATGAAAATACAAACTCCTTTGTGATTCCGTATACTCCAAAATGTTTCTAGTCTTCTCCATCACCGATTCTTTTCCTGCTGAAACCATTCGTTTGCTTATTTATTTATTTATTTATTTAATGGCGTACAACATAATGTTTTGATATATGTGTTTGTTGTGAAATGATTATATCAAGCTAATTAATCAAATCCTCTATTTCATCCAAACTGTTTTAATTTTCTGAAATCCCTATACTATTCACTTGGTCTCATGGCCTCTACAATATCTTGCCCTGTAATTATGTGAATCCTATCAAGTATTCAAGTCTGAGCATTTGCTAACCTTTTTTAATAAACCTGACTACTTTCAACTCAAACTGCTACTTCTAAGTATCAAAAATATTTACTAGATCCTTATCATTTATATTTTTGTTTATTTCCCTCTCTTCTTTCCTCCCTCCCCTTCTTCTGCCTTCCTTTCTGTCCTTCCATCTTTCTTACTTTCATTACAGATTTCCTTTCAAAATGTATATCTTATACGCATATCTATGCTATACGTTCCTGAAGGGTAAAAAGAGTCTTTACATCTTTCCATGCACCTATGACGGAGAGATAGGGACCAATCAATAGTTGTTAATTGTCTGTACTATGGGTTTAACAAAAACACATTAAAACTAATATATGTTAAAAGTTCCAGGCCTTAATTTAAGAAACTTATTTATATTAATGCATGTAATCTGCCTGACAATCCTATAAAGATGGGCAGACTGAAGCTCAGCGACATTAGGTAATTTGCCCGAGGTCACACAGGTCTTAAATTTTATAAGCAGTATGAGAACCCAAGCACATTCCTGTCAAAGCATATGCTCTTAACTATAAAGGTACAGTGATGCTTTTGCAGTTTTGGAAAAGGATCCTTGTGACTCTGGGTAGCGTTTTCAAAAGATGGTTGCCTGTGTGTCTATACTCAAAATGCCAATAGTGATTATTATGAATTCATTTAGCAATGATTCATAGAGAACTATTCTAGGCACTGGGAATGATATGATAAACGCAGCAGAACAGGTGGTTAATTTTGTGAAGCTAGTTGGTGAGAGATGGACGCTGAGCACATAAATTAGAAAATATAAAGTAATGATCAGTTCTATAAATAAAATAAACCATGGATATGGATTGGATTAAGTTGAGTTTATACTTTGATTTGTGTGGTCAGTAAAGTCCTCTTTGGGTAAGTGACTTCTTACCTGAGACCTTATATTAGGAAAATAATTCTAGTTAGTATAAGCGCAAGGAGACTTATTAAAGGCAATTAGATGGCTTACTAGAAAATTAAACCTGGATGCTTCTTGGAAAGGATCAGAGTGCCAGGAGCCACACACCTTTCGTAAATATACCCAACCACACTAAGAAACAACTTAGCACTGATACTTGTGGTTCCCAAGTTACCTCAGTTTCTTGAGATACTTGAAATGGAGAGATTATTAGAGTGATTTCAATTAAGATGGAAAGGGGGGTAAGTTGTGTTTTGCATGTAAAGCTTACTACAGAATTTCTCAACTGGTGGCAGAACAGGTTAATGAAATACCATGATACTGATCATCTCAGCCTTTAGGGTAGGACCCAGGGCAGCCCAAATTCTCACGTTCATTACCTTCAGCCTTGAGCAGCCCTGTTTCCTTCAGTCTTCCATGCCGTGGAAAAGACTGGGGACCACTAGCCTATAGTATTGGCTTAAGAATGTGGGATAGAGAAGAATCAAAGATGAATTATGGGTTTTTAACTTGATTGACTTGTTGGCTCATGGTGCCACTTACTAGTAAGGAAATAGGTAGGGCAGAGCAAGTTATAGAGGAAGGGGAATAAAAGGGATTTTTTTGTAAAGATGTGAGGTTTATGAAATTTAGTCTTTAATATGTAGATGTCAAATAGGTAGATGGCTACATAAAACGAGTTCAGGAGGGCAGTTCAATTTGGAGATCTACATTTCAGAGTTATTAGCATAAAGATGTAGTGTAGGAGCATGGGACTGAATGAAATTACTAAGGGAGAAAACAGAAAACAAAGAGAAATGATTTTAAGACTAAGGCCTTGTGCACATAAACATTTTGAAGTAGAACAGACTAATAGTGTGCTATATAGTGTATGTACAATATAGGAAGAGAATTCTTGATGTGATATATATTTTAAAAACTGGAAAACATACTGATTACACAAAACTAATGCATTTCTACATGTGTAGTTGAAAGAAAAAACATAGTTGGGAATAATCCAGTAAATTATAAGGAGGACTGAACATGTTGGGGAAGAAAACTTTCATACTAGGACAAACTTTTTTTTAAGAAAAATAACTTTTTAAAAATGAAGCCTAAGAGAAGATATTATCAAAGCTTATAAAATCAAAAATTGTATGAATAGGGTCAACCCATTCTTTTTTTAAATTATTATACTTTAAGTTCTAGGGTACATGTGGAACCAACCCAAATGTTCATCAGTGATAGACTGGATTAAGAAAATGTGGCACATATACACCATGGAATACTATGCAGCCATAAAAAAGGATGAGTTCATGTCCTTTGTAGGGACATGGATGAAGCTGGAAACCATCATTCTCAGCAAACACATTCTTATTTACCAAAGTCAAAATACTAGAACTAGTGCTTTAAAGCACTCCCTGAGGCTTTAAAGAATTACTCTGAGGACAAAATGAAAGTAAATTCTGTTTTAACCAGTGGGTAGTAAACTTAAAAAACTCTTTACCATAAGCGGTAGAATGGGTTGAAAATATAAATAGTTTCAAGGTGGAGTTCATGGACAATAGATACACAATAGGTTGTTTAAGGAAATGGAATATTTTAATGAGTGGTACATCTCCAATCTTTTAATTTTGATATCCTATTTTATAACCACTTTCTGTAAAAAAGATTATTTCAAGCCAGAGTTGGAATAGAAGGGATATAATCTGATATAATATGAATTTTTGTTCTGTTAGCAAACATTTTTAAAGTGAATGTTCTGAATAGATTCCAATTTTCTTAAAATAGTTATTATGCCTTATGAAGACCTGCAATATCCGTGTAAGAAGAGCAATGCTTTTTATATGTTGTAATAAGTAATTTATTAGAACATTTATTCACAATGATGAATCACCTTAATTAATATGGTGAGGGCAAAATAATTTCTGCTATCAAATATCAGTATGTACTTGCAAAATTCTTATAAACTTCAGTTCATATGTCTGTTTTTCTTTAAAATATCCCTAATTACTGACCTAATTTTATTCATTTTGCCATTTAATTTATTTATAACGCCATTCTTTTCTTCTAATGCGTTCTCCTGTTTGAATAATCATGTTCTCTTTATTCTCTTTTTCGTCTTTCTACTGGTTGGGGAATTATATATTCTATATACATTTTCTGAGCCCTTATCCTTAAATTTATATCATTCATAATTAATGACATTCTAGTCTAAACATCGCAAGAGCAGTAGAATGTTTAAATTCTGATTTCCCTCCTACCATATTTCATGTTATTGTTGCCTGATATTTTGCTCCTATACATTGTTACCCCTCCCATTAGTCATTTTTTATGGTAGTAAAATATTTATAATACTATTTTCTTCTTATGAGTTCTGATTCTTCTTTCTGGTTCAAATTTCCTCCTTCCCCATGTACACATGTTAACAAGTACCTTTGTAAATCTATATTTCATTCTTACCCTTGAATAACAGTTCAGCAGGGGCCGGGCGCAGTGGCTCTTGCCTGTAATCCCAACACTTTAGGAGGCTGAGGCGGGCGGATCACTTCACTTGAGGCCAGGAGTTCAAGACCATACTGGCCAACATGGTAAAATCCCGTCTCTACTGAAAACACAAAAATTAGCCGTGGGTGGTGGCGCACACCTGTAATCCCAGCGACTCGGGAGGCTGAGGCATGAGAATTGCTTGAACCTGAGAGACAGAGGTTGCAGTGAGCTGAGATTTCACTACTGCATCCCGGCCTGGGCGACAGAGTGAGACTCCGTCTCGAAACAAAATTAAAAGTTCAGCAAGGCATTGTATTCTATATATAATATTCTTTGTGTAATTATCTTTTGAGGATAATGCATCTTTTCTTTTTGCTGCTCTTAAGATTTTGTCTTTCATGTTCTGTATTTCCATAACTATGTGTTCTGAGTATTTATACATTGGAACTTGGTATGCATCTTCAAGTGAGGACTCTTGTGTTTCTATGATTCTGGAACATTGTCTACCATTATCATTTCAAATATTGTTTCCCAGATTCTCTCTAGTCACTTTTTCTCTGATTCCACTGTATGTGCATTGAATATTCTCCTTTCATACTACCACGTATTTTAATTTCTCTTTACATATCTTCTAATTCACTAATTCTCTAGTTCAATCTAATCTATGGTTCATCACATATTTTGAGAGCTTTGCTAAATTCCTTAATTTGTTTTTGGAATTTATGTTTGGTTATTTTCAAATATATGTGTTTTATATGTCCTCTTTTTGTTTTCTATTTTCTATTTTTATTTCTCTGGCCATTTGAATCATATACACATCATGAATAAAAAGAAAAACAAATTGTTCTATTAGTAATAGTTTTATTTTGCTGTCCGTAAAATCAAAATACGATGAGAAGCCATATGACAGTAAGATGGAAAAAACATAGGGAAGAATGAGAAAATTTAAAAAATAGAGTAAGTGGATGGATTTGAAGTAGCACCTTATTTCTCTTTCTTGCATTTGGGTTTGCCCATTTTTAAAAACAATCCCCATCCCTTTTACCACAGTATTTCCATGTGTTTGGAAAAAAAGAGGAAAGGTTTTTGTGGGTATATGGTGAAGGAGTACTCCTACAATTTCTTAGGACTGTATGTTCAACAAAATTTGTTTTTAAATTTGATGGAACAAACCTTTTCACAAAATAATATTAATATAAATATAAAATGACTGATTCATGAATTACCAACAAACAACTTGAATTTACAAAATAAACCTTCAAATGTATTTTTCCCTTGAATAGTATTTTATTTATATTTTTAATTGACATGTTATAATTGTACATATTTATGAAGTATCTTTTGATATTTGAATACATGTATACATTGTGTAATGTTCAAATCAATGTACTTAGCATATCCATAACCTCGGGGATTTATCATTTCTTTGTAGCAAGAACATTACAAACCTTCTTCTAGCTATTTTGTAATATACAGTACCTTACTCTTAACCATATTCACCCTACTGTGCAATATGATACCATATTCCTCTTACCAAATAGTAACTTTGCACTCATTGACCAACTTCTCTCCTTCCTCCCCTCCCTGCTCTCTGTTAATCACTGTTCTATATCTCAATGAGATCAACTTTTAAAAAACCCACATGAATGAGATCATGCAGTATTTTTCAGTGTGCCTGGCATACTCAGCATTATGTCCTTCAGGTTTGTCCACTTTGTCTCAAATGACAGGATATCATCCCTTGTTATGGTTAAATAGTATTCGATTCTGTAGATATACCACATTTTCTTTATCCATTCATCTGTTGTTAGGCATTTTGGTTGATTCCCAGTCTTGGCTGTTGTGGATAGTGCTACAGTAAACAGGAGTGCAGATATCTCTTTGACGTACTCATTTCAGTTCCTTTGGATGTATATACCCAATAGTGGGATGACTGGATCCTATGGTAGTTTTATTTTTAATTTTTTCATGAACCTTCATACTGTTTTTCATAATGGGTGTACCAATTTACAGTCCCACTAACATTTTGTAAAAGCTCCCTTTTCTCCAAATGCTCACCAACACTTCTTTTCTTTTGTCTTTTTGATAATAGCCATTCTAATAGGAGTGAGATGGTATGTCGTTGAGGTTGATTTGCATTTCTCTAATGATTAGTGATGTTGAGCATTTTTTTCATACACTTGTTGGCCATTTGTATGTCTTCTTTTGAAAAATGTCTATTAAGGTATTTTGCCCATTTTAAAATCAGGTTATTTGGTTTTTGCTGTTAAGTTCTTATATATTCTGGATATTAACTCCTTGCCAGATATATAGTTTGCAAATATTTCCTCCCATTTTGTAGGTTGTCTCTTCACTCTTGTTTCTTTGGGTTTGCAAAATCTTTTTTGTTTGATGTAATTCCATTTGTCTATTTTTGCTTTTGCTGCCTATATTTTTAAGTTCTTATCTAAAAAAAAATTTGCTCAGCCCAATGTTGTGAATCATTTCCCCTATGTTTTCTTCTAGTAGTTTCATGGTTTGGGATTTTACATTTAAGTCATTCATCCAAAAAAAAGAAAGAAAAAAAAAGAAAAAAAAAGAAAATTAATCACTTTCTACATTTTTTTTTTTTTGAGATGGAGTCTTACTCTGTTACCCAGGCTGGAGTGCAGTGACACGATCTCTGCTTACTGCAACCTCCGTCTCCCAGGTTCAAGCAATTCTCCTGCCTCAGCCTCCCTAGTAGCTGGGATTACAGGCATGTGTCACCACCCCTGGCTAATTTTTGTATTTTTATTAGAGAGGGGGTTTCACTGTGTTGGCCAGGCTGGTCTCAAACTCAACCTCAAGTGATCCATCTGCCTCAGCCTCCCGAAGTGCTGGAATTACAGATCTACATTGTATCTTGATGGCAGTATAACTATTATTTTTTAAATTTTTGGATTTTTAGGCATCTTATGTATTATACAATGCCTTTACTTAAAAGTGGAAAAATAAGGTGAACATATTTTGTGACTTGTCCCAGGTACCATTGTTTATAAATAGCACTAAAACTAAAATGACTGAATTAGTCACTCCTTGTTTTTGTCATTGCTCTAAGTATGTGTTTTCTTCCATTTATAGTATGAGATAACTCAGCCATTTTCATTAAATGTCAGAAAAAATTTTATATAGATCTTTACACAGCATGCTAATTTTAATAGTTATATTTATATCATATTTGGAGTATTAGCTTTCATCATAGTCCTTTGTTATGTTACTCATATTTTTCTTGATACTGAATGATGGAATGAGTCATTTCTATACACTTAGTATTAACCTTTCAGTAGTTAAAGAAGTGGCATTTATTTTTAGGACCCACACAACTGTTTCTGAACTTGTAAGGAAAAGCCATACATTTTTTCTTTAGTTCAAATAACTTTACATCCTAATATGTATATTTGGTTGATAAGTATATTGATTAGGACAAATCAGTTTGGAAATAGTTATATATGTAAGAGGATACTTATCAGGAAGTGAGCCAAAAATGTTTGTCAGTAGTACTGGTTAAATATTGAAATTATATTTCTTAATTTGTCAGTCTGTAAGTGTGAGCACAATGTCTTAGCACTTGGGATAATTTAGAAGCAACTCTGGCTCTAGATTACCTAGCGGATTTCTCAACGCTGGCTGTAGACTTTAATTCAACCGTGATTCTGTATTACGTTATATAATAGGACACTATTTCCACAGGCCTATGAATTTTTTATAAATTTGGAATCTTCACTTTTTCATTGTTTTTATTTTACCTACTTAATCTTTTTTGTAGTATGTTTTATTCTCCCAGAGATCTTTTGACTCTTAAATATTTATAGAGCTTTTGCACTACCTCAGAATATCATTAGCAATATGATAGCTGTTACTTCTGAATACTTTTCTTTTTAACTTTCTTTTAATAATCTTCCATAAAAGTCTTCTTTGCATGTATGTTTAATCTATTAATTAACTTCTAGAGTCTGCTACTTAAATAGGTGCTATCTTTCTTCTGTCCAAACTTGTATAGTAATTAAAACCAGCAGTGTGTAGTAGAAGACATTTTGCATACCATCAATTTCCGAAAAATTTCCAAATATTATGGTTTCTAGTCATATGTCTACAAGTTTATGTTTTGTAATTAAATTCTTCCCTTAAAATGTTTATGTAAAAAAAGTTGGTCTTTCCTTTTTTAGTCATAAATATTTGATTTCCAGTTTTTCATAAGTAATATATACATTTATTTCTACTTCAGCAGATACTCCATTATAATCAATGTTGCTACAGCAGTAGATAAAATACAAGCTCCATGAGAGCAGAGATCATGTCAGTCTTCGGTAGTTGCTGCAAAACCAGTTTTGAGTAACTATCTTTGACAAATAAATGAAAGAATAAGTTTGATTTCAATGTACATCTTCAAAATAATATCTAAATGAAATTCATCTGTGCAGGCCTAACCCTGTTTGAGTCCAGCTGCAAATGTACAAGTGGTTTTTTTTTGGTATAGTAGAGTGGAAAGGGTGAAAGCTTTCAAGCTAGGCAAGTCTTGTTTCAAATCCTAGTGTTGCTGTGTAATCGCTGTGTGACCTTAGGTATATCCCTTAACTTCTCTAAGCCAAAGTTTCTTAATAGAAAACTTGTGATGGTTTTAACAATTATGAAAAATTGCATTGCTGAAAGAAGATGCTCAGTATATATCATTGTATTTTACACTGTGAGATAATGGGATCCACATAAACTGGCATGCACATTTTTAAAATAACTTTTATTTTTAAAAAATGGGCTTTAGAAATTGTTCAATTACCTAATGTTCTAATGCATTTTTAACATTCTCTCCATTTTCTTTTATTTCTGCTATTTTTATTTCCATATTCCAGTTTATTTGCGCAACTTATGTCTGAAGCATAAGCAAAGATTCTTCCCCAGCTTCTCCTCTTATTTTACATCTTCAGTTCTACAATAATACTGTATTAGTCAGGGATTGGTCACAAAAAGACGAGCTGCTCTATAGATTTCAAGCAGTGAAGAGATTTAATACAAAGAATTAAGTGCTTTACTGAACCCCTGGAAAGGCTGGGAGAATAGGATTCAGGTGACGATGCCACTAGCTCTCCACTTAGCTACAATGTTCAGAAAATGAGCAAATTGTGCAGACCACAGGAAACCACTAGCAGTTTTCACTACTGCTTGTGTTATCAAAGCAGGTGATGTTTAGGAAGTACCCAGTGGCCACTGTAAAATTCTCATGTCTGCAGAAATCCAAACCTCTGCTTCTCACCCCCAGGGGAAGCCCTAATAAATTTTCAGCCTCTCCTTAGCTTGCAAATCTGGTACAAGGTTTGGGAAAAGGTGATTGATGCCCAGGCTTCCAGCCCCTATGATAACAGAGGAGAGCATGGCAGGTGGAATGATACTGAGATGCCAACAGAGAAGCTGGTACAGCTTCACCTGTATATGACTGTTCATTTTCATTCCAATTTCAGGCATACTCTCTATTTTCAGTTCTGATCCCTATGCCTCCTATTATTGCAATAATTATTACTTAATAAATAAATGGCTCCAATTGCAGAAAGAGGTTTACTTATGTTTAGCATACATACTACTCTCTCTTAGGCATCTTTATATTTCATTTATCTCAGAAACTTATCCTTTTTACAAACAAGTCTGTAGACTATAGGTAGGCAAACTATGACGCAGAAACGAAGTCCCCGAGGCTGCCTATTTGTGCAGATAAAGCTTACCTGGAAAGCAGCAACACCCATTTGTTTCCACATTGTTAGTGGCTGCTTTCACACCACCACAGCAGCATGGAATATTTGCAACAGAGGCCATATGGCACACAAAGCCTAAAGTATTTACCATCTGGCCCTTTATAGAAAAAAGTTGCTGACCCCTACTATGGATATTATGTAAAGAAAGGAACTACTACAGGTAGATTTTTCTCACGTGCTTGCCTATTGAATTTCTTTCATAATTGATTTAATGAATATAGGCTTTTTATCTTATGGGAAAATATCATCATACTGCACGTACTTGTGTGGGACTCTGTCAGTGATCTTAAAAATAAAAATGTCATGCACCCAAGAGAAAAGTATTCATTCAACCAAGCCAATGAATAGGTTCCGAATCTTCCTCCTGCACTAGGCATTGTGATTTCACCTACATTTCCAAACATCTGATTTTTAATAATGCATCGTATAATCTTGATTCTCACATGCTTCACAGGACAGCCGAATTCTTTTTCAAAACTTATAGTCACTGTTGAGTCATACCAATGATCTTTGCTTTCTAGTAGCTTCCATATCTTAATAACATTTTTAAAATATGATACAATAGTAGGTCTATTTTACTCCCAGTAATTAGGCCTTGAATCTTATTAGCAACTTGATCATGCTGGTCACTATTGAGCCATGAAGGCAATTTATGAAATAAAAGGCTTTTCATTCTTTGCCAACCAATGATTCACCCACATCTTTTCCCCTATCCTCCTGTATCTTTTGTATTTTTTTCTGCTGTGAAGTCATTTTTTTAAGACGGGAAGGCTGGCAGGGAGGGAAGGAAGGAGGGAGGGAGAGAGAGAGAGAGAGAGAGACAGAGAAAGAGAGAACGAGAACACACCCTAAAAGGTTTTCTTATTAACTATTCTCAAGTATTATTTCTTATCAGCTATCATCAGCTATTTCTTCTTCAGCATCATCTTCAGGTATTTTTTTTTAATCTTGTAAAACAGAACACTTTTTTCTCACACATTGTAACTTCTCCCGAGGTAGTCCTTTATTCTTGTATGACCTCCTCCTTTGCTCATCACCTTGGGTCTTATTCTGCATACTTCTCTCACTTGCTCTTTGATTTCTACTCTTCTTGCTCCAATTCTTACAATTTCTTAACCTCTATTTTAAAAAATCTTTTCTCTTCATCATTAAATGCTTTTACAGATGGAAACATTCATTTTGTTCTTTAAGGCATTTCAATATTTTTCTTCCCTTGAGTACATTTCTTATGCCATTTTAACTTGCTCCTTTACCATCTGAAATCTTGAAAGGGGAATAGTTCATTCTTCCTCTTGAATATATATTTTCATTGAATTTTCTTCCTGTTAAACAAGAATTTATGCCTGTCAATGCTTTTGATAAAAATACCAATTTTTTTGAGAAATTAATTTAACTGTAACCAAGATGTGGGCTTTCAGTTTGTATTCTACCATGTCTATGTTCACCTGCACATAAATCTATTAATTCTGGGGACCATTCCCATCCATCTCTGTTTTTATTATAATTCTGATAGCAAGCATCTAAATATACAATCTCAAATTCTATATTCTTACCAGTGTATGTAAGTGTATGTATTGTGTGCATGTATTGTGTAAGTGTATGTATTGTGACCACGGATAACTTCCAGTTACTTCCAACATTTTCATCTTTTTCTGGAACAACGTTGGAAATCCCTTTCAAGACAGAAAATTCCTTCGTGAATGAAGCACGGATATAAAATGCTTCCCCTCTTTGTTTCTTTGGATGTAGGGTAGCTACATATATAAATGTGATAGGCCCTAATTCCTAATTTATTTCTTTGATTACATATTTTCCAGTGCAAAGCATAGATTATTAAATATCTGCACAAATAAAAATTCATGTTCACATTTTTTTGTTTTGTTTTTTTTTGAGATAGAGTTTCACTCTTGTCGCCCAGGCTGGAGTGCAACGGCACGATCTTGGCTCACCGCAACCTCTGCCTCCCGGGTTCAAGCGATTCTCCTGCCTCAGCCTCCCAAGTAGCTGGGATTACAGGTGCCTGCCACCACGCCCAGCTAACTTTTTTGTATTTTTAGTAGAGATGGGGTTTCACCATGTTGGTCAGGCTGGTCTCAAACTCCTGACCTCAGGTAATCCACCCGCCTTGGCCTCCCAAAGTGCTGGGATTATAGGCATGAGCCACCACACTTGGCCTCATGTTCACATTTTTATCCCATTTATCCATGTGAAATTAGCTCTAAATGTGATAACCACTAGCCACATGTGGCTGTGTAACTTTGAATTAATTAAAATTAAGTAAAATTTAAGATTTAGTTTTTCAACTGCACTAGTTACATTCCAAGTGTTCAATGGTAGCATGAGGCTAGGAGCTTCCACCTTGGATAGTGCAGATAGAGATCATTTTCATTATTGCAGAACTCTCTACTGGACACTAAATATTAGAAAACATACATAGTTCCTTCATTTGTAACACATCTCTCCCTATCACATTAAGCTCTCTTCTTTGTATGAAGAGTGTGTAAATTTGATTCATTTCATGTCGGAATCCATGGGTTGTACTTCTAAACTTTAGTGGTAATTTACACTTTGTATTATGTACTCCTATTTCTGATTTCATTTTTTCCCATTGTTTGTCATTTAATTCAGCCAAATTTTCTTTTCTTGCATTCTCCTATTCTATGTATTCCTTAGATCAGTGGTTCTCAAATTTTAATGAGCATCAAAATTACTTGGAGGGTTTGCTGAACACATATTGAAGGGCTTACCCTGAGAATTTCTGATTCAGAGAGTCTAGGATTTGGCCGAGTAATTTGCACTTCTGTTATTGCTACTCGTTCTGGGGGCTCCTACCCTAAGAACCACTGCCTAGGGAAGGCTTCTACCTCTCTTTGCCCACTTTTCTATGCACAGAGCTATTTTTTATACACCCTGCTTCAGTATTTTCTATACAGCTTATTTATTTCTTCCTCTATTTATTTAATCATTATGTATTTCCCCCATAACTTGAAATCCATCTCTCTTAACTCTACCTGTCTCCCCATACCCTTTCTGTCTGTGTTCTCTCTTTTCCCTTGCTTCTCCAGGAGACTTTCAAGATTTCATTTTTACAGACGTTTCTTGTTCTGTTTCCTTTTGCTCTTGCATGCTGGCTCTTGAAGATGGCCCAACTATGCCTTCCTTCCTTTCACTATAATGTGTCCTTGGCATTTAATTTTTATTTTACTAGTGGCTCTCTTCTCAGTAGGCACTGTGGTATCACTGCACTCCAGACTGAAACCACATTTCCTAACTGTGTCCTATACTTAAGTGACCTGGGAAGTGACAGTTATATCATGTCTTTAGCTGTCTTCTGTGTAGAAGCAATAATATTTCTCTGTAACTTACTGAGAATCTCTCAGCAGGTGGTCAGCACGCTCACCATTTTGTCACCTCTCTTGTTAAAAATTGCTTTTTGCAGCTCAATTCTCCAAATGTCCCAACCTCTACTGGACTGGCTCATACTTAATCACTTTTTCAAAACGGTGTCACAGTATGTTTATTTTGTTTCTAAAGCTTTGACTCTTTTCCTTCTTGTACAGTCTCAAAATAAGTTTCCATTTTTCTGTTTAATTGGAACTTACATCAAACTTCTTACTTCCCAGCATTTGAACTGCTGCATGATGTGTACCCTGGATCCATTCCAAATTGAATTAATAAGCAGACCTCAATTTTATCTCTTGCTAGACTGTAACTCTCATCCCCTGTTAAGCAACTCTTCAGTAACAGCCTAGTATTGTTAAAGGGGGGGCCTCTTGAGTTAGAACAACCCTTTTCACATTCCACCTCTGCTTCTCATTTTTCTCACCTACACAATGGGCTAATATTAGCATCTATCTTATAGAATCATTGAGAAGAACAAATGAAAGAAGGTACTTTGCACAATGCCTGGATTATGGTAAATCTTAAATCTTGGCCTTTACTAATGTTGCTATATTAATCACAGTTTCCCATGAAGGAAGTTATTTCTTTCTTTATCCTTCAATTTCTTTACCTTGCAGTAGATGCAAAAAATTTGCAATAAATATTTTCCAGATCTTTATTCTACTTCTCTACTAGCTTTTGCCTTTTCCTCTAAGTTGCCTATCCCAACTTTGAAAGTCTTTACCTCTGTTTCTCATTTGCAGTTGAACACTGACACAAAACAAGAGAAAACAACAAGCGAATAAGAACACAAACACAACATCATCTCAGCACTTTCTCTCACTGTGCCAAATGTTCTTAAAGGTTTGTTAGTTTTTTATCAAATCACAGCTTGATTTATTTCCAGCCTGTGCTCCACACCAGTTGACTACTGTTATCTTTGTAGTAACCAAGCAAAACAAGTAGGGCAGGAACTACTGTGCCTCTTGTGCAGACTTGGAAAGTGAGGCCACAATGACAGATGTGACTTAGCAAGGATGGTGCAGCCATGTAGTGTAAACAGGGCTGCTGTTCTAGGCTGTGAAGGTGGTGCACCGCAGCAGGACACCACAGTTAAAGGGATACCTCCACCTTGAAGACATCACTGATTTGTTTTTTATAGTAAGGCAGTTTCCAGCACTGTCATGGAGAGAGGCTCCTATTTCCAATTTGCCCAAAGGTGCTATGTGGGCTCTCATTAGCCAAGAAAACTCAACTCAACACATGTGCTCTGCTTTATAGCTTATTTACTCTTTAGTCGACGTTCCATACAACATAGATTACTATGTTTCCTTTTCTAATTCATTTTATCCTGTTATTTTCTTTATCACTCTCCCCCTCTACCCTGCAACAACCCATTTACTTTTCACTTTACTATATAGGAAAAGTAAGCATTAAAATTCAGTTGGACGATAAGGTGAAAGCATGTAAAGCTGTTGAAAAGCCAGGTGACCATTATTACATGTGACTACATTCTAGACTAAGTGGGATGACTAATATATTTTAAATGGGAAGAAATAATTTAGATAGCTTTATTTGCTAATGTGAGATAAATAGATTAAAGTTGAAAGCCACTCAGGCTATTGCAAATATTATAGCAGGAGACCATAAGACCCTGAGTAGGCATACCACAAAGTAATAATGTAGATGATTGGCTTTGGATAAGAGGCCCAGTGAGGAAGCTAATTGCAGAAGCTTGTAGTTGATTAGTTATAAGATGACAAGGGGAATAAAAGCAAGAGTTTCTGAGTCTAGATAACCAGGATGATGATGGTGCCATAGAGAGAAATGGAAAAATACAGAGAAAGAACAGATTTCAGAGGAAGAAAATATTTTATTTGAAGAGAGGAGTGGTGTTCTGGTAAAAATGTCCTCTAGGTGATAGAAAAATGTGACAGGAAATTAGAGGTAAATTAGAGGTGGAGAAAAACATTACATGTAGTTGAATAGAGCTACTTTTGAAAGATATCAAAGGTATTCAGTTCTCAATGGCCAAAAGAGGGAAGCTGCCATTGTTAAGGTTCCACAGCGTAGGGGATCTCCTGCAGGTAAGAAATAGAAGAAGGATGAAGAGCAAGCACATGATTTAGAGACAGAGGTTCTCAAGAAAAAAAGGGATGCTCAGCATTGTAGAATGCTTCTTATAAATTAAAATGAAGACTGGTAAAACCTATTCTTTTTTTCTGGTGATTTGTTACAATTTAAAAAAATTGTATCTTCCTTTTACTATCAGTGAAAATTCCCATGATAGCTTCCCATTTTGGAGGCACCCACCAAAAATGTCCTTTTATATATCTCCTTCAGTCTTAGATTTCCAAATTCCCTTTTTCTGTAACCTGACCTCTTTCTATGAAATACAAAAGTTTGATTTAAAAGATGCCTTTCACACTCCATAAAATAGTATACATTGTCCTGGCTGGGTGCAGCGGCTCACGCCTGTAATCCCAGCACTTTGGGAGGCCGAGGAGGGCAGATCACCTAAGGTCAGGCGTTCAAGACCAGCCTGGCCAATATGGCAAAACCCTATTTCTACTAAAAATACCAAAAATTAGCTGGGTGTGGTGGTGGGCACCTGTAATCCCAGCTACTCAGGAAGCTGAGGCAGGAGAATCGCTTGATCCCGGGAGGCGGAAGTTGCAGTGAGGTGAGATCACGCCATTGCACTCCAGCCTGGGCAGCAAGAGTGAAACTCCATCTCAAAAAAAAAAAATAATAATAATATACGTTGTCCTTATCCAATAACGTGGAGTTTTTTGGTTTTTAAAGCAACACAGAGATTCATTAGCACCTCATTAGTTCTTGAAGGGAAGGAGCTCTGAATGCAATACTATCTGTCTTCCATTAAAAATGGAAGACATCATTCCCATAAGTTGGGAAAATTTGAGATTTAATAAGAATAACAACTACAGTGAATTGAGACACATCAAATATTTAAAAACTGATGATTTTATAAACATACTAATCAAGGAAACATTGTTAGTTTACAGCATTGCAGCATACTAGGATCCCGACTCATTATTCTGCAAAGAGACAAATAAAGGGAAGGAAGCATACATTTGGCCTGCCTTTTTTCGTACCAACTGTACGTATTTTAGGATAATCACATTGGAAATACATAAATATTATTTTTGAAGTATAGTTTCAGCTAATAAATGCAGGAAAGAATATCACCCTTTTGCAGCCCATAATAAAATGGTACGAAATGATCACCAAGCCTTTGGCTCAAAGGTTGGTGGAGATGCTTGAGTATGGAAGGATTAGGGTGAAACCTCCTGAACCACTGCTAAATCTTGGTGTCACTAAAGTGTAACAACCAGAAATCAGGAATTACGTGAGTTCTTGTACCTAGGAAGTATTTTTGCCTAATTTTAAAAAAAGACAAATATCCTCTAAATCATGCATGCCTGTTTTCATTAGCTACTTTACCTGACTTTTTCATGAGGAATTAAAAAAGTTATTCTTCTGTACTTTTAGGACTCAAATTGATAAAAGAAAAAAGTTTTTAATTTTTTAAATACTTCGTTCCCTTTGTCGACATGTAGAATGTGAGATATGAGATCACACTGAGGAAAAGAGAAGCCAGCTTCATGTGGCTTTCTGAAAATATGATATTATTATGTGAATAATAATTATTATTTAGTGAAAAGGTAAACAAAAATGCTTTGTTTATATGCTATTAGTGCAACCAAATATTTGTGTCAGAAATGATTAATAATTGGAAACTGACAGAATAACTGGCATATGAACTCTTAGGTCTATTATCTAGCCCTAACTCTCCTTGATTTTTATTGAATAATACAACAATGCTTAAATAATCACAAAAATGAATAGGAAACAGGGGTCATTGACAATTTGTAGGTCAACCAAACAAATGTCTTAGCTGTAGAACATTTTACAATCCAATAGAGAACAAACTTTATCTTAGATTAGTGAATGCCAAAGTGACTATTCTTTCATCAGGGCCAAGGTGGCACTAACACTTTATTAGCCCATATGGATGGGTCTCAAAAGCAGTAATATAGAAACTTTGCAGCTTAGCTGTATAAGAATAATGCTTATAAATAAAATACCATAACGTGTAAAAGTAAAAATGTCTCTCTTCTTTTTAAATATACTTCAGTCTATTCAAGACAAAGAAGTAGCCAAGAAACATAAGAAAAAAATGCTCAACATCACTGATCATCAGAGAAATGTAAATCAAAACCACCATAAGACACCACCTCACATTATCCAGAATAGCTATTATTAAAAAGTCAAAAAAGATTGGCTGGGCGCGGTGGCTCATGCCTGTAATCCCAGCACTTTGGGAGGCCGAGGTGGGTGGATCATGAGGTCAGGAGTTCAAGACCAGCCTGACCAATATGGTGAAACCCCATCTCTACTAAAAATACAAACATTAGCCGGGCATGGTGGCGTGCGGTTATAGTCCCAGCTACTTAGGAGGCTGAGGTGGGAGAATTGCTTGAACCTGGGGGGGCAGAGGTTGTAGTGAGCTGAGATCCCACCACTGCACTCCAGCCTGGGCAACAGAGCGAGACTCCTTCTCAAAAAAAAAAAAAAGTCAAAAAAGAACAGATGCTGGTGAGGCTGTGGGGAAAAGAGAACACTTACACACTGTTGGTGGGAGTGTAAATTATTTCAGGCATTGTGGGAGCAGCTTGGAGATTTCTCCAAGAATTTAAAACAGAACTATCATTCAACCCAGAAATCCCACTACTGGGTATATACCGAGAGGAAAATAAATCATTCTACCAAAAATACACATGCTCTCATATGTTCATCACAGCACTGTTCACTGTTGATATGCCCATTAATGGTGGATTTGACAAAGAAATTGTGGTACATATACACTGTGGAATACTATGGAGCCATAAAAAAGAATGAAATCATTTCTTTACAGCAGCTTGGGTGCAGCTAGAGGCCATCATCCTAAGTGAATTCACACAGGAACAGAAAACCAAATGCCACATATACTAACTTATAAGGGGAAGCAAAACGTTGTGTATTTATAAACATAAAGATGGGAACAGTAGGCACTGGGGATTACTAGAGGAATAAGGGAAAGAGCGGGGCAAGAGCTGGAAAACTACCTGTTGGGTACCATCCCCACTACCTGGGAGATGAGATCATTTGTACTAGAAACCCCAGAGTCATGCAATGTGCTCATGTAACAAACTTGCACATGTACCCCCGAATCTAAAATTCATACAAATAAATAAGTAAACTTCGATATATTCAGAAGAAACACAGATACCTGCTTATAATTTAAAATAGAAATTTTGAGAAAAGAAAAAACGGAGATAGTTTTATCAGTTCTTAACAGTGTAGTCATAAGAGTCAGTCATACCTGGGTTTGAATCCTGGCTCTCCGGCTTACTAACAAGTTACCTTACATCTCTAAACCTGTTTCGCTATCTATAATATGAGTCTAATAATAGCACCAACCCTTAGACAGGTGTCAGAATAGATGAGAAAATTTATGTAAACAGCTTAGCATAGCGCCTAACAGATTGTGATACTTAATAAATAGTAACTATCATGATTAGTATCTGTCATCATAATGAATTCCAGATGAATTAAAAATTTAGATCTGAAATGTTAAAATATACCAAAATCCAGAAGGAAATATATGATTTTCAATTGCTGATCTATAAATAGAAGAGAACATTATAAATGATGAAAGACATTATAAAAAAAGAACATAAAACAATGACTAACTGGAAATATAATTGCCATGAAAAGTAACACATTTAATATCCTTAGTGTATAATAAAATTTTACAATTAAGTAGGAAAATGTAAATCAAAATAGGAATAAAAGGGCATGAATTTAAAAATTTTATGACACGCATACATCCACAAAGGAAAAGACAAAAGAAATGCAAAAGGCTGCATGGCGTTCAGAAAAGGATTAGTATAAAGAAGAAAAAAGAAGTAACGTTATCTGCAATCTTACCTCTTATTAATAATCACTGTTTAAACTTGGTAGAGTCTCTTTCAGACATATCCACATGCATGTGTAAATACATACATACACGGGCACACACACACTTTGCATCCTATCTGCATTTTGCTTCATGTTTTTCCATTATTCCATGGTAATTTTTTCATGCCTAAGAACAGTCTTTAAAGTGTTTTATTTGGCTCTGTAGAGTATTAGTATGTCAATCAGGTCTCTAGTTGAAGGTTCCTGAAACTCAACTTGAACTAGATTGTATATATATAAAATCTAATACGCACGCGCGCGCACACACACACACACACACACACACACACACACACACAGAGAGAGAGAGAGAGAGAGAGAGAGAGAAGCTTGTTTCACGTAACCAAAGCAGAGGAAAGACTTGATGGAATTACAGAAATGAGGTATTTTTACACCATTAATAATCACTTTGATTTGGCTTAGCTTTTTATGCCAGCTTTACATTTTTAGGCAAGTTTTCTCTGGTATGTCAGGGAACATTGACACAAATAACTCCAAGCTAGTATCTCCATGTCTCCAAATTCAGAGAAAAGATGAACAGGTCTGCCCTTCTAACTCTAATTAGGGGAACTCCAGGGAAGACCTCTGTTGGATATTTGGGTCATCTGCTTATTCCTGGAGCAGTTATGTGGCCAGGGGCATAGGATAAGTAGCCTAGACTCTTATCAATCCAGAGATGAGTTAGGAGAGGCTGTTATGAGAAGAGGATGGACAGGTGCTGAGCAGCCGAAAACAATGATTGCCACGATATGAATGTCCCACAATTTATTCAGTGTTTTGTACGTTAATGGATACTTAAGTTTCTCTACCATTTGATCTTATAATTAATGTTATGATAATTGTCGTCATGCATGCGGCTTTGTTGAAATTTTTATTGGTTTTCTCTTGTAGGATAATTTACTAGAATTGAAATTATTTTATGCAATCCCATGTAGCTATGAATACATAGAGTCACATCTTTCATGTACTTAACCTGTATAAATTCAATTATGTTGAATCAGAAATACAGGGTAGAGAAATTAAGAAAACAGTAGTGGAGATAGAGTGAGTGAGAGGACCAGTGAGAAGAATAAAAACTAGTTGAATAGCTCAGCCGTACTTACCTCAGAATCAATGACCTTATGCTTAGAGGGAGCAGCATGAACTAGGAGTCTCTAGTCCTATGTTATGTCAGTTTTTCTCAATGTTGGCCTGCTTCTTGTAGAGTGAGATTGTGCCTAGCTGAGTTTCATTCTAGTGGTAAGAGTTAGATTTTCTTTTTTTGTATGCCATGGACTCCAAACACATGGCAACCCTTAATCTAGTATTCCTCCAAAGAAAACAGCAATCTGTTCAACACCAGAGGAAAATCTGACGGGCTTGTACTTACCAAGTCATTATATTATATTTTGTGTGTATGTGTGTGTGTATGATTTAGTGATATCTCAAGGATAATTTTGAGTATGCCCTATTTTCATATTTCATACCAATTCTAAAGCCTACCCCACAGGAACTTGAAACTCTGCTCAATTGCTAAATTACCATTACCAAATAATTTATGTCAATTTAAACTCCTACCATAGGATATGTACAGGCACATTTCACCTCATCCTTGCCTGTTCTGGGTTAAAGCACTTTAGAGTTAATGGGAAGAAAGAAAAATAATTATTTAATATAAATAACAAATACAGAGGTGGTCAGCCACATTTCATTTTAATGAAATGGGGCCACGAGAATTCCAGTAAATCACAATTCTACTTCTATAAATAAATGGAAAAGAAAATAGCTAATCTTGTCGCACCTGGAAGCCTCAAACCTAAGATAACAACAAAGCTGATTATTTTTATAGTGATCAGATCTTAAGAAATACACCAGCATCTTATGATGCTATGCTAGAATTATTTTAAAAAACATACAGCCGGATGCAGTGGCTCACGCCTGTAATCCTGGCACTTTGGGAGGCTGAGGTGGGCAGATCACCTGAGGTCAGGAGTTTGAGACCAGCCTGGCCAATATGGTGAAACACGTAAAAATACAGCAAGGGATTTATTCTACAACATTAAGATTTTCAATTTAACAGACATATTCTATGTGTACATATTTGCATGATACTAGCACTGAGCAATACTCTTCTGTTAATTCAAGTTACTCTGAATTTAAATCCCCAGACTTCCAGAATATTAAGTCTGCTTATGATCAGTGATCATTTATTAACTTTTTTGCATTGTATTTTAGATAATTTCACAGTTGTAAAGAATTTCATAGGTTATTGCATAAAATTCATGCTTTTGAATATAAACACACATGCACGCAAACACACACACACACACACATATCCCCCATGCTCACGTATGTTTATTGAGACACTTTTCACAATAGCAAAGACTCGGAACCAACCCAAATGTCCATCAATGATAGACTGGATTAAGAAAATGTGGCACATATACAGCATGGAATACTATGCAGCCATAAAAAAGGATGAGTTCATGTCCTTTGTAGGGACATGGATGAAGTTGGAAACCATCATTCTCAGCAAACTATCACAAGGACAAAAAACCGAACACCACATGTTCTCACTCATAGGTGGGAATTGAACAATGACAACACTTGGACACAGGAAGGGGAACATCACACACTGGGGCCTGTTGTGGGGTGGGGGTGGGGGGTAGGGAAAGCATTAGGAGATATACCTAATGTAAATGATGAGTTAATGGGTGCAGCACACCAACATGGCACATGTATACATATGTAAGAAACCTGCACGTTGTGCACATGTACCTTGGAACTTAAAGTATAAAAAAAAAATTCTTAGGTTGTGTGCCTTGCAAAAAAGTCAGTGGGCTAGATTTGGCTCATGGGCTATTGTTTGCTTACCCCTGCCCTAAGTCATAGTTTCCAATGATTTTAAAATTATAAAAATTATAATCATATAAATTATGTTGGATTGATCATATACTGATAATTTAATGATCTTTATGAAAAAATTTAAGGTAATTTGATACAATTCTTTAAGTTACAGAAGAAAATGATATCATGAGCGAAATGAAAAAAATGGGATAAAATAGCTAATGGTGACAATACTTTTTTGGTATACTATCTGGTATTTATCTTTATTTAATCTTTGGATAATATGTACATTCCTAAGATGAAAATGAGAATGTAATTTGACCATTTGAAAATATATATTCTTACACTGACTTAAAAAGATAAAGTATTGATAATTTCACATCATCTCTGTCTTTGCATTAAAAAGTATCATGGAACAATAGCCACACTTTTTGGAAATTCAAGATTCCATAAAATATAGTTTGAAAAACACATGGACGTGTTTATTAATTTCTCCTTTCAATATTCTTTCTGGGCATACTGGAGGAAAATTGACATGAAGAATCTTTAAATTTGTTATGAAAAGTAGAAGGTGGCATGTAGGCAAAACTTTCCCCTCTGAGAGTGTTTCTGCATTATTTCTTTGCATGGGAAGATCTCACCACCAAAGTGTAGCATGTCTGTACCCAATAGGAAAATGCATACCCTGATATTCATTTTAATGAAAAATTTCAATGACGTATAATCCTTTGTCATTCTTTCCCAAATTGACCCTCTGATGGGGTAAGAAAAAAATGAATTCTACCTTTTTCATAGATAGTAACCATAGAAAGCTCTGGTTTCTAGAGAGATTCAATCCTTTAAAAAGGAACATAAAGAGAAAAGGGATTTGGAGAGAAATTAATTCTAAGACTCTAGACCTGCATGTCTGTGTAACCCAAATTCTAGCAATATCTAGAAAATAGAAATCAAATCAACTAGGAACTGGTAATACAATTGCTAAGACTTCCTTTATCTTAGGTCCAGCAGATTCAAATGACACACTCTTTAAAAAAAAAAATTATTATTTTTAGTTTTTGTGGGTACCTGGCAGGTGTATATATTTTGGGGATATATGAGATGTTCTGATACAGACATGCAATGTGAAATAATCAAATCATGGAGAATAGGGTATCCGTCCCCTCAAGCATTTATTTTTTGTGTTAAAAATAATCCAATTACACTCTTTTAGTTGTTTTAAAATGTACAATTAAGTTATTATTGAGTATAGCCACCCTGTTGTGCTATCACATAGTGGTCTTATTCATTCTTTCTATTTTTTTGTACCCATTAACCATCCTCCTCTCCTCCCGCATCCCCCATTACCCTTCCCAGCCTCTGGTAACCATCCTTCTACTCTCCATGTCCATGAGTTCAATTGTTTTGATTTCTAGATCCCACAAATAAGTGAGAACATTCAATGTTTGTCTTTCTGTGCCTGGCTTATTTCACTCAACATAATGACCTTCAGTTCCATCCATGTTGTTGCAAATGACAAGATCTCTTTTTTTTTATGGCTGAATAGTAGTTCATTGTGTATATATACCACATTTTCTTTATCCATTCATCTGTTGATGGACGCTTCAGTTGCTTTCAAATCTTAGCTATTGTGACCAGTACTGCAACAAACATAGGAATGTAGATATCCCTTTGATATACTGATTTCCTTTCTTTTGGGTATATACCCAGCAGTGGGATTGCTGGATCATATGGTATCTCTATTTTTAGTTTTTTTAGGAACCTCCAAACTATTCTCCTTAGTGGTTGTACTAATTTACATTTCCAACAGTGTATAAAGGGTCCCCTTTTCTCCACATCCTTGCCAGCATTTGTTATTACCTATCTTTTGGATATAAGCCATTTTAACTGAGGTTAGATGATACCTCATTGTAGTTTTGATTTCAGGTGACACATGCTTGACTTTAGTATGAAAGTGTCATTGACATTGGCTGTCTAGTCAGTGTCTAATAGCCTTTTCTCTATCTTTGTCATAAAATCTATCATCATCTGTGGTCTACTTTGACTCTTTTTTTTAATGACCCCTGAGATAGTTGATATGGAAAATACATAAATAGTTGAATAATTGTATGAACTTTTCAGTGTCTTCTCAGGTGACCTACCAGAGGAGAAGTAGGGTATAGAATGACAACTTTTTAATTAGGGATTTTTTTTCCCTTAAGAAACAGCTATGGAATAATGGAAGGAACCTAGGTTTTAGATTTTACATATACACACACAAACATACACACATGTGTGTGTATGTGCATGTGCGTGTGTGTCTGTGTATTTATATATATATTTGAAATCCATTTATTCCACCTCTCAATCTTATCTGAGCCTGGGGGATGTGTGTGTGTGTGTGTGTGTGTGTGTGTGCATGCACATGTGTGTTCATATTCAAAAGCTAAGCATGAATTTTATGCAATAACCTGTGAAATTCTTTACAACTCTGAAATTATCTAAAATACAATGCAAAAAAGTTAAGTGATCACTGATCATAAGCAGACTGTTGCTATTCTGGAAGTCTGGGGATTTAAATTCAGAGTAACCTTGAATTAACAGAAGAGTATTACTCAGTGCTAGTATCATGCAAATATGTACACATAGAATATGTCTGTTAAATTGAAAATCTTAATGTTGTGGAATAAATCCCTTGCTGTATTTTTACGTGTTGTATTTATAAAGATATAATGGGCTCTAATTTTTAGAGAGTCCTGAGAAGTCCATGAATATTAAACACATCGTGTGGATTTTTATTTATCATCATCTCTGATTTTATGTTCGTGAAATTATAACTCAGTTTCGTTGGAGTTCTAACTACAGGCCTAGTTCAACAAAATTCTGATTTCCATCATCTTGACTACATTGATTTTGTGCACTTTGATCTTTACTTTGTATTATATAAAAGTCAATATGTTGATCTATAAACACATCTGCTGCTTGGATAGTAGTTATTTTAGAATTGGCTCTCTTTCCAAGCACAGTTATGACACTGAGAATTGGTACTGTATGCTCCAGTCAGCACTTCCCAGTCACAAACCTTATGAAGAATTTAAAGAACTATGTGGAGGAAATACTCTTTGTTCTAATTCAACATTAGTGTATAGATTGTGTTTGTGAAAAACTGTATGAGAAACTGGTCTTTTTAAAAATGTTTTTCCTTCAGTTCTGGAGTGTCAATATCAATTTTATTCTGTGATTAGAAATCGCATGACTACAGCCTGTGTGTCAAATCATTAATTCATTGAAATTCCTAATCAATGTAATATTGCTTTTAGGATAAAGTTTTAGTAACTTACTGAGTGGGCTCTCTCTGTCTCTCTCTCTCTCTGTTTCTCTCTCTCTCTCTCTCTCTCTCTGTCTCTCTCTCTCTCTCTCTCTCTCTCTATATATATATATATATATATATACACACACTATATATATACAGACATTATATATATAATGTGTGTGTGTATATATATATATATATATATATATATGGCAGTCTAACTATAAGAGCTATACTTTTTAGTGTAAAAAGGTTGTATATTCGTGCATTGGATGGATACCTAAAGCTGAGAGGTTAGCCCTACAAAGTATTAAAAAACAACTCAAGAAGTAAGAAATCAAGAAATGATCAAGAGTTCCATAGCTAGTTAAAACAAATCAGCAGTCTCAAATGAGTTCGAGTGTGAAGTGAAATACCACAAAGATGAATTATTTTAGACCTGATGTGAAAAGAAATGATGGTGTAAGAATATGAGTTACAGCTTACACCTATATGTGTGTGTGTTTGTGTGTATGTGTGTGTGTGTGTATGAGTATATATATATGAGATTATATGGGAAAAAGCTAAAGAGTATATATGGAAAAAGTACTTTCCAGCTATACATGGGAAAAACAATACATGGGAAAAAGTTATAAGGAGTTTTAGTTTAGCATAAGTGTTCTAGTTATCTATTGATATATAACATAGAACATAAAATGTCACTTTTGTTACATTTTACTGAAAAGGTAAGACAAAAGGGCAGCCAGTGTTCAAGAGGAAGGGAGGAATAGACCCCAACTCTCAATGAAGGAATGACATGCACATATGGAAGGGATTGAATTGTTGAACCATATTGGAGACAGCTATCTAAGAAGTAAATATTATTTAATGATACTTTTGTATATTGGATATCACTATCATGACAAGGACATATTGAAAATAGTTTACCTGGGTAATTTTACTCTCATCTACTTAATTAAAGTAATACATATAGATTTTGTCCATTCATTTGATGACAGAGAGTATGACACAGTGAGTATGTCCTTTTGGGTTTCAAATTGATGAAGCAGGCAGACCTGTTATCATTCTGGGGACGCTTCCCAGTTTGGAGGTTCTGAGTGCAAGAGGGCATTAGGAAGACAGAGTTCCCTACTGCTGCTGCATCTGCTCATTGCAGTATGGGATTGGGTCTAAAATTCTATGACTTTGAGGAATATTACCAGATTATATAATTTTAAACATTCCAAGAAGGAATTGTAGTGATCTTCTTGTCCAATTGTTTTATCAAAAAGATACGAATACTAAAGCCCAGAGAAGTTGACCTCACAAAGATCTTAATGTATGAGCTATATAGACTCTGAATCTAAGTCTTTTAACTGCTGAGTTACTACTCTTATTATTCCATATATTGACACTGCTTTCCAAAAGTCTGTGGTGTAATTATCAATCTGGCAATCCATGTAGGAGGACTGTTTTCACCAAACGGTGAATAAAACTTTGTTATTTCATTATATTTTCATGTTTTGGGATCTCTAACAGAGTGAAAATGTTTAGTCAACTTGAAAGAAGTATGGTAGTGAGTAATTTAAGTGCATATGGTGAGCTGGGGAGGATCTAGTTTTGATGGGCCCTGAAGCTTTTACAAGTTTGGCTCTACTCTGTAAGAAGAAAGGATGTAAAATTACAACTGCAAAATAAGTACATGGCTTTAAAAGAGGCCTGTGTAGTTTAAGAACCCTCAAGCTCAAGCTTCATCAGTCTCTGTGGTTGAGTTGATTAGTTTAATTGAAATACTAGAGTTTGGGAAGGACTTAAGAACAAGGTGTTATTTCTTCAAATCGTTGTCGCCTTTGAAAAGGGTAACCTTTTTTCTGGACTTAAAGTGCTATCCTTCCAACGTGTATAATAGTTTTTAAATGCAATCTTGCTGACATGTGTCAACATATGCAAAGAAATTGAGAATACTTTCTAGCTCTTAGTGGTATGATACTGCCTTGCATAATGATTTAGACATGCAGCTCTGCCTTTTGTATATCTCCAGCCACCAACATTTAGGTAGGAAGCAAGTACTATTGATCTTTGAAAACTAAAGAATTGTGAATGATGCATTTGATTGGTATGTTAAAGCTATCCTTTGTATGCATATTTTTGTAAGTCGTTGAAATACAGATTATTTGACCTCAATTTCTCCATCTACAATATGAGGATCAATGAGGATATTATATCATGTCTGTTGAAAATGGTTGGATATAAGTGGAGGCCAGTGGAAGTATTCAGTGAAATGATGCATTTCCAAAATATTGTTTTCCAGCCAATGTCCAGTGTTAGTATTCCACACATGGAATGCATGATAGGTATAGAGAAAATAAGGGTAGTATTTTACATCACAGAGTATTTTGAGATAGGCAAGACCATTATTATGTTTGCCATTCTTGTGAAGAAAATCAGTTGCAGGATATTAACTTATTTACCTTAAGTAACATAGCTGGGAGTCAAGCCCAAGACTTAGGACACAAAGGGCAGCAGGCTTTTTAATCATCCCACTCTGTCTCTTTGAGAGGCCAATAGAAGTTTCTACCATCTCCACTGTCATACCCCACCTGGAAACGATTGCATTCTCAAAGTCTTGTAATTTAGCTTTTCATTATGACTGCTTTTCTCTGTGTTACTTAATTAGAATCTGCAGCTTTTGGCAGGAAAATAGTCAACCAAGCAGATTTCTAATAAGCAATGTCTTTAGGGGAGAAAGTCGAAGTGAGCAAAGAGAAGAGAATGAATGCGTGATAGTAGCTGCTAGAATATATTAGTTGCAGACAAATTTCAGTGAGAGTGTCAGTCACCGTGAATTAAATTTTTAAGTGAAGTGGCCGGAAAAACAAGAATGGAATGGAGCAAAGCACATATATCATAGTTCAGAAGATTTGGAATTCTCCCAAACTTGTCATCCTTTAATGGAGAACCTGTTAGGAACAAAGGCAGAGCCTGCATTAATAGAATGATCTTGGGAAATGCCTTCCAAGGACATCTTTTTAACATTCTTACTCAGACTTGATATTTTGAAAGGTTTTTCTGTTAGATAAATAAACTTTTAAAAACAGTAATTAATATGTATCTTATTTAAAAATAGTCACATATAATGTAGGCCAATGGATAATACCATTATGCATTCTGAAGGGTTGAAAATTGCTAGAGACCCAGCTACTCGGGAGGCTGAGGCAGGAGAATGGCGTGAACCCGGGAAGCGGAGCTTGCAGTGAGCCGAGATTGCGCCACTGCAGTCCGCAGTCCGGCCTGGGCGACAGAGCGAGACTCCGTCTCAAAAAAAAAAAAAAAAAAAAAAGAAAAAAGAAAATTGCTAGAGACAATCTAGTCTAGCTTTTGGAAACAACTTTTACAGAAAATAAATGTTAAATACTGGGTGAAAAAACAGTGGTTTCACTGTTACTGACAACTATGGATTAAGAGCGCTTTCTACCCCTTTCTCTCGAAACATTTCATTGTTGGTAGATGAAAAAGAGAGGGATGGTAGAGTCTGTTGAGAAATGCTCTCAACAGAGAAAGTGAGTTCTTCCTACTGGGATGATAACATTAATATGGTTCTTTATCATGTTGCACCTTAGAACATTTCAGATTCCTATTTTGTCTAGTAAATAGTTGATCACATGGTTCTCTGCATGATGTTGATGAGAAACTTTAAAAAAAATCTATTCTCCTTAAAGCCCATAGTTTTCTCAAAATTAGCTTTTCTGCTGGGGTGATTGCAATAAACTACTACTGGAGTTTAAAATTGTGCCTATTTTTCCAGGAACAAGCTTAAATCCTGTTAAACTAGTGTCAAGCCCATAGTTTGCATTGAAGTTAACATGGAGGGAGTGGCAGACTAGCTTTCCGCCAGGAAATGTGAGGGTATTTAGACCCCATCATGCTGTAAAACATTTTTCTTAAGGTGTAAACATTGGATATATTACCCAGGAAGTTAAAACATATGCAGCTAAAGGGAACTGGATTTTCTCAGTCTGTCAAATTATGTGTGTCTGCTTCTTAATCATTATCATGAAACTGTTCTATGGGACTACTTGAACCAAGTTAGCTTTCAATTAGCATGACGTTATATTGGCAGGTCTAAACTGTTAGACAAAATATGATTCTGGCATGGACAGTACATACATGAACAATTTATTGGTACATTTCCATGGTCCAGCACTATGACAACTTATTAAACCCTTAAAACTCTAAAACTTGCCCTTCTATTTTGTGTTATACTCACTTGTGGAAAAGAACTCCAACCTGAATTAAATTCAACTATCTACCTGCTCCTCACCTTCACCCAAGTTGTTCAGCATTAATTAAATAAATCATATTACCTTTCTGACTTAGTCTTTGTGATCACATATCTCCAATGAACCTGAAATGGTGTCAAATAATCCTTTTTTCTTATAATATCTCTCTCTCTCTCTCTCTCTCACTTTGAAGAAACAAGGTTTCATTCTGTCGCTCAGGCTGGAGTGCAGTGGTGTGATCATAGCACACTGCAGCCTCGAACTCCTGGGCTCAAGATATCCACCCACTTCAACCTTCCTAGTAGTTGGGACTACAGATGTGCACCAGCATGCCCAGCTAATTTCTTGTTTGTTTTTTGAAGAGGCAGGGTCTCACTTTCTTGCCGAGGCTCGTCTTGAAATCCTGGCCTTAAGTGATTCTCCCACTTTGGCCTACCAAAACACTTGGATTACAAGAGTCAGCCACCATGCCTTGAATCACACAATCCTTTTACTTCTCTTTGACATTCACTTTACCACTCTTTGAGATATTATTTTGTTAATTCTCCTCTATCTTTAAACTTCTTACTCTTTGCACACCCTGCACACTCAGCTGTGAAACAGTCAACTTACCTTTCCTCCCATTTATTATTTTACAAATGATGCATTGAAATAGAACAAGCTCATATTTCTATCACTAAATTTACCACTCTACCTTTACCTTTACCTCTATTTAGAGTAGATGAACTCTGCTACTATCTGAAGCCAACTCTGAAGGTTATGTTTTCCAATGATCTCTCGAAGACTGCTCCTTCAACTGTCTCCTCCCCTATATCACCAATTTATCTCTCAATATAAAGTCATCCCCATGAGTATACAAATATAGCTTTTTTCACATGTTAAGTAAAATGTCCCCTCATGCTATGGCCCTATTGACTTCACAGAAATATCTGTCTAAAAGTTATCTGTATTTGATATCTTTGCTCTCTCACATTCCATTATCTCCTTAGTCAAAACAATGAGGTTTCTGTTCCTCGCAAAATGTCCACGTTAAAGTTACTAATGAACGTTGTTTACCAAATCCAGTGGTCAATTCTCAGTTCTCACCTTAGCTGATCCTTTATATAATTTGACCCAGTTGACCACAACTTTCATTTCAAAACTTTTTCTGGTTTTACGCCTACCTCATTACTTTCTGATTTACTTTACTGATTCTTTTTTTCGATTTGTTCTCATTATGTTGTAGTTCAAGACCTCAATCCTGAGCCCTCCCTTATATTTTTCCCTCTTTAGATGACTGCATTGAGTTTTTTGGCTTTAAATAAAATCTGCCTGTTGATGACTCCTAAATATGTACCTGCAGATTATATTTATCTTATATTGTTTCCATCTGTATTAGTTATCTATTGCTGCATAAAAAGTTATCCAAACCTTAGTGTCTTAATAACATCTATTATATCATACTTTCTGTGGGTCAGGAATCTGGGCATGGATTATCCGGGTCCTCTGGCTCAGGATCTCTAACAAGGCTGCAGTCAATGTATTGGATGGGGCAGCAGTCATCTCAGGGTCTGATTGGGGCAGGACCCACTTTCAGGTTCACTCAATAATGGTTTACAAAATTCAGTTCCTTGAAAGTTGAGCCACCTGCATTTTCTTACCACATGGTCTTTTCCATAGGGCAGCTCTCAAAATGGCAGCTGGCTTCATCAAAGTGAGTAAACGAGAAAATGTCAGCAAAAGGTGGGCCAGTGTTTTATAACTTAATCTCAGAAATGACATACCATCACTCTGGCCTTATTACCAAGTCACTAGGTCCATTTCTCACTCAAAGGTGGGGGATTACACAAGGTAATGAATAACAAGAGGCAAGGGTCATATATGGTATGATAAAAGCATCTCAAACTTTATCCAAAACAAAACGACTTCCTGACTTCCCAAACTTTCTATGCCCCTAGCCTTCCTCATCTCAGTAAATGGTAGCACAATACCCCTTTACTCTCTGACCAAACCTGGAAGTGATCTTTGATTTCTCTTTTACTCACTAACCATACCCGATGTATTAGTAACTCATATTATTGTTATCTACAAATTATTCACCAAGTCTGATGACCTTCCATCATTACCTTTGTTAAAATTGTAGTCTAAGATGATATAAATTCTTGTCTGAACTACTGCATTAGCCTTCTACCTTATTAATATCTTTTCTTCCTTTCTTTTGTTCCATTATAGTACAAGTGAACTTGTTAAAAATGTATATTATCTTATTAGTACTTGTATTTGTCTCCTAGGGCTGCCATAACAAATTACCACAAACAGGGTAGCTTGAAAAAGCAGAAATTTATTCTTTCACAGTTTTAGAGGCTAGAAGTCAAATATCAAGGTATTAGCAAGGCCATGCTCTCGCAGAAGTCTCTAGAGGTTGATTCTTTCTTGCCTCTTCCTGGTTTCTAGTGGTTACCAGCAATCTTTGGCTTTCCTTGACTTGTAGCTACATCACTTCAATCTCTGCCTCCATTGTCATTTGGCCTTCCTCCTGATGAGTGTTAGTTTGTGTCTCTTCTTCTAAGGATACAGTAATTGGATTTAGGGTACACCCTAATCTGTTATGACCCCATCTTAACTTGATTTTATCTGCAGAGCCACTCTTTCCAAGATCACATATATAGGTACTCAGAGTTAGAATTTCAACATATCTTTTTAGAGGACAATTCAACCTGCAACAGTCCCCTACCTTAAACTACAAATGGCTTTTTACTACAAATACAATAAAATACAAAATACTTACTCTGTTAATAAGCCTTTACATGAATTGGCCTCAGCCTATTCTTTGTGTCTCACTTAGTTCCACTCTCACCCTTATTCAATCTACTCCAACCACATTGGCCTTATTTATGTTGTACAACTATGCCAAGCTTGTCCTGTTCTTATGGCCTTTCCATATGTTTTATATCTTTCTGGAATTTTTCTCCTGTATCCACCTGTGACTGCCTTCTCCTCATGATTTAAGTCCTAAGTTACAGACAACTTCTTGGAGAAATTAAAATAGTAACTTCTGTACTCCATCACTCTCTACCCTCATAATGTGTATTAACTGACATATATTTTTTATTTGTTCACTCATGTTTTCCCTGGCAAGAATGTAAGCTTGATGAAGATAGGATATGGGTCTGTCCTGTTTCTTCTTATGTCTCTAATACCCTAATATCTAGGACAGTGCATGGAATATATTGGTCAATGAGTTTATGTCCCCATTATAACCTAAAAGAGCAAGATGATATGCATAATAGCTAAGTAGATTCTGGAAAGTAGAATGCTAATTTACCTCTGATCTTCTGAACTTGTGGAGGTGGTAAGAACTAATGTGTAGTATTTCTAGATGTGGTGGGAAGAACAGTCAATCTTAGAAGTCAATTCTTAGAACTCCAAGCAGGGAAAACCATATGCTAAGTACTGGGAAGTTAAGAAGCAACAAGATCAAACAGACATAAAGCAATTTATATTCTCTTTGAGGAGACAGTGCAGCTCCTGCAATAAAGCAGGAACCTCAGATAGTGAAAATCTTTGAGCTGAGTGACTATAGCCAATACCTAGTTGAAAGTCACATAAATATCACTTAGAATTTCAGTCCATGCAGAGACTTTGCAAGCCCACAGTTTCCAGAGAAATAGTAGCATAGTCTGCAGGTTGAACATTGGATATAGATCATTTATGTCCTTTGTGTATATATTTGCATCAGAGGTTTCAGAACTGTTTTATTTATTATTGACTATTTAAATTATTGTCAGTAGAAAACATAGAACCTAATTTTCTAGCTGCATGACCTTGGGAAAGATACTCTAAATAGACAACAATAGCATCTACCTGATTAATAATTTCTAAGGATTAATAAGATAGTACATATAAAGTGCTCAGATACATGCCTGGCACATAGAAAGTGCTCAACAAATGTTGGCAGTTATTATTAATAATGCTTATTACTTACAGGCATTGAAAACTGAATGTGAAAAATTAGATATGAACTTGTAGATAATATCACAATTATCTGTAAATGCTAATGATAAACAAAAATATTCCTGTTAGCTTTCTGGCTTTTCAAATATTTTACTAGCTTCCTATTGCTGCTGTAACAAAGTATCACAAACTTCGTGGCTCAAAACAACATAGATTTATTCTTTTACAATTCTGTAGGTCGAAAGTATAAAATGAAATTTATGGAGCTAAAATCAAGGCATTGGCAGGGCTAGGTCTTCTAGGGCTTCAGGGGAGAATCTGTTGCTTGCATCTTCTAGTTCCTAGTCTTTGATGGAATTCCTTGGCTCATGGCTGCATCACTCTAATATCCACTTCCATCATCATATGGCCTTCTCTCTAACTTTGACACTCCTGCTACTCTCTTATAAGGACCCTTGTGATTACAATGAGCCCACCTTGTAATCTGGAATAATCTCCTTATCTCAAAATTCTTCACTGAATCACATCTACAGAGTTCCTTTTGACATGTAAGGTAACATGTTCATAAGTTCTGGAGATTAGGGTGTGGATATCTTTGCAAGCCATTATTCTGTCTAGCACAAATGCAGTCACTATCTTTTAATTTTAACAGTTATTTTGAAACAAATACATTCTATTATTGCTTTTTCCTCTATAAGAGGATTCTATTGACACATTGGCACATAGGACAAATACTTATATTTCTTTTCCTTGAAGCTTCAGTGGTCATGTTCTCGCTGAGTAACGCTGGGGTGACTATGGAGCTCTTTTATAAAAGGTAACTAGTTTTTCTGTGCTCCATGGCCTCAGAATGGAATTTTTATTGTTTGATAAAGCTAATTATTGTGAATAGTGATTAAACTTGTGATCTGAGGGTACCAGCCATGCCCCAGATTATTTGGAACATTAGGAGATATTTTTGCTTGTGACAACTAGGTGAAGGTGCTACTGGTATCTAGTGAATACAGGCCATGGATGCTGCTAAACATCCTACAATGTACAGGACAGCCCACCTCCCCAACAATGAATAATCTATCTCACCAGATTAATAGTACCATGTTTGAGAAACCCTGCCATAGGCAATTTTAAGAAACAGTATTATTGCTTGGGCCTTTGCTTTTCAAAAGTGTGGTGCATGGACCAGCAGTTTTGGCATCACGTGGGTCATCAGTCTCTTTGAAATCTCCCCAAGTGATCCCAAAATTCAGCCAAGGCTGAAAATCACTGCCTTAGCTTTTCTCCCATTATCTTACCCTACTCATAAGTTGTTATGGTTATGGATATATAGAGTTTAACTGGAAAAATAAAACTAAAAAATTTGCCACGTGTAACAAACATCATATATTAGAGCTCTAATTGGCATAAAGCCACCTTTTTCTTGAGAATTGCAATAAATAATAAATTCCTCAGTGTACTGAATTGTAAACACACAGATATGTGGTAAGAGTCAGGTTTATCCAACTATTCGTTAAATATATTGGCAGGGAGAACTCACAAAGGAGGGCAAATTCACTCAGCTAGGATCATGTTTGCAGCCTGCAAGAGCGATGATGGAATATATTTGCTTTTCCTCCCTGGCTCTGTCACTTGCCTCATCCAATCTGCTGACTTTAGAACCCAAAAAGTTTCTTTGGTATGGGCTTTTGGAGCTGAATTACAGTGGAGGGCATGATGAATACGAAAGGCGTAAGAAAGGTGAATTAGAAAAGTGGCAGATAGAAACTGTGTAGTGTTTTTATTTATGCTCTCTATTCTTCAGCACAGTGCACTTTCCATTTTAGCTAGTCAGGTTCATCCATTTACAGTATTTTTTCTTGTCACCAAATAAGTGTGAGCTCTATTGAATTTCACAGAATTTTCTGGCAGTGTATGAAACATATCAATTTCCCCAGTAATTCCCAGTAATTTAAGTTTGGAATTATTATACAAATTAATTCAATTAAGACTACAGTTATCAGCATAGCCCTGTTAATATTCTGTGGCTTATAAAAATAAAAGGTAACATGGATCTAACTAGACACCAATGTTTAAGGGTAATCATACATTATTGTATTCAATGTTTGCAGTAATCCTTTGAGATACAGACTATTCATCTGGCCATTTTACAGATGAAGAAAATGAGATATTAGATATTGGAATGTCAAGTATTAGTAATTTTTCCAAGTTTGCATAGCTAGTAAGAAGTCGAGCTGGGTTTCATATACAAGGACTTTTACTCCTGAGTGTGTGCACTTAACCACTTTCATTGTATATTTCTTCAGGTCTGTCTTCACAGGCAAGCATCGGCTAGTGCCAGGGATTTTCTAAACTATATTGGTTACATTAGGCAACTCTAGATTTTGCAAGGGATGATTCCATTGTTTTTAATGACCTTGATTGAAGCCTTTTCCTAGCCACTATTCCCCTAAGATGGGTAGTTTCTCTGCTTTGCCAAATCTGAGAGAAAGACCTAGTGTCTCAAAATACATTTAGTTGCTCCTGTTGATGATAATGTTATGGAAATGGACTTTTTCTATGCACCTTTGCAGTTCCACTGATCTCTTGTTTAGCAGCCTTGACAGTGTCTTTATATTGTTGTTCACATGGTTTCTGATTAAAACCCCATGATACTAAGCTCTGACTAGAATACGAAATCTAACCCGAATTAGTTTATCATGATTTCTTTTGTTTAATTTCCTTTTTAACATTTTATTGAACATTGACAATTATACTTGTATATATTTATCAGGTACAGAGTGATACTATTATGTGTGTGTGTGTGTGTATATATATATATATATATATATATATATATATATATATATATAGAATGTGGAAAGATTGAATCAAGCTAATTAGCGTATTGCTCATCTTAAATACTTACCTTGCTTAAACTGTAAAAAATACTTTATCTTAAAGCATTTATTGACTAACTTGATTTTAATAAATGAATGTAGTATTAAGTAAATTAAAAAAGAAATTAAAACTTGACTTTCATAAAGATATAAAATGAACTTTTGTCAAAGTTTTATTTACATCACTAATTAATGAGGGAACTAGACAAGATGTTACACCTGACTTGATGGAGTTGTCAAAGAACCACAAATTTATATGCAATAAAGGAATATTGAACTCAATTGAACACAGCATGTCTATCCATAGAACAATAATCAATTGCATTCTACCAGACACAATTAATAAGCATTTCCATGGATAAGAATTGTTTGCATTGCTATTAGCTTTCTAGATGTTCACTGTATCTTTACAGAGATATAAAATAGCTTATTCAAAAGCAAAGTTACACATATAAGATCAGATAATTCCCAGAGGCTCCACCTTTCCATGGAAAGGATAGCTAATAATCTCTCTTGCTTGTTTCAGATTCTCAAATGTTTCCTTAAAGTAGTATTAGGTGGATACATTTACAGGCATATCTCTTCCACAGTATACATTTCATTCTTTCAATCACAGTGTGTGTGTGTATGTGTGTGTGTGTGTGTGTGTGTGTGTGTGTGTCTGTCTGTCTGTCCAGAATCTATTTTAATTAGATTCAGATTGCTAACCTGGTGTTTTTTATTAGTGATCCATTAAAGTGGATCATATGGTTGAAAACAGTGGAAGTTGTTGCATTGAGAAAATATTTTGCACAATGTGATTTATCAGGATGACTCTTGGATTTAGAAACGTATGGCTTTTACTTGTAGAATTAGAATTATAATAAATCATTCAGATTCTGGAAAAAAAGTAATATAATTTGATCCTTTAAAACCTTTTCTAATGAAATTTTAAAGAGGCATAAATACATACATATTTTTGTAAAAAATAGTGCATGTTCTTTTTTTTCAAATTAGGGAAACATAGCAATGTGGAGGAGAGCCAAAATCAGTATAATTACTTATGATAGCCAGCTCATGTGATCTGCTGTGCTGTAGTTTTTAAGTCATTTTTCTATTATTAATAGTAATAATATTATTCATACTATGGATAATTTTCTCTATACAGCATTATATTATGCTTTCATCTCCTTTCCATGTTATTTTGACTATTTTTGCAAATTATTAATTTCAGAAGTATTTGTGAAAGCTAAATAATATTCCATCTTACAGATATTCTCTACAATTGTTACTAGTCCTCTATATTAGTCAATAGAAAATATAATAATTATCTCTTTACATAAATCTGTCTGGATTAATGAATATTTAAGGTGGTATATTATTTACCTATTTTTACATAACAAATTACCAAAAACTTAGCAGCTTGAAACTATACAAATATATTATCATGTAGTTTCTGTGGGTCAGGAATCTGGGCACAGGTTAGCTGACTCAGTTCAGGGTCTCACAAGTGTGAAATCAAGATGTCATCTGGGTCTTAGGTCTTATCTGAGACTTGAAGTCCTCTTCCAAGCTCTTATGGTTTTTTGCAAACTTGAGGGTTTTTTTTTTATTTATTTTTATTTTTATTTTTATTTTTTTTTGTGGTTTTAGAACTGAGTCCCTCAGCTCCTAGAGGTTGATGGCCATTCCCTGTCACATGGCTGTCTCCATGACATGGCACTTTCTTGTTGAAAGCCAAAAGGAAATAATCTCTGCTACTTCTTTCCTCTAACCTTTTCTATCTCTAACCTCTAGAACCTTTTTTAAAAGACCACCTGATTAGGCTGGGCCCAACCAGGATAATTTCCCTTTTGATTAACTTAAAGGCACCTGATTAGTGGCCTTAATCACACCTACAAAATCCTTCTATCTTTGTTATATAATATAACCTAATCATGGGCATGATATCTACCATATTTATAGGCCCCACCCAAACTTAAAAGAAGACAATTCTACAGGGTGTGGACACAAGGGAGTGGAAGTCTTGGGGCCCATCTCAGAATTTTTACCACTTACAGATGGATTTTTAGAAGCAGGATGATTGATTCCCAGTGGTTAAGTATTTTAAAGGCTATATATTGAGAAATTGCTTTCCAGTAAAACTGTACTAATATTCACTCCCATCATCAGATTATCAGCATACTTGTTTTACTATATCCATATTGACATAATAGTCATTTAAATAACTTTGATTACTATTTTCCTTTCTCTATAATTATATATGTATGAATATACAAAATTACAATCATGGCATTTTTGTGTGAGAAAATTTTATTTTTATTTGACAAATTATTTTAGTATATGCTTTTATTTACTATCAGTTTTATGATTGTAATATTTAGTGACTGTATGTCTTCTAGGTATTACCTATTCACTTGATTTGTTCATTTTCTATATTCATTCCCTTTGCTAATTTTCCCAATAGATTTGTAAGCATTCTTTATATTATATGGGCACTAGCCTATTGATGTGTATGTTGGAAATATGTTTGCTAATTTATATTTGACTTTTAACTTTCCCTATACAATTTATATTTTTATGTTCTAAAAAACACAATAAATATTCCATTTGAATTTTGACTAGAAGTGCATATTCCCATTTTGGAAAAATTTGACATTTTATGCCAAAATTGATAAAGTAGTCAATATTTTAATCCTGGAGCATATTATTTGCATGAATTTATAATGGAATAAAGTTTTCTAACTTCTTGTCACCATACCCTACTACTAATAAAAATTTTACATTTCTCTCTTTCTAATATTTACAGTCACTGCCTAGGAATTCCAGATCAAAGCTAAATGAAAATAGTAACATTAACTATCCTTGCCCTCATTCTTTATATTAGTTTAAAGCACTTCGTCAGTTTAAAAAGAAAAAGGTTTTCTATATTTTTATAGCCATAACCATGATTTTCTATTCCTTGGACCAAACTCTGTTTCTTGAAAGTTTGGAAGTACTCATCTGTATTGTTTTCTTCAATTAACATTTTTGGAGTTTATACTTTAATAGCATTTTGAGATTTTAAACGGTTTTGGGTTTACTCGTAATTTTCTTCTGTTTAATGAATTTTAGTTATTTTTATCCCCAATCATCCATTCTGTAAAATTTACAAATTTAGTAAAATTCAGTGTTCTAAATATTTTATGTCATTGTATATTTTATAACTTCTTCAGTTCTAATTTTGTTTATATCATTGCTCTTTTTTTTCTTAATAGATTAGAGGGAAGTTTCATCAACTCTTTGTAATACAAAACCGGTTTTGACAGTCTGTTCTTTAAGCACTATTGGTTTTTAACCTCCTGAAGCATATAGTCAGGACATCTTGAGAGTCAAACCAACCCTTTCCTTACCAGATTCCTGTACAACTTTTCAGCTTCACCTGGTGCCACCCAGTAGGTGTGCCAATTATCCCATAGTAACTGCGCTTACTGCTCCAGTAGTCTATAGGTTTGCAAGACATTCCACAGCATTTTGTGTTAGATTGCTCCACAGTGAACTCCACAGTGTTTAATTCTCGGGACAATATTTAAATAAGGCACAGATGCATTTTGGATAAGATTATTTGACTGCTGCGTATAGTATTCTTCATCACCTTGTAGGGTAATCTGCCAAGAAGCGTATGACTTCAGATTTTTATTGATAACTTTGGTTTTTTAGTCATATTGTGAATTAGCTTTTGGAGATCAGTTTAGAAGCTTGGTTGTAAGATTTGGAAGGTCAACATTCCCTTGTCAGAGAAGCGCTATAGGAATAAATGGTCTTCTGTTTAGAATTGTGTTAAAAAGAAAACAAGCAAATTCCCACAGAGTTTTGTCAGGGCCAATTTAGAAAAAAATTATCTTGGTGACCTAAAACTTGTTTTCGATGATCTAAATGTATCCCCCTCCCTACTCCCCAACTCATATTGAATAGATTGTCAAGTATTTAGCTTTATTTTCATCAGTGGTTTTCCAAATGGACCATGCACTCTTTCTGTCCTACTCTACCTGTAATCTCTTGCCCACCATTTATTTAACCCTTTCTACCTTAGTCATTAATGAACTCCCTCTTCTGCTTCCAAAGTCAGCCCAATGCCACCCTCTTCTGTGAATGTTTTCATGACCTATCCAGGCTGCACTGAGCACTTTCCATGGATTCTTGAGAAGTCGTCTCTCATAACATGTATCCCTTTGCTAAAATTGTTGATTTCCATGTCTCTCTTCCATGTAATCCTTGCCACAGTGACCATTTCCTAATCATTTTGTACCTCAGTATTTAGAACAGCATCTGCATCATGATAGGCACTCCATAATTAAAAAAACAAATGTATACATAACTTTATAATTTGTGTTTAATTTCCTCAAGGTAGTAGCCAAAGCTTATGATTTAGACACAAGTTTCCCTGTGACTAATTGTAAATATTGTGCCTTTTAGTAACTTATGGTTGCAGAGTATCTAAGAGCTTCTGTTTATCCTCTCCCCAGGAAATCTATCTCATAACATGCATCGCTTTGTGTAAATTGAACTCTTGGAAAAATACTTTATCCGTGTCAGGCACAAATGGATACTTCAATTTTTGATTAGAGTGAAAAATGGTTGCTTTAATCTTGAATATAGTAATGGCAAAACTTTAAATATTAAGTAAAATATAGTGAATCATTTTTTTAGCATAGGTAATTACTACATACAAGCCAGGAGTGGAAAGAAGGCATAAGAAAAGAGCTAGCATTAGAAAATGTCTATAATTAAATGTCATTGTTAAACACTAATAGTCACCATAAAGACAAGTATTTTATTTAAGGCTTATGAAACTTTGAAGTAGGTATTTGCTACCTCAACATGTTGAGGAAAAGTAGGTAAAAACTGAAATAAATATGGCAGATACTTATGTCCATGCTTTGTAGGTGAGAAAACTGGGGCTTATAAAGATGAAGTAACTTGCTTACCTTAACATACAGTAAGGCCAATAATCCAGGTTTTTCTGATTCTAAAGCGTATTCTCCCTGCTTTATAGTTAAGAATAAAACAAATGAGTGCAGCTTCCCTCCCTTTCACTTCCAAATTTACCTTTATATTCACCCATTTGTACTTTATTTTCTACCTATAAAAGGAGTCTCAACTTCCCCATACTAATATCTCTTCCTTCTAGATTCTCTTCTTTCCTCTGAATCTCTTTTGCCTCAGTTTACATATGTCATCCAGAATTCCCCAGTTAATCCTCAACTTCTCTACCCTGAATTGTGGATTCCACATCCACATTCAAAACACATTGTTGCTTGTTTTGAATGTTGTTTTTGAAAAACATTCAAAAACAAGCAGATGAAACCTAGTTTCCACCTTGGACTCTTTTGATTATGCCCACTTATACTCCTATTTGTGTAATGAAAAGACTGGTCATTAGCATCTTAACTCTGATACCAGTTGTCTTTTTTATTTCGAGACAGGATCTCACTCTGTTGCCCAGGCTAGAGTGTAGTGAAATAATCACTGCTCACTCCAGCCTCAACCTCTGGGGCTTAAGTGATCCACCCGCCTCAGCCTCCCCAGTACCTGGGACTACAGCATGTGCTACCACACCTGGCTAATTTTTAAATTTTTTTGTAGAGATGGTGGTCTTACTGTGGTGCACAGACTGGTCTTGAACTCCTGGGCCCAAATGATCCTCCTGCCTTGACCTCCCAAAATGTTAGGATTACAGGCGTGAGCCACCAACGCTGGCCCAGATGTCTTTTTTTATTCTCACAATACACAAACTCTCCTGATTGTATCCTTAAATATCCTTGCTTGCTTATTTTACCCAGTATTTTCTGATTCACACTCCCTCTGTGGCTTGCTTTTCTCACTTTTTCTCCCTCTTGATTCATTTTGCCTGTCCTATAAATATTTGTAAGCCCCAGGGTGGATAATGTGAGCCTTCTTCTCTTCTTTATCTGTACTTCCTTCTTGTTTTTCCTAATACATGTTCTTAACTTCAGCTACAGTTACAGTGTTGTGTTATCTTCCATCTCTCTACTAAGCTCCTGGCTAATATTTTAATAAACTACATGAAAGTTTTAACAGGGCCAGTCTAATTAAATAGGTAAGCATTTGTTTCCTTTATTGGTTTGTGAGCCTTTTTGATTAGACTCCATTGCATTGTCTTTGTGTCCCCACTACATCATAGCAAAACATCTTGTAACTAGTGTATGCTCAATAAGGGTTTATCAAATGATGGGTTTAAATATCAAAATTGAACTGCATATAATAGCAACCATATCCAGTCTTTCATTCATTTATTTTTTTCCAGCTAGTATTCATTGAGCATTGGAAATTAAAAGTTGCATAAAACTCACATTTACCCTTCAAGGCCTTCCAGTCAAGTAGAAAACTGGGATACACAGAAAACTTGATAGGGAAAGGATGTGAATATTAGTAGTATGAATTAATTGGTAGTACTTACAATAATAATAAAAGTAATAACAATTAACTGCAATAACAACAATAAAAACAGAAGCTTTGCCTGTAATCTCAGCACTTTGGGAGGCCAAGGCAGGCAGATCAGTTGAGGTCAGGAGTTCGAGACCAGCCTGCCCAACATAGTGAAACCCCATCTCTACTAAAAATACAAAAATTAGCCGAGTATGGTGGTGGGCGCCTGTAATCCCAGCTACTTGGGAGGCTGAAAGAGGAGAGTCATTTGAACCCAGGAGGCAGCGGTTGCAGTGAGCCGAGATCGCGCCACTGCACTCCAGCCTGAACGACAGAGAGAGACTCTGTCTCAAAAACAAACAAACAAACAAAAATCCCGGAAGCTTTGATTTGTTGTTCTTTCAATGTGCCAGTGCTGTTCTAAGCACTATGCTATATATACTATTATAATACTTACTTTGCAAATAAAGAAACTAGTCACAGAGAGGTTATTTGTTCCAAATCACAGTTTATAGGTGGCAAAGCTGGGATATATAGACTTTCTGCTCTTAACCATTGTGATATGCTCATTCTGCATAAGGTTTAGTAGTGGTTTATGTGAAGCCAAATGGTGAATGGTATTGACAGGAAACAGGCAACTGGTTTCAGGTCCATTTATCCAGAAATTGAGGCCTCTTGAAATTAGTTCACCAATAGTATAAGCAATAAGAAAATATGTGAGAACCTCACTAAATGATTATGTACAGTTTGTATTGCTATTTCTGGGTGCAAATTTTGATTATGCAACAAGGATAGCAAAACTTGGATGTCTATGGCTAGATACATTTAATCTGTTTTGCAATTTAAGACACAATAAACTTCCTCAAAGAAGTTTGTAAAGATTATTATAGATTGACCAAGATGTTAAGTCTGTGAAATTCTATGGATTTCTTTTTGTGTTCCCTAATACATAAAGTTTCAAGAGATTCAGTTAAGGATCTTGATATTACCAAATTGATGCTTTCCACACATATTAATTTTAAGAAATAGAATTGCAAACTAGCCTATATGCTTTATAGAAATGAAATGAGTAAGGAAATAGTATTTTGAACAGGAGTAAAGTAATAAGATAGTTGAGCTGAAAGGTCTTGCAGTGTATAGTTGGGTCCTGGAGTTTCTTGGGCAGTGCTGATTAAACTTACACAGAGAAGAACTGATTCTCACAGCTAACCTGAAGGCTGAAGGTGTCAACTTGAAGATTTCCTGCAGCTCCAGTTAGTGTGGTGGCTGGGAAATGGTATTCGGGTTTTAGGAATGCATGACTCAGATTTGTACTTTAATGTGGCAGTTCATCAGATGTGTCTGATGAATCAGCTCTTTGGATTAGGTTTCATTTATGTCTTTATGTAAACTTAAGGTCTTTGGATAGAAAACTTAAACAGATTGTCATCCCTTAAAGGTGCCGCCATTAAAATAGATTATTTTCCATGCTATTACAAATTCACTGATTTTCTGAATAAAATGGTGATGGTGACACCTTGCCACAGGTGAATGGATTTTGCTTTTGTTTTGTGAATTAAAATGTGTTTTAACAGACTTATTAATATGAGTAAATTAATCAATTAAAACCATTCAGAAGTATCTGAATGAGGCTCTGGGAGAACCCAAAATGTGATAGTTTTGGCATTTTCATCTTTAATAAAGTTATAGTGATTGAGAGCTGGATTGATCAGTCCTCAAGTGTCTTGCAAAGAAAGGTGTCCTGTCATAAGTTTACAATATATTTGAACTGTGTTCTGATTTCCCACTTTTTGAAAGTCGGTCTTTCAGCTCCACTATCTCAGTCTTATACAAAAAGAAAAGAAGCAGAGAGTAGAATGGTGGTGGCCAAGGGCTGGGACAGGATGGGGAAAAATGGGGAGATGTTGGTCAGAGGGTACAAACTTGCAGATATACAATGAGTACATTCTGGGGATCTAATGTACAGCATGTTGACTATAATTAATGATACTACATTGTATACTTAAAATTTTTTGAGAGTAGATCTTAAGTCTTACCACACACAAAAATATAACAACTGTATCAGTTGAAGTATGTGTTAGCTAACTTTATAGTGGTAATCATTTCACAATATATATGCATATCAAAACACACTGTACATTTTAAACATATCCAACTTTGTGAATTATACCTCAATAAAGCTGAGACACAGAAGGATGATTTTCTGAGGAAGACAATGTTCGTTTATTTAATTTCAAATGAAATATTTCTCCTTTAGAAATCCAAACACACTAGGTTAGTGTCCCTTCTTATATTCCTCTGCAAGCCTTATAATAGAAAGAAATGATTTTTGGGTAGTTTCGTTGAGTGTTGTTTCTTCTTCTTCTTTCTTCTTTCTTCTTCTTCCTTTGTTGCTTAGGCTGTAGTACAGTGACACAATCTCAGCTCACTGCAGCCTTGACCTCCCAGGCTCAAGCCATCCTCCTACATCAGCCTCCCAAGTAGCTGGGCCTACAGGTGCACTCCACCACGCCCAGCTATTTTTTTTTTTTTTTGTAGTGATGGGGGTTTTGCCATGTTGCCCAGGCTGGTCTCAAACTCCTGGGCTCAAGGGATCTACCCGCTTCAGCCTCCCAAAGTGCTGAGATTACAGTCATGAGCCACTGTGCCTGGCCAGAGTATACATTCTTTTAATAAAAACAAAAGTCTTAAAATTATCTTACAATATCTTTTAGAGGTTTTTGAAAGAAAATTATAAAATCACGATTAAATATTTTGAGGCAGACAGCTTATGATTTAATCTCTGTTGGAAAGAATGACACTGAATAAAACCACATTCTATTGCAGCATGGAATGTTAAAAATGTCAGTTTGGATGATTTTTATTAAGATAAATTGTTAGTGAAATAATTCTTTTGACGGGATTGTTTCCATTTATTTAAATACAACTAGGGCGTTTAAATAAAAAATCCAAAACCTCAAGTGAACATAAGATTTTAAAGCATTTTGGGGGTGAGGGCTATGGAGGCATAATTTTGGTATTACCAGTTTCGATTTAACTTAGGAACCACAACATATGGGAAAATATAATAGAAATCCTGGTTATATTCTTTCCTTTTGTGTAATTCATTGCACCGATCATGTTTGATCAAAGTTATGAAACTCTAATAATATTGCTATCTATTTTTAAAACATGTATGTTTTTCTTCTTTTTAATCTTTGCTTTAGGGAACGGCCTTTAAGAGCTGGAAGATGAAAGCTCCGATTCCACACTTGATTCTCTTATACGCTACTTTTACTCAGAGTTTGAAGGTTGTGACCAAAAGAGGCTCCGGTAAGCAGTATTCCTCTATTTTTTATGTGTTTTTATAGCTTAAAGTGATAGTGCTACATCTACACATGTGCCATTAGTGGAAAAGTTGAGAATGATCAGTTATCAATATTGTGGAGATATTGTAGATATTATGAGTAAATAGGTGGAGCACACTCATAGGGAATTAGGAAAGTGAGAGTGGATTCAAAAGAATGTGGCTTATTTTATCGATTACTATGAATTGGCATGGATTCAATAGCAAAGCCTTGTATTTAGATTTCATTTTGTGGTAGGATTTTAAGTATTCTTATATAAACAGTGTTATTTAATTTTTTGCATGGAAATATTATTGTATCTTTGATGTTAACTTTTATTGTTACCATTTTGATGTCAGCTATACTTAGGGAAGATTCTTTTCAGGGTTGTACTCCAGCTGATTTGATGAATTGCTTGGAAGTATATAAAGAAAATACTAGTGTTATTGAAGAAAATGTCATGAGGAAGCACTAATATTTTAATAGGAAATATAGAGGTAAAGTAGGATGGTAATGAAAGGAACTACTAAATAGATTAATGTTGGCATTTATGAAAAACTTTACATGTTATCAGGCATCTTGGTTTGTAGTGGACTGTTGATAGTTCAATTGTATGGGACAATTGAATAAATACCATTATCAATGTGAAGTTGTATCTTGTCTAGTAAGTCACTAATAATATAAAGCCTTGCCATGCTCACACTATGTGGAGTCACATAATTTTTGAAGTTATAGCTTTTAGGTATGAAGGAAGATGAAGGGTATTGTGTTTTGTTGCTAGAATTAGAATGTATTGTCTGTTAGTTCTAGAGAGCCTGTGGGAAAAAGAAGATGAGATAATGTACAAGAGGTTGCAGTGTTGTGATATAAGCAATTGCATGGACAAAAGCATCTTTGGAGTTCAGAAAGGAAAGGGAATGAAAGGGCTGAGATGGGGCTGTGAAGCAAACATCTTAACCATGAGGTTAAAAGGCTTCAAACTCACTTTGATGATATAACGAAAAAGCCCACATGCAGGGGAAATAGGGAGCAGCTCTGCTCTCGTGAGCCCCTCCTGGGGATAAAGTCTGAAGGGAAACTGGGGAGGGCATTGTGCATGGACAAAGGTTTGGTGCATGGTTGAAAGTTAAAAAAAAATACTGAGACTGTTGGTTCTAGCATATTTGGTTATTATACAGCTGTTGTATCTGCCATTGATGTGGTTATAGGCAACGTGAAAAAAATACTGTTGTTATGTCTACACATTATTTCATCTCTTCTTCTCAGTGGATCTTCTGAATGAGATAAAACCCTAGGGCAGGATTATGATGTTGTGGTTTATGTAATTCAAATGGGTTAATGGGAAATAACATATATCTTGATTTCTTTAATTGTACTATGCTCAAGTACAATTGAGCATAACCAAGAGAGTTAGAGTAGGTAGAAAGAGGGGTAAATAGTGATGAAAGCTGATAATTTTTACAACACTGATGTTTTCTGGAATAGAAATTTACATTAAAATCACTTAAGATAGGTTTTTGAGATAGTAGCTATATATAAGAGAAACACTCATTTGTGTAAGTATTATAACAAAATGACAATAGTTCATCCAAAATAGAAATATTGATTAATTCTTTAAAACTTTATTTTTCTGGTTATTACCACTAATTATATAAAATCTGTTTTTTTTTCAGTTCTTTCTGTGTATGTCAGATCTATGATTTATTTATTCAAATAGAAATGTTACTCCTTTTTAATCATAAAGTAATGGTGATAGGTCCATTCTATATAACCTCTAATTTGGGGGCAAGAAATTTTATCAAACTGGGACTTACTTTGTGTGTTTGAGAAGCATGAGAGCAGAGCTAGAAACATGGGGCAGTTGGAAAATGCAAATTTAATATAAATGCAAATATTAAAATGTCTCAAAAATCTATATTAAGTGATTTTAATGTAAATTCCTATTCTAGAAAACGTCATTGTTGTAAAAATTTTCTGCTCTAAAGACCTGAGAAAACTCAAGAATCTGTCTCAAATTCAGTTTTATTTTAATTTTGTAATTATTTGAGAAGAATGGTAATAAGATGCTGTGCTAAGCTAAGCAGAAGTTCTGAGACCTTTCTCTCTTCAGTTTATGAATGCAGTTGTCACGTAATTATATAATACCTTCTAAACCAAATGTGTTTTCTATATTATAATGTAAAAATGACAAGGCAGGTACTGGGATTTTGCAGCATGCCTGATTTGTTTACTTTTCTATATGATGTGAATTAACATACCTTCCTTCCCCTAGTGTCTATATTAAGATCCAGATGGATGGAGGCTTGTTTGTTTGTTTGATTTTTGGATATTAAGTGTGCACTTTGGGAAGGAATAATATTATTCTATCCACATACTTTCATAGCTTGGACTGATTTCAGCTGATGTCTGTTCCTGTGGCACCTTTGTTTGAAGGAAGCAGATATGTAGCTTACTGAATAGTGTCATTACTCATCTCCATACATCAAGTAGAAGAGGAGTGTAGTTGGCATCTTTTCCTTGAAAGATTAATAGCTCAATCTTCATACCCAGCCCAACCTATAAAACCAGCAGCACCATGGCCAGGGGATAAAAATCAATTTTTGATGTTTGATTTTACGTATTAACCAAGAGGACTTCTTATCTTTCTTCTTTTGTCTTATCATTTAATTCTCTTTTGATTCTTTATTTTATTCATCTTTTTGAAAGGTCAGTAAACATGACTCAAAACCCAATGCTTTTCATGTGTCTTTTACTAGAATATTATTTTTAGTTCACTGTGACCACTAGAAAACCAGAACTAGATATTTTAATAATTAGGAACATATACAATATTATATTACACAGAGAAATATTGATTTTTAATGGCATGTTAATTTTGTAGAGTGTTTACTTTAGATTAACACATATGGTCATTCCATAAAAGTAGATATTGTTTTCTCATTAACAGAACTAATTTGAAAGCAATAGGAGGTCTTATTACACAAGCTGGAAATGCATTATTTTTATCACATTGGCTTACAGTCCCATCGCTGTTAATTTAAGGAACAGATTAAATATAATAAGGCAGGCCGGGCGCGTTGGCTCACGCCTGTAATCCCAGCACTTTGGGAGGCCGAGGCGGGCAGATCACGAGGTCAGGAGATCGAGACCATCCTGGCTAACACAGTGAAACCCCGTCTCTACTAAAAATACAAAAAAATTAGCCGGGCGTGGTGGCGGGTGCTTGTAGTCCCAGCTACTTGGGAGGCTGAGGCAGGAGAATGGCGTGAACCCGGGAGGTGGAGCTCGCAGTGAGTCGAGATCACGCCACTGCACTCCAGCCTGGGCGACAGAGCAAGACTCCATCTCAAAAAAAAAAAAAAAAAAAAAAAAAAAAAATATATATATATATATATATATATATATATATATAAAAAATAAGGCAATTATATCATTATAACATTCTTGATTGAAATATTAAAATGCAACTTTATAACATTTTGTTTTAAATATCACTTCAGATATGTACAATATGTATGACAACTAAGGACTATATCTGGTCTCTCAGGTAAAGTCCTAAAGTTGTGCCTACATTTAGAATGAAGACTTTTAATATCTATGGAAGCACATATTCAGCATTCGTTACACAATAGATTTTATCCTGGGACAATTTCATACCTATTTTTTTTAGTTTTTATAAGTAGCACTTGATGAAAGAGGCTAAGATGACCAATATTACCAATCCCCGTCAAGCATGTGAAATATTATAGCAATTCAGTAAGTAAACATCTCGGTTGCTGTCATTTTTAGAATTCTGAAAAAAAATCCCCCACATGTAAAGCAAACGCTTGCTTGGAGAATCTTTGTATCTCAACCAGTTGAGGAAATTTAGCTTTACATTCTTGTTTGTTGGTCCCTTTCTTCATTCCTTCCTCCCTTCTTTCCCTTTTTGTTCTTTCCTTCCTTCCTTCCTTTCTTCCTCCCTTCCTTCTTCTCTGCTAGTATATTTATCTGCAAATAAAAATAATTTATTTTCATATTCCCACTGTGTCTTGGTAGGACTTTTCAAACTATAAAAATATTATTATTACTTTGTCTGCATGGTTGAAGTATTTGAAATATTCTATCTTTACAAGGCCATTCAAAGAGGTTAGCATAGTCTTTGTTAATAATAGCTATTCTTAAATATATACATTTTAAAATGGTGTATAAGAAAATCTGCAGTAAGATTTGGGAGCAGGGAAATAGTATAAATAGTTGAAGGACTGTTATGGACAAAGTATGACTATAGCACTTTGCGGGGACTAAAGTGTGAGTTGTAATTTGCCTGAAAAGTTTGGGATACTGAAGAAAAATGAAGCTAGAGGGGTCTGGATGTAGAAATTAGGTAAGAGAAGGGGTTCCATGATGTTTTTCTCTCAAAAACATCCTCAGAATATAAGATGGTGAGTGCAAGGACCATGATTAATGTATGCTTATAATCTCTACAGTGCCAAATATGCTGTTTCAGAGTCAGGGTTCAAGGAAATGTCTTAATGACTTAATGACTTAATGACTGCATGAATGGTTGAGTGAGTGGTTTTAATAATCAGAGTTACATCAGTGAGGATGCTACAGGACCAAAACGATATTAGAAAGATAAAGGTAAAATTAAATAGAGGCATTTAAGAAAAATGATTTTTTTTTCTTAAAGAGCAATCAGTATAATGTATAATGTGAGACTACTGAAGCAAAAGATATAACCCGGAATAAGCAATATCTAGGACATAATAAGGGTTTAGATGAAGACAATGAACCTTTACAAATGGGGAGTGTTTTCATGGGCTTGAAATGCAGTTCAAAATCTGTTAAAGGGTAAGGAAAATGATTCTTCGAGTATTTTTCTATTGGAATTCTACTACGTTTAGTGCCGCTTTAAAGAAGTACTAATGTCATTGTGCAGAATTTTGAATTTAATGGTATTGTTCCATAATGGCCATTATGAAAAGGCTGTAGCTCATGATTACTAATACAGGATAAATAAGCAAGTGACTTCAGTATAGGAAAAAAGTATTCACAGTTATTAGACCATATGGAGAAGAGTAAGTGGCTGCATTACCAAAAAGCACGTTATTTTAGGAGGAATTTCATCTATATAAAAGCTCCCTAAAGCATCCAGCTATTAGAGAGTAAAAGGGTTACCAAAAGGAGTTGATCTTCTCTTCATTCTAGAACCTGACAGGGGACACCTGTTTGTGTAAATGATTTAGATGCAATTCTTCTAGACAGCAAGAGGAAGGCAAGCCTCAAAAGGTTTTCCTAAACTTGTGACTCTAGGCCCAAATAATTTATAAAAGGTAAGAGTAGTCAAATAACCAAAGACACAGTTTCAGTTCTAATTTTTGTGTTGTTATGTATGGATATTCATTTAAGTAAAAGAAATTATACTACTGTGTAAAGAAAGCGAGATTTAACTGAATAGGAATGAGAAAGTCTAGTGGGGGTACTTCCATCTCATGTCAATGTGATTTATGTGCAGCTGCTCTCTTGAGCATTCCTGTAAGTCAATGAGCTTAATTTCACATGATTAAGAGACAACCTAGTCCCCCAGCATCTGCCTTTTATTATGTTACCATGTGTTTATTCTCAGTTTGTCAAATATGTCAAAAAAGATAAGGTGTTTCTCCTTATTTTCCTTTGGGGTAGCTTATAAGACCAAACTTCTGGGACTTTGTTTCTTTACCTTTTGAAGTTAAAAAAAATGCACTTTAATTTTTTCTCAGGAAAAAAAATTCTCCTATTTATTGTAATTTTTACAAATTTTGAAATTAGATCTAGAGTAATTTTAATATTCCTTTGAAATTATGTCCTTAAATAAAATAATAAGTCTAATAAAAATGGAACTTGCACCTAACAAACAAAATAAAATTAGCCAATGTCTTTGTTTAGTTATATCTATGTTCTGTTATACCTATATTCTGTTATACCTATGAATTTCCCCACAAACTTACCCATTCAGTTTTAGTTGTCAGTATAATTTTATATAGAGTTGGCACAGATGAATACCAATTGTGGAAAATGATGCCTGCTTCATGGTGAGTTAAGGATAAAAGGCAGTATGAATGAATCTTCCAAGTTGACTAAGACTTCAATGAGGAGGAGAATATTCCAAGTTAATAAGTATAGTATTCCAAGTTAATCCAACTTATTAACTTGGAATTCAAACTAATTAACTTGGAATATTATTATTATTAGTTGTATTAGTATTCCAACTTATTAACTTGTATTCCAACTTATTACTTATTATTGCTTATAATAAGTAATAATATTCAAAGTATCATAAGTATATAAGTGTGGTACTGTATTATGAGGGTACAAAATAATATATTGTTCTATGTATTTGATGGGAGAGGTGAGGAATAGAGGGAAGCAGTATAGAAGCTGGCAAATGGTAGGCAATATAAGTTTGTTAGAGAAATGATGTTCGTATTATTCCATTTTCATGCTGCTGATAAAGACATACCTGAGACTGGGCAATTTATAAAATAAAGAGGTTTAATTGGGCTTTCCATATGGCTGGGGAAGCCTCACAATCATGGCGGAAGGCAAGGAGAAGCAAGTCATGTCTTACATGGATGGCAGCAGGCAAAAAGAGAGCTTGTGCAGGGAAATTCCCGTTTTCAAAACCATCAGATCTTGTAGGACTCATTCACTCTCATGAGAACAGTGCAGGAAAGGTCTGCCCCCATAATTTAATCACCTCCCACTGGGTTCCTCCCATGACAGGTGGGAATTGTGGGAGTTACAGTTTAAGGTGAGAGTTGGGTGGGGACACAACCAAACCATATCATTCCACCCCGGCCCCTCCCAGATTTCATGTCCTCACATTTCAAAACCAGTCATGCCATCACAACAGTCCCCCAAAGTCTTCACTCATTTCAGCATTAACTCAGAAGTCCACAGTCCAATGTCTCATTTGAGACAAGTCAAGTCCCTTCGGCCTATGAGCCTGTAAAATCAAAAACAAGTTAGTTACTTCCTAGATACAATGGGGGTACAAGCATTGGGTAAATACAGGCATTCCAAATGGGAGAAATTGGCCAAAACAAAGGGACTACAGGCCCCATGCAAGTCCAAAATCTAGCAGGGCAGTCAAATCTTAAAGCTTCAAAATGATCTCTTTTGACTCCATGTCTTGCTCATCTGGGTCATGCTGATGGAAGAGGTGGGTTCCCATGGTCTTGACAGCTCTACCCCCGTGGCTTTGCAGGGTACAGCCTCCCTCCCAGCTGCTTTCACGGGCTAGTGTTGAGTGTCTGTGGCTTTTCCAGGCACACAATGCAAGCTGTCGGTGGGTCTACCATTCTGGAGTCTTGAGGATGGTGGCCCCCTTCTTACAGCTCCACTAGGCAGTGCCCCAGTAGGGACTCTGTGCGGGGGCTCTGGCCCCACATTTCTCTTCTGCATTGCCCTAGCAATGATTCTCCATGAGAGCCCCACCCTTACACCAAACTTCTGCCTGGGCATCCAGGCATTTCCATACATTTTCTGAAATCTAGGTGGAGGTCACCAAACTTCAATTCTTGACTTCCGTGCACTGCCAGGCTCAACACCATGTGGAAGCCACCAAGGCTTGGGGCTTGTACCCTCTGAAGCAACAGCCTGAGCTCTGTGTTGGTCCCTTTCAGCCACAGCTGGAGCAGCTGGGACATAGGGCACCAGGTCCCTAGACTGCACACAGCAGGAGGACCCTGGGCCCAGCCCATGAAATCACATTTTCCTCCTAAACCTCTGGGCCTATGATGGTGGGGGACTGCTATGAAAACCTCTGACATACCCTGGAGACATTTTCCCCACTGTCTCGGGGATTAACATTCGGTTCCTCATTACTTATGCAAATTTCTGCAGCCAGCTTGAATTTCTCCTCAAAAAATGGGATTTTCTTTTCTATCACATTGTCAGGCTGCAAATTTTCCAAACTTTTATGCTCTGCTTCCCTCATAAAACTGAATGCCTTTAACAGCACCCAAGTCACCTCTTGAACACTTTGCTGCTTAGAAATTTCTTCCGCTAGATACCCTAAATCATCTCTCTCAAGTTCAAAGTTCTACAAATCTCTAGGGCAGGGGCAAAATGCTGCCAGTCTCTTTGCTAAAACATAACAAGAGTCACCTTTGCTCCAGTTCCCAACAAGTTCCTCATCTCCATCTCAGAACGCCTCAGCCCGGACCTTATTGTTCATATCACTGTCAGCATTTTTGTCAAAGTCATTCAGCAAGTCTCTAGGAAGTTCTAAACTTTCCCACCTTTTCCTGTCTTCTTCTGAATCCTCCAAACTGTTCCAACCTCTGCCTGTTACCCAGTTCCAAAGTCGCTTCTGCATTTTCCGGTATCTTTTCAGCAATGCCCTACTCCTGGTACCAATTTACTGTGTTAGCCTGTTTTCATGCTGCTGATAAGGACATACCTGAGACCAAGAAGAAAAAAAGGTTTAATTGGACTTACAGTTCCACATGGCTGGGGAAGCCTCACAATCGTGGTGGAAGGCAAGGAGTATGTCACATCTTACATGGATGGCAGCAGGCAAAAAGAGAGCTTGTGTAGGGAAATTCCCATTTTTAAAACCATCAGATCTCATGTGACTCATTCACTGTCAGAAGAACAGTGCAGGAAAGACCCACCCCCATAATTCCATCACGTCCCACCAGATTCCTCCCATGACAGGTGGGAATTGTGGGAGTTACAATTCAAGATGAGATTTGGGTGGGGACACAGCCAAACCATATCAATGTTTATTGTAGAGATAGCATACAGGCATTCACTGCTAGGACCAGAGGATTAACCCCTGATCCACTGGTGGTCAACTATAGGCTTGCACGTGATCCATAAGGTGGCTTGGAAATTAGGGACACTGGTGTATCAGTATCTTACTGATGTTTTAACAAATTGCTACAAATATAGTGACTTAAAGCAACACAAATTTATTATCTTACAGTTCTTGAGGTTCTTTATCATCACATCTCCTCTGACTCTGACCCTTCTACCTCTCTCTTTCCCTTATAAGGGTCTTCATTATTATATTGGGCATCCTCAGATAACCCAGGACAATCATTTCATCTTAAAATCATGAATTTAATCAAATTGGAAACGTACCTTTTGCCATGTAATATGACATAGTCATATGCTTCAGGGATGAGGCAGTAGACATCTTTCTAGAGAACATTATTTAGCTTACTGCAACTGGCAATTAGCCAATTCAAACAAACTGTCTATTGAATGCGTTGAAGACTAGAGCAAGAATTGTCAGCCAGGAGCCAGATGGGAATGGAAGAGAAAAGAACAGGGAAGTTGAAAACTTTTGCTGAAGGGCCTGTGCAATCCATGGTGCATGATAAAAGGTGCAGAGGGTTTGTAGCAAAAGAAGAAAAGGGAAAGAAAACAGGGCAGAGGGAAAGGAAGGATGAGAGATGCGGAAGGAGAAAGAGGAAACTGATACTAGTGATGCTTTGGATCTTAAGAACATTTTAAGATTAATCTGCACTCCACACATATACTTTCAAAAATACCCCCTTTTCTTTGTGGTAGGCTAAAGGCGTCTGTGTTCCTTTCAACAAAGTAATACCTGACCTGAAAATGATTTCCAGACGTAAAGTAATAGCAGTGAGAATAGTGAAGACAGAAGAGAGAGCAATTTTAAAGTTAGACTCAATTGAAATAGATGATCAATTAGATGTGAGAGGTTATAAAGAAAGAGGTAAAGAAAAACATTCTGTAATGAGAGGATTGGGATACCATCCATCATATTAAAGGTCCCCAAAGCACAGAAACTTGAAATGACTACTTATTGAAGGAAAATAGTAAGGTCTTTGTGACTAAGATGAAGCCCCAAATGTAGATTGAGGATAGAATATGAGGGATTTTGAATATCTTGCAAGGAATTTTAGATTTTATCTTGAGAACAAAATATTTTGGCTGAGATATTTAATAACTTTGCAAATCCCTTTAGTAGAAAATTCAGTCTGGGTGGTTGGGCCTCTGATTTGATAGATCTGTTCATTGTGGTGTCTTCTCTACACCATAAAGATGAAACTTCTTGCTTTGTGTATGATGGTGTTACACACATTTGTGAGTCCATCAGTAAAGCTGCCTTTGCAGAGAAGGGAAGACACACAATCAAACTATGTAGGATCATACATGAAAATGGCATGGTCAAACCTGGTGTTTGACATGTAACACTCCCTGTAGAAAAGACTAGGGTGGGATTCCAGAATGACCAGTAAGGGACTCGATAAAAATCGTATTTACATATACTGAGGGCCTGAAAAGCAATCAAAGGCACTGAAAATAAATTTCTGAAGAATATATAGGATCTAGTGAGTGTTTGGAGATGAATTGTGAAATAATTCGAGGAGAGGTTATATTGATGGTGTCGCCAATTACAGAGAGAAGATGAATGGCAATTTTTGCGGGGAGAGTGGATGGAATGAAGTCAATTCGGAACATACAAGCTGTGGTAGTCACTGGAAGTATTGAGCTAATGGATTTATTGGTCTGGAATTGTACTAGTTTCCTGTGGCTTCTGTAACAAATTGTCACAAACTGGGTGACCTAAAACAATAAAATTTATTGTCTCACAGTTCTGGAGGCCAGAAGCCCGAAATCAAAGTATAAGCAGGGCTACACTTCTTCTGAAGGCTCTGTGACAGAAAACTTCCTTGCCTCTTCCACCTTCTGGTGGCTTCAGTTTTCCTTGGGTTGTAGCTGCTACCATCTTCACATGGCCTTCCCCTCTGTGTCTTTAATCTCCTTCTGCTTTTCTCTTATAAGGACACCTGTCATTGGATTTAGGATCCACTGGGAAAATCCAGCATGATCTCATTTTGAGATCTGTAACCTTAATTACATCCACAAAGATTCTTTATCCAAATAAATTCATATGCACAGGTCTTGGCGGACATATCTTTTGGGGGACCACTGTTCACACTGCAAATGTCAAAGCAAGAGGTATGGATTTTGAAATTGTCCTCATATTGAGAGCAACATGATGGAATGAGATTATCCAGGGAAAACATGCAGAGAGAGAAGAGGAAAAGAAAAGGGAAAGGGTGAGGATCAAGGATTCTGTGGAACACTAGCCCTGAAGAGGCTGGCAGAGAAAGAGCAGCCAGTCAGGGAAAGAGACTAAGGGAAAGCTAAGGGAGGAAGAAAGAGACCTTACTTGTTTTGGTTCCTGCAAACCAAGAGTGGAGAAAGTTTCAAAATGAAAGAATGATCATGTTACATTCTTTGGAAAGTTGTGTCAGATAACTGAAAATACGTCATTAAATGAAGATTCAGGAAAATGTAGGGGTGGAGAGACAACGGAGTCTGAAAGAAGTTGATGTCAGGTTTTAAAAAGTATATATTGTACAAAATCAGTATATTAAAGGGCCTTTGCATATTAAAGGGATTTTATTTATTTATTTATTTATTTATTTATTTATTTATTTATTTATTTATTTTGAGACAGAGTCTTGCCCTGTCGCCCAGGCTGGAGTGCAATGGTGTGACCTCGGCTCACTGCAACCTCCACCTCCAGAGTTCAAATGATTCTCCTACCTCAGCCTCCTGAGTAGCTGAGATTACAGGCACCCGCCACCATGCCCAGCTAATTTTTGTATTCTTAGTAGAGACAGGGTTTCACCATGTTGGCCAGGGTGGTCTCGAACTCCTGACCTCGTAATCCGCCCCTGCTTGGCCTCCCAAAGTGCTGGGATTACAGGCGTGAGCCACCACACCTGGCCAGGGATTTTACTTTTTAAAGTTTGTTTAACTGTTTAGAAATTATGCTTTTTCTATTTAGGTAAAACGAGTATAAAACTTGTGGTCATCCATGCTAATGAAAAGAATTGTACATTAGTACAGATATAATAGTATAGATAAAATTTTTTCCAATCAAAAACTTCTTTTTTTTTCCAATCAAAAACTTCTTTTAGCAAGAATTAAAACATGTTTTGCCATAGATAAACCTCCTGAAGGAAGGGTGATACTGATTTAATTTTCGTTTTTTCATTTCATAAATACAGATATGGAAGATAGCTTACAAGTGTATTATAATTTTCCACGGTTAATCTTCATGTTAAGTATCGTAAGTTCCAGGAAAGGTCTACAGACAGCTAATATTTACACTCCAACTTTCATTCACAGTGATGATCACAAAAATTACATCTTTTTAGTTAGTATCTCAGAAGTGGCTTACATTAATCTGATGAGTATTATATTAGGTTGGTGCAAAAGTAATTGCAATTTTTGCCATTACTTTCAATGGCAAAAACCGCAATTAGTTTTGCACCTACCTTATAATACCCACAGCAGTGGAAATTAAAACACTTGGGTTTCAATGCAGCTGCTAACGAGCCTTGTTGATTGGGAACATGTCCCTAACTGAAGCTGTCATATCTTTGGTTTCCTTTTTCATAAAGTTTTGCACTACAACATTGTCCATACAAATAATAGTTCATCTTTTTGTTCCTTTCACAAATATTTATTGAGCACTTTCAATGCATACTAAGTATATACCTGACACTTTTTTCTGTAACTTATTTTACATGTTTGCAAATTGATCACACGTTTAAAAAGGCAGAGTTTGTGACCAGAGTACCTGAGGCCCATTGTTAGCTACATTTAACTTTGTGCTATACAGTTTGAGTCAGCACTACAGAGTGGAGGATGTTATTAGCTTAAAACAAAGGTTCTGTTAAGAGAAAAAAAAATTAGTTTTTATTTCTTTTTAAATAGCACACAGTATATCATTAGAAAGCCAAATTAAAAATAAGATACTTCTCCTTGCATGTGGTGATGTGATTAAGTAAAATTTGGTTTGTCAGTTTCAAATACCAAACCATGTTTTAGTCTATTTTTGCTTATTTAAGGCAAATTTCTTTTTGTAGAGTTATGGTCTCTTAAGACATCTATGCAAGACACCTTGCATGGGAAATGTTGCCTTAAGGCGATGACAGTGAATAACTTTGCCAAGTTTTAAAATCTCTGAGGGTTATATATAAATATTTCTTCAAAAAATGTCAGTGAGCCTCTTGTGAGTATTCTCAACACTATTCAATTGTCATTTATGTTTTACTAACTGTACTAAAATATTTCCAAATTAGTTTTGCTACCTTGAGCTCAATAAAGTACTGCCATTGGCATCTTACTTTAAGTTCTTAATGCATATTCCACTTATTTTGTATTCCAAATATTATGTTGTAAATAGTAAAGAAAAATTATTCTTATCAATGATGAAGAAAGATTTTCATACTCTGGTGCATTAATATTTTTCTGAAATATATTGTCATATCAGAAAAAATGCAACTATCTGAAAAGAGGATTCTTCCAATTTTTTCTATAAATATGTTCTATAAAGCAATTGTACTCTCCAATGCCATCTTGTGGCTTTTTAGGATTGATGAAAATGCGGTAATAAACACAGAACACAGGGAGAAATAAACATGGGAAGAAAACTTCTGATGAATTATTGCTCAGTGATTATTTTACTTGATCTTAATACTGTTCAAACATTTATTTGCCCTGATTTATTGCCTTAGGTTTTATAAAGAGTATATATATATTTCTCCTATATTTTGCTACATTTTTATAATAGAAATGTTCATTGAGATCTTGTAAGGAGATAAAAATATCGTATTTTTATGATCTTAGCATCATGTCCATTTGTAGCCCTATATTACCAGAATTCAAATTATTTTGACAAGTGCATTGATATTATAGACTTATTAAAAATCCTCTTTTAATACATTGCTGTCATTAAGGTCTTGTCATTTTAATAATTCAGGTGTCGAAAGGAGAAAAAGTCATTAAAGATTTTAGTTGCTCACTATTATAAATAAGAGCTGCTGAGAAGAATATGGAAGTGAAGATCTTGTGTGGATAGATGTGTGCTTCACGACTTAGGTTTTCCTGCTGGTCTATTGGACAGGCCTTGGAATAGGAGATGGGAGGGCCTAGGTAGAATCAAGCTAAATGGAAAGCACTAGTCATCAGGCAAAGTTACCTTGAAAAAGCAGTTACTTTTATCTGCATGTCCCAAAGAATGAAGACCAAGAGAAATTATTGGTCGGCAATGTTTTGTTTTTTTAAAGTGAAAAATTTTCAAAGGGTCTTAACAGTTATAAATGCGTTTTCAAACGAAAGGCATATAATACACCCCCCACACACGAAAATATTAGCATGCTACCAATGTTTTCAAACTTTGATAAGAATATTTTTCCTGTTATGAGCACTCATCTAAAATATGTACAACTGTACTTGATTACGTGTGTTTCTTTTAGGATTTTATGCATGGAACCTACTTCTTCTTAAAGGACAAAGTAACAGGTTGTGTACACCAATGTTAACAAGCATTTATTGAATTCCTAGTATATACCAAGTGCTTGATAACATTGATTCACATCAGCTATGCCTGGGCATAAAAAAGGTTAAAATGTTTAGATATTTGTTTGTAGAAACTTGCCTTTTGTATTCTTTATTTAAAAAACAAACTTGTGGAAAATTTTATTAATAGAAACCAAGGCAATATGATTTATCTTTATTAATTTGATCATTCTTAGTTTTCTATACCTATGAATCATATCCTGAAAATTGTTTATATAATTTCCTCATAACTTTGCTGATTTTTTTAAGAAACATATGGAGTGCTTATTTTTGTAACTGCATGCCTTTTTACTTTATAAAATCCATGTATCTGTCATGTCTTTGGAACTGGTGGTGCTATAGGCATTGTCCTTTCATATTCACTAGTCAGTTCTAATTTATTCTTTGTATTTAGCAAATGTTTTCAGACAAAACATACTGTAAACAAGCAACTGGACTGAATTCTCTGGGGGATTAAAAAAGATGAACAATCTACCACCTCTGCTATTAAATACCTTGCAAAAAATAAGTGATATGAGATATCATACATGTATAGTATATTACTTTCCTATTGTAGCTGTAACAGATCACCACAAATTTAGTGTCTTAAAACAACACAAATTTATTATCTTATGGTGATGAAGGTCAGAAGTTCTAAAATCCAGGTATCAGCAGGGATGCATTCCTTTAGGAGGCTCCAGGGAAGAATCTGTTTTCTTGCTGTTCCCAGCTTCTAGAAACCACCTGTATTACTTGTCTTGTTGCTCCTTCCTGAACTCAAAATCATCAGCATAGCATCTTCCAGTCTCTGTAACCTTTACTTCTACTGTCACATCTCCTTCTCTGACTCTGACTTTCCTGCCTCCCTCCTGTAAATATCCTTGTGATTACATTGGGCCCACCACTTTAATCCAGAATGATCTCTCCATCTCATGATCCTTAACTTAATCATACCTTCTAGGTTCCTTTTGCCACTTAACAGTCACAGGTTCTAGGAATTAAGATATGGACATCTTTGGAGAGTCATTATTCTGTCAATCACAGTGGTATATTAGAGTAGCTTTTACATAAAATAGTTTGATATGGATGGAATACATCTATATCAGGGCACAGTACAGAATAAGTGATGAGGGAGTGTCAGGAGAAAAGGTGGAAAAAGATAGATGGGAGCCATATCACAAGGACTTTGTATGACATGACAAGAAATGCTAATATTATGCTCTAGGAAGTCAGGAACCATTGAAGAAATTGCAGCAGAGCTTAGTAGGAATAACCTGACCAGATAGATTGGAAAGAGCTCTAAGACAAGAGAGTGGGAAATGAGGCCAGTAGTCCAGGTAAGAAAGTCATGAACTGAGCCAGTAACAGCAGGAATAAAAGAAAGAGAGATGGATTTGATTGCTAGTAAAAACTGGAAGTAATAAAAACTAGCAGGTGATTGTACAGTGAAGAGAGGGAGGTGGAAGGTAATTCCAGCTGCTTTTATTAAGTTAAAAATTCTGTTGAGAACTAGTAGCTAATGTTATATTTCTAGTCTATATTTTTCCTGGTCAAATACATTTTTGGGTTTTCAAAATGATGTATCTTTTGCAGTGTGGATTCCGACTGACAAATTGTACATCTGAAATAAAAATCTGCGTTTGGGTCCACTGTAGGGTTCTTTCAAATGTCTTCTACCCTTGTGCCTATAATGAAGTATTGTATCAATGGGTCTTGCCTTGATAATCTCAGTGAAGAACTTCAAGTTAACACAGGGAGAAGCTTTTTATTTTTTTAAGATGTCAAGTTTCTTTTAGTATGTAGTGCTAAATTGTGGTATACCTACATGCATACACACATATGCACATGTATCCACTCAAATATACACACAGTTAACTATTAATTCACAAAACACACTTGTATTGCAGCTTTCCTATATGCCAGTTGCTGAGGATTCAAAAACAATAAGAATATATGATCGCTGCATTTTAAAAATATCTGTTTTATTTACCTAACTAAATAGTATAAGCTCGTTGAGTATAAAAACATCTTTATCCGTTTTTATATGTATACATATATGTATGTATATATATATATATCTTTTGTAATCGCTATGCTTAAAAGAGTCATTGCATAATCAGTACTCAGTACATCTTTGTATTTCATTTCTGGATTTAAGAACACTGAAAAATCTCATCACAGCACTCTCTATTTTCCTGTGGCAATGTACATGCATGTCATAACTCTTCTCTGATACCAGAAACTCCTTGAGGAATGATCTCTATATAGGTTAAGTTCATTAATGAGGCTTTACACATAGCATTATTTGACCAATTGTTATATAAGCAAATGAATAATTTTAACTTACATGAAATGAATAGTTTCATTAGAGTTTACATTTCTCTGAAAAGGAGGAATTAAAGCTTTATTTTTAGTTGGCAGGGTGACCTGACCATTCATGGTTATTGTGTATAATCCCCTGCTGAAATTGTAATAGCTGAAGCTGAAAGCACTGAGACTATACTGGAAAGTGAATCTTGAGATGGCACTCCTTCTTTAGCTCCAAAGGGCAAATTTTCAGTTACTTTGTTATAATAGGAATTGTGCAGCTTTTGCCTCCTTCTTATCTTTGAGAGATTTTGCCATGTCTGTACATATGAAGGTCATTCCATGAAGGAAGAGCAGATACACAAAAGGACTCCTGCATGGAAGCGTGGCTGGAAGGAGTAAGGCATTAGCCAAAGCAGCTGCTCAATGTCTCCATGTCTCTCAGAACGGATCATAACAAACCCTAGGAATGCTGGTGAATAGAAGTGGCCTACAACATTGAGGGTGTTTAATTTTAATTCAGAACATAAATTAGTTCAATTTGGCAACTTGCGCATTCATTCTGCCACTCTAACTGACATGCTGCTCCGTGATGAACAGTGATGACTTACTGTTTGTTTCAAAGGCATGTTTTCGCTTTCTTTGGGAGACGTGCTTGGTTTGTTTTGTTCAATTTTTAATGATACATGATTTTATTTTAAATTTCTTTGGAAACTGCTTTGTATCCTAGGGTTTCCGGCTTCCTGTGAATTGAGGAGAGGTTATTACCTTCTAAGTTTTCAATTAGGAAAACAAAGCAAGTTTGGAAGCTCCGTTGGGACCTTGTAAACCCTCTCAAAGCATGTTCTGAAAGAGACAATTTTTGTGCAACTAGCTCTAATTGTCTGAGATGAGACTATCTACAGAAGCTAATTGGAGAGTGTCTCATTCTGCAGCATGTATGGAGTCAGCAGAATAGTAATTTTGCTTTCTTGGGTTGTTTTTCCTTTTTGTTGTTGTTATTTTGTTTTGTCCACACTTCCTTTCAGTACCTAGCATTTTAAGATAAATCTTTCTCAATTTAAAATTACTTATCTCTAATGGTAAGGCTCAGGATTTCCATATAGACCCTTCCCAAACTCTGTGTAATAATGTTCCTAAATCCTCAACCATTCTTTAGACCTAATATGGAATTAGTAAGCCTTTGATGGACTTGTATTCCCTTTTGCTTTACCTGGATGTGATATTAAATTCTGTTTCAATTTTAATGTTTGTGTTCTGAATTACAGCTGGTAGGTACAGAATAGTATTTATCACATTTTCTTTCTTATGATCACCACCTGAGTGATTACGTTGTTGACATATTCTGAATTAGACAAGAACATATGCTCAACTAAATTGATGCCTTACATAGAAACTTGCATATAATGAATTTCATTTGTGCAGTTATTTTAATTTTTGATTACACTTTTTGGTTTTAGTTTTATGTTTTCTCATGCTTCTCTAAAGCTGTTCCATCATGACTTAAAAACTAAGACTTCTCTGAAACTTGGAAATTTATTATGCAGATCTCATAATTATCCTAACTAGAAACCAGGTTCAATATAATTAAGGAAAAATATTTAAACTTTATAGATGTACGCCATTTGTTCTCCTATTCATCCTACATTTGATTTTTAGTTTATAGTCTTTAATAAGTGGGGAAAACAGAATTACATTGACACTTTTTGGATTTAATTGGAAGGTTTTCAGAAAAGCTCTTTTGCATCAGACTATCTCTTCTACAAATGTTCTAGTGATGACTGATGACTCTAGAAGAAAACTCCATCAAATGGAAGGTAGAAGAGGAGTCCCAAGTAGGAGGCAGCTGAGAATGCAGAGTAGGAGAAGCTTCTGAGGCAGTGTATCAAGTAATATGTAAGGACAGAGTAGAGACTTGTGTCTTCCTCCTTCTTCTTTCTGTGTCCAAGGCTACACTTTGCCATTATATGATTTTGACATCAAATAAAACCAGTTTTCCTCGCAGTAGATTGAGGCAGGTATTATGAAGAAAAGGATGGACAATGCCAGTGGATTAATGGCTTAACTCAGACACGTTTCTGTTGTGAAGAAACCTTGAGACAAAGTTTAAGACTGGGAAAAATAACATTAAAATCAGATGTTTTGAGTTAAGAAAAAACATATAGATGCTGTTTGAGATCATTTTAAATGGAAACACTTAGTTTATGCCACCATGTGGTTATACCACACCATCTGTAAATTAGTGTTCAATGACACATTATTAAAACTTATACATTCAAACTCATGGTTAATTTTAATCTAGATGCCTACATCTCTGCGAATTGCAAGCATGTAAAACTGAACTCAACTTGCATTAATACATGAAGAGTTAATGAGAAACTGTTTTCCTGTGTATATGAATATAAATGCATGTTTTACTATTTCATATAGATAATTTATACATTCTTTACATGCTTTATGGGATTATGTAGTTACATATTTATATGTTATAATACTTGAATTGGAATGGGTATTAAACAAGACGTAGGCTTTTAATATGAAAATATTAATATGCTTTAATATAAATAAGTTAAATATTTTTTGGAAAACAAATTAGGTATTCATTGCCAGCTTATAAATATGAAGCCTTTTAAATTTATACCTCACTTTAGCCAAAAGAGGTTACGTTACTCTTTGCAATTATTATTTTTAGGAGAAGGAGGGTATTTTTCTACTATTGTTGCTTTTTTCTCAGCATTTTTGAGTCAATGGGTGAAATGCTTTTACTCAGTGCTGTTTTTGCACCAAGTACATTGTTATTTTACCCATTGTAAATTATTCTCTCAATGGTTTAACAGGCTAAACCCTTAAATAAGAGGTGTCTTTTTTTAAAGAAAATATTTGGAAACGTGCAAATGAAAAGAGTAAATCTATTTTTGGTCGGGTTGTCCAAACTCTTCTTAGGATCTTATAGCTAGTATTTGCTTTTTTAATGGCTGTTTGAGGTGTGTTTAATTTAACAAGAATATGCCAGGGATTTACTAAATTATATAAGACAGTTCTTTTTTTCAAAAAGTAGATCTAGTAATTTTATTTTTCATTTAATACTCATTCAACATATAATATTTTGAGTTGTCTACTATGTGATACCTACTATTCTAGGAACTTAGGATAAAATGATACATGCATTTCTCATGAAGAGTACAGCCTAGTGGGCTTAAATAAACAAGATAATTTCATAATAATTCATGCTATGAATAAAATAAAACAAGTTAGCATGATAGTGATTGGCAAAGGTAGTTACTTCAGATAGGGAGGTCTCTTTGCAAAGATATCATTTGAGTTGAGACTTGACTCTGAAAAAAGAGCCCATTAAGTGAGAACATGGGAAAAGCTCATTCCAAGCAGGATAGTGAGTACCAAAGATATGCAGCAGTAGCAAACAAGACACATTTAAGAAATAGAAAGATGGTCATTATGGATGACAGGTAGTGACGAAGAATCATGCAGTGAGTCAAATTGTAAAGTTTTCAAAGGGTGCAGAGCAATGATTGGAGGAGTAAAATGGAAGGAAATGTTGGAGAATTAGCCGTGGCCCCTTAGGTCATGGTTTAGAGTATGCATTTTATTCTCAGTGTAATGCAAAGCCATTGGAATCTAGCAAATGGAAGACTGAGTATATGATTTACATTTTTTCCAAAGAATCTTTTTTTTTGGCTGTGGAGTAAGAAGCTATTTAAATCATCCTAGCAACAGATGACAGTTACCAGATCTTGGGTATTAAGTGGAAGATGGAGAGATAAAGACTGGTTCGGGTACAGTTTGGAAGTAAAACCAAACAGGACTTGATGGCATACTGGATATAGGGGATGAGGAATATGTAAGGGATATATACCATATAAAGAAGCACAGATGACTTCTAAGTTTTATGAGTAACTGTATTGATGGTGGGACTATTTCCTGAGATGGGGAAAATTAGAGGAGGGAGAGGTTCCTGTTTTCGAAATGTAGAATTAAGTTCGAGATTCCTATTCAGTCTTCGAGTGGCTTTGTCAAGGAGTCTGCAGGCAGCTCAGTGGACAGGTTAATAATGGATATTTAAGTGGAAGGAGCCATTGGCATGTAAATTGTATTGAAAACCATTTGCCTGGATGAGATCACTCAAGCTAAGTCTAAGTAGATATAAAAAGTAGAGGTTGCAGGACAGAACCCTAGGATACTTCAACATTTCCGTAGTTAGTAAAGAAGTGAGATACCAGAAAAGTGAGAGAGAAAATATGAGTGTGATTTCATGGGAGCTCAGAATGATTCAATAATACGTAATTAAATGTATTGCATAGAGCTGAGAAGTGAAATAAGATGAAGATAGAAGATTGCTCATTGGATTTGGACACAGGTATAACTATCAATAATGTAAAGCAATCAATGAATATCACAGAAAAGCATAGAATGGTGGGTAGGCAGAAGTCAAGGGAGCAAGCCCAGAAGTCTTATTTGCAATATGGGCATGACACTGCAGCAAATTTAAAATCTTCTATTGAATGTAAAATGCATATGAATTTTTTTTGTATGCCACTAGATAGCTAAAGGTGAACATGTAGGCCAAATGGAAAAGCAAAAAGAACAGAAGCATAGAGATCAAACTATTTTAGGGAACAAAAACTAGTTAACATCAAATTGATTGAAATTTGCTTCACAACCCCATATTTCTCATGCCCACTGTCCTATGAGATCTATTATGCTGTTATGTAATGAAGAGCTGTGTTAATTATTCCTGCCACCTGCATCTAATGAAATTAGATGTGAAATTTCTGATAGGTACAGATGGCCACTTGAAAAAAACAATCCAGTTTTTCTTTTTTTTCTATCAGCTGGTCAAATCTCATAAGTTAGAAATGTTCAGACTATAAAATTAACCCCAGCATTCTTCATTTGTATAGATACTAAGTATAAATGACAACTTCCTCAAGCCCAAATAACTTGTTTGGATTTAGAGTTTAAATACTATCCAATTAAGTGTATCATGCTGACACATTGTCATTTAATACTCCCTTTGGTAGAGGGTTAAGCTTGTTGAATTATTTCAACTTAAATAATCTGATAACCCTCTCCCAGTTTAGTTCAGTTAATTTTATACAAATAAAATTAAATCTCAAAATGCATATAAAGTAAGAGCATAATACAGTATGTAATGGGGCATAATAAAGTTGCCAATATTATAATGAAGCGCATAGAAAAAGTGTGACCTATTGTAATTAGTAATGTGCACCTCTGACAAATTGTAAAGCATGAATTTTCCTGGTAAGGAAAAAGAGAATGTGTGGTAATGGTAGCTAAAATCCTATTCGTTTTGCATAGATTGCTATCAATATTCTGAAGCTGAGGGTTGTTGAAGTTGGAATTTAGATGGTTGAATGAAGATGTGCTCTGGAAATTAGGAGTACAGATAGACCCACATGGTCAGATAAAGGAAGGCTGACAGAATAAAGAAGCAAGACATGGGTTGGTTACTTGAGTTGTGGAGATGAATGTGAAATAAATTGAATAAGATACAATGATTAGAAATTGATACATTAAGCCTGGAGATGAATACAATGATTACGAATATGTTCAGACCCACATATGTACCAAATGCAATGGATGTCAGACATCTCACTGTGAAAGCAGGTGTTGAGATGTGCAAGACTTAAGGTAACCACAAGCTGAGAGAGGAGCAGAAACATATTAAGAATTCTCTAAATAACAGTATTAAACAAAATAATGTTGAAGCCCAGAACGTCAGAGATTTTCTTTATAACTCCCTCATATGAGGTGAAATAACCTACTTAAGGTTGTTCAACTGGTTGTGTGGCCTACTAGGTTAGACCATCAGAGACAGTGTGGTCCTCCTTGGATGAGTTGTTTAGGAGAATTATACATGATATAAAGAAAGGTCACAGCCATGTGTTAGAAACCGACCTTTGTGCATTACTCCTTCTGCAGGATTCCAGGGGAAGAAAAATCAATTGCTGACTAAATAGCATATTTGAATTACAGAGATCAGCAACAGTATAAATATTGCAGGAAAATTTATATATAAAGAAACTTCTATGTGCCTTTATTAGTTTTGTCCACACAAAATGAAACAATGTGTGTATATATATATTTTTTTCAGGCAAGCACCCAATTGAATTTCAGAAATCAGAAAACAAATAATTTAACCTTTCTTTTTAATTCAATTATATTGATTTGCCAAAGAATCACTCTCTGATAAATAATTTTAAAGTGTCAACTCTCTGAATATTGTAAAATATGTAATTTTGGGTAAATTTAACTACATATTCTTGGATCCTTACCATTTTCTTCTCTTGAATATAAAAGATTTAGAATATGTCTTGATGATTTTTTGCTTGTTGTAATTAAAATGTCAAACTTAAAGTTGTTAAAATGTACATCTCTCTGATACTAGTAATTCTTTTCTCTTTTAAAAAACATACTTATCCAGTATTTAATTTCATATGTCTAGATTTGCTTAGGCAAAAGGTAGAAGTGCCTGCTCTTCAGTTTGCACATAAGCTAATATAGTTTAATATATATAAATGAATGTGTATAATAGAAGTATATTCATAAGTTAGAACGTGACATATTACCTAACATAAAACAAATAAAACAGATAACTCAGTAGTTTGAAAGGGAAGCTTAAGGGTAATACTATACATATAGTGTCATAACACTATCATGAAAATCTCTGTTAAACGCTGTCTCCTCAGGCACATTCTGTTAACTCTTCCTACCACACTTGTCACATTACCCAGTTTCATTTTCTTGACATCACCCAGGGCCCTCTGAAAGAATTTTCTGTATTAACATACTTGTTTAATGTTCCACTGTCCATATAAGAATGTAAACTCAGTCATAGAAGATTTTTTTTTCTTGTTCACTTCTATATCCCGAGCATCTCAGAACAATACCTGGCATATGAAAGATGTTTGATAAATACCAATGAAATTAATGTTTGAATGAATGATAGCATTTCTGTTTCGTTGTATTTTTCATTAAAAAATTCAAGTTTCTCTCAACTGATTTCAGATATTCCTTCTTTTCTAACATATGCATGCAGCACTATGAATTTCCCTCTAGGTGCTGCTTTCACTGATCCCCAAAACTTTGATTATTGTCATTTGTTCAAAAGATTTTAACATTTTTTGGAAATGTCTTTTTTGAGTGTGGATTATTTAGAAATGTGTTATTTAATTGCAAATACTTGGAGATTTTCCAGGTATCTTTCTGTTGTTGATTTCCAATTTAATTCCATTGTGGTCTGAGATAATACATTGAATGATTTCTATCCTTTTAAATTTGTTAGGTTATGCTTTATTGCCCAGAATGTGGTCTATCTTCATCAGTGTTCCATGTGAGCTTGAGACAAATATGTATTCTGCCATTGTTAGATGGAGTATTCTATAATGTCAATGAGTTAAAAATGATTGATAATGTGACTCAGGTCATATATGTCCTTAATGATTTTCTGCCATTTTAATCTACTCATTACTGATGTAGGAGATGTTTAAGTCTTCAGCTATAATAGTGGATTTGCCTGTTTTCAGTTCTATCAGTTTTGGCCCGTGGAGCTTGATGTGCTGTTCTTAGGTGTAGGCATGTTTAGGATTGTAATGTCTTCTTGGGAAATTGGCCCCTTTATTAAGTAATATACCTCTTTATTACTGATAACTTTGCACATTTGGAAGTCTGAAATGTCTTAATACATTAATGATCTTAAATAAACTAAAACTCCAGCTTGCCTTTCGAGCACTGCACAGTACAGTAGTTTCTGATCTTTCTGTTTTGCCTCTCTTAGTGTGGAATCTCTGCCCTGCAAATGAGCTGAGTCCCGAGTGAATCAGGACCCACGTATTCTGTCCTATGAAGGCTGAGTGCAAGAGGAGATTACCTCAACTTCTTGGTTGCACTCACAGTGATTTTGCTTCTTGAAATTGGAATTAGAAAGAAAGAGAAATGCTAGCAAATTGCTCCTCCTAATGAGTTACGGTAATCTTTGATTGGGAAATAAAGCTAGAGAGTGCCCCATCTTCTTAGCCATATCCATTAGTAATTGAGCTTTTGCCTAGTTGAGCTGTGTGGAAGGTTGTAGGAGGAAAGGAGCAGATAATGGTTCAAATGCCACAGACTCCCACTATTCTAACTGAATTTTAGTATGTTTTCTTGAATAAATGTTTCGTTCACTTACTATATTCCTTTGGGGCAATTTTCAGGTTTGTGTGTGTGTGTGTGTGTGTGTGTGTGTGTGTGTGTGTATGTGTATGTGTGTGTGTGTAGTTTTTAAAAAACTGATTTCACAAGTTTTGCTTGTTTCACTAGGGAATGGTCCATAGAGCTCATCATGCTGTCATCTCAAAAGTGGATCTTTCCAACTTTCCTTTGATTAGTGTTAGTATGGTATATCTTTCTTAATCATTTTGTGTGTAACATATAGGAATATTCATGTTTAAGGTGGGTTTCTTGTACACAGCACATCCTTGTGTCTTGATTGTCTTAATCCATTCTGACCATCTCTATTTTTTAATTGGTATATTTAGACTAGGCCCATTTATTGTGATTATTGAAATAGTTGGGTTAATATGTACATGTTTGCAACTGTTTTCTATGCATTTGTTCTTTGTATATTTTTATTTCCCCTCTTTTTCTGGCTTTTCTGGCTTTGATTGAGCATTTATATGATCCATTTTATCTTCTCTCTTAGCATATCAATTATACTTCTATTTTAAAAAATCTTGGTGGTTGCCCTAGTATTTGAAATATACATTATTAGCTAATCTAAGTTTATCTTCAAATAACAGTATACTGCTATATGCATGCTGCTGGTACTTTATAATACAGTGATCTCAAATTTTTCTTGTATTACCTATGACACTGATATTATTCACATAATTTACCCTCATACTATATTTACCTAATACATTGTTACTATTATTAAAATTAGCAGTTATATAATATAAGAATAATAAAAACAAAATACTTTACCTTCATTTATTTCCTCCCTTGATGCTCTTCCTTTATGTAGAGCCAGATTTATAACCTATATTATTTTACCTCTGCCTGAAAAAACATTTCACATTTCTTGCAGGGCAGATCTGCTATGATGAAATCCCTCAAGTTTTGTTTGCCAGAGAAATGCTTTATTTCTTCTTCACTTCTGAAGTATAATTTCAGTGAATAATGAATTCTAGATTGATGTTTTTTCTTTTTTTATTGTTACATGATAGATGTATACATTTTAGGGGCACATGTGATGATTTGAATACATTCATAGAATCAAATCAGGATAATTGGGATATCCATCACCTTAAATATTTATCCTTTCTTTACAGTAGGAACATTAGCATTATTCTTCTCTAGATATTTTGAAATGTATAATAGATTAATGTTAACTGTAGTCACCCTACTAATTTATCAAACACCAGGCCTTATTTCTTCTATTTATCTGTGTATTTGTACCCATTAATCAACCTCGCTTCATCCCCTCTTACCCCACCCTGCTTGGCCTCTGACAACCATTAATCTACCCTCTATCTTCATGAGATTCAATTTTAGCTCCCACATATGAGTGAAAACATGTGATATTTGTCTTCCTATGCTTGTCTTATTTTACTTCATTTGATGACTTCCATTTCCATCCATGTTGTTGCAAGTGACAAGATTTCATTCTTTTTTATGGCAGAATATTAATCTATTGTGTATGTATGTGTGTTTATGTATATATATATATATATATATATATATATATATATATATATATATAATTTTTTTCTTAACCATTCATCCATTCATGGAACTTAGATTGAATCCATATTTTGGCTATTGTGAATAGTGCTACAATAAACATAGGAGTGCAGATATGTCTTTGATATATTGATTTTATTTCTTTGGGGTGTATGCCCAGTAGTGGAATGCTGGATTATATGATAGTTCTATATTTAGTTTTTTGAGGAAACTCCATGCTGTTTTCCGTAGTGGCTGTACTAATTTACATTCTCACAAACAGTATATGAGGTTTTCGCTTCCTTCGTATCCTCGCCAGCATCTGTTAGTCCCTGTCTTCTGGACAAAAGCTATTCTAACTGGTTTGAGATGATATCTCATTGTGGTGTTTTTAAAGTAATTTTAACCTTTATTTTAGATTCAGGGGGCACGTTTGAAGGTTTGTTATATGGGTATATTGTATGATGCTAAGGTGTGGGGTACAAATGATCCCATCACCCAGTTACTGAGCATAGTACCCAACAGTTAGTTTTTAACACTTGCCCTCCTTCCTCCCTCCTTCCTCGAGTAGTCCCCAGTGTCTTTTGTTGCCATCTTTATGTTCATGAGTATCCAGTGTTTAGCTCCCACTTAAAAATGAGAGCATGCAGTTTTTGGTTTTCTGTTCCTGTGTTATTTTGCTTAAGATAATGGCCGCCAGCTGCCTCTACATTGCTGAAAAGGACATGATTTTATTCTTTTTTAATGGCTGCATATTATGCCATGGTATGTAACATTTTCTTTATCCAATCCACCATTGATGGGCACCTAGGTTGTTTCCATGTCATTGCTATAATGAATAGTGCTGCAATGAACATACAAGTGCAAATGTCCTTTTGGTAGAACAACTTATTTTCCTTGGGGTATATACCCAGTAATGGAATTGCTGGGTTGAATGGCAGTTCTGCTTGAAGTTCTTTGAGATATATCCACAAGCTGCTTTCCACAGTGGCTGAACTAATTTACATTTCCACCAACAGTATATAAGCATTCCCTTTTCTCTGCAGTCTTGCCACCATCCATTGTTTTTTGACTTTCTAATAATAGCCATTCTGACTGGTGTGAGATGGATGTATCTCACTGATGCCTGTTCAGTTCTCAATAAATCTCAGCTATTGTATTGTTAACAGTAACAATAATGTAATTATGAATCCCAGTGTAAATTATTTGATATATAAACCTAAGATAAAGACATTTATTCAATTATACATATATGAAATTTGACCTGATAGCTCTTCATGAAACTTATAACCTCTTATCTGGAATTATTGTGATGGTAAAGGGATCACCATTTTAAAATATATACTCAGTGATATTTTCTAGAAATATATTATAAGCAACAATTGTATAAGGAAGACACAGGAAAAAAAATCAAGTTTTTCTTATGACCAATGTCTTCCCACTCTACCATTTCTAAGACCTCAGATACTGGATTTCATGTACTGTAACCTATGAGTCAGTAACCATCAACTCCCAATATCATTTCATTTGTAGTAGGTCCACCATGTATCAGGCAGACCTTTCACAGTGATAGATAGTATACAGAAGCTACCATGCTGAGATAGCAACAGTTTGCCATAATCTCATGAAACACCACTAATAGGAGACTGCTGGCAGAGTCAATATAATGCATAATGTGCTTAGAGACATTTCTGAACCAATTGTACCAGTCATACATCTAGCACAGAATAGATAAGTAAATGGAAATATTGACTTTGACACAGGAGACATGTTTTAAACAAGAATACCCAAGCTGGATAAGATTTGAGGTCAATTTTGGTAACTTTTAAAAATATCCCTGTCTAAGTATTGTGACTTTTGTCCCAAGTGCACATTACTAGTCACTTTATCTTAGGATACAGGCAGGTAGCTAAGTAATTAATTCTTACCAGGCAGGTTCTGCTAAGCCTCCTCTGGAAGATGACCTTTTTAAAATGTTGACCTCACATATAGCTGAATGATGGATGTGTCACTTACTGGCAAGCTCTTTTCTGTTTTGATGGGGAGTGTTTAAGATCATTGGACTTGTAGTCCACCTGGTAAATGGTGACAGGATTGTGAGTCTGGATATGATTGAGCAGTTTAGTAATATATATAATTTTCATGACTGTCTGAAATCTCTAGACACCTTTTCACTTTTGATCATGATTTCAACTGCTGCCGCCTGAATTACAAATCAAATGTTAGAACAATACATCATGATGCTAGAGGCATAGCTTAGGCATGCCAGCAAGCCAAATATTGAGTTTTGTGAGGGGGGTTGTGAAAGACAACTTTTTACCTATTTGGAACTAACTTGAAAGCATAGCTTTAGATTTACAAAAATTTAAGGACACGGGGATTGCTATTTTGTTAAGGCTTGTTTAGGGACATTGAACCTTAAAAGTCTCAATTTTGAAGAAGTAGTGATTAATATCATTTGGGACAAACAAAGATTTTAGAGATGAAATGGTAGGTGACCTTGAATTTGTAATTTGTTTGCAGTGTATCCCAATTAAGAGCGTGGAAAATCTCTGGTTAATATCAAATGTAAGTACTCTACATTGTAAAACTGGCAGTAAAGATGGGAACATCTCTGTAAAATAGTTTTATCAAATGAGTGGCTTAGTGTAAGAATTTGATTTAATTTATATATATACATTATATTTTATATGGAAATACAACAACATAAATACATCAAATGTGCTTTCATCTTAGACTCTGAAAATTGGTTAATGCCTGAAAATTTCTGAAGTCCTGGTTGAGGTTTGCTGTTTCTCAGGTGACTTAGGGCTAAGGATTTATAACTTGATTCTAATAAATTCTGTATGTAAAATAGGTTAACTTTATTTAAAAGGTCTCATGAAATTTTTAAGTGATTATAGGACTTACACTTAAGTTCCTGAGCTAAATTTCTTCTGTCTTATAATCTGACTGATGTCTTCAGTATGACCTCTAGCTTCTGAACGTCCATTATTTTTTCTCCCGTACACTCTAGTTTCTCTAGTACTATCTTGAGAAATTACAGAACAGGTATTTGTGAAATATTGGAAGCATGTACATAGTTCCTGTGTTATTCATATTGGGGATCAGTAAAAGTATTTTAAAGCTAGATGTCATAGTTTTATTCCTCTGTCTCCTCGATATTTACTCCAAAAATGCAGGAACTCTACAAGAACCATGGAAGCATGCTACTATGTTTGTGTTTATATGTGAGTTACAAGTCAGTCCCTCCAAACACCCACTCCCCAGGAAATATACCTGGACATGTTCATCATCTTAAAACTACTCTGATATTATACTATAAAAATAATGAATTATTCCCTTAAAGAAGTATAGATGTGTCTGAGAAAATAAAAACCCATGAATCTTCGGATCCTTTAAGAATTATTTTTTTGGAATCTTGATATGTCAAGTGATTCAAAATGTTTGTTATATATGTGCATGTTTGTGTGTTGCAGACAAGATAATTATATGGAGCAAGCTAATTAATTTATTTTTTCTTATTAACAATTTCTTCATTTACTGAAGGGTGTTTTAAGGTAAATATCTTTATTACAACTAAAAATGTACTGAAGAATATGTCGTAATATTAGCAAGATTTGCCTAAGCCTGTATAACCAAATTGGCTAAAACAAATATATACACTCTTAAGATAAACTAAAGTGAAGTTTAAGCCATACACATATTGTTATGAAGTCTAAATTTTTGTAATAAGAAATAGGAATTCATCACTGGCAAGAGATTTTTAGTTGTAAATGCTTATAAACATTTTGCAGGTATTTAAAATCCCATTTAGTTATATAAATCATTCTGTGGAAAATAATAAAATTGTGTAAGATCAGAATTGTTCCAGAAACCTAGGATGCAGGTTACTTTTTAAGGATAACTCCAGAGGCAAAATTAAATATACTCATTATCAGGTTTTATATACTCATTAATATATGTATATGTAACATTAAGAATTGCATAGTTTTTTCCATTTATACCAAGGGAAACAAATTGGAGCTTTTAAATAAAGTCTTTGATTTATTATATTTTCTCCCCACAGATAAAGAACTTTTGTTCTATTTTTACCTTTGTGATTACTGCATAAACATAGTGATATATATATATATATATATATATATATATATATATATATATATATACATGTACTGTATCTACAAATGAAAGAACATTTAATGGAATTAAGATACTTTATCAGAGAACAGTCTATGTTTACTCTATAAAATACTACCTACTCAAATTATCCTTTTATATTCTCAATATAAAAATGATGAAAACAAAATCTACAAAATGTATGAAGATAACCATTTGGGGGTTTTGTTTTTAGTTTGTTCAAATGGATACTTTACTCCACTGTGGAACCAGTGGGTTTTGTCCCTGATGTAACAGTGATATTTATATAATTAAATGACTATTTTTGAAAATGACCCTCAAGATAATCTATACCTGCTTCTTCCTTATAAGTGAGGAAACTGATGTCTGTGACGATGAAGTGACTGACTTAACGGTATGCATCTAATTGGTTGCAGAGCCTGGATTACCACTTTTGATGTTTCTCACTTACCTGAGCATCAGTGACATATATCATTTGGTGCAATGCTGGTTTACACCACTCACTGCTTCATCTACCTGCCTTGTTATTCAAATAGGAACAACACATTATATCATGGGATTAATACAAATAGTAAATGTACATATTAGTCAGGAAATCAGAAATCATTTCAGGTTTTTTAAGTCGGAAGAGTTTCAACTTAAGAAATTAGAGAACTACATAACCAATGGAAAAACTGAAAACAGAGAGGTCAGGGAAGCTAGCATTTGAGTTCACGAAATCAGAATGTTGGATGATCAGGAAGCCATTGCTGGCTATATGTGCACCAAAGTGGGTGGTTCACAGGAGGAGCTCACTCAGGAGCTGCCACGGACTCCTCATCTGTCATCTGATTTTGCTACAGCTGCCCTTGGAAACTAATGGCCCATTTTTCTCTCAACCCCCAAGGAAAGTACAAATGCTTCGAGTTGGCTGAAACAGTTCTGGAATATACAAGGAAAGGAGTTACAGAAAATGTAGTTACAGGTTTCCCCTTGTGATAGAGAGTACAAAGGGGCCGTAATGATGCTGAGTTGACAATAGGCAACATATAAACCAGCATGAAATAATAACACCGGACGCTGTCAAGCACAGAGAGGTGTTTGGTAAAAAATATTAAAAGAAATATAACTAAAGCCAATGCCTGCATTTTTAAAAGAACAAATTTAGGACAAATTGAAACATTTTAACTTGATTTGAAATTATCTAACCAGGAATGGTTAGGCATTTACTTGAATTTAGATTTAATTAATACATGCACATGTATACATATAAAAGTTGGAGAAGTTTCATGATAGTTCTTCTTGTTTGTGGGGTGTTTGTCTGAACATTATCTATATTTACTTTGTTCCTAGATTTTTTTAATGGAGAATATCCATTCAGTATAACATTCAAAGGTTCTTGGGATTAGGATGTGGACAAAATTGAGGGTCCATTACTCAGCCTACAGCAGAAATTGTAGTTCCAGTAACAGTATGTAAAATTACAAAAATCTTTTAAGTTTCCCAAAGACATTTCTCAGTGTACTAGAACACTTTCTAAGCAGTATTGTCAGTGTACACAGAAATGCAGATATGTATGGTAAAGCAGTACATTGTGATGTGGGTTATTTGGACTTGAGTCATTTTGCCTAGACAAAAAGAAACTTTTTTCCTTTGCAAGTAATATTACCAAAATATTTCCTAGCCTCATTTGATCTCTAAGCTTCACCACACCCCTGGCTTTCTTCAGCCCTAGTGTAAGGTGAGTAATGGGTTGTGCATGTAAAGATAATGCGTACCACGGTGTAAGGGCCAGAAATTGGGTGAAGTTTACTGATGGAAGGGGTTATTTCTTACACATTGCTTCAGTTAGCATCCTTTTGGTCAGAAGAAACAAAATCTAAATCAAATTGGCCTAAATTATGACAGAGATGAATATGTTTATTATTTAACCAATATACACAGACACAGGGTCGGCTTTAAGCGTGGTTCATAGTTTGAGTTAGAGGTTTTGATAGCATTAGGTCTCCAGCTTGATTCCTCTGTGATTATGTTGGCTCTGTTCCCTGCTTTCCCCTCCCACCATCCACTTAGTTTGTTTTGGGGTGATATACGATTGACTTGGAAGATACTAAACTGTACACAGGAAGGGTTCCCTCAAAGAGCTCCTCATCATGTACATTCCAGAACTCTCCTAAAAAGGATTCATCTGCAGTCTCATAGTACCTTGTCTGCAGTTTTTCCTTAACCTCCTTTAAATCAAATTTTATATTAGTTCTCTGTGTACACATTGATAATGACTTGTTAAACCAGGGTTTAGAAAGCAGTTGCCTGTGGAACACATGTGGCCCACAGCGTGTTTTTGTGCAGCCCACAAGCTAAGAAAAGTTTTTCCAGTTTTTAAAAGGGGTGTAGAAACAAAAGGAAAGGAATAAGTGACTCAGACCTCATGTGGCCTGAAAATCCTAAAATATTTGCTATCTGACCTTTTATAGCAAAAGGTTGCCAACCCCTGTGTTAGACTATCAGATACAAGGAACTGTCTTATTCCTGACACATTGCTGTTGTGCCTAATGCAGTTGTTTCCACATAGTGCTGTCATCCTTAAATTGTTCTTCCCATCTACCCTCCTTGGTCAAGCTTTTCTGTTTCATTCGGGGAGGACATGTTGCCATGGGATATCTTATTAATTCAGGAGGGGAAGACTTGTGGGAGATGGCTGGTGGACATAGATGAGATAAAAATTCTCACCAATGATAAAGTATCTGGGAACTAAAAGGACCTTGAACAATGCCCTGTCCAACTGCATCTTGCTACAGAAGAAGAAATAAGGACAAGGGATGGAAGGGGTGTACCCAAGGCCATAGGTCATAATCAGCTGCTAAGGCATCATCAGGACCCTGCATCTTGGTCCAGTACCACTTCCACCAACCCCTGTTATTTTTTGTGACACAACATCTTTTCCTTATAACCAACTCAGATATATACCAAGCTGCTGTATCCATGCGAGGACCATCCGAGACTGTTCTTTTAACCCAAGAGTTTCCCAGAATTCCATAGTTACTGCTGAAAAGAGTGAGAGTGATCAAGAACTTTCTTAAAAGGATTTTCTCTTTCATTGTGTTTCATTTTCTTCAACCCATCTCATAATACCTCTTGAGATTTCTATAGTCCTTTAATGCTATGTCCTTGTTCCTTCCCGGTAGTTATATTTCAATGGCCCTAGCTTCAAGATGTCTTTGGCTGCTTTCTAGGAGATCTCGTTGATATTATCTCATTTATTTATTGAATAAAGGTGGTGACAAAAATGTACCAGATCTTGACGGTAACTTATGTGATTGTTCATTCAAAGATTGCTAATGGCCTGTTAAAGCCCTTAGATTTATTAATTTCCTCATATCTCATTCTCCTTGATTGCCCTCTCATTCCAACTATTAACTGGCTTTGTAACTATAGCTATTATGGTACTTCAGTCTCCAACTTGCCTTCCGATTTTTCTGATAGCTCCTTCCCCCTTCTTAGTTCTAATTTTTTCTTCCACCACCTAAGTATGATAACTCTTAGTATATTTATTTCCTATTACTGCTGTAAGCATTATGGCTAAGTGACTTAAAACAACAGAAATTTATTGTCCTAGATTTCTAGAGGTCAGAAGTCCAAAATGGGGTATATGGGTTAAAATTAAGGTGTCAGCACAACTGTGTACTTTTGGAAGCTCTAGGGAAAAATTAATTTCCTTGTCTTTTCTAGCTTCTAAGAGAGGCCTGCTTTTTTTGCCTTGTGGCTCCTTCCTCCCTCACTCCAAGCTCTGTTTCTGTAATCACATCTCCTTTTTCTGACTTTGACCTTCTTGCCTCCCTGATCACATTGGGAACACTGGAAGAATCCAGAATAATCTTCCCATCTCAAGTTCCTTAACTTAATCACATCAGCCATGTCCTTTTTGCCATGTAAGGTAACATGTTCACATATTCTAAGGATTAAGATGTGTACACTTTGGGGGCCACTATTCTGCCTAGTCTACTTAGATTGCCACCATTGGATCTCAGTTGCATTTTATTTTTCAATCTTACTGGTACCCTCTGCCTGTTTAAAAATGTAAATTGTTTTACAAAAGTATGCCTTGATTCATAAAGGTTATTTATTTGCATTTCAAACTTGTTTTCTGTAAAATTATTCCAATCGATTCTTACTTTAATTTACCTACACCTCAATTTAAGCTCCTATTACCACTTGAATTGATTCCATTCAAATAATATCATTTGACCCCCTGATTTCATCATCTGGACCATCTGGGTACTCCAAAAGAGTAACCTAAATTACTTTTCAAAGTTTTTCCCTTTACTTTATGTATTCTCAACATACTTTATTCTCTCCCATTGCTATGCTTTTTCTTTGGTGTCTGAAATTCCTTCTTTGAAAACTCTAGTCAGAATTTCTTATCATTATTCAAGGTCTGTATCTCAATGGTGACTTCTTCAAATTAATAATTATTTATACCACAAATCCTATGTGTCTCAACCCCTTTTAAATTCTGCCCTTCCCCCTATTGAATTTTGTTATTGTATCTGGCAGTAGTCATTTTTCTTTGCTTTGTGTTTTATGTAACTGTGTAGTGTTCTGTCCTATCCTCCTACCACACCACCCAGGGAAGAGAAAACACATCCTGCCCAGATTCATATCTCCTAAGTCCTGCTCCGATGTTTTGTACATCAAAGTATAAATAATAGCATTACTGTGATGTTATTTAAAATTACACTGTATGTGGCTGTGCTGATTTAAGATATGTGTTGAAGAATTCACCTGCCAGCCAACTATACCTAAATGACTGTCTCCTGAATTTATTTCATTAGGAGACTTTTTCTGATTTTAAGAAACACCTTCTGGCATAGCTTCTGAGTTATTTTTGAAAACCCTATTATAGTTATGTTGGATAGATCAAGTAATCCAGGGTATGTTATGCAACATACCCTTTCTGTATTTGTGTATTCATTAGTTGCATTCATATTGACTGAGAAACACTGTGCCAATGTTATGAAGGGTATGCAGATGTGTATGCCAAGGTGGCTGTCTTCTAAAAGCTTCCAGGAGGATATGTTCCACTGTGACTTTTCCAACTACACAACAGCAGAATTCTAGCATTTAGCATGTTTGTGAAACTCCTAGAGGCAATTAACACATTATGTGACAGAACCTAGCTCCTTAATGGTATTAAAAATGCTTTTTTGAGGCCAATGAGAACTTGATATACAGCAGGATAATTCTTTAGAAGTATCTTTTATTTGACATTTATTAGAAATGAAGTTGTCATGAAAAGGCATGGATGTTTATATGCTGCTATAAGATAGTCATCTCAGCAGGCATTTTGATCAGTCATTACCTTTGACAGAGAATGGCACAATAGCATGAGAGCCTGCAGAGCTTTCTTTAAAGATGGTTCATATAATAGGGGCATCGTGATACTTGGAGTATTAATCCAATATTGAGGGAAATTCCGTGCCCCTAATGCTTGAATATCTATGCAGATTTTGGAATATGTCATTTTCAGTAGCTTTGACAGATATGTAAATAACCATTTCCCCAAACTTCATAATTGCCCATGTCATTAATTTTTCTTTTTACTGTTGCAGAACATTTTCCTCTTTACACTCAAGAGGATAAATTATTATTGTGGTTCCATTTCATTGGAAAGCATACACCTGCATATTTGAGAATCTTTAACATTTGAATGTATAATATATAATATAATTAAGTAAATCTTCAGGTATTGAAAATGTACTTTTGAATAATCACGTTGGCCTCCTGATAATAAGCAGTGAATAGTAATTGATTAGATTAGTATGCTATTTTTTTGAATATAGTAGCAGTGACTCAATAAGGTTTAATTGCATTCCTGTAAACATATGGATGGTTCAAGAATTACTTCTTTGTAAATAATATAAATTGGTAAGACTCTGAAGTGAATGACACAGATTTGATATAGTAAGACATTTGAATTTCAGCTTCTCTGAGCACTGATACTATTTCATCATTGAAATACAAAATTATGGAAATGCTGAGGAAGAATGAATGCTTATTTATAGGCACAAATCACCAATATTAAGCTGTTATCAAAATCTTTACCTAAATTTGTTGGTTGCAAAGTTCTGTAATAGGCTTAAAAATGTGCAGTGTTCAGAAAGTAAATTCTTATTTGATTTGCCAGATGCAAATAATGTATTTGTTACGTTCATTCAATTATTAAAGAAAATTTATATCATTCTTCCTATCTTGTAGGGTTGATATATATTACTTGGAAATGTGAGACAAACGAAATGAGTGTAAACCCTAAGAATATCCATTGGTGGACTAAAATGTAAATTTTAATTTCTGTATTCTCATGTAGCTTAACTAGCATTTAGCATGTTTGTGAAACTCCTAGAGGCAGTTTCCACATTATGTGACAGAACCTACCTCCTTAATGGTATTAAAAATGCTTTTATGAGGCCAATGATGTACAATGTACAATAATGTACAATGTTTATATACATTGACTTGCTAATTTATTAAGTATCCACATTTTAGCCTCTTAGACCTACTCTGAAGTTGACTTAACTTTCAAGATGAACAGTCATTTTTGACACCCTGCCATCCCCTTGCAACAGAGAAAGGTATCCTGATTTTTGTGATTCTCTGGCACCTAATAGATGCCTCAGTGATATAGTGTTCTTATGGGAAGGTTATATTGTATTTTAAAACATGAAAATACCAGAACAGAGTCAGGATCATGAAGCCAACTCTTTAGGGGGGTACATTAGCTGGTTCTAAAACCTTTTACCTGTAGAATCCCTATTCTTGCTCCCAGATGCTATATTGTTATTGCAGACATGGATGTTTTAGCTCCGTTAGCACTGGAGACAAGCTTCCCTACACCATAGTAGTAATATAGGGAGAGAGAACCAGTACATCTTGTGTGAAAGTTTCTTTGCATATTCAAGTAGTTTCAGAGGCAGCCCAATTATAAGAATTAGGTCTATAATCTTAAATATGCTGTAAAGATCATTAATTATCTGTGTAAATATTGGAGAGGATCAGCATGGATAATTAAATTGAATTTATTTGAACATAGGCAGTTTTCACATTGGCTGTTGAAGTTGCTATTTGTGCAAAATATATAATTTACTATAATTAGGACACTTTCTGAGAAGTTTTTTTTGATGTGCCATATTTTCATGCTCAGCAGAAATACATATAAAGCATAAATATTTTCTTCAGCTACATATTTTTATTTAAATAATCTCCATTATTTTAAATTCCTAAACATTTATATTATTTAAAAACCTGAACTAATCTCATTCTTAACTAGGTTTGTAGGCTGGGAGTGTCAGAGCTATGTATAGGAAAATTTGCTGTCTTTTTACTCATTAGTCTAATCAAGACTAGAATAGACTACGTTGAGTGTTTACTCATATTACAGATGGGACTAAAAATAGAAGATTTCCAAATTACACATTTAATATGAAACAGGAAGTGATTTTGATGTAGACTATGTAAAAGTTTTCTTCTGACTTTATTAGGTTATTTTTTAATTCATAAAAAGAACCCCCAATTGTCTTGATCTTTTTTCTAAAATTTGAACAATTAAATTTTACCTTTACCTACAGTGGCTGTGAAGAGGATCTATATTACGTGGTAGTTATTTGTACATTTAATTAATTTCTCCTGTCAGTAGGACTGAAAAGTTTTATTCATTTATTTGTACTTACAGCAAAGATAAAGTTAGAGAAGTAATTAAAATGTGGGTTGTTTTGCTTTCCCACAAATATTGAATGTCATTGACATTTTTGTATCTCTTCTGTTAGCTTAATTAAGAGTTGAATTATTTTAAGCAACAGTTGTATGTTTTAGTCATTCTAAAAGTTTAATCTACCTGTGAAAATCCACTTTTCACCTGCGGTATTATGTCAAATTGTTTTCTCTAATAACACTTTTATAAGTACAGTTTATCTCTCCTTAGCAGTATAATTTTGCAAATGTCTTGAAAGTTTCTGATTTGTATGTGTCTCCACTAGTTTACTCTTCTTTTTTTTGACCTGGGACTAGATCTTAGAATGGTCTGTACATTTAGTAATACTCATCATTTTGCTACTTTTAGAGCTACATCCTGGTTTCATTGTCGTAAATTGAAAGATAAATTTAGAATTCATCTTGCCAATGAGTTCAGACAAGAAGAACATCAAAGTCAACATTTAATGTGAGGAAATTGAATATAAACTAGTACTTTTCATGAAATCGTTATATGTGAACATCAGTCTATATGAAGTCCCATCTCAGTGAAATATCTAACAAAGTATGGCCTGTTAATAGTTTCACTATCATTTCAAGTAATTTTAAAATATAACACGTTTCTAGCATTATAAAATAATTTAGAATATAAAAGGCTCCTTTCCATGTGCTTATTGCCATTTGTATATTTTCTTTGGATAAATTTCTTTTCAAATTCTTTCCCCATATTTTAATTTGGTTGACTTGAGAGTTTTTTTTAGTTGTCCCTAGACTATTTGTTGAAAAGATTATTATTTCCCACATTGAATTGTCTTGTTAGCCATATCAAAAATCAGTTGACTGGGATTTCTATTACCTCAAACATTAATCGTTTACTTGTGTTGGGAACATTCCAAATCTTCTCTTCTAGCTATTTTGAAATATAAATATGTACAACTATTATTTATCAATAAAAAATCAATTGACTATAAATGTGAGGGTTTATTTTAGGACCACCGATGTCTGTTCTTTTGTTCATACCACACACTCTTGATTACTGTTGCTTTCCAGTAAGTTTTGAAATTGGGAAATATGAGTCCTCCAGTTTTGTTCGGGTTTTCAAGATTGTTTTTGCTATTCTTGGTCGCTGGTAATTCCAGATGAATTTTAGGCACATCTTGTCAGTTTTGGCCAAAGCGATGCTGAGATGTTGAAAAGGATTGCCTTTTGATAGGGATTGCTTTGTCAATCAATATGAAGGGTATTTCCACTGTAATAGTGTTAAATCCTTTGATCCATGAAAGTGGATTTATTTAGGTCTTTAATTTCTGTTAACAATGTTTTGCAGTTTTCAGTATACAACTTTTGCACTTCTTTTTTAAAATTTATCCATAAGTGATTTATTATTTTTGATATTATTGTAAATTAATTTGTTTTCTTAATTTCATTTTCAGATTGCTCATTGTAAGTGTATGGAAATCAAATTATTCTATATTAATTTTGAATGCTGTATCCTTGCTGAACTTGGTTTTTAGCTCTAATAGGTTTTTCATGTATATGTATAGATTCCTTAGTATTTTCTGTATATAAAATGATGTCATCTGTTAATGCCTATAGTTTTTCTTCTTTTCCATTATAGTTGCCTCTTATTTCTTTTTCTTATCTAATTTCCTTGGCTAACGTCTCTGGTACAGTGTTGAATGGAAATGGTGAGTGTGGAAACTCTTGTCTTCTTCCTGATCTTAGGATCCAGCCCTTTACCATTTAGTATGATGTTAGTTATGGTTTTATCATAGATGCCCTTTATCAAGTTGAGGAAGTTCCCTTCTGATTCCAATTTATTGAATGCTTTATCATGAAAGGGTGCTGGAATTTTTTTTTTTTTTTTTTTGAGATGGAGTCTTGCTCTGTTGCCCAGGCTGGAGTGCAGTGGCACAATCTCGGCTCACTTCAACCTCTGCCTCCCAGGTTCAAGCGATTCTCCTACCTCAGCCTCCGGAGTAGCTGGGATTACAGGCACCCGCCACCATGCCCAGCTAATTTTTGTATTTTTAGTAGAGACAGGGTTTCACCATGTTGGCCGGGCTGGTCTCGAGCTCCTGACCTCATGATCCTCCCACCTCGGCCTCCCAAAGTGTTGGGATTACAGGCGTGAGCCACCGTGCCCGGCCTGGAATTTTTTCAGATTTTTTTTTTCATCTTTTGAGATGGTCATGTGGTTTTGGTTTCTTATTCTTTTAATATGGTGTATGACATTGATTGAATTTTAGATATTAAATAAGCCTTGCACTCTTGGGAAATATTCCTGTTGGTCATAATATATGCTTTTTATATACTGCTGGATTCTATTTCCTATTATTTTCTTGAGGAATTTGCATTTATATTTATTAGGGATATTGGTCAGTAGTTTTTACTTCTTGAATTGTCTCTGTCTGGTTTTGGTATCAGAGTAGTACTGGCCTCATGGAATGAGGTAGGAAGTTTATCATCATCTTTGATGTTTTGGAAGAATCTTTGAAAGGTTGATGTTAATTCTTTTTTAAATGCTTGGTAGAATAGACCAGTGAGGTGTGGGAGGTTTAAATTTTATTTGTGTCAAGTTTTAAGTTACTGATGCAATGCCTTTACTTGTTACAGGTCTATTTACATTTTTTGTTTTTGTTCTTCAGACTGAATAAGTTGAATTAATCTATTTTCATGTTTGCAGATTCTTTCTTCTTCCAGCTCAAATTGGCCATGGTGTATCTCTGGAGAATTTTTTGCTTTAGTTGTTATACTTTACAACTCCAGAATTTAAATTTGCTTCCTTTATTTAATTTTTATCTCTTTATTAATATTCTCTGGTTGATGAGATACAATTATTAAGCTGTCCTTTATTTCTTTAACTATGGTTTTCTTTAGTTATGTGCATATTCTTGCAATCGCTGATTTCAAGTCTGTCTAGTAGGTTCAGTACTTGGGCTCCCTCTGCAACAGTTATTATTGATGGCCTTTTTCTTGTGTATGGGCTATACTTTTCTATTTTGTGTGTATGTGTCTCAAATTTTTTTTGTTCAACATGGGACACTTTAGATCATATAACATGGCTACTTTGGAAATCAAGTCTGTCCTCCTCCCTGAAGCTCCAGGGTTTGTGTAGTTGTTTATTTGTTTAGCAACTTTCCTTAACTAATTTTGCAGAGTCTGTATTCTTTTTTAAGGCACAGCCACTGAAATATCTTCTTGGCTAATTCATTGCTCAGGTAATGATTGAGAATTTTTAAAAATGCCTTGAACCAGTAATTCTCCCAACCTTTGCCCAGGGTTTCTCTCTCTCTCTCTCTCTCTCTCTCTCTCTCTCTGTGTGTGTGTGTGTGTGTGTGTGTGTGTGTGTGTGTGTGTGTGTGTGTGTCTGTATGTGTAAGCACATTTTCAATATTCTGGCAATTTACAACTCTGCCTTAGCCTTTTCTTCCAACTTGTGTAGAGGTGGGAGATTAAGGTGATCTCACGTCTTTTCTGGGCATGACTATAGCTCTGAACTTACTCACAGCCTACTAGATCCCCAGAAATATTTCAGAGCTTTGCAAGGCCTCCTATGACCATCTCATTTTATAGATTTTTCTTTTACATTTTTTGTCTATCTTCTTGTTTGTCCCATGTGGCTTCACCACCTAAGGCAGCTGCAAGGCTAAATAATTGAGACTGATAGTTTTTGCCATATTAGGGATAGAACTTTCCTCATTGAGCAAATTCTGAGTCAGGTGAAATAAAGAGAAATTCTTGAATGGGGTTTTTCAGCCAGCTACCAGAGAGATAAAATAGTAGTAGTTCTCTGGGGATGGAGCTTTGTGACGAGCTCCAAACCAGTTTGTCCTCTTTATTGGCTCCTAGGCTATTGTTTTTTTCAAGGCTAATACAGACTTGGGGAAAGAGGGATGGAAATAGGGAAAGTTAAAATATAACAGTGTTTGTTATTTTTACTAAAAGTCAGCCATTTTTCTTGAATAAATGCTGTTCAGATTGTTGCTAGATTTTGTTTAATTTTCAGAGTTCTGAAAAAGTTGATTTTGATAATTTTCTGGATTTTTTTATTTCATGGAAACAAGAATTTCAGAGTTTCATACTCCACTATTCCAGAAGTACTTCTCATTTTAATATTTTTGTTTTCTTTATGATATAATATTTTGACAATTTTTGATTACTTTGTACTTAACTTTTTAAAAAAGCTATTAATGGTTTCAGTTTTTTAAATAATTACAATAGTGCTTCATATGCTTGAAGTACTTATTCTTTTTTATTATTATTTTATATTGATATAATAATTGTACGCATTTATTGGGTATAGTATGATATTTTGATACATGTGTACAAGGTGTAATGATCGTCAGCGTAATTAGCAAATTCATCACCACAAACATTTATTTCTTTATGTTAGGAGCATTCAAAATCTTTCTTCTAGCCATTTGAAAATATACAGTAAATTGTTAATTCTAGTCACCCTGCAGTGCTATAGAACACTGGAACTTATTCCTCCTATATCACCGTATTTTTGTATCTATTAACAAACCTCTCCATATCCTCCCTCCCTCCTACCCTTCCCAACCTTTGGTAATCACTATTCTCCTCTCTACTTCTATGAGATCAATGTCTTTATTTACTCGAAGTACTCTTAAAAGTTTAGGACTTAAGTATTTGAAGAAATTCACTTGCTTTTTGTTTTTATTCTACTCAATACTTTTTAATATAAAGATTTACAGTCCCCCAAATTCTCTTTTCAGAATCTTAATATAATTATTCATTTCGTCCTGAAAACTGTTTCTTTCCAAAATTAAACATTTGTTGTCATTTAATAAAAATAAACCAGAAGTAGAAGAGCTGGAAAATCCCTCCAAGTTCATCTGAACTGGAGAAAAATCAAGTCTAAATTACTAAATATTTTGAAAAGTACAGAGTTTTATTACAGTAAACTTTGACAAGTTGCCTTTATTTGGAAAAGAAATAACCTATTTTTCTATATTCTATTTTAGAGAATTAAAATACATTTAAAGCCTTATATTGGGTTGGTCAAGGTTTTTTTTTTTTAAAACCTTAGTAGTTTATTTTTGTATTCAAAGTATCTTCCAGCATGTCTGTTAAATTTCTTATTTTTTTCAATTTTTTTTTTTTTTTTTTAGATTCAGGGGGTACATTTGCAGGTTTGTTGCCTGGCTATATTGTGTGATGCTGAGATTTGGGATACAAATGATCATGTCATCCAGGTACTGAGCATAGTACCCAACAGTTAGTTTTTCAACCCTCCCTACCCCCTTAGTAGGCTCTAGTGTTTATTGTTACCATCTTTATGTTCATGAGTACCCAATGTTTAACTTCCACTTATAAGCGAGAACATGTGGTACTTGGTTTTCTGTTCCTGCATTAATTGACTTAGGATGATGGCCTCTAGCTGCATCCATGTTGCTGCAAAGGACATGATTTCGTTATTGTATAAAAAACCATACAGCTGCATAGTATTCCATGGTGTATAGGTGCCACATATTCCTTATCCAGTCCACCATTGATGGGGCACCCAGGCTGATTCCATGTCTTTGCTATTGTGAATAGTGCTGTGAAGAACATGAGGGTGCATGTGTCTTTTTGGTAGAATGAATTGTTTTCTTTTGGGTATATACTCAGTAATGAGATTGCTGGGTCAAGTGGTAGTTCTGTTTTAAGATCTTTAAGAAATCTACAAACAGCTTTCCACAGTGGCTGAGCTAATTTACATTCCCACCAACAGTGTGTAAGTGTTCATTTTTCTTTGCAACCTTGCCAACATGTGTTCTTTCTTGACATTTTAATAATAGCCATTCTGACTGGTGTGAGATGGTATCTCATTGTGGTTTTGACTTGTGTTCCTCTGGTGATTAGTGATGATAGCACATCCCTTTAGATCAATACCAATTCAATATAATTCAAATATCTATATTTACTGAATGTTATGATGTAATTGAGTTTCTTCACAATCTCCACAATCCTTTAGAAAATTTCTAAGCTTTAACTACCTTCTATAGATTTCATGTACAACATGTAACATAATAAGGGATAGCAGATGAATGGACATAAAAAGCAATTGGGCCTTTTCCCCGATATTTCATGTGCAACTAATGAAGGAGAAATAGACTTTGATTTAAAATCTACTGGTGACTTTTATGTAATGTAGTGGGCTTGAGAAACTTTCAGTATTTATGGGTTCAAATATCATTTTATAATTTTAATAATGCATTTATGTAAACATTAAGTTAATGTTTTCTGAAAAGTACAGCATGTATTTAATGCAATAACCACTTTCAAATTATTTATTGAGGTGAAGTTTTCTTGTAATGAAATGTAGATCTTGAGTGAGTAATTCGTTAAGTTTTAATAAATGTATGCATATGTGTAACTCACATCCTGATTAAAAGATTACATTTCTATCACTCCACATCTTTACTTCATGCTCCTTCCAGCCATTTCCTAGGTACACACCAAAGGTAAACTACATTCTGATTTCTATTACCATCAATTAATTTTAACTGCTCTAGAACTTCATATAAATGGAATTATACCGTAGGCAATTTTTGTGTGTATCTTCATTTATTAAATTTAATGTTTAAAAAATTCATCCCTCTTGTTAGGTATGTTGGTTTTTCATTTTTATTTCTTTATTGAGTTTTTTCACATAAATACACAGTAATTTTTTATTCATTCTTTTGGAATGGAGATTTTTTTGGATATGGCTTCAAATTTGGGACTATTATGAAGAACATTCAGGCTATGATTTTTCAAAAGGGGCATGAAGTTTAAACAAAAAGCCTTCTTATAATTCTGTAGAAAGTGGGTAATGTGTGAGTGTGTATATTATGCATTAATATGCTTACAAAAATGATATATATACACACATGCTAAATGTCTAATAATAATAGTAATTATAATGACAAGTAACATTTGTTTATGTTCGCTTTGAGCTGGGCTCTTGCATAAGTACTGTACATGTTTCATTCCATTTACTCCTCACAACAATTTGTAAAGTAGGTAAATTACCATATTATCTCTGACAAGTAGACTGTGCATTTTGGAGGATAAGTGATTTGCCTAAGATCATGCGCCTAGGGAGCGGCCAACTGGGGATTTGAAATCTAGTTCTTACACTGTCAGGCATTGTACTATGCCTGCTACTTCCTAATAGTTAACATTATTTGAGCTCCACTGTGTGCCAAATATCTGCATGACACACACAAACACACACACCGATAATACAGTGTAGAAAGATAATCTATGTAAAGATTAGCAAGGGTGCAGTGGAAGAATACCCCACATAGAGGTCATTTCCTCTTCAGAGGATTAAGGCAAAGGCCACCAAAGTGACTTATTAGAGGCAGAAGCCAGTCAGAAGAGGTATAATGTTTGACCTACAAAGGGCTTAAAACTTATATTCTGTTTGTTGCCAACATTTAAAAATTAGGATATCACGTTAATATCTGGATTTCTGGCATCCTCCTACACATCATGATATCTGAAAACCTTGCCCATTGCCATGGTCTGAAGCTGACCCTCAACTACTTCCCTTGGGCCTGCAGCCAGCCTTGATGGCTTATGCTTTCTGAAGAGAGGAATATGAGTTTATGAATATTAAATAATTTTTTGAGGAGTGGCTTTAAGCTTTACCTTAAAGAATTTCAATAGAGATTTCCAGGCTGTGTGAGGGAATAGTACAATGCAAGGAAAGAATGGCACTTGCTGGGTGAGCTGAAGGAATAGGAATTAGGTGGGAACTATCTCGATTGCCCAAAATCCAGCACAGTGGGGGGAACTAATCAGAACATAAGATCTGACCTTAATATCTTAGGAAATTCTATGTTTTGAAAGCTTTTATAGAGGAATGACAAAATCAGAGCTTTAATTTTCTAACAGGCCAAATGCAGCCTAAACATTGCTTATTCCAGAAACTGTCATTTAAGTGTGGTTATTTGAATTGAACATATAGGCTGAAATGCAATAAACCGCCATTTTTGTAGGTTAAAAGGAATAAAGTATCAAGTACATGCAGTTTGGCATTACAAGTTTGCCTAGTAGCACTTTAAATGAGTCACTAATTTAATATATTATTTCTTTTATAAAGTTCATTTATACTTTCTGAACCAAGACAGTGGAGCTGGTACAAATATACACTGTAATGCCTCCCTATTTGTTGTTTCCTTTAAATCTTTAAAATGTGTTTTTATATTTGTTTTTTGAGATGCTGAATTTCCATAATATTTATTAGAATATTATATGTATTGAGATGATATTTCCCTATGTTAGGGAGAAACCATTTGTGTTATATAAACAAACAATAAAGTTGTCTAAAAATAGAAGATCCTTTTGGAAATGTTGATGCCTAAAAGACAAAATTATGTGGATGAACATACGTAAGCTTCAGTGAGCTTTTCTTGTACTAGGCATTTAGCTGTCTTGCAACTGTTAATCAGCACAGGCCTTAAAACAGCTGCTATCAGATTAATTAGAGGGAATCCAGGAAATAATTCAACTGAATGTAGCATTCATGTAAGTGTGTTGAAGGCAATTAAGAGTAACTATAGTCATTACTGAGACTTCCAGGAAGTATGCCAAAGGGCTTGAAAGTTATAAAATGCCTTTTGCTTCCCAATTTTATATATATATATATATATATATATATGACAGAGAGAGAGAGAGAGAGAGACAGACAGACAGAGAGAGAGAGTCCATATATAAACACACACTAATAGCAATTAAAAATAAATAAAATTGAAAAGCTTGAATTACAGGGTGTTAACTCACTTCTCTCTTTGAAATTAAGGGGCCAAGGGAAAACAAGACCATTTGTCTAAATTCATTTAGAAAGAAAAGGATTTATTTAAAGATGCTGTGGCAGATAAAATTACGTTTCATTTTTGTAATCCTAGTTTTCATAGCCAATGAAAGGCTTAAAATAAAGGAAGTTGATATTTCACCAAGGTCACACGATCTACGAGAAGGAAACTTAAGAAAGTTTCCTAATGCGGGATTTAAATCCTTAAAAACTTGCTGTGGTCATCATCGGCATCATCATCGTCATCATCATCACCACCACCACCACCACCACTGCTGCCATTAATTATTATTATTATCATGACACAAAGGTTGATTACCTGGCATCTCATCTCATTTCTACTGTTCTTAGGTTTCTTGCCTGTCTTACTGAATGACAGTATGTTACTCAAAACTCAGCATGGCAAAAAATCTGGGTTTTTTAAAACCAATTTTGCCTGTGGTTGGCACCTTGAAAAAAAACGAGAGACCAAGAAAGAGGGAGCCGAGGATGGGAGTGGAAGATAAAGATTTAAAAGAATAAGTATTGATATTCTTTTCTCTTTATTTTTAAGTGACAAAACTTATATATATTTATGGCATTAAATATCATGTTTTGATATGCGTATACATTGTGGAATGGTTAAATCACACTAATATAGGCATTACCTCACATACTTAATATCATTGTTTTGCTATTTAATAGGTCTAAAAGCTGAAGTCAGAGAACTCATTTATTTATGAGAATTTTGGTGTGCAACTGCATTTTGCTATGTGTTACAGTCTTTTAACCTACTTCCAAATCTCTTCTTAAGGATGAGCTAGAAGGAGAGACTGGCTGACACTCCTCATTTTTGAAGCCTTGGCTTTTATAAAAGGGGCCTTCAGTGTAGCAAAAGGCCTACTTATAATTCTGTAAAAAGATGTTCATGTTTTTCAGGAACGTTTGTCTCTATTTAGAAAAAATAAAATGTAGTTTGGGAATAGCGGAAATGATTGATTAGAGTGTTACACATGAGACAAAAAGATAGATGGGCAATACCGTTCCTGTGTTTTCATGCCCTGTTCCTCATAAGCAACAGGGCAAGAGATGATAATTCCCAGGAGAAGCAGGAGAGGCTTCTGGATCATGAGGTGCTATTCTCTTACAGAGGTGCTACCACAGTTACTAGGTACTCATTCCACTTCTTTTTTTTTTTTTTTTTTTTTTTTTTGAGACTTATTTTGATTACCAGGCCTCTGGTTTACCAAGTGTCAAGCCCACCACGGTCCCATCTTTTCCTTATCTCCCTCTTCAATATTCCTGTCTACCACCACCCTTCCCTCACCCACATAGCAATACCACATACCATCATTTTTCTCCAAGCCCCATCTCTTACCCCTTGCAAACTCTGCCATTGTTTTCATCCCAGTTCAAATTTCCTCCACACAATAAAATGTTCTCCCCATACTGTGACTTCCTTGACCTTACGTTTTCCTAGGTGTTATTATCTTCACCAAATCACTAAGTGTAGATTATGTATCTTTGAGTGTTCATGGATTCATGTGGTTAGCTCTACTTTAGCACGAGAAACAAATGCCCTGGAATCACTCTAGGAAGAACGTTAGTTGCTATGTGGAAATAAGGAGAAAGAAATATTTTAGGGATGGAAACTGTATCACAGAACTTCAGTTTTTGAAAAACTGGAAGGAGTCTTAGAATCCATCCCGTCTAAACCCCTCATTTGAGAGTTCTAGAATCTGAGAGCCAGAGGGCTTGCACATCTGGTAAGTAATGGAGTATATTCTTTTGACAGTAAGTACTAAAAATTAGGTCTTGTAATTCCCTGGCCAGTATACTTTCCACAACACTACACAGAATCTAAGCTTTGGCTTATATTATTTGAACAACTTGAACAAAAATGAGGTACCAGATTTTGACAGCTGGAAATAACCGGAAGTAAAAGGGGTTAGTATTCCCCAAACAAGAAATAGACGAAACAAAGATGCAGAAAAGAGAAATGAGTGTGGTCCTGTTAGGGAAGAACATATGGGTCAGTACACCATATAGTACCAAGGCTGGGTAAAAGGAGTCTTGGTGAAGGCAATAAAAGGAAATGTTTTTCTGCTAAAGAAATTAAAAGTAATATTAAAACAAACTCGGGTTTTTGTCTTCCTTTTTTTTGTTATCACCATGACCTGGCAATTGCAAACAATACCAGTGATAAACTATTCCTCCTTGAAAAAAATACTTTATAATCTAAATTCTAAATAGTATCTGCTGTTATAATCAGTATTTAATAATATATGTATAAGCATTAAATTAACCCATATTTATTATATGCTTGAATAAACATTGAATTCTACTTGGAAGTTTACTAGGGGAATTCCTAATTGTAATGGTGTCTCTGACACATGCACACTGAAATACGCACATTAATTTTGAGAGTAAATTTATAAAAATTTCAAATGATTGGAGCTTGCTTCAGAAGGACTTCATGTCTCCAGCTCCTATGGCACTACATAATCCTGCATTTAAACAGAAGCTTTGAAATAAACCATGTGAACACATTGATTATAAAGGTGAGGAAAAAGAACTTGAGTTAGAACTCAAATTAGAACTTCGTTCTATTGTGTTATTCTGTGCGAACACTTGGAATTTTTATATGTGCTTAAAGTTTAAAACGATGAAACAGTGCAAATGAGTTATAATGTTTTTGGTAAATGCAAATTTCAGGTTATAAATTTTCCAGAATTTTAGTAATATCTCTAACATTGAAATTTGACCTTCTTGATGCTAGAACCTATACCAAACTGTGGTGGACAGAATTTACTGTATCCTAAGCAAAATATGCTTAGAAGTAAAATTAATATTACCTATGTTTTTTCTTATATTTATAATTTTATAAATCTGTTGATAATTAAAATTAATGAAATGTATTTCATGATTTAGATGGACTTTAAAATATGACTATAAAGCATCATTTGTTTAGTGAAACAAAATATAAGTAATTGGACACTATTTTGAAATGATATTTTAAAATAATAATTACTTTTAATTATATGTGATACCAAATTTTTAAATAAAATGTCTATTGAACAGCTAGTGTTCAAGGCATTGAGCAAATGCATGTTGACAGTGAGAGCTACAAGCCACATCTAAACATCAAGGATTAATCCATCATGATGATGAAAAATAGATAGCAACTATTATCAGTACATATTTTTAAAAAATTTATGACTATTTAAATGGGAAATAATTTGTTTAAGTTTTTACATTGCATATTTCAACAACTTGTCTTGATAAAGGAAACTCAGGATGTAAGCCTGACACCCAAAGAGAGTTGGAGGGAATTCATTCATTAGGAAAATATAAGGAAGAAATCATGACATCAGTTACCTCTGTTAATAAAAAAAATCAGAAAAGAACAAGTAAGTAAAGTGGCATTTTAGAATATATAGTAGAGTTTAAAACTGTTAAATATTTGAGCATAAGTATTTTGCTTTGAGAGAGAAGAAAAAAATACTACACCAAGTAAGAAGTGCTAGTTGCGTCTCTTAGAGTGTACCAAAACGATATTGGACATTGGAGCCTCGTTATTTGTCACCTGAAGATGACTCATGGGAATAGAATTCTAAAGCAATGGAAACAGGCACTTTATATAGGAGTAAATATCACAAAACACATTTTTAAACTCATTATTTTGAAATATATACTTAAAGAATTTGCAAAAATACTAGAGTTCACCCATCTTCCTCTGATAGTGGCATTTCGTATAACCGTAGTACATGAACAAAATCAGAAAATTGACATTGGCACAATACTGTTACCTTAATATAGACCTTATTCAGATTTCACCAGCAAGCACATTTTTTAACACTAAAACTTTAAAAGGATTTAAAATATATATCCTGTTTTTAAATCTTATTTTTTGTGAGTCCATAGTAGGTGCATATATTTATGGGTTATGTGAAATATTTTGATATAGGCATGCAATGCATAATAATTACATCAGGGTAAATGGGGTATCTATCACCTCAAGCATTTATCCTTTGTATTACAAACAATGTAATTATACTATTTTAGTTATTTAAACATGTACAATTAATTTAATTGATTTAATTTTACATTTAAATATTTTTTGTGGATAAAAGTATTTAAACTAAATTTAACTTAATAATAAGTATATATTTCTATACTCATTTTCTGAATATGAGTTATAAGATGGTTGGACTTTATCTCTTTATTCTATGTCTTAAAAGACTTAAGCTTCCGTGTCTAAGTTGTACTTCCCAATGGAGTCAGAATCACTGAGACTAGAACCCCTGGAAGCTAGAATGAGACAGATACAGTAGTAACTGGAGCTGTGGGGAAACCTTAGGTTATATCCTCCAAATCATCTTAACAGCAACAAGTATGGAACCTAATTTCCAATGGAAATATGTTTTATATGTGGTCTTGTAAAATAGTCCTGTTTATGAACAATTCTATTTCAGTACGACAATAGACATACTGAATATTAAACCTTAAATTCCAGCAGAGAATTTCAGAGGAAAATATTTTTTTCAATATAATATGAAAAATAGTGTCAATGTTTGTCAAAATGTGACTCTTTGAATATTCTAATATACTAAGCTTGAAGGAAAACTATAAATCTTTTTGAAATGTCTTTTCCATTTTTTATTTTAGCAAAGTATGCAATACTTAATATTCCAGTAGTCTACCAGTAGACAAATTTACACTTATTATGTTCACCACAAAGTCTTTTATGACTAGGAGATTCAGAACTTCTTATAAATCTTATACCATAATGCATAACTTAGAATAATTTACATAAGAAAAATTCAACTCAAAGACTAAACAGATACCAAGAATAACATATTACATATCTAAAATTAGAAAGCACACAGACACATTTTAGAGATAATAGCAAAAGCTTTTTAGTGCACAAATAAAGTTAGTAGAAGAAAAACAAGGTAAAATGATACATATTTTTAACATTACAGAACATTACTAAGAATACATTGCCTAAAATTGATTTATAAACAGAGAAAAGTCTTATGCTCACAACCCCTCTATTTTAATATAAATTTAAAAAGAGAGAAATTGCAATGAAATTGATAATCATCATATAAGCCATGATTTGCACCTTTGGTACACATCATAATTGCTTGGGGAGTGATTTTGGAATACACCAGAATAAAACCTGGTAAGTGGTAGTTTGAGATAAATCAAATAAAACACATTTTTTTTTCTATAACAAACAAAAGGCCAAGTCTGGAATCATTGGTTTCTGTATGGTGTATTTTATCCAGGACTGGCTTATAGATTATTTAAGAGTTAAAATTATGATTACATGGTCACATATATTTGACTTTAGACACTTTTAAATTTAGCTATATATTTTAAGTAGAGATTCTTATGAATATGGAAATAAAATAATGTACAATGGTATGATAATCTGATTTATCTAAATTCTGAGTTCTAGACATGCCAGTGAGCTACACTGGTAGTAGGACTCAAAAGTGCATTATGTAGGGAAAAACATGATGAATTGATTTCTTAAATCTTTCTCAGCTAGTGGTCCCTTAGTGGCTTACCCTGGTTTGTCACCTCTCCCATGATATTTATCAATACTTATGAACATTTTAGAACCTTTCTAGCCATAATTTGGAACCTAAAATGTTTACCTATGCATGTACTTCAAGGATAAATATGTTATGATTATGTTATTTGAAGGACCTGGCTAGAGTGGAGCCTACAGCTGAAGTAACCAGAGTTGGGAGGGTATGTTACGATATAAATTTCAAAAAAAAAATAGTTTTAAAATATGGCTATGTAAAAATAACTTCTATTACTTGTATTTTATGAACGATTCAACCTGTATAAAAAATATAGTTCTGTGGAAAAAGTTTGATATTAGAGAGTTCTGTTCTTTAATCTCTGCCACATTTTCGCTAAACATCTTTTCTTTGACCTCGGCCAAATTCCTTAACTGTTGAATCTCCTGGGGTGCCTGTGAGAATTCAAAATGCACCTCAAAACAGCCTAATACATGGCAGACATTCAGCAAATGTTCCATTCTCCTATCCCCTAATTATCACACAAGACAATTACTTTTAATCTGTACATATTGAGGAGCTTTGCATGTTGTGGACACTTTGTCAATATTCGTTGAAGGAATGAAATTGTGGATTAAATTTGCTGTATTATAAAACTGATATCTTTTACTTAATAAAAGCTTGGCAGTATGAATTGATAGAAAATGAGTAAGTCTATTTATTTGGTGGTAATGAAGATTACTGGGATAAGTTTCCAAAGCAAGTTATAAAATATTGTTCCATTAAACTTTTAAAATGGGATTTGTTTTCCTGCTTTTTGCCTCATACAGAATAAGTATGGCTCTGTTTCAAGATTCTGGTGTGTTCATGATGACCTCTCAAGATCAATTCTGAATCACAGGGAGAAAACGTTGAAATGATAAAGACATGGATACTAGAAATGCAAGCAAGTTATAGACCATTTTATTTACCCATTTTTTTTTTTAGCTCAAGCAATTTCGTGTCTTATATTTATGGATAAAGTTGAAATAAAATTTCCCTTTTTTTCTGTTAAATATTAAGAGTCTGGGGATTAGTTATGCAGCATCTATTTATTTATTTCTGTCTTATAAAAATTATCTTAAAGGGCTTGGCTTAATTTCTATACCATAAAGAAAAAATGTGTAAGATAATCCCTCGCTATCGGGATCATTTTCTTATATAATTAATGAGCTGAACGTAAAAGATAGGTGAATCTACAAATTTATTTATTTTCTGTCTTATAAAAATTGTCTTAAAGGGCTTGGCTTAATTTCTATACCATAAAGAAAAAATGTGTAAGATAATCCCTAGCTAGTCGGGATCATTTTCTCATATAATTAATGAGCTGAACGTAAAAGATAGGTGAATCTACAAAGAAAATGCCCCAGGTACCATCCATTAAAGCATGTTGCTGCTATATGTGCAAGATGTCCAGGGTATGGCTTCCATAATTATAAACAATTTACTATGTCTCAATTATTATTTCAATTGTTAATTCCCTTGTCTCTGGATTGATGCTTTAGTGCATCATTTATTGTGGATATTTTGGATAAAATGAATCTTTGGATTTTGTAAAAACAATATTTCAAATTTGTATGCATCTTTGAAGTCTAAATAGCATGTTATACAAATTGAAAATTGACTGTAAGAGTTGCTACAGATTCAAATTTTATGTAGTTTATTTTTTATATCTTGATTTGTGAAGAAACAAAAACCTTAACTTTGCTTGGTGGCAAGAACAAGGGGATTAGAACATGAACACACAGGATATTCAGAGCAGTGCGTTTGTAAGGCATGCCTTATTTGAGTTTCAGGTGCTTGCTCATTAAGATGAAATTTTTGTCAGGCAGTGTGTATTGGGAGTTTGCTACTTGAAAATCAATAGTCTGCATTCTCTGCCTTATTGTTTCAATAGCCTCTTAACTGATCTCCCTGCTTTCGCTATTGAGCTCCCTGCTGCCTAGCTCTTTGAGCTCATCTCCTAACACTTCCCCTCTCTCCAGCCTTAGTAAATGCCCCCACCCACATCCATTTGTGATATCTTTTCATTTTCTCCCACCAAGAGGTGGAGTTTAAGCTCCCCCTTTTTGAATGGCATATGACCTTGGAAATTCATATGGTCGGAAATTCAAATTTCCCACCAAATTCCCACCAAAGTTCCCAAAAAAGGTGGGAACGGAACGTAAACCCCCACCAAATTTGAATTTGAAATTCAAATTTGGTGGGGGTTTACGTTCCCACCTTTTGAATGCCATGTGACCTTGGTAATTTGCCTTGACAAATACAATGTGGTAAGATTGACATCATGCCATTTCTAGGTTTAGACCTTAGGAGACCTTGAATGCTTCCATTTATTCTCTTGGAACCCTGCTATCAACAGATGATGAAAGACTTAACGTTTTACTCACCCCATTCGACAGGTGGCCAATCATCAGACATGAGCGAGGCCATTGTAGAACAAGAAATCCCCTAATCTTGGCTAGGTTTCCTCATAGGTCTGGGTTAGCTGTTGTGGGTACTCATGTCTTACTTTAAAATATGGTTATTTAATACCTCTGTATTGTTATTCCTCTAAGAAGATGTAATAAGTCCTCTGGAAGATATGACATTAATGGACTTCGCTGAAGTTTTCTGTGACTCTTTATGTCTCTTGACATAAAAGACAAGAATCTCTTTAATAGAAACAAAGTATTTGTCTCTATATTTTTATGGTTGAAAATGTGACTTAAACTAGCTACAATGAGGAAAGAACATGTTACTTGATTGAGATATGGTGTTTCCTTTAGAAAAGAGAAATGCAGTTCTTATTGATATTGTCTTACTGGCATTGTGTACAGTTTGATAGCATTCAGTATTGAGTCTTTTGTGTCACAGTTCTTGAAAAAGCTTTGATTCTTGTTTTAAGATTACCTATATCTTGAGTGATTTTGAAAGCAAGTGCCAAGAAAAGATGTTCTATTGATGTATACATGACAGGTGAAATATCACACCTTTTCAGAAGGCTTCTCTGGTGAATTTAATTCCAAAGACAACCAGAGTGGAGGTGGAAGTAAAAGATACGATTTGTCATGTTATTATAAGTGCATTACAAAAGTAAAGAATCATAGCCCATGCAGGAGGAATGATGTAGGGTCTTGTTTATTAGACATTTTTCCCCAGGGTTTACATAGCTTAGGGATTATGCAAACAAAAACAAAATATATATAGTCCAAGATAAACAAGCCATATTGAAATTGATATGTATGTATGGTATTAAATATTGTTAGATTTTTCTGAAATTCTCATTTTTTATATATTCAACACACATTACTTTAATTGTACGTATTAAAAAAATTTATCAAAATAATCAATGATATAAAATCTCTCCTTATATGATTTAAAATAATCTAGCTATGTCAGATTAAAGGAAACTATTCTGTACCTCTATATCTGGTCAACTCAGGATTTAACCAATAGGGCCCAGGGTATTTTTAGTCTAAATAATATACATTTATGTTTAAATCATTGATTTGAATCTAATGGCAGCTTGTTGAAACATCAACTGAGTGCTTGACTTTCACAGACAAGTAACACATTTTTGACTGTAGCATTTCATCTGAACAATACAAGGTCAATCCTCATATAAAGTATAAATAAATCAGGGGATTCTATTGTATACTTATAACACATATTCATATATTAGAATTTTATGAAGTTAAAAAGATTTTATTTTCTTAAAGATTATTTTTAGAGCAGTTTCAGGTTCCCAACAAAGTTGAGAAGAAGGTACAGGGATTTATTTTACACCCTCTACCCCTACATATGCATAGCCTCTCTCATTATCAACATCCCCCACCAAAGTGGTGCCTTTGTTACAATGGATGAGCTTATTGTGTTGACACATCATTATCACCTAAAGTCCATAGTTTTCACTAGAATTCACTCTTGGTGTTATACATTCTATGCTTTGGGACAAATGCATCCACCATTATAGTATCATATGTATTTTCCCTGACCTAAAAATCCTCTTTAGTTCTCCTATTCATCTTTCCATCTGCCTAGCCCCTAGCAAATACTGATATTTTCCTGTCTCCACAGTTGTGCCTTTTCCAGAATGTCATATAGTTGGAATCACTCAGTATGTAACCTTTTCACATTGGCTTCTGTAACTTAGTGATATGCATTTAAGTTTCCTCCATGACTTTTTATGACTTGATAGCTGATTTATTTTTAGCACTCAATAATATTCTATTGTCGGGATGTACCCAGGTTTATTTATGTGTTCACCTACTGAAAGACATATTGGTTGCATCTGAGTTTTTGCAATTATGAATAAAGGTGCTATAAATATTCACGGGCGGGTTTTTATGTCAAAATACAGTTCCAACTCCTTTGGGTAAATTCCGAGGAGTGTGACTACTGAGTCATATGGTAAGAGCATGTTCAGTTTTGTAAGAAACTGCCAAACTGTCTTTTAGTGTGGCTGTACTATTTTGCATTCCAAACTACAGTGAATAAAAGTTCCTGTTGCTCCGTATTCTTGCCAGCATTTTGTTGTCAGTGTTCTGAATTTTGGCTATTCTAATAGGTGTGTAGTGATATCTCATTGTTGTTGAAGATTTCATTTTTAGTCACAAAAATCATATAGCATTGGAAGGAATGTTAGATAGCATCTGGTTAAAATCACCACTTAATGTATAAACTTACTCTGCAATATTTCGTTTTAAGCAATCATCTCATCCAGAATCCTTTTAAGACCATCTATGGAATGCTTCTTGTCATGAGATGCAGAAAAGCTGTATGCTACCAAACATTAGAAGGCCCCAGGGCTCAGTCCTTGGACATCTTTGCTTTGTGCACTTACTGCCTTGGAGATCTCTTCCAGTATCATGGCTTTAAATACCATTTTTATGCTGGCAATTCCCAAATTTTCATCACCAACCTGGACCTCTCCCCTGAACTCCAGACACATGTATCAATCTGCTTAGTTGACATCTTTATTTTTTGTCTAAATGGGTATGTCACACTTAGCGACCCCAAACAAATTCCTTACTTTTTCTCCCACACCTGACCCTTCACATTCTTCCTCAGTAGTAACTTTATCCTTTCAGATGATCATGCCATAACCTTCATTCCTTTTAGCTCTTCTTTTTCATGCACTCCAGTCTATCAGCAAATTCTTTCAACTCTTCCTTGAAAAGAAGAGTTGAATGGACTCAAAATTTGACTAATTCTCACCACACCTGCTGCATCTTAGCCCAGTGCCCCTTGTCTCTCACCTGTTTTATTTCAATAGTCTTGTTACTGTTTTCTCTGCTTTCTCCCTTGCTCCCTTTAACTGTTTTATTCTGAATATGGCAGCCAGCGTGATTCCTTCACTTACCAATTGTATGATATTCTTCTCTATTCAGCCTCTACTTATAATGGTCTTTTATCTCTCTCAGAATAAAATCCCAAGTCCCCACAGTTGCTCACAAGGTTCTCATGCATAAACATCTGGCTCCCCAATGCCTCTTAGTATATCCATTAGTGTTTTCCCCTTGTTTGCTCGACTCCAGGGCACAAGGCTCCTCTGTTACATCAGACACACCCCCTCCCACGTCAGTGCCTTGCACTTGCTGTTCCTTTTGCCTGGGATGCTTTCCACACAGCTATCTCATGAGTCATTCCCGCTCCCCTGCCTGTCACAGTCAGCTCCTTCAGGTCTTTTCTCAAACACCTCTGCTTAGTGAGTCCTTCTCTAGCCACCTGATTAAACTTGCAACCTACTTCTTAACTCTTTTCACCAATGACTTTTTATATATATTTAAATAATTTCTTATTGTCTGTCTCCCTTCACTTCAGATGTCAGCTCCATGAGGAGAGAGTTTTGTCTGTTTTGTTCACTATTATATCCTGCATGCCTACAAAAGGCCCTGCTTTATATACACCATAGAATACTATGCAGCCATAAAAAGAACGAGTTCACGTCCTTTGCAGGGACTTGGATGAAGCTGGAAACCATCATTCTCAGCAAACTAACACATAAACAGAAAACCAAACACTGCATGTTCTCACTCATAAATGGGAGTTGAACAATGAGAACACATGGACACAGGGAGGGGAACATCACACACTGGGACCTGTCGGGGATGGGGGGAAAGGGGAGGGAGAGCATTAGGACAAATACCTAATGCATGCAGGGCTTAAAACCTAGATGACAGGTTGGTAGATGCAGCAAGCCACCATGGCACATGTATACCTATGTAACAAACCTGCACGTTCTGCACATGTATCCCAGAACTTAAAGTAAAATAAATAAATAAATAAAATGAAATAAAAATTAAGTCCCCTGCTTAGTAAGTATTGATTGACAGAATGAATTATTTTTTATACATTCTAAATATTAGGGAATTCTGTACTTGTAGGGTTTTTTTTTTCTCAACTGTGTATTTTAAAGGAGAGAAAGCAATCAACAACTCCTTTGTTTTTAATTTGGGTTTTCTATATTTAACAGATTTATCATTTTATTTTTTCCCTCAGTGAACTTGTTTATTAAAAAGAAATCTGTCACTAGCCAAAAGCTGTCTACCTTTTAGCTACTCGGCAATATTGGTGCATAATCATGGGTTCTTGGGATGCTTCCAACTTTGGTTTGACCTTTACAGATTAGCTCTGAATTAGGGACCACTGCTGGGTGAGAAGTAAGGTGTAGGAAGAAGACAGATATTCCAACACAATCTGGAATAATTAGAAGGACGAAGACAACAAGGAAAGGAGACTATTTTCAGTGCTTCAGGCCTCATTTTTATAACTGCTGACACAAGCCTGCTATTAAAATAGTCACATTTCCTCAAATATTGGACTTTCAGATGCAAACGGCGCAGTCAAATAGTTCTGTTAACATGACCTAATTTTCAGAGCTAGGTGTTATATGTGCTTTCATTCTGAGTCTGTAAACCTTTAGACCTCTGATTCTTTCAGCCCTAAGCTGATAGTATTATTGTCTAAAACCTAGCAATTTTCTCTGTAAACTTTATCATTTTGCATTTTATAAAATCCTTTATACTTACCTATGTAGAGCTTGGAGTTTACTATCCTAGGGAGAAGGAGTACAAGGCAATTAAAAAAAAAAAAAGCCCCGTATTCAAAGCAGAATGTTTCAAAAAGACTCTACTTCTGAAAAGGGGAAAAAATCACCATTGTTCTGTTGGCTGAATGTGTTGGAAGTATCTCAAAGAAGTACAATTGAATTAATTATATTTTCATCTCTGTGTACCCATTCAAGTCTGAGAACATGCACTTCACTGTAGTTTTACCTCCTTCTGGATTACACGAGAAGCTGCAAGATTATCAAGATGTCAGACATTCCTATTGGGATAACATGACATCTTTACTAAGGACTTCTGTGGGTCTGATGTTCTTCTTCCTAGAAAATCATATGAAAGATACTTTAAAAGTGCCATGTACCCACTTGAGCTTATTTTTTAATTCTGATTTTTAAAAATATTTTACTACTTAAAGTGACATTTAAAAAGCATATTAAACAACGATATAAGACTCTGACTTCACAAATTAGTTTTTCTAAGAACATCTAATTAGACAACTTGGATTGTGTCTTACCAGGGTGCATAGATGTAACCAACCTAAGCCAGCCCTTTTGACAATCTGCAGTATCAAAGCAAAATGGAACTCTCGTCTTATACTTACATTAGTACATAGGTGGTCTTTCTTGCTCATCTTTATCCCCTTTTTAAAAACCATAGCATAGTGAGTAACACATCTTATATACTGCGTATTAGACACATTTCTGTTTATCTTTGTCCCTGTCTTATGAATCTTCATTTTGATTATCTGAGCAGTGTTGCTGATTTGCTCTACTGGCTTTATTCAACTAATGCCAGTACTCCCTTATTGGACTAAGGTCTTAAAACTACCGTGTGCTTATGTGTACTAAAGGTAGTTACTGTCTGCAAGTGAGGAATACATTTGATGGAACTGATTAATTAGGGTGATTTTCTGTTTTTGTGGTCAATTGAAATCTTTTGTTAATTTTAGCTTTGCTAATTTTAGCTGAATTTTCTACAGTAATTTTTATTTATCCATAAGTATTTGATTTCTGCAAATTGGAAGTAAAATCACTCATGTTTGTTTACCTAGTTGGAGCTCAGATTTTTATTAAAATATTGTTAAAATTTTATTAAAATATGCCTATAAAAGCATAGTGACTGGCTGAATGCATTGTGATGCTCACGAAAATGCCCTCTCACATCTCCTACCGCAAGAAACACAACTGAGTACTGGGCTCGAGATGCTGCTTTCTGGATCCATCACAGCTTTGGTGCTGAGGCCCCACTCTTCTTAGGAGCTGCTTCTAGTCAGTGACAGAGTGCAGCAGCAGGGGTACTAAAACGGGCCCATTGCTGAGGGATGTGGGAACTCCACTGATGGCAATGTGAGCTCAAGAATCCCCATGAACTTTACACTGCACTACAGTGTAAAGCTTGTTTTCCTTCCTCCCTCTCTTCCCCCTATTCTTCAAAGAGGTTAGACCCACATCGAGGTGAGATCGGTCTCTTGGCCTCCTCTGGCTTCCTCCTGTTTTCTTTCATAGGTGTTCCTCTCTGACCCTGCCTCTGATAACTCTTGGGTTTGTCTAATCTTATCTTTGTGTCTGCTTTTCCAGGAGGAGAACCTGGATTACCACATGCAAAAAAGATGCTTTTGTCCAAATAATTTCATGTTTGGGCCCCTTATTCGTATTTGGCCACAAGTTTTAAAAACCTGATCTGTAGTCCTAAACTTATATACCCCTATGGTTTTTTTTTTTTTTTTGGAAGCTGTTAAATAAGTCTGAATATTCTCTTCATTTATGTTGTTGAACCTAGCATTCACTTCTTTTCAATTTGAACTCCGCCAACCAGTATGGAAAAGTATAGTCTCTTCTGTGTCTGCCAGTCAAAGGTAGTTTGTTTACCCCATTTAGCAAATCATGACAACTTGATGACTCTTTACTAGGTCCACTACAATGTTGATATGTCGGAAAACACTTTCACAGGCTACTAGATCCTATTATGCAATTTTGTAACAGAGGCTCAGGCTGGAGTTAAGGACTCACACTTGCCTTGGAAGACGTGACACCCTGCTATTTAGAATGAGTGGTGCTTTGTTTTGTTGTGCCTGTTATCCAGGATCAAGACAATGAGACATTTACCATCCCCCTGCATATCATTTTGGCATGTATCCTTGTGAAGGGTTGTAGGAGGCAGCAGTTATTAACTCCTTAACTGCACACATATTTTGCAAAAATAGAAATTTTGCTTGTGGATAGCCTCCCAGAGTTGTTATGGTGACTCATCAACAATCATTTCTAACACCTGGATATCAATACAAATTATTTGGGAACTTTGGCGGTTAAGTATTACCTAAATCTTGGTGAAAATTCCTTCCTTATTAAAGTATTATCGGCATACTAACAGCTTGCTCCATACATCCACAATTAATATTTCAATTTTATTAAAAACATCTGAGAATGCTGATTTTATAATGTCAACTTTAAATCTGGAGAATCTCTGAGCATGAAATGGTACAGTAGTTACCATCGAAGGAGCAGCTGAAGGTCAGCCTCTGAGGTGCATTAATTCTTCCAACATTAACTCTTGTAAAAATGTCACTTTATTGTTATTAAGTAGAGGTTCTTAAAAGGCCCATTAACTCTGGTGGCTACAAAGTGGCACATCAATTATAAATTTGTTTTATGTAAACGGAACCCCCAAATGACACCATCAACATATTGCTTTGTACTTAGGATCAAAATAATCAAAGCCACTATTTGAAAATGTATTTGCTTGATTTCTCAGACAGAATCTGGGGATAGCTGAGCAATCATATCTCATGCATTGAAGACAAATTGCCTCAGTGAAATTTCTATTATAGTTTAAGAAAATTATCTTCCTGAATTTGACACACTGAGGTGGCTGGGAATGTAGTTATCCAGCAACACCTGCTTAAAATGCCAATAGGAGGTATGTGGTAACTTTGTTCCACTCAGTTGCTACACATGACCTTTGGAATTGCCACAGCTACCTTACAGCAGAGAACAGGGACGCACACAGGGATTTTCAGAGAAGCACTAAGGAAAATTTGAAATGAAGCTAAATTCAAGAAGTAAATGATACTTAGACCTTTTGCAAAGAAAACCCAGAGATTTTAAAATAGACAATAGCATGACAATTTATAAAAATGAAGCTATTTAAACAGTATGATGTATAGTATTCACAATAGCTTAAAATATTTTATTCCCAGGAGCAACCTAATCCATAACTTTTTTTTTTTTTGCTAAATGTTAGATGTTGATATTTGCAATGCATTGCCTTAAATTGGAAGATTATAACAAATTTGTGTATTTTATGGTGTACTGTCTATGTATTGTCTCACAGCAGCTTTGATTCACTTCCATATTAACCTTGATAATTTGCTTCTTTCAACATTCAGGATGAAAACTACTTAATATAATTAAGTTGGCAAAGCCTGCATTTTGGCATTTTATCCCACTCTACATTTTCTTGGTACTGCTTTTTCTACCCTCTTAATTTTTACACATGGAAATAACTCATGTGCCTCATTGTAAGTCAGTGTGTTATTTGCCAAGAGATATTCTGCATGAGGTCTCTAATAAGATATTGAAAGAATGAAAGGCATTTTCTTATTGGACTTGCAGTCATCAGAATCCACAGAAGGGGTAAATTACGGCCAAAGCTTTACAGGGTAATGGTTAAGCATGCAGAATTGGTGCCTGAATGCTCGCCTTCAGATATTTGCTGTATGATTTGGGGCAAGTTCCTTAATCTCTTTGTGCTTTCCTTTTTTTTTTTACTTCTAAAAAGTGATGTATAAATAGCATTTAGCACAATCCATCTAGTACACTGAGAACTCTTTATTATTATGGGCTTCTCAATATCCTGATATAGATAGACATAAATGCAAACCAATCACAGAACAGTGCTTGGCACATAGGAAGTGCTCAATAAATAACAGCTACCATTAAAAATAGAGGCATGGGATTGATCTGGATTTTCTAAATCCTTGAAGTTCTAATAGTTTTGTACAGCATGGGGTGGAAATGAGCAGAGCAGTTTACAAAAGAGAAAACAAAATTATGAATGCAGACTGTCTACAGCAACTTCAATGCAATTGCATAAAATAAATTATAAATATAAATGCCTGCAGTTTCCACGGGGAAAGCTCAGGTTAGTGAAGGGGGCCTAAAATGTAGGTATCATTGGTGTCGAAATAAATATACCTTTGAAAACGACCTTTTCCAACCCCATTGAAGTTATCTACCTCTCTTATGAATTAAGTGTAGAAACATTGTGAGGAGCAGGGCCAAGGTTAATAAGCAAAGATTTCGGACCAAGTTTTTATACCTTTTTATCCTGTTTCCCCATTGCAATCCCCTCAGTGCATGTGTGTGCGCGCGCACACACACACACACACACTCTCACTCATGCTTCTAACAAAAATATGTTGTTACAGTACAGATTCTCAGTAAACATTTCTTAAATAAAGGCAGCCATAATGTATGTTTGTTAGCCTATATTAGTGTGAGGAAATAAAGTAGGGCTACTTTATAACCAAAATGAGGAAAATAAACAGTAAAAGAAAAATAACGCCAAAACAAATATGATTTATTTATTTATCCAGGAATCACTTATCAACTACCTACAGATATATAGATCATTAAGATAGGGTAGCTGCCTTTGGGAAGTTTATAGCTTAAAAAGAATTATAAGATGTATAAAAGTTTCAAAGTGTGGTTAAGGACTGTCATAGAAACTCTGTAAGATGAGAGTGTTTAATTTTACTGACTGTGGTTATGAGGAAAGTTTTAAAGAGAAGGTACAATTTGATAATATCATCATAGTGAGGTTTTCATTGAGTAGGCAATGGAAGGGCACAAACAGAAGATATAGAAGTGTGAAACATGGAGGAACACTCAGAGAACTCCAAATATTTTGAAATAAGTAAATCATTGGGCTTTCCCAGAGGTATCACAAGAGATATGGTCAGACCAGAGTCAGATTATATACCTTACCAAGGAATACTGATTTTCTAGATTGAGTAGTGTGAAACCAGAGACATAAAGGCAATTCAATTGGATGTATACTTTAGTAAGATCACACTAGGAATATAGTGAAGAGGACCAGAGGAGGAAAGACAAATTAAGAAAACACCAGCATGTCAGGTGAGAGAAAATGAGTAGTAGCAATAGGGATGGGGAATGAGGAATGCATAAAAAGAGGAAGAATAAACAGGATTTGATCATCAATTGGACTTCAGGATGAAGGAGAGAAAGGAATCTAAGATACCCCTAGGTTTTTTGGTTTAGAGAATATAGATGTGAAATTTAGGAAGATGTGAAATTTAGGAAGATGTGAAGTTTAGGAAGATGTGAAATATAGGTTTGATTATGCTGTATTTAAGGAACCTGTGGGATGTCTAGGCATAGATATCAGAGTTGGAGGGTGGGATCAGGGAATGTGGCTAGAAAGATATATTTCAGCAAATAATTAGTAGGTAAAATCACTGGAATGCATGTGATGACACACCAGTAATGTGTGGAGTGGGAAGAGACCAAACGCAAAATCCTAGGAATCCAATTTAAAGAGCAGGAACAATTGGGGCAGGGGAAGGGGAGAGAAAGAGAATTGTTAGGAAAGTAAGACAAAACTCAGGATAAGAGAGCTGTGTTGTGGAAATCAAAGATAGAGTTGTGCTATGGAGAGATTAAATAAAATGAGGTCATCAGTGACCTTGGCAAGACCAGTTCCTGGGAACAGAATGCACACAAATCTGATGATTGTTCTTGAAAAGGGACAGACATGAGTAACTGGAGTCAGCAAGAGTAAATGGTTGTATTAAGCAAATGAATGAAGTTGTCTCAGATCCTCTTATCTTGTAGTGTTGTGCCTAGCATATTTGACATGCACAGCATCTTTTTTGTTTGTTTATTTGTTTGTTTTTGAGACAGGGTCTCACTCTGTCACCCAGGTTGGAGTGCAGTGGCGCGATCTCAGCTCACTGCAACTTCCGCCTCCCAAGTTCAAGTAATTCTCGTGCTTTATCCTCCCAAGTAGCTGGGATTACAGGTGTGCACCACCATGCCTGGCTGATTTTTGTATTTTTACTAGAGATGGGGTTTTGCCATGTTGGCTAGGCTGGTCTCGAACTCCTGACCTCAGGTGATCTACTGCCTTAGCCTCCCAAAGTGCCAAGATTACAGGCATGAGCCACTGTGCCCAGCCCAGTGTATCATTTTTAATTACTTCCGTCCTGTCTGCAACATTAGTTTTGGAAATAAGTACTAATAATGGCTAGAAAAGAAAAAAAAGATCATATAATCATTCCAAGAAAATAAATTAATGAATAAATTAAATATTACAGTACACCAAAGAAGGGGGAAGTAATGGAATAATACCTTTTATTTTTCCTTTAAATTTATTTTTAATTTTTGTGGGTACATAGATTAATATATTTATGGGGTACATGAGATGTTGAAATAATACCTTTTAGTTTCATTAATATGTTTTCTGAATAAAGACAAAAAACTTATATGCACTTATTGATCTGTTGCAGTCATTTCTAGTTGTTTCTAGTTTCAGTTTCTTTACAGTTCATTATAATGCATTTACTTCTAGTGCACCATAGTTTTCTAGTTTAGAGCCTTAACGCCTACAAAGTTGCCAATGACTTTGTCTGGAGAGCCCTTTTTATTAAGTTTCATTTTGAAAAGTTTCTTTCACATCAGCAAGCAGATATACAAATAGGAAAAATCTTAATTATAAGGTAAGATTGGAAGAGATTTTTAAAAATCCTACTCTACAGTAAATTCTGGAAATTGCAATATAGTCCATATCTTTGTTTCTTTGGGATAAATTCTAGGGGCTTTCAAATGTCTCTATGTCAAAGAATATTTAATACAAAATCTCCAAGTGGTCATATAAATTGTTAGCAGTGAAGAAACTCAAGTTCTGTTTCTTGGTCTTCATAATCATGGTGAGATTATTGTTTATTTTAAATCTACCTTTAAAAGTGAAATTATGTAATACCTGTGCTTTGGAGATAGCAGCTGCATCCAAAGAGACCTTCAATGACTTTGAGACATTAGGAACTCCTGTTGAAATGAACCTATGTAGGCAAATCTGTGTTTGTCTGGGTTAGAATATGTGACTGAGAGTTCTCCCGATAAACTTCCAGGTAGAATTCAATGTTTACTCAAGGATAAGTCATAAAAATGAGTTAATTTGAAGCTTATGCAAATGTTGTTAAAACTCAACAGGAACCACAGCAAATTGCTTAAAACTTGGAACAAAGGAGTTTTTTTTCCAAGAGTACTATTTTGACACAGATACACCGTGTTTTATTGTGCTCTACTTTATTGTACTTTGCAGATATTGTATTTTTAACAAATTGAAGGTTTGTGTCAATCCTGTTGTACAGTACGTCTATCAATGCCATTTTTTCAACGCATTTGCTCACTTTGTGTCTCCGTGTCACATTGGTAACTCTCACAATATTTCATACTTTTTCATTGTGATTATGTCTGTCATGGTGATCTGTGATCAGTAATCTTTGATGTTATTATGAAATTGTTTTGGGGCACCACAAACCATGCCCACATAGGAACTTAATAAATGTGTGTGTTCTGACCACTCTATCGACTAGCCACTCCCCTATCTTTCTCCCTCTTCTTGGGCCTCCCTACTCCCCAAGACACAAAAATACTGAAATTAAGTCAATTAATAATCCCACAATGTCTTCCATGTGTTCAAGTGAAAGAAATAGTAACAGGTCTCTCACTTTAAATCAAAAGCTAGAAATGATTAAGTTTAGTGAAGAAAGCATGGTGAAAGCTGAGATAAGGTGAAATCTAGGCCTCTTTTGCCAAACAGCCAAGTTATGAATGCAAAAGAAAAGTGCTTAGAAGAAATTAAAAATGCTACTCAGTGAACACACAAATGTTAAGAAAGCAAAACAGCCTTATTGATGAAATGGAGAAAGCTTGTGTAATCTGGATAGAAAATCAAACCGGCTACAACATTCCCTTACGCCAAAGCCTAATCCAGAGCAAGATCCTAAGTCTGCAATTCTAAGAAGTGAGGAAGCTGCAGAAGAAAAGTATAAAGGTAGCAGATGTTGGTTCATGAGGTTTAAGGAAAAAAAGCTGTCTTTATAACATAAAAGTGTGAGGTGAAGCAGCAAGAGCTGTTGTAGAAGCTGCAGCAAGTTGTCTGGATCTAGGTAAAATTATTGATGTTGGTGACTACACTAAACAATAGATTTTTGGTGTATACAAAGCAGCCCTCTATTGGAAGAATATGCCGTCTAGAACTTTTCATAGCTAGAGAGGAGAAATTAGTGCCTGGCTTCAAAGCTTCAAAGGACAGGCTGCCTTTCTTGTCAGGTGCTAATACAGCTGATGATTTTAAGTTGAAGCAAATGGTCATTTACCATTCTGAAAATCCTAGGGCCTTTAATAATTATGCTAAATCTATTCTGCTTGTGCTCTATACATGCAAGAACAGAGCCTGGATGACAGCACATGTGTTTATAGCATGGGTTGCTGAGTATTCTGCATCCATTGTTGAGACCTATTGCTCAGAAAAATATATTTCTTTCAAAATATTACTGCTTATTGACAATGTACCTGGTCACTCAAGAGCTGCCATGGAGATGTACAAGGAGAATAATGTTTTCATGCTTACTAACACAATATCCATTCTGCAGCCCATGGATAAAGGTGTGATTTTTCAAGTATTATCATTTAAGAAATACATTTCATAAGGCTATAGCTGCTATAGATCTGCTATAGCTGTGATAGATCTAAGCAAAGTAATTTGAAAATCTTCTAGAAAGAATTTACCATTCTAGATGCCATTAAGAACATCTGTGATTCATGGGAGGAGGTCAAAATATCCACATTATCAGGAGTTTGGAAGAAGTTGATTCCAACTCTTGCAGATGATTTTGAATTCTTAAGACTTCAGTGGATTAAGTAACTGTAGATGTGTTGAAAATAGCCAAAGATCTACAGTGAGGATTGGAGCCTGAAGATATGACTGAATTGTTATAATATCATGATAACATTTTAACAAATAAGGAGTCACCTCTTATGGATGAGCAATGAAAGTGGTTTCTTAAGATGAAATCTACTCCTGGTGAGGACGCCATGAACATTGTTGAAATGACAACAAAAGATTCAGACTATTACATAGACTTAGTTGATTAAGCAGTGACAGAGTTGTAGAGGATTGACTCCAAATTTTAAAGAAGTTCTATGGGTAAAATCTTATCAAACAGCATTGCATGCTACAAATAATCCTTTATAAAAGGAAGAGTCAGTGCAGCAGACTTCATTGTTGTCTTATTTTAAGAAATTGCCAGTCACCTCAACCTTCAGTAACCACCACCATAGTTAGTCAGCAGCCACCAACATTGAGGCAAGACCCTCCACCAGCAAAAAGATTAAGATTTGTGGAAGGCTCAGATGATCATTAACATTTTTAGCAAAAATGTACTTTTAAAATTAAGTTATGTACATTGTTTTCAGACACAATGCTATTGCAAGCTTTATAGACTACAATATAGAATACACATAACTTTTATATGCACCGAGGAACCAAAAAAATTTGCGCAACTCGCGTTATTGAGGCATTTGTTTTATTGCAGTGGTCTGGAACTGAATCTGCAATATCTCCAAGGTATGCTTGTATTATTTAGAACTGCCAGCACATGGTGATAACGGAAAGCAATTGACTTTAAGTGAATTTTATTATTACTTTAAAAAATTATCTGCAGAAGATACATTTGTTTGTTGTCTGCTCCCTATGCCTGGTCTTTGGAAAAAGCCTCTTTTTAAGCAATTAACATCCTTTTTCAAAGTTAAACTTTTTCTTTGATAAAATTTAAATGATAAATATGTTAAGGATCACCTATTTCTTAAAATATTGAATGATTTCAAACATATATGTCATCTTTACTAAGATTACTTACCCATGTTTTCCAATTCTGCTAGAAAACCAGTGGATCATTCTTTGAAGGGTAGACAGTGTACCTTATAGGTTAGATATTATTTCTTATGCAACTTATAGTACACAGAAATCTATTTTTAAACGTACAGTAAAAGTTAAACATACATGCAGTTATAATATGCAATGATGGTCTCCTACAAAAAAGATCTTAGCTATTGATTGATTGATTGATTGAGACGGAGTCTCACTTTGTCTCCAGGCTGGAGTGCAGTGGCGCAATCTTGGCTCACTGCAGCCTCCGCCTCCTGGGTTCAAGCGATTCTTCTGCCTCAAGCTTCCCGAGGAGTTGGGACTACAGGTGCGTGCCACTACGCACAGCTAATTTTTATATTTTTAGTAGAGACTGGGTTTCACCATGTTGGCGAGGATAGTCTGGATCTCTTGACCTCGTGATCTGCCTGCCTCGGCCTCCTAAAGTGCTGGGATTACAGGAGTGAGCCACCGCGCCTGGGCAAGATCTTAGCTATTTAAAATACGTATTTCAAAATCTCTCCTTACCTAGTATCTATCTTTGTTTACTTAAGACGTTGTAATATAAATTTGAACTAGGTTATGGTATTTATGTTTTTAAATCATTTAATTTTTCCATTGAGTACCACTCTATGGAAAAATTATTATTATTGATATACAATAATATATAATTGTGTAATAATTATATAATATTGATATACAATAATAATATTTATTACTATTATTGTATATCAATTATTTATTGATATGCAATGGTGGTCTCTTACAAAAAAGATCTTAGCCATTTAAAAGATATATTTCAAAATCTCTACTTAGTATTCATCTTTGTTTACTTAAGATTATTGTTATAATATAAATTTGAAATAAGTTATGGCATTTATGTTTTTAAATCATTTAGTTTTTCCATTGAAGGTACCACTCACTTCATATTAGTAAGATTTCTGTGTGTTTCTTTTGAAGAATTATTCAGAAGCAGACTTCATTGTTGTCTTATTTTAAGAAATTGCTGATACTAGCTAGATATTTACATAAATTGCTTTGACTAAACTATAATTACCTTGTCACTGTTTTCTAGTCAATTGTAATGCAGAAAAAAATAATTCAAACTATTAATATCATGGTGAAAAGCATGGGCTCTCATAGGACATTATCAAGCTAAAATTCCATATGTGCTACTAATCATGTTAATTAATTTCTATGCCTAATTCTCTTCATCTGTTAAATGGGGCTAATAATACTACATAGCTCATTACTTTGTTTTGAGGGTTAAGAGTAAAAACACACAGAAAGTTCTTATAATAATATCTAGCATATTGTAAGCACTCAACATGTATAAGTTATTTTAGGAGATAATATATAATAATTATGTATTTATTTCATTTTCTTTTCTTTTTTTTTTTTTGATGGAGTTTTTGCTCTTGTTTCCAGGCTGGAGTACAGTGGTGCAATCTGGGCTCACTGCAACCTCCACCTCCTGGGTTCAAGCAATTCTCCTGCCTCAGACTCCCGAGTAGCTGGGATTACAGGCACACACCACCACACCCGGCTAATTTTTTGTATTTGTAGTAGAGACGGGGTTTCACCATGTTGGCCAGGCTGGTCTCGAACTCCTGACCTCAGGTGATCCGCCCCCCCGCTTAGCCTCCCAAAGTGCTGGGATTACATGCATGAGCCACCGCACTGCGCCTGGCCTATTTCCTTTTCTTTGCTTATGTTGCAAAGTGAGAAATGCCTCATATTTAACCAAGTTGTCCCTAGGACTTTACCAATCTAAGAATTTTTTTTTCTGAGAAAGGCATTCTGAAAGTCAAATCTAGATATACTTTAAATCAATATCACTTTAAACATTTACGTTAGCCATGTTTTTTACAGTGTAAAAGACTATCATATAAATTCTGTTAACTATGTTTTATTGTTCCCTGTTGTAAATTTTTATTTATTTAATAAATCTGTTTATAAGAATTTTTTTCTCAATAATACTACTGAAAAAATAGATTTCATCCAAGCACAGTGTTAACTAGATAAGAAACCAACCCACCCTATTTTAATAGCAGCATTAATACTTTTCCTTAAGAAAACAAGACAGCCACTTATAGTATAAGTAAGCTAAGAATGTCAAAAGGGCGCTCAATATGTCTTTCTTCAACATAAAAAGTGATGACAATCGATCAGTCTGACTTTCACAAGAGGCTCCCTAGGAGAGAACAGCATACTGATAATAGTAAGGGCAGGAAGCCTATTTAGTTGTTTTATATTCTGTAGCTCTCTGACTGTCCCAGTAGTTACAAGGCAGCATGTTTGACACATAGCTAAAATTCAAGATGAACGCAACACACAAAAAGAGGGCAAAACATGATGGGACCAATAAGGAGAGATCATTTCTTATTATAAAGGCATTAACTTTTTTCAAGATGAGTGACTTGGAGTTTTGAGCTGAAGGGTTGGCTAGAAGAACACTTCGGTTTACAAAGAGAAATGCACCCTGTAATGAACTGCAGTGGACTCTAAAATGAAATTGCTGGAGGCTACATAAGAAATAGAAAAAACCTAGAAGCACAATGAAAAACATCCCGATTTACAGCATCCCTAAAGGCAGCTGAGGGTTGACCCCATTACTTTCATTGAGCAATTTGTTCCATCTCTCCTCACACATACCCTCACTAGGACTTCTAAAATAGAAAGATGCACAACATCCCTTAGCCCTTTCCACTGTCTCAAAAAGGTCCCCAAACTTTGTTTACTAAAGTTTTAGAACTTTATGTTTTACTGTGTTTAGTATTTATTTAATTTTCTATTTTTTTTTTCCCCTTGACCTAGATCATAGAATAATATACTTAGAGGACATTTTTCTAAATGCAAGTTGCTAGAAATGACTTGGCAAAGATTAGTACAATTCACAGTGTCCTGCAGCAATAGAATTAACGAGGAGTTTTTTTAAAGAGAGACTGATTTAATTTTTTGATGATTTTGAAATATAAATGCTAAGAAGAAAATTTGAAGGAATAATTTTAGATAATTTATATCTAAAGTGTTACAAGCATTTTATGAAACACTAGCTATCAGATTAGTCAACAGCTTTGGTTTTACCGTCAACAGATATTCTTTAAAACATTCATACAATTTATTGTGTGCTTATGTATATCTTTATGCAATCTTTATGTGAACACTCATAGGGGACTATTGTATAATGCTATCATTGTTAGCAACATTTGTGCTTTGTTTCTGAAGTCTTTTACTGTACTAGTAATTTTTTTCTTTGCAGAAACTAAAGTTTTCTATTAGAAAAACTTTAGTTGGATCCTGATTTATAAGCAGATATAACAAACATCATGAGAGTCCTAGAGAATATCATGTAATCTTCAGTTGTTCAATCTGATGATTAAATTGGGCAGAGAAAAGAGTTCCAGTTATGTGAAAAGTATTTACCGTGTTAATGAATCTGTGCCAAAACGTTCATAGAGGCTCAACTTCAGGCCACTCCCTGTGTTAATTGCTGGGGTAAGATGTGTAACGTAGACACTTGCCTCTGGATGGGTCAGGCTCCAGTGGGACCAGGTGCATTGCAGGAGGAATGCATTACTTTGCCCAAGCGCTTATTAGGACTTTGAAAAGAAATGCTTTCATTATATTATTTGATGTTTTGTACATTTCAGTGTCCTGGCTAGCTTTGAAGATTTCAGAGTAAAAAGCCACAATTTGGAGATTGATATTTAATATTTAGAAACAACTATGCTTCTGTTTCTCTCTCTGATACTACTAAAAGCAATAAACCAAATATTTATTAAATAATTAGTTCATGGGAAATTATGCCATTTTTTTTTTTTTAGTTGGAGTCTCACTCTGTTGCCCAGTCTGGAGTGCAGTGGGAATGATCTTGGCTCACGGCAACATCCGCCTCCCCGGTTCAAGTGATTCTCTCACACAGCTTCCCAAGTAACTGGGATTACAGGCACATGCTACCACACCCAGCTAATTTTTGTATTTTTAGTAGAGATGGGGTTTCACCATGTTGGCCAGGCTGTCTCGAACTCACGACCTCAGGTGATCCACCCTTCTTGGCCTCCCAAAGTGCTGGGATTGCAGGTGTGAGCCACTGCGCCTGGTCTCAAACCTTGTATTATTAGATTAAATTGGGGACCTGCAAACTTTTTATACAAAGAGCCAGATAGAAAATATGTTTGGCTTTGCAGGCCGCATAGTATCTCTTGCAACTACTCAGATCTACCTTTGTAGCATGAAAGCAGTAATAGACAATATGTTTAAAAAAAAAAAATGAGTGTGGTTGTGTTCCAATAAACCTTGATTTACAGAAACAGATGCTTGGAATGATTTGGCCTACGGGCCTTTTTTTTTTTTTTTTCTTGTCAATCCTTGAATTAAGTAAAGAAAGTGACAGGTTTCCTGCTAGAAAAGGGTTTGTTATGAGGATTATGTGATTTAATATATGTGAGATACGTAGAGCCATGTCTGCATGTAGTGAATGCTGTAAATGTGTTATTTATTATAATAACTGTTAGAGAAATGTAGAAACACATCTAAACCATTTATAAGGATTACATCTTGAATATATATTTCTTTAAAACCTGGATCAGTGACTACTACTATACCTAGATTTCAATTTATCAACCAACCAAATACACTGTGAAGGATTTTGTGGATGAAAACCTTCAGATGATTGAGTGTTTCGATTGCATATTGCATATATAAGGGTTTTCTCTAATAGTAGATATGAATAGATTCAATAATATATGCTTTTTTCATTTGCCATTCATATATTCTTTAAACTTCTAACCATTTCCCCAAACTTGGCTCATTAAACTGATATACATTGGTTTACTGTTTATACTCCTGCCTTATTTTTTGCATATTATAAATATAATACAGGTGTTTCTCAGCAAGAAAGACAATTGAATACCAATGTTCTGAAATATTCTTGTTTCTGTCAAAGACATGTTCATCACAACTCTACCACATACACTATACACATATATACTATTTTTTATTTTACCAGATTTTTAGAAATATCCAAAACCTAAAATATTCCAGTTGGGGGACAATTATGTTCTACTGGGATAAGAGAAAGACAGAAAAATGTGGCTTTAGAAGCCTAGAAAAGCAGTGATTTAGTTAAGCATATTCAAATTTTAGTAATGCACAGTCCTGACTGACACTTAGGACTTTTTAATGTATCTTTTTATTTGTAGGTAAGATTAAATAGAAAATACCATATTTAAATCTGTGAATTCAAAACGATATTTTTTGAGTGCCTATACCATGTCCAGGTTAAGTTTTTCTACTCTAATGGAGCTAACATTTTATAAAATAACATTTATAAAGTAAGATAACAAATGAGTTTTTAAAACTTGGATATAATTTTTACTAGAGAAATACTCTCATAAAAACCAGAGAGACTAAGGGAAAGAGTTATGAAAAATAGAGTGAATAACTATTTTAGATAGGGTGGTATTGAAAGACTGTTTAGAGAAGGAGGCATTTGAACAGAGAGAGTTCTAAATGAAGTGAGAGAGCAAGTCATGTGAAGATCTAGTAGTAGAGTGTTTGGACAGTGGGAACTACAGTGTGAAAGGCCCTGAGATGAGAAAAAAGCTGGGATATTTTTAGAAAAGAAGGAGGCTAGTGTTGGGCATGAAGGAAAGTGATCTGAAATAAAGTCAGTGATCATTTAGGGCCTCGTGGGCTGTTTTTAGATCAGTGTAGCTCTCTGAGGCAGACATGAGATGGCTGTGGGTAGGGCAGTGCTGTGAACATCATTAAAGTTTTCCCAAGACCCTTCTGGTCCATCCAGTGGTAGTAGATATACCAGTAGGGAAGCTATTATAGCATTTCCCTGGGAAATGATGGTTGTTAGACTAAAGTGGCAGCAGTGACAAGGGTGGGAAGAGGTGATTCAGGATACATGCCAAGGTAGAGCTAATAGGAATTGCTGTTGAGTTGAATGTAGAGTGTTGGAAAAAGAGCTGAGTCAAGGATGTTTTCTATTTGCGTCAGGTAGATTCTGGTGTCATTTACTAAGATGGGAAGGTTTATGTTGACAGGGAGTTGTTAAGAATCACAAGTTCAGGCCAGATGCAGTGGCTCATGCCTGTAATCCCAGCACTTTGGGAGGTCAAGGCGGGCAGATCACCTGAGGTCAGAAGTTCGAGACCAGCCTGACCAATATGATGAAACCTCGTCTCTACTAAAAATACAAAAATTAGCCGGGCTGTGGTGGCATGTGCCTATAATCCCAGCTACTCAGGAGGCTGAGGTGGGAGAATCACTTGAACCTGGGAGGCAGAGGTCACAGTGAGCCGAGATCATGCCACGGTACTCCAGCCTGGGTGACAGAAGGAGACCCTGTCTCAAAAAAAAAAAAAAAATTAAGAGTTCAGTTTTAACTGTGTTAGGTTTGTGAGGCTTTCTCTATATTCAAATGGAGCTGTTGAGTAGGCAATTAAACATTGGAATCTAGAGTTCATGGAAGAGATCTGAATTGCAGATATACATTTGAGAGGACTCGGTATGTAAATGGTATTTAAAACCATGAGTCTGTATAAATATCATCAAGATAGTGAGTGTAGACAGAGAAGTCCAAATACTAAATCTTGAGGTATTTAAATTTTAGTTGTTTGGCAGAAGAGATGAACCTTCACAGAAGACCAAGACGTGCAAAGCAAGTTACAAGGAAAGCTAGGAAAGTGTCACAGCCCTCAAGCCAAGTGAAATATGCCTCAAGATGAAATGTGTGATCAATTGGCAAAAGCTGTATAGAAATTGAGTAAGATGAGAACTGTCAAAATTGCTCATTGGATTTGGCAAGATGCAAGAGAATGTTGGCCTTGAAAAGAAGAGTTTCAACAGAGAAATTAAAAACTGCAGTTAATGAAAAAAATAGGTGAGGAAGTGGAAACAAAGAGTATAAACAAATATTTGACTGAGTTTGCTATAAAAGGAGCAGAGAAATGCTCTTGTAGCTGACTAAAGACACGGGACTTAGGAAGGTTATTTTTTAAATGGATGACATTATAATACGTTTGTTTGCTAATAGGAATGTTCCAAAGAAAGAGGGAGAAATTTATGATGCTGCAGAGAAAAGGAAATATTCAAATAGTAAATTCTGCCATAAAAAGGAATGAATTAATGGCATTTGCAGCAACCTGGATGGAACTGGAGACTATTATTCTAAGCAAAGTAATTCAGAATGGAAAACCACACATTGTATGTTCTCACTCATAAGTGGGAGCTAAGCTGTGAGGATGCAAAGGCATAAGAATGATACAGTGGACCTTGGGGACTCTGGAGGAAATGGTGGGAAGGAGGTAAAGGACAAAAGGCTACAAATTGGGTTCAGTGTATACTGCTCGGGTAATGAGTGCATCAGAATCTCACAAATCACCACTAAAGAAGTTACTCTGTAACCAAATGCCACTTGTTCCCCCCAAAAACTATGGAAATAATAAATAAATAAATAAATAGCAAATTATTTGAGTAGGCATGAAGAAATGGAATCCATTGCACTAGTGGAGGGCTTGGACTCAGATAATGACAATAATGGCCATCATTTTTTATGAGTCATTTACATATATTAACTCATTTAATTCTAAAAATAACCCTGTAAGCTGTATTTTATTACCACCTCTATTTTACATGGACAGAAAAATAAACACAGCAGGTTAAGCTAGTAATTGGTAGAGGTGGTTTCCAAACTCAAGTTATCTCATTCCAGAGTACCACTCTAGAGAGTTATATGTTATACAGTAGATGTACATATTATAACTGGGAAAAAAGGCAGACTACACAGATAAAGTTAGGGAATTTTTTACATGTCTTCATAACAAGATGATATAGTATAGTTTTTATTCTATTTTTCACTAAAGTTAAGTGCAAGATTATCATCTGAGAATAAGAAGGAGGGATGGGCCACTGAGGGATGGACAATATGAGAGTTGAAGAAGGGATGGGCAATGTAGGGAAAGAGCAAAAGGTATGAAATATTTGTCAAGTACAGGAGTAAAATGGCCATGGAAAATGACCTGCAAAATCTGCCAGTGCCAAGGTCTCTTGAAGATTTTTGTCATTATTTTAAAGTGAGATGCATCATCATGTGAGGCAGAGAGCTAATTTCTATCCATCTTTGCTTCAAGGTGTCACCAGTGAAATATCGATGGTGGGACTGACAGGTAATCTAGAGGAATAGAGCATGCCTTTCGTTTTCATATCTGTCATCCTTTTATCTGGCATGGAGGTGTGATGGCTAGAACTTTGCTAGTCATAATTGACCATGGAGATAAGTACCACACTCTAGGGGTGGTAGGATATTGAGCCAGGCGGCAGAAGTTTGTTCTCTGATGACTTCATTGAAGTGCCACAGCAGTCCTGGACTTTTCGCCTGCAGACATCTCTAATGGGAGTCAGAAATAAATGTGTATCTTGTCTAAGCCTGTTTAGGAGTCTCTTCTTCTTATAGTCAGACTTAATCCTAACTTATTCCAGAATTTGTTTTCAGAAGCGGGTTGCTAAAGGGACAAAACCTAAAAATATGACTTTGGTTAAATGGAGGCAAACAGGTGGTTAGCAGCAAGACTCAGATGTTGCAGTTTCTCTCAACATAGGCCACTGTTCTGATGGACACATGGCATATAGGGAGAATTATTTTAAATATACTTTGGGTTTTTTTTCAGGTGAGTAAAATGGAGAGAGAAAAGGAGATTCCACAATTTCCTTTAGTAACAAATTTCACTGTCTAGCAAACTTTACTTTCAGGGATTGCTTTCAGGTATGTCACTTAATATTTGTACCACTTCATCTAATTTCCATTTTCTTATATACTAAACTCAAGAGACACATTTAGTTAAAATTTTTAATAAAATCTTACACTTGTCAGATATTTCAAATATTTTACTTTACTCCTGTCTATTATAGGAAATCCAAAACTGACTTATATTTACCTTCTTAAACCTTGATATGTTCTCACAATCTTTTTATTTTTCAAAGATTTATATCAGTTTATGACAGTATAACTACAAAAAAAAGTATAGTCACCAAAGTAAACAATGACATACTCCTTGTCAAATCTTAGGGCCTATTTCCACGCTCTTGGCCCTTATTTCTTATCTTGCCTTTTTCCCCTAAACTGAGAGCCAACATCATCATGGGCGTATCAAGTAGAGACAGATCAATTTGTGTTGGAATCCAGTTAGTCATTTACTAGTTAGTTATGTACCTTTAGCTAGTCAGAATTTCTTTCTAATCCTCAGTTTTCATCCACAAAATGAACTGTGTTAAAGACTGAATAAACTAATTTTGTTTACTCACATTTAGTTTATACTTTTTTTTTAAAACCTTCCTTTCTTTGGTTCAATTTACACCATGCACCACCTACATTAGTACCTATTGATATTTGCGAGGGTTTTATGTCTTTGCCCCTTCTCCATTTCTATAACCATTTCTCAAGCCTTCAACATGGTACTCCTTGCCAGCAATCATTCTTTGCTACCTGTGTTCCTACCCATTCTCTAGTTTCTTCCAGAGGTTCCTTGTCCCTCAGCAGGTCTGCCTTCTTACTGCCTCCTGCATACCGCCCACTTGCACCATTTTCTATATATTTTCTCTTGCATCAATTTTCCATTGCATATAATAATCTCTAGTTCACAAACCTGTATTTGTAACTCTATTTTAAAGACAATATTTAGTCTTACTTCATCCCAGAAATCATTGACTAACTTCACCACAATTGAGACATCACTTACATGAAGTTCCTCTTTGTATGTGTATAATTTATCCTCTTATACCATTAAATTTCTTGTATTGATCGTTGATTTTATTTTAGGCTTGTCTTAATTATCCATTTAGGATGTAAAATCTTCCTTGTCTTCATGATCCGCTGATGGTATAAAACTTCCTTTGTTTAAAGAAAGATAAAACTATCTCTGCTGTTCCCTGTCCCATGCTTTGCAGTGCTATCACTATGAGGAGAATTTATTAATTTATGCATGCTGCATTTAATATGTAAAAGCCTTTAAATACATGAAGATTGGTACTACAATGTCCTCGATCTTTGCTTTCTTAAACTCAAATAGTCTTAGTTACTTTAAAACATTTTGCCTAGTGTTATTTTTGTGTGTGTGTTTCCTCTAAATTCAAGTGTTTATATTCTTCTTTAGTTGAGATCCAGAATCGGCCTCACTGCCATCATATAATCAAATTCATGCAGAGTGGATTGGGGAGTTTAATTCCTAGCATCTCCTCTTACCTTTGCTTCCATTTAAAAATTTAATTATTTCTAAAATTCAACTAAAGGCCCTCATTTATTATAATTTATATCATTGTTGAATTATTAATTGGTTATTTATTTGCTATACATTATAGTCAAGCCTGTAGCTGAATAAAGTATACCTTGATACATTGGAATACTTATATAAACTGCATAGGCACTAAGGGGCTAAAAGAAAGTAAAGTGGGATATGATAATAAATGAAAACTTATTGGAGTAGAAAATGAAAAAAATTTAGGTTATATTTTATTTCTTTTAATTAAGATGGAATTCATATAACATAAAATTGACCACTTTAAAGTGAACGCCAATGGCATTTAGTGTAGATTTTATTTTACTTTATTTTTAACAGCTTTATTGAGGTATAATTTACATACCATACAATTCACCCTCTTAAAGTTTAAAATTTAATAGCTTTTCATATATTTACAACATTGTGCAGCCATCGTCACAGCCAATTTTAGAATATTTTATTTAACCCCCAAAAAACCCCATACCTATTAGCAGTCATTCCTTATTTTCCTGTATCCACTATACCTAGGCAACCATTAACCTACTTTTTGTCTCTATAGATTTGCCTATTCTGGACATTTCATATGAATGAAATCATATATGGCCTTTTGTATCTGGTTTCTTCCATTTAGCATAATGTTTTCAAGATTCATCCGTGGTATAGCATGTATCACTACTTTGTTCCTTTTTATTGCTGAATAATATTCCATATTGTGGGTATACCATGTTTTATTATCCATATTATGCCATATTATGGATATACATTCATCAGTTGATGTTCATTTCTGTTGCTTCCATCTTTTGGTTATTATGAGTAGTGCTGCTATAAACATTTGTATGCAAGTTTTACTTTTAATACCTGTTGTCAGTTCTTCTGGGTATATACCTAGAAGTGTAGTTGTTGGATTATGTTTAATATGTAAACATATTCTATGTTTAACATTTTGAGGATCTGCCAAACAGATCCTTTCCTGATTTCTAAAATGGAATATTTATTTTTTTAACTGTAGGCTTTACATTCCTTATATATCTGACCACTAGTTTATTGTACCATAACAGGTATTTCCTGATTTCTTTTGTGCTTTGCTTTCATCACCAAATAACAACTTCCTTGAACTTTTAAAATTACATCATTTATAGAATAGAAATATGAAAAGAGTTTTGTGATTCTTAGACATGAACACTTCCATAATTAAAGATATTCTTACCCCTATGGTAACACATGGAATGAAAAGGAAAATTTGATTCCTAACATTCTATTAATTTTATTTTCTTTATATATCTCTTCCATGATGCTGCCAAAATAATTGGGCTCAATTTAAATGCCCTTGTCTGCTTGCCAGTGGGATGCATCTGAGAATTCAACTGTGCTACATTTTGTTTGACCACCTATGTGTTCTACTAACCCCTCTATTAACTAAATGCCTTTTTGATATAGTCAGTGTTACTTAATTCCAAGGGAAATCTGGGGAAAATATTGTAATTTACTGTGTACAGTGGAGATAACCACAGTATGTAATATCCATTATTGTATGGGAATTGTACTCAAGTTAGTCCAATATGGAGTGATGGTTTTAAACCTTTTAGTTAGGAATTAAGTAAACAAATATTTGTGAAGCACCCACCCACTAAATCATACAAGTCACTGAATTAAGGAGAGAAAGTGAAAATATTAATTTGTGGCTTAATTATTAATAGCATATTAAAAATGTAAAGGTTTATTATGGTTTTAGTCGGAGTTTATCCTTCATTACATATACAAGTATGAAAGGAAAGAATTATAGCACTAAGCCGGTAAGAGAAAAGCAGCTTGATTCTCTTCAGAGTGAATAGAAGGAACATAACCGTAAAAGGAATATAAACAATAATTCCGAGTGGGAGAGAAATAAATTATTTTTAAAATAATTCAAGGACATGGCTTAATGCAATGAGATAACATAGACCTGCTAACCTCATTCCAGTTAACAAAGCACATTTGGTTATATTGTATCTTTTACAGTTTCATAGTTTGCTGTTTTATAGTAGGAACAGGATAAGCTTTAACTGCCTTGTTTTCCTTTATTCTTCCTTTTTTGACCCTGTTAAATTTAGGAAAGCACACACTTGGCTCATAAGTGCTTGTTCAGATAAAACAGTGTGCTTCCAAATGTAGCAGCAACCCACCTTCATCAGAATCTCCTAAGAGGGATGTGATTGCAAAAATATCATTTTTCTTAGCCCTACATCATGGCTCTTAGATCAGAACCTCTAAGAGTTCTGAGCTGAGTTATGATATAGGGCTAAGGGAGGGCCCAGGAATGTACATTTTATCAGTAACCCCAGGTGATTAGGGTAGGGTCCAGGAATGTACGTTTTATCAGCATTTCCAGGTGATTCTCACATATGCTAAAGTTTGAGAACCACTATACTGTACTGTATTCCCTGCTGTAGTGACTATGATTGAGCAGAATGGTTAAAAGCATGGACTTTGGTGTCAGGCTTATTTGAATTTAAGTTCTGATTCTGTTACTTCATTGTGATCAAAACTTGGATAAGCCTCTTAAATTCTTTCAGCCTCCACTGTATTCAGCTATAAAGTTTAAGATAAAAGGTGATTATAATCTCTATTTACCTAAAGAATAAAGACTTATTAACATAATTCTGCCTTATCATTCTTACTATTATTAGAGATAGGGTCTTGCTCTGTCACCCAGGCTGGAGTGTAGTGGCATGACCATGGCTCACTGCAGCCTCGACCTCTTGGACTCAAGCAATCCTCCTGCCTCAGCCTCCTGATTAGCTGGGACTACAGGGGGGAAACCACCACCATGCCTGGCTATTTAAAAACAATTTTTTTTTTTTGTAATGACAGAATGTCCCTATGTTGCCCAGAATGGTCTCAAACCCCTGGGGTCAAGCATCCTCCCACCTTGGCTTCCCAAAGTGCTGGGATTACAGGCATGATCCACTGCACCCAGCTGCTGCCCAATTATTAATAGAATCTTCCTTTATTCTTAAAACTATCCCACTTTAGAGGATAAATTATGTGATCTAGCATAGCTATGTAATCATTTACTGTGATGATTATATGACATCACTTATTTGATTTGATACAGTTGGCACATAATACATATTTTTTAAATGTTCTTATAATTAATGCTATTTTTAAAAATCAGGCCAACTCTGGGCCCACTGCCTAGGAGTTAGCCCTTCTCCATAAGGAGCAGTAAAAGCAAACAAACAAACAAATTTGATTTTTTTTTTATTTTAACAGAGTACTCAGGATTATCTACTGCTTTAATTGCTTTTAAAAATTGATTTCCATGGAAAAGAGGTCACTGATTATTGATTGTTGGCTAGTTTTGTCCTCCATGGGTACAGGTCTTTAAGTCATTTTGTCCTCATTGTTTTTACTAGCTTGGCCATGCCAGTTGGCATTGTCTTGTGCTAAAAGGCATTTTGTAGTAGAGACTTTGGGGAAAAGACATTCAAGAGAAGGATAATAAAAGTCTGTACAGTGGAACTATAGTATTACACAAATATTATTGTCTATAAGCCCTATTACCTACAAAAGATAAATATGACATTTTCCTTCTCTTATTAGCTTCATGATGAAACACCTTGCTATTCTGCCTTCAGTTTGCTTTTCACTTCCAAGTAAGTATATTCTAGCCATGGGAGAGAGGTATTTAGGTGTTTTTCTTGTAGTTAGATGGGAATCCTAGACTCTCTACTCAGACTGCTCTGAGCCTAAGTTTTTTTTTTCACTTTTTTTTTTTTTTTTTTTTTGAGATGGAGTCTCGCTCTTGTCGTCCAGGCAGGAGCACAGTGGCACGATCTCGGCTCACTGCAACGTCCGCCTCCCGGGTTCAAGCGATTCTCGTTACTCAGCCTCCCAAGTAGCTGGAATTACAGGCACTCGCGACCATGCCTAGCTGATATTTGTATTTTTATTAGAGATGGGGTTTCACCACGTTGGCCAGACTGGTCTTGAACTCCTTACCTCAGGTGATCCGACCTCCTTGGCGTCCCAAAGTGCTGGGATTACAGGCGCGAGCCACCGAGCCCGGCCTCTGAGCCTAAGTTTATCAGTAATCTCCTAAGTGGTGCCATAAGGATATGAGTTAATGTACATAGAGTTCGTAGCAGCACATCTTTGTTCTCAATTATTGTTTTCTTTCTTTCTTTTTTTTTTTTTTTTTTTTTTTTTTGAGACGGAGTCTCGCTCTGTCGCCCAGGCTGGAGTGCAGTGGCTCAATCTCGGCTCACTGCAAGTTCCGCCTCCGGGGTTCACGCCATTCTCCTGCCTCAGCCTCCCAAGTAGCTGGGACTACAGGAGCCCGCCACCACAGCCGGCTAATTTTTTGTATTTTTAGTAGAGACGGGGTTTCACTGTGTTAGCCAGGATGGTCTGGATCTCCTGACCTCGTGATCCGCCCGCCTTGGCCTCCCAAAGTGCTGGGATTACAAGCATGAGCCACCGCACCTGGCCTATTGTTTTCTAATACCATTATTAAGAAGAATATTGGTGGTCTTAAAATTGAGCGAGCAGCAGATTTTAGGGTAATATGGGACTTATTTGGCTCATTGGCTTCTTTCAGCCACCTTGTTCAGATTTTTTGCTTCTCCAGTAAAAAAAAAAAAAAAAAAATTGTTCTTCTTTGTGAGATGGATGGGGGAAAAAGAAGTCATATAGTTTAAGGAGAATAAGGAAATCCCAATATCTGAACATTTGAGGGAGAAGAACTCAATAATCAAGGGCCAAGTGACATAGCAGATATATTGTGTTTTGCAGTGTCTGACTGTCAACACGTAACAATAAGTGGTTGAGATTTTCATACTCAAGGCCTTATTCATTGCTTTTTAGAAAGTGTTTTTGTTCCACTTCCAATGAAGGCATAATTCTCAATGAAATATGGAAAGTGTTGTAGTCAACATGAAAATACATATATTCAAAATAGCATAGCATTAAGCCTGAAGTATCCACCATCATTTTTATTCACATACTACTGGTATTTAAAATATAGAAAATAAATAGAAATATAGAAATATAAACTTCTACAGCTATTGCCTTCATAAATTACAACCTTCATGGCTATCATATGTCCCAAATATATGTTTCAGATATGTGCAAATGATGATAAAGAAACATTCAATCATCAGTTATCTAGGAGACAATGATACACACTAGGTTATCTTGAGTTAATTATTTCATGCCAAACTTAAGTGACTATGTGAGAACCATATGTTTGGTGTGTAATTCACACTTTCAATAATGTTTGTATCAACTGAAATATTTTTCAATGAACCAGCATCCTTATAATGAACATGGTGTTATTATAAGGAAGCTGGCAGTACAAGTGGTACTTTGTGTTTTCTCATTTCATGCTTTCATTTAGATTTAAGATGTTCTTGGTTTCATTTCCAAGTTGGCATGAGTTAGCAGTAAATAGGAATCTGCTGGCTTGTGTTACATTTGCTTTTCTGATACCTCTAAAGAAAGAATGGGAAGAATTCAGAACAGTAATCAGTTTTAATTGAGGTTATCCAGATAGAAGTCTTTGTTCTATCTAAATATCAAGCCAAATTTCTTGGTATATAATCAGAAGGAACCATGTTGATTTCTCTACTTATTGATGGGTGTATGCTTTGATTAAGGAGTCACAGGGAAAGAAGATGGTAATATTCTCATAGATTAATGATTGTGGATTTTCAGCAGTTAAGAATTGTATTCAACCTAGAAAACAACTTCTAAGAATCATTAATAGTGCAATTCATAGAAGTAGGGTTGATTAAAATTATGAATAATTTATAAAATGTAATATATGGATAGAAAGAGCACATTGGCTTTATTTAACTCATGATTAGGCATACATGATTATTCCATTTTCTTCCTTTAGCATTGACTTTTAGATTATGGAAGGAGAATGCCTCTAGAGAGTTAAAGAATAGGCACAGCACAAAAGTAAAAATGAATGCTCCAAAAGTAGATATATGTTGTGCTTCTGATGACTTTGCATTTTGTAATGGATTTCCATCAAACTGCCTTGCTGTATCAGTCAGAATAGTCTAGGTTACATTGTAGTAATGAACAGCCCCGAATATGAATGGGCTAAAACTGAAAAAACAAAAGATGTGTTTGCATTTAGCTCTTGCTATATGTCTATTTCAGGATGGAGTTGCTGGCTGATATGGTTTGGATATTTGTCTGCTCCACATCTCATGTTCAAATGTGATCTCCAATATTGGAGATGGGGCTTGGTGGGATGGGAGGTCTTTGGATTATGGGGGTGGATTTCTTATGAATAGCTTGGTGGCTTGGTGGCATCCTCATGGTAATGAGTAAATTCTCATTCTATTATTTTCTTGAGAAACTCATATTTAAAACAAGAGAAATGTAGGTATCTCTAAAGACTGTAGTAACCCAATTTTATTGATGATCAGAGGCCAAAAAAGCCTTGTAACCTTACATGTTGCTTAATCCTGATCATGTAACAGAATCGTTTGGCAAGAGTTTGAAATGCGTGAATTCTTGGCTCCTATTTTCAATGTTCCTAATTTAGGAGGTTTAGGGTGAGACCCAAGCATCTATATTTATTCCCTTAAGAACTGGTTGTTAAAAAGAGCCTGGCACCTCTCTCTTTCTTCTTCTCTTGCCATGTAATGTCTGCTCCCCTTTGCCATCTACCATGAATGGAAGCTCCCTGAAGCCCTGGTCAGAAGAAGATGCTGGCTTCATGCTTCTTGTACAGCCTACAGAGCCAGGAGCCAAATAAATCTGTGTTCTTTGTAAATTAACCCAGCCTCTGGTATTCCTTTATAGGGCCACAAAATGGACTAAGACGGGACATGGGCTGTGTTGCATGCTATCCCAGACTCAGGCCTGAGGAAGACTCCAAGTGGAATGCTCCTGGTCACTGTGGCAGGAGGAAGGGGAGTGCTAGAAAATCTTGCAATTTAATTAAATGCTGTCGTCCAGAAGTGATGTACAGCATTTCTGTCCACAACTCTTTGGCCAGAATTATTCTCATGACCCTGCCAAGGGCAAGGTGGCAAAGAAGTACCATTCTTTCATGTGGCTGGGAGGGAAAAAAGAACCAGATTTAGAAGAGCATTAGATATCTCTGTCACATCTGAGGAACAAATTAGCCATCAGAGCAAAGGTCCAGGCATCCCATCTCGGCAAACAAAGCATGATTAACCCTAGAGCTGCTGATTCTGAGCTCACCCTAACTTGATTCCCTCCACTGGCCCCAAGCTGGCAGCTGTAGCTTTGCAAACATGATAATGCTTCTCTTGTTAGAACTGAATTTAGAATTGGCAGCAACAGAAACCTGCAAGCTGCAGTTCATTTGTGTATCCATGCTTAATTTAATTCTTATTGAATGAAATGCACCCTCATTTTATTCTTGCTGGAAAAAAAAAAAACTAACAACATAAAAGCCAGTCCAACTATTAAATCAAGATTTTCTACAAGATTTGTGTTAATTATTCTCTCTGTCCTTTCACAAGAATAAAACTGATTTTATTTATCAGTTTTGATTCATTTTTGATACTTGAAGGAATGAGGAGTACAGACCAGCTATGGACTATGTTTATTTTCCTGAGAAACTCATATTTAAGGCAAGAGAAATGTAGGTAGCTCTAAAGACTGTAGTAATCCAATTTTATTATCAGAGGCCAAAAAGGCTTTGTAGCCTTACATGTTGCTTAATCCTGACCATGTAACAAAATCACTTGGCAAAAGTTTGAAATACGTAAATTCTTGGCCTCTACTTTCAATGTTTCTAATTTAGGAGGTTTAGGGTGAGGCCCAAGCATCTATATTTATATTTAAATCTCACCAGGTGATTCCGATGGGCAGCCAGAAGTGAGAACTGTCCTGGAATGTTATGTAAAAGAAAGTTATTATTTTTGAACTTGTTTTCTAAATCAAATAACTATCCAAACCTAATTTTCCAACTTTAAGAATAAGGCCATCTATTTAGCAGTACAGAATCCATGCTTACAATGTTTCTGGTTCACTTCTTATGTGAAAACACTGAAGTTGTTAAATAATTCATAGATTATTTTGCAATCCTGCCAGTCTTTATGTGTTTCATGTTCTTGTTTATAAGTCAGTGAGTAGGGAATACATCCATTTTGAGAATGCCACTCTGTTGTAGTTAATAGATACAGATCCCATTATCATAGTTATTCTAATATATGATTCACCAAAATAATGGACAAAATGATGTAACTAACAATTGATTTGCCTGCTCTAATACCTTTCTTTAAAACACTGTAATAAAACAGGAAATGGTTTTTTTTAAATCATATATTTTGAGTCAGGAGACTAGAGTTAAAATGAATCCTAGAGATGGAGGATAGTAAACGCCAATTGTGAAGCCAGTAATTACAGGAATCCATGTAGTAATAAACTTATTGTTTCTGTCTTCAAAGTACCTTTACTTCATCCTGTTTAAAGCTTCTGTTGCAAGCATGTCATTTTGAAAGTAAATTAGACTAAACATCATTCTGATGTCCATAGTTCAATAAAGTAGATAAAATGCATATTCTATGAAAGACTGTCAAATAAATATTATGCTTATTCATCTCTCTGTTTGCTTTAAAATATACTTTAATTTATGTAAATGAGCATTTAATAGAAATAAATAGTAATGAAGCCACATAATGCAGATATTGTCAAGCTTAAACAATCCAGACATAGGTAAGGAGAGGCACTATTCAAAAGGATTATTTTAAGAGCTGGGAGAGGGACTATTGCAGTAGAAAGAATGCTCTAGCTATGAGATCTGTATTTTCAAAGTCAGATAAAAATCTTTTCTTTGCCTGGCCCTCACCTGAGCACTGCATATGCTTACTTTATCTCAACCCTAGGTGGTATGAATTACTATCCATTTTTAGCTGTCAAAATTGAGACACAGAGAAGCCAAATATGTCACTGATATTTTGGTTTATGGGGGTAGTGAGCAAAGTTAGGAAGAACTAGGTGTAGGGAAATGGTATTGAAAGGGTGGCATGACGGCATGATCATACAGTTGATTAGGGAATGCTTTTTCCTAACGTAAGTCAATGGTCCAGAAGGCCTCTTAAGGAGAGGTTGTATGCCGACTCAGGCGGTGTGCATGTGTCACAGTTCAGAGACCTGAAGGAAAGAGAGAAGCTTTAGTTAAATTTGGTGAAGCCAAACTGGTAGGTATTTTATCCAGATTAGTCAGAGGTATAAACAGTTCATCTAATCATTTATGGGGTAAAGACTGGGAATTTGGAGGGTCTGTGTCTGGCCTTGTCTAAGTAAACAAGAGGGGCATCTGTGAGTCTTATCTAAGTCATACAGGAAAGACAGTAAGCCTCCAGAAGTAAAAGGGTGGGAAGACATCTTTAACCATCATTGTTTTTCAGGATCAGAGGGCTCTGGGAAAGTTCATGGTTCATATAAAGCAATAGGGTCTAGCTAAGTCTCATCCAATAATAGGTATCATTTAGTGATTGCCTGGCCCTCAGTTGAGCACTGCACATGATCACTTTATCTCAACCCTATGTGGTATGAATTATTATCCAGTTTTAGGTGTTGAAATTGAGACTTGGAAAGGCCAAATATGTCACTGAAATTTAGTGGTTAATCTAGAATTCAAACTTGAATGTCCATAGTAAAAAAATCAAACTCATAGTCATTTATACTATGACATCAAACTGAAGTAGAAGGTGCAATAGTTTGTTTTTATAATTTATAACAAAGTCATTAACATTTTTAATTATTAAAAGCTAATGAATTTTTATGGTTCTTTTATTTTTCTCTTGCATTTTCATAGATGAGTTCCATTCAGACAGTTTGACAATTAACCATGAAATCTAAAAATCAGAAATGATTAGTGCCTTGAGTTATACAATGAGACCCCATATTGCTTAACAGTTAGAATCTATTGAATTAAAAATTAAGAGAAATATAAAATATTCTTCAAAGCTACTGAGTTATGCTTAGGATACTGGTCTTTGTAAAGGAAGAGGAATGCAAAATGAGTCATGTTTTATTCAAGGATTTAAAGTCCAGTGGGAAAGCTATGACAATACCTAATATATAAATAATTATAATAATAAACCACATTGTCAAAAGAGAGGTATAAATAAGAAAGGAAGGTAAATAAAGATTAATTTACATTTGGTCAGGAGTATTTTTAAGAAATTGAAAAATCATACATAAAAACTAAAAATATTGGTAGTTTTATTAATGTGGAATAGATGATTGCTAAGTTAGCTTAACTAGATTTAGTAATTCTGTGAATGCATGATATATGTCAAATATAGTACAGTCTTTCAGAGAAAAAAGTCATCTTTCAAAATGTGAAAATGCTTTCCTATTATTCCCAAGTTTCAGTCATTTTAGTGAGAAGTATTAGTAGGTTGTGGAATACATATTTCAAGAAAAATGCACTCAACTTTTAATATTACTCTTGGATTTAACATTGAGGCAGAGAAAAATGCTCTATACAGTTTCAAACAGATATGTATTTTGTGTTCTGAAATATAGAGATTGAATGAGAGACAGGAATGAACAGGACCCTAAGGCTGAAATCTTTACAAAAGCATAACTGTGGAGGAATTCACCTCCCAAGTGAACTTCTCTGATTCTCTTGCTTTTAAACATTATGGCAGGCTCTGTTCTTTTTCTTTGGACCTTGCTGCGAGATCCTGCTGAGAAGTTCTCTCTGCAGTCTGCTAACAGACATGTACAGTGAAAATTAAAATTATTCAATTCATATATGAATGAGCATATTATATCCAGAACCTACAGATTGTATTTTTGTCAATGTATGGTTTTAAACTGTTTGAATTTAAAAAGCAATGGAAATTAAAATGTGACTAGGACTTTAAGCTAAATTGTTTTAAAGGAGAGTAATCTGTGAAATTAGGACATCTAGAGTTGAACCATAGAGTTTAGAATTGCAAGAGGACTTAAAGGTCATGGAATCCAACCTCCCACACAGTGCAGGAATTCCCTTGTAAGAAATTCTTAGTAACTAGTCAGCTAAGCTCTGTTTGAATATCCTTAGTGTTGGGAATCTCACTACAGGGGCAGACATGCCACTTTTGAATAGCTCTAATTGTTAAGAATTTTCTGAACTCAGAAATAACTACCTAGCAAAAGAGGAGTACTTAATTTGCATCAGTGCTTTGAAAATTTAAAACCAAAGAAATGGAAAATATCAAATAATTTCTAAATTGAATACCAGCTCCAAGGGGCAGAATTAGTCTCAATCATTGTTTGGTAACTTTTAATACTGTTTCCCTCATGACTCATAATTTCATAAATTTTTGCTATTTTGTTTACTAATATAGGGGAAAATATGTGTTTCAGTGGAAGAGCATGCATTGTCACATATAGCACAGGCTTGTGGATTATTAGATTCTAGTCTATCATTGCCTTTCAGCTATTTTATAACTATAAATTTTGTCTTATTTCACAAAATTTCCAATGACTTCTCTCCCAATCATGGGTAAGCTAGCTTTGCCTCCATTTGCAATTCAGTTCCCTTACTCCCAGAAATGTGTGCTTTTTAATTTTCCTTTGAACTGGTTATAACATCTATCTGGTTTTCTTATTGAATGAATAAAAATAATATTTTTAATACATGCTCATTTTCATTTTTATATCTGTATTAGTCATTATTTTACCTTTTCTGAAAATTATCTTTTAATATTTGTGGAGGTATTCCCACCAAGATGCCCAATGATTTGCTTACTAGAGCCAGATATACTTTCTCATCAGAGAAGGGCACCTATTGAGCAGTTTAAACCTAGGCTTCTACCTAGGATTTCTGACTAAATAATTTTGTTGACTGTCTTTCTTATTTTTATTTTCCACTCTACTAATTTTGTGTTTTGCTTTTGGTTTGTTTTCAGCCAGTAAGTTATTTCTGATTGCTGGCAGGAAATGTTGGGAATTTGGTTTTATGGTCTGACCATTTGGTGAAGTTATTGCACATCACTGGCAAGAGTAGTTGGAAATTTGGCCTCAACGTCTTATCATTTGATGAGTTCTGTAAATGCAGTAATGGTTTAAAGAGTTATTTTCTCTGTCGGGTGTAAGACGACAGAGAATCTTGTTTGGTAGGGTTTTCTATTTGTCTTATTTGTCTAGTTTGAGCTCAAGTCAGTGAAGAATTTCATGCCCACCAGAAAGTAGATATCTAGACTAATGAGTTTTTATTTCTGTGTTCGTGTTGAAATTTTAGAATTAAAGATAACCATTTTAAAGATGCTCGATGAGCTAAGAGAGAAAACAGATAATTAAGCAAAATCAGGAAAATGAACAAAATGAAAATATCACTGAAGACATACAAACTATAAAAAAAGAACAAAAATTTTGGACTTGAAGAATATAATAGCTGAATTGAAAAAAATCACCGGAAGGGTTTACCAGCAGACTTGATTGACTAAGTGGAAGAAAGAATCAATGAACTTCAAGACATGTTATTTAAAATTATCAGGTCAGAGGGGCAAAAAGTAAAAAGAATGAACATATATGAAGAGAGACTACGGGACTTATGGGACATCAGGTGGGCCAATATGTGTATTATGGATGTGCCAAAAGGAGAAGAGAGAGATGGACGGACAGAGAGCTCAATTAAGAAAAAATGGCTAAAACATCCCAAAATGGAGGAAAGAAATACAAATATAAATTCAAGAAATTCAATGAACTCTATGTAGGAGAAACCCCAAAAGATCCACACAGAGACACACTATAATTACATTTTAGAAAGTCAGGTACAAAGAGAGAATCTTAAAAATTAAAAAAATATATATATATATCTTGAAATAAGTCATACTATATCTTTAAAAAATCAAGAGAAAAATGACTTATCCTGTACAAGGTAGCTTTGACAAGTTATCAGTGAATTTCTTAGCAGAAACCTTGCAGACCGGAAGGGAGTGGGATGATATATTCAACATACTGAACAAAAAAGAACAGCCAAACTAGAATACTATATCTGGCAAAATTGTCCTTCCAAAATGAAAGAGAGGCCGGGCATGGTGGCTCACGCCTGTAATCCCAGCTTTGGGAGGCTGAGGTGGGCGGATCACTTGAGGTCAGGAGTTTGAGACCAGCCTGGCCAACATGGTGAAACCCTATCTCTACTAAAAATACAAAAATTAGCTGGGTGTGGTGGTGCACACCTGTAATCCCAGCTACTCAGGAGGCTGAGGCAGGAGAATTGCTTGAACCTGAAAGGTGGAGGTTGCGGTGAGCCAAAATCATGCCATTGCACTCCAGCGTGGGTCACAAGAGTGAAACTCCAGCTGAGCCCCCGCCACTGCAAAAAAAAGGAGAAATTAAGATTTTCCCAGGTAAATAAAAGCTGCAGGAATTCATCACCAGTAGACCTGCCCTACATGAAATGCTAAAGAGTATCCTGTAAGTTGAAATGAAAGGATGCTAGACAACAACATGAAACCATATAAAAATATTAAAATTTTTGATAAAAGTGAATATATAGACGAATATAGAATCCTGCAGTATTGTAATGTTAATATGTAAATCACTTTTAATTCTGGTATATAATTTAAAATACAAAACCATTTTAAAAACCTATAAATCCATAATAATAGAAACATAATATAAAAAGATGTCATTTGCAACATCAGTAGCATACAGTGTGTGTATGGGAGAGATGTAAAGGGGTAGAGATCTTTTATGTGATTGAAGTTATCAGTTTAAAATAGACTCCTATAACTTTATTTAATCCCCATAATAACCACAAATAAAATACCTATAGAAAATAATCCTATGAACTGGTTACAACATGTGCCAGTTTCCTCACTGAATAAGAAGAAATAAAATCTTCGGCATGTATTCATATCTTTTAATAAAAGCCTATGCAAACCTCTCTTTTTTTGTATAAATGAAGTAGTATTGGATAAATAGATATTTATAATAAAAATACTGGCTTTTGTCAATCTTGTTAAAGTTGAATATTGATAATATAGTGTGATCTAATATAGCTCTGTCCAATAGAAATTTTTGTGATGTTGAAACTTTATCTATTGTCCAATAGGGTAATGACTAGCTATGTGGAGCTATAAAGCATTTGAAATATGGCCATTGCTACTGAAAAATATAATTCATTTAATTTAACTTAAATTTAAATAGTCACTTGTGATCACATATTGTACAGATCTATGGAGTGAGACTTGTAAGTATTGCCAGTGGCAAGGAAGTAACAAGCCTAACCATGAAGAGTTTTTGCTATGTTTCTGTAGTAGAAACTTTCAAACCAACTTACATTCTTTTTGCCTGCTTATATATGAGTTAAGTAAATAAAAATGAAGGTTTTTAGAAAAGATCCTTTAAAAATAATGACTTTGTGTATTTTAGCATATAAAAATTTATTTTAAAATCTTATACCAACACTTTTAATCATATAAAATAAAATGTAACAGACATCTTTCATTATTTGTAACTAATATGTGTATTTAATTCAGTTTAAACTGATAGCATTCCTTGGAAACCAAATGCTTTTCAAATGATAATTCTTAGAATTTTTACATATCTTAGAAGTGTTTCTTTTGTTCTTTGTTTTTTTGTTTGTTTGTTTATAAAATAAAGACATGTTACACTTTTGTGCTAGTGATCTAAATGATGCAAGACATGTAATCTTGGGAGAAACTAGATTTGGAATTTTGGTGTTAAACTAATAATATGAACATATAGCATTGGGAGATATACCTAATGCTAGATGACGAGTTAGTGGGTGCAGCGCACAAGCATGGCACATGTATACATATGTAACTAACCTGCACAATGTGCACATGTACCCTAAAACTTAAAGTATAATTTAAAAAATAAATAAATAATATGAACATATAGGTAATTAAATGACAGTCAGAAATTGTCATCTAGAAGTAGATGTATTGGTCATCTCAGAAAATAACCATACACAAAATACAGAAATACATAAAAATGCCTGGGATCAACTAAAATTTTTATAAAGTTATTTTTGATTATCCTACAAATAGGGATTTGATGAATACTAAGGTATAGAACTTTGGAAACTTTATACTTGGGAAGGTGTTGAATTATGGCTTCTGGGAAATTATACCAAAATAGCCTGCTGTTGAAGTGAAGCTAAGTTTATTGCTTATTGTGATAATGAGGATTATTAGCCTTGACAGAATCTCATTCTAGAGAAGGAAGGACATAGACTGTCTGTCATCTTCCTCTCTTTCACAAACAGTGCCAGGAATAATATCACAGAATCCCAGAGTATCTATATTCGAAAATATATTTGAAATTATTTTGGCAAATCTCCTTTTATAAACAAGCTTTTGAATTCTGAGATTGATTACTAAACTAACATGCATTGTTTCATCTAGGTTTGTATGACTGATCAGATAACATACCTTATTATTTTATCATTCAGACTTGAACTTAAAGGCAGAGAAAGGACAAAAAATAAAATATTTATAGATTATTTGGCAAAGTATAAGTATCTCACATCTGTAAAATTTTAATAAAATTCTGCAAAGTTTTTGTGTCATGCTTGCCTAATGTGATTTATCTGTCAATTGGTATATAGATTCCATTAAAATTCATTTTTAAAAAGGTGGAATTATGACTGTCATAAATGTAAAATAAAATGGTTAAAAATTTTATTTAGCTCAACAGTTAATGAGGAAACCAATAAGATGTTACAACTGGTAAAAAGAGAATTTTAAAAAATACAAAACACACAGATACAGCCAATTAGGAACTGTGAAATGAATGTACAAATAGATGCAAAAAAAATGCTTCGTATCCACAAGACAGTAATCAGTTGCATCTACAGGAGGCACAATTCATTTACATATCTATGGACAATAATCATTATAATTATTATAATCAGTTTTCTACAATTTACAGAGATGTAAAATAACTCAAAGACGATGAAAGGCGGATATGACTCAGAAGGGTGCTCTAGAGAGCACATCCAATTAACTTTTTGCCTATTTCAAGGACTTTCGCAGTGTTTTTCTTATAACCCCAATGAAAATGAGAAATGGTTTCCACTTTACCCTACTCTCCATCACGTCATATTAGTGTTGCCTATTTGACTCATTAGTGTTATTTGCCTGACTCCTGCAGCCATTTTAATATAAAAATTTGAAATTCCTACTCTCAAGTTGAACATAGAAGATAGTCAATATTCTAAATTTAAAAGGTTAAAAACTTAACGTATTTGTTTTTAATTTTAACATATGTTTAATAAAATAAGAAACTTGAACACCGTAGTATTTATGGTCTGCATAATCTGTTGGATTTACCTAATTCATGGATTTTAATACACATGTTGTCTTTAGGTTACCCCTGAGGGCAATTGTTTTTGGCATACCTAGCATAAAGCAGGTATTCCCTGTAAGATTTTTTCCCATTTCATGTAAAAAGGTTAAATGCTGGTTTGGTGGATCCTGCTTCAACATTATGAAGATAGCATTTGAACTACATGTCTTTCGGGAAATTATATATGGATATATCTACAGATGTAGATATAATAGATACAAACCAGTAAGAAAGGAAATCTAACTTTTTAGTGATTTCCTTTTTACTTTTAAAAAATTGCTATTGAATTTTTTCAGTTAAATAGTAACAAAAATAACTAACAACATAGGCTCCATACAAAATTTAATTTGCCACTTTATAACTTTTTCAATTCCTTTATACTGTATAAACCACAGATTTTTTGTTTCTAGCCTATAGTTTCTGCCTAAAATACAGGAAATGATACTTACAATACCAAAATGAAACCATTAAAAGTTTTGGATGCTGGATTAAGTGATATACCACTTAAATAATGATCCAACTTTGTCTAAATTCTTCAAGAACTAGAATATATATAATTTTATTATATTATCTCCTTTTTACATTGTTTTTTTTTCCTTTGGATCTGATTTTTCAAAACTTTAGTCTAATAATGTATCACTCTGTAAAGTAACATTCCTTGTAAGATTTTTAAAGTAGAAAATCTTTTCACATGAAGATATATATGTACTATATACATATATGTATATATTTCTAAACCCTGTGTTCTTTGTGTAATTGATGGAGGATTGGTCTGTAGAGAACAACCAAAGTTGCAAATCATGGAGAAAATCTCTCTGAAGTGCAAGTAAGATAAAGAATAAAATAATTGGAGCATTGTTGTTTTAAAAAAAAAAGCTTCTCTTGGAAAATGTCCTTAAGTATACGTGGTTAGAAAAATAATGAATCCTAGCTTTAAATTTGTGTGATTTAACTTAGTTTACGAATGTTTATGTTTTTCATTAATGGAAAAACGTTTACCAATGAAGAATAACATGAATTGATTTATAATAATTAGCATGTTTAATTTCAAGGATACTGCCTCAAAACACTGAATTAAGTTTTAAATTATTATGCATTTGACCACAGAGAGTCTATACCAAGCTATTATGATGTAGTTATGTTTGTTTTAATACTTCAGTCTCCACATAAATGGCATAAGATAACCTCATATTCATAATACTCTAAGTACGTGCATGAAAAAATCAAAACTGTTATTTGAATAACAAAGCTCATGGGACAAGGAAATGATGCCAAACTATCTTTTAGGAAATTACAGAGTAAAATAAGTTATTTACTTTAGGTACAGTATTTAACTTGTACCTAGTACATTGATTTAACATTCACATCTCTGATAAAGAGTTACCTACTAGTGTCAGAAATCCCATATATCTCCAAGGTTTTACTATGGCTCGAATGCCTCCTCCACACATTCAGGTGTTACCAATGTGGTTGTATTGAGAGGTGGAGCCTTTAAACAATGATTAGGCCATGAAGGCTCCTCCTGTGTGAATGAGATTAAGGCCCTTATTAAAGAGGTTACACTCAGTGTTCAGCGATCTTGCTCTTCCTCCTTCCGCCATGTGAGAACTCAGCCTTCCTTCCCTCCAGAAGACAGAGTAAGAAGGCCCTCACCTGACATCAAAATGCCAGCGCCTTGATGTTGGACTTCCTAGCCTCCAGAACTGTAAGAAATAAGTTTTTGTTCTTTATAAGTTAAAAATATATAAATACATAAGTTATTTATCATGCAATATTTAAGGAATACCTAAGCACATGCGTGCTCACCATCTAGCTTAAGTAATAAAACATTGCCAAAGCAGCGAAATCCCCTCCTCTTTGTCTGTTCCCTTCCTTCCCTGATCATCTCTCCTGTCTTCCAGATATACTTACCATTCTGAATATAGTGACAATCATCCTATGCATTTGTTATTTCTTTTTTTAAATATAGCTGTCTATCCCCAAGCAATATATAGTATTGTTTTACAGTTTTTAACTCTGCATAAATAGTGTGATAAAATATGTGTTCTGAAACACACTTTTGTTTTGCTCATTGTACTTGTGAAATTCATTTGATATGTGTAGCTCTGGTTCATTCTTTATCAGTGACATAATATTTCACTGTTTGGTCTACATTATCAAATGGTGGCCTACTCAGAAAAGAATGTGGTTAAAAAAAACCCCTAAGTTGGACAATATTCTGATTATTATGATTAATTTCAGATTTATTAAACTAAAGTTTATTTTGAATCAACTAGCAATGAAAAAATAAATATTCATATTTAATATGACCATAAATCAGCTTTTCTATTGCCTTTGCATCAATAATTAAAAAATAAGTAAATAATGCACTGATTCAATAGTCAGGTGCTATTTATCCCAATTCTACCTAATTTAGAGGTAATATATTAGGTAGGAAACCTAAGAGTATCAGTACTGATTAGTGATTTGAGGCAGAAAACTTGCAAATTAGGCTGGGAATTGCTAGTAAGGTTCTGGATTCAATCATGATGAAGTGACTTGGTTTTATGTGCCTAAGGACCCTGTCTAATGAGTTGTATCGTCTTAATAGGCCACGTACTGGTAAAAAAAAAAAAACAAAAACATAAAAGCAAGCAAATGTTAATGATATCTCAAAAGAGCTCATTAATTAGGCAGTCGGCACCTCAACACAGAAAAAATTTCTGGCCATGTGGCCCTCACCCCACTTTAGCCTTAGCAGGTAGAAAAACTAAATGCTTGAGGAGTATTTGTTACTAATTACCTCTGATTGGTATGCCATGTCTGGTCTCGTTTTGATATAGAGGGCAAAAAACATGAAAGCCAATGAACATTAAATTGCCAAAGTGAGTGTAACACAGCAAGAACATTTACCATTTCCACCATGTTTCATCATAAATGGGAGAAATAATACTGGAGTTGTGGAGGCAGGGGTTTTGGAGATATCACAGATTTGAGTCATGGACAGCTATGTAGTGCTATCCATTATCTTAAAAAAAAAAGTCCTTTTAAAACAGTATTAGTCATGTCTACAGGATATTTTCTCAGTTTTGCATAAAATGCTTCCTGACATTTTCATGCTAATATAACATTAAATATTTCTGTTGTATAACAATCTCACTAGAACTTGGTTTTCCTTTTTTTTAAGACGTGAATTTTAAGTGGTGGTCATTATGATATCATTGAAAGGAAACCAGAACTAACAATAATTACCAAATACAGCCCTTTTATTACCTGTTTCCCAAAGAATCTCCATTTTATGTACCATTTGACAAATGCAACCTATTGTGTAAGTAGCAAAAACTCTGCAGGCAGAGTGCATTTTTAATACTTTATTACATTAAGACTCAGGTTTAAAAAAGTAAGTTATTTCTGTTAGCTTTAGTATTTTTCACTTCATAGAAAAAGCTTTTGTCTGAATTGTCCTATTTTGGGGTTCCTGGATTTAGTAAGATGATATAAAATACTATACTATTTTAAGATATTATTAATACTCCACTACTAAGAATATAATATTAGGATTTAATTATTTTTTCTTGCCTATACATATTAGACTATATATTTGACTTTGCATTTGCATAAAGAGCATATTATTACAATCCCTAACATTTCTTAGATCGTAAGGCAAACCTATATTCAAATGAGAATATATATTGAAGATTCCATATCTATAAGCCTGAGATAAATGTATGATTTGGTGAGAGGGAGAAGAGAATTTATAATAATGATAAAAGCTATTAACACTAAAATATTTTAGGATTTTTAGCACAGTGTCATTATCTACATGAAGAAATTGTTATACTTGCAAGTGAAATAGTTCCACGTGAATTCGAATGGCTGGGCTAGAAATTAGGAAGTTGGTACTATTTGGAATGAAGCACTTATCATTTTTCTTTTTCTGAAGACATATTTTTTCACTCATCTCTTCTCTCCAACATCTTTCAACTTATTAAGCAGGTCGCCTAAAGGAGAAACCATCTCCAGAAAAATTGCAATAACTTCTTTAGGGCTTTCGTATTTGGCTTCAGTTTCTCCTACCTTCCGTAATAGATTCACCCTCTTTGTTCACCTTTCTAAAGGAGGCATTGTAAGGAAGCTTTCTTACAGCGAATTTACAATATCTGGTGACGTCTGACTCCTTTTTTTTTCTTAGGCTAGACACTTTCTCACTGAAAGAAGCCTTTTGTCGGCATCTATTATGCTACTTTCCCACCGTTATAAATCCTCTATATTTTCTTAAATAGGACAGATGATATTAGGTATCCAGTTCCAATGCCATAGCACTTGAATTTAAATGTAGACAGTGTTTTATTCTCCTAATCTCTGTAAACTCTGATAGTTGCTTTAACAGAACGTGCCTTTTTTGTTTGCTTTGTTCAGTGGTTGAGCTTTAATAGTAAGTGAGGAGGGAACATAGATAAAAGAATGTCTTTAAAGGCCATGAAATCTTCCCTCAGTTTGGAACAAACACCTTAGCTTCAATGTCTCTGCCACTTAGCATATTTAATTTCTTTGGACAACATTGTCCACAGTGTTGAAATGAATCTGACTTGAAAAGCTCAGGCATTTTTAGGATATATATTGGCATTAATAAATAGTGTGTTTTGACTTCAGAGCTGTGAATTACCCCTAGTTCCCTGATAAAATATTTGTAATTGGATTTTTTTTGGTCAGTATTAAAGTGTGTTTGAGTTTCAAGAGAGACATGAGGAGTTTTTAATATAGAACAATTTATTTTACTTAATATCTTACATTTATTTTTGGAAAGTGATTCATTGTATTTAAATTTCTCAAATATTCAAAGCACCAAGGAAAATTATAGACAATAGTTTCTATTATTATTTGCTTATTTTTCTATTGGAAAAACTTTTGTTTTTTTCTCACTATACAAATAAGTTTTTTCAATTAGCTTAATAACTTTGAACAACACATTTATTTGACACTACATTTAACTGTTGTCAAAAATGTTATTGGATCATGGTTGAATAATTAATAAACCATTGGGTACTTTCTACAGAACCATTTTAGTTATTTTATAATAAAGTCCCTCATAGGAGATATTAGTTGAGGTGAAAATTGTTCCTATCAGTATAAGCCCAAGAACTCTTGTCTGACAATTAAGCAACAAATAATTATTGTGCCCTCATAGAAACCACTGGTAGCTCTTTCATGAATGAATGACAATATTTCACTTTGTAGTTAATAATGTATGAAGACAGATGAAGGTGTTTGTGACAGATAATACTCCTTCGTGAAATACAGAATCACTGCTCTGCAAATAGTATTCATTAAGGGTGTGGTATTTGTCTGGATTAAGTAGTTTTTGGTGGCATGTATGTATAACCAATTCAAAAATGCTTAATGAAAATTTATCACTATGATAGTTATAAGGTTGTTTTATAGAATACAAAGTTTGCAAATGCAGACAGGATTCATAAAGGAGAGAAAGTAGAATAGGCATGCTATCAGGAACTCAGGCAGAACTCTCAATGTAGTCTCTGAGTTTACTTGGTCTCTTGATTTAATTAATTAATTCAGTCAGTCAATTGGTCATGTGTCTATTTACTCAACAGGTGTTTATTAAGGACCGTGTGTCTAATCCAGTCACTGGAACTATGTATAATACAGACTTGACTTAAAAATAATATATAATTCACAAACCATGCTACTGACCCATTTAAATTGTATAATTTGATGATTTCTAATAATAACCATAGAGTTGCATAAGCATCACTACAAACACTTTTAGAACATTTTCTTTACTCCATTAACAGTCAATCCCTATCCCCCTTTCCCCTGCTACTAGCAACCACTAGTCTTCTTTCTGTTGCTATGGATCTGCCTGTTTTGGATATTTCATATGAAATGAATCATGTAATATGTGGTATTTCATGACTGGCCTACTTCACTTAGCACACTATAATCCAAAGTACTTCTTCCTTTTTTTGCAGAATAATATACCGTTGTATGGATGCAGCACATTTTATTTATCCTTTCATCAGCTGGTAGACATTTAGGTTGTTTCCACCTCTTGGTTATTATGAATAATACTGCTATGAACGTTCACTTGCAAGTTTTTGTGTGGAGATATTGGTGGTTTGTGTTTAAAGTATTGAGGAACCAGATTTACCAAAACAGCTGCATCATTTTTCACTCCAGCTAATAGTATCTGAGGGTGCCAGTTCCTCCACATCCTTACCAATACTTGTTATTGGTCTTTTTCATTATGGCCATCCTAGTAAGTATGAAATAAAATATCATTATAGTTTTAATTTATTATCTCTCTAATGACTAATGATACAGAACATATTTTCATATACCTATTGGATATTCATATATCTTCTGTGGAGATATAAATCTTTATAGCGTTTGGTAATTTTTAAATTGGGTTTTCTGTGCTATTATTGAATTATAAGAGTTCTTTATATATTCTAGATGCAAGTTTTCACTCGCGTCCGAGTGAAGAGACCACCAAACAGGCTTTGTGTGAGCAATAAAGCTTTTTAATCACCTGGGTGCAGGCAGGCCGAGTCCTAAAAGAGAGTCAGCGAAGGGAGTTGGGGTGGGGCTGTTTTATAAGATTTGGGTAGGTAAAGGAAAATTACAGTCAAAGGGGGGTTGTTCTCTGGCGGGCAGGAGTGGGGGTCAGAAGGTGCTCAGTGGGGGAGCTTTTTGAGCCAGGATGAGCCAGGAGAGGGAATTTCACAAGGTAATGTCATCAGTTAAGGCAAGGACCGGCCATTTTCACTTCTTTTGTGGTGGAATGTCCTCAGGTAAGGCAGGAACAGGCCATTTAAATTTTACTTCTTTTGTGATTCTTCAGTTACTTCAGGCCATCCGGATGTATATGTGTAGGTCACAGGGGATATGATGGCTTAGCTTGGGCTCAGAGGCCTGACATTCCTGTCTTCTTATATTAATAAGAAAAATAAAACAAAACAGTGTTGAAGTGTTGGGGCGGCGAAAATTTTCGTGGTGGTGTGGAGAGATAATGGGTGATGTTTCTCAGGGCTGCTTCGAGGTGGATTAGGGGCGGCGTGGGAACCTAGAGTGGGAGGGATTAAGCTGAAGGAAGATTTTGTGGTAAGGGGTGATATTGTGGGGTTGTTAGAAGAAACATTTGTTGTGTAGAATTATTGGTGACGGCCTGGATACGGTTTTGTATGAATTGAAAAACTAAATGGAATAAGAGAAGGAGAAAAACAGGTATTAAAGGCCTAAGAATTGGGAGGACCTAGGACGTTTAATTAGAGAATGCCTAAGGAGGTTCAGCATAGCCTTGCCAGCAAAGATTATTTACTTTAAGAGTTAAGAGTGGCGGTTTGGGGATAGCACCAGGAAGTATCAGCTGTGATGTCTTGGAGAAGCAGTGTAAACAAGAGCAGGGCATTTATGAGTAGTTGAGACTGGTGAATAGGAGTATGACTAGACAGAAGATAGCAGGGATGACAAGTTTTTTGGGGTGCAGTCTAAGTTGGTCTGGTGTCTGGAATGAGACTGGGGCCGAATAAAAAGGAGCGTCTATACAGGAGCTTAAATGGGCTGTACCTTGTAGCATTCTGAGGACAGGCCTGAATTCTGAGAAGGGCAAGTGGTAAAAGTATTGTCCAGTCCTTTTTAAGTTGGTGGCTGAGCTTGGTGAGTTGTGTTTTTAAAAGACCATTAGTTCACTGAATACTAAGAGCCTGAGAAACTGCTTGGGTGATTTGACTAATAAAGGCCGGTCCATTATAGGACTGTATAGAGGTGGGAAGGCCAAACCCACGAATTATGTCTGCCAGAAAGGAAGAAATGACCGTGGTGGCCTTCTTAGACCCTGTGGGAAAGGCCTCTAACTATCCAGTGAAAGTGTCTACCTAGACCAAGAGGTATTTTAGTTTCCTGACTCGGGGCATGTTGAGTAAAGCCAATTTGCCAGTCCTGGGCGGGGGCAAATCCCTGAGCTTGATGTGTAGGGAAGGGAGGAGGCCTGAATAATCCCTGAGAAGTAGTAGAATAGCAGATGGAACACTGAGAAGTTACTTCCTTGAGGATAGATTTCCATGATGGAAAGGAAATGAGAGGTTCTAAGAGACGGGCTAGCGGCTTGTAACCTACACAGAAGAGGTTATGAAATGATGACAGAACAGAATGGGCCTATGAGGCTGGAAGGAGATATTTTCCTTGGTCTAAGAACCATTTGCCTTGTGTGGGAAGAGATTGATAGGTGGAAGTTTCAGCGGGGGAGTAGGTGGGAGTGACCGATGTGAAGGAGAAAAACTGGCCATGAGGGACAGAAGTTGGAAGGCTAGCTGCTTGTCTAGCCACCTTATCAGCATAAGCGTTGCCTAGAGCAATGGGATCTGACGCCTTTTGTTGCCCCTTGCAGTGAATGACTCCGGCTTCCTTTGGAAGTAAAGCGGCTTTGAGAAGCGTTTTTTTATTAAAGAGGTATTAATGATAGAGGACCCTTGTGTAGTGAGGAAACCTCTTGCATGGTGGTGCAGGATATGGAAGGCATATTTAGAGTCAGTATAAATATTGATGTGTAGTACCTTTGCAAGAGTGCGGGCTTGACTTAAGGCAATGAGTTCAGCTTGTTGAGAGGTAGTGGAGGAGGGCAGAGCTGTAGCCTCAATGATAGATGTGGAAGGTACTGTGGCACAGCCTGCCTTTGCTGGTGAGTGGCGATTAGGCCTGGTGGAACTGCCATCAATAAACCAAGTGTGTTCAGGGTGAGGAACAGGAAAGAAGGAAATATGGGGAAATGGGGTGAATGTCAGGTGTATCAGAGAGATACAGTCATGGGGGTCAGGTGTGGTATCCCGAATAATGTGGGAGGCCAGATTGAAGTCTGGGCCAGGAACAATGGTAATTGTGGGAGACTCAACAAAGAGTGAATATAGCTGAAGGAGCCGGGGAGCAGAAAGTATATGCGTCAGGTGGGAGGAAGAAGATAGATTTTAGGAGTTATGAGAACTGTAGAGAGTGAGTTGAGCATAGTTTGTGATTTTTAGGGCCTCTAAAAGTATTAAAGCAGTGGCAGCCGCTGCACGCAGACATGAGGGCTAGGCTAAAACAGTAAGGTCAAGTTGTTTGGACAGAAAGGCTACAGGGTGCGGTCCTGGCTCTTGTGTAAGAATTCTGACCGCACTAACCATGCCTAGGAAAGAAAGGAGTTGTTTTGTAGAAGGGATTGGGGTTTGGGAGATTAGCCGGACACGATCAGCAGGGAGAGCACATGTGTTTTTATGAGAATTATGCCGAGATAGGTAACAGATGAGGATGAAATTTGGGCTTGACTGAAGTAATGGGGGCTGTCTGTGAAGCTTTGCGGCAGTACAGCCCAGGTGATTTGCTGAGCCTGATGGGTGTCAGGGTCAGTCCAAGTGCAAGTGAAGAGAGGCTGGGATGAAGGGTGCAAAGGAATAGTAAAGAAAGCACGTTTGAGATCTAGAACAGAATAATGGGTTGTGGAGGGAGGTATTGAGGATAGGAGAGTATATGGGTTCGGCACCACGGGGTGGGTAGGCAAAACAATTTGGTTGATAAGGCGCAGATCTTGAACTAACCTGTAAGGCTTGTCTGGTTTTAGGACAGGTAAAATGGGGGAATTGTAAGGGGAGTTATAGGCTTTAAAAGGCCATGCTGTAGCAGGTGAGTGATAACAGGCTTTAATCTTTTCAAAGCGTGCTGTGGGATGGGATATTGGCATTGAGGGGGGTAAGGGTGATTAGGTTTTAATGAGATGGTAAGGGGTGCATGATCGGTCTCCAAGGAGGGAGTAGAGGCATCTTATACTTGTGGGTTAAGGTGGGGGGATACGAGAGGGGGATGCAAAGGAGGCTTTGAACTGGGGAAAAGGGCAGCAATGAGGCGTGGCTGTAGTCCAGGAACAGTCAGGGAAGCAGATAATAAGGGAACTGGGCAGGTGGGGATAACTAAAAAAGAGTGTTTAAAAGAATGTTTTCTAAGTTGGCACCAGAGTTGGGGAGTTTTAAGAGGTTTAGAAGCCTGGCTGTCAATACCTACCACAGTTATGGAGTTAAGGGAAACAGGCCCTTGAAAAGAAGGTAATGTGGAGTGGGTAGCCTCTGTATTGATTAAGAAGGGGACGGACTTACCCTCCACTGTGGGAGTTACCCAGAGCGTCTGTGATGGTCCTGTAGGCTTCCGAGGCAATCAGGCAATGTCAGTCTTCAGCTGCTAAGCCGAGAAGATCTGGGAAGGAGTCAGTCAGAGAGCCTCGGGCCAGAGTTCCACGGGCTCTGGGAGTGGCTCCCAGGTGAGTTGAACAGTCTGATTTTCAGTGGGGTCCCACACAGATGGCACGCGGCTTAGGAGGAATCCCGGGCTGTGGGCATTACTTGGCCTGGTGGCCAGATTTCCGGCACTTGTAGCAAGCTCCTGGGGGAGGAGGTTCTGGAGGAACCCCTGGCAGCTGCGGTTCGGGCATTTGGAGTTCTTCTGTGCTGGAGATGTGGCTGGGGTTTGTCTCACAGTGGAGGCAAGGAATTGCAACTCAGAAATACATTGCTACTTGGCTGCCTCTACTCTATTATTGTACACCTTGAAGGTGAGGTTAATTAAGTCCTGTTGTGGGGTTTGAGGGCTGGAATTTAATTTTTGGAGTTTTATTTAATGTCAGGAGCGGATTGGGTAATAAAATGTATATTGAGAATAAGACGGCCTTTTGACCCTTTAGGGTCTAGGGCTCTAAAGTGTCTCAGGGTTGCTGCCGAATGAGCCATGAACTAGGCTGGGTTTTTCATATTTGATGAAAGAACCTAAACGCTAACTGATTTGGGAGAGGTCGGATAAAGAAAAAGGAGCATTAGCCTTGACTATGCCTTTAGCTTCAGCCACCTTTTTAAGAGGAAATTGCTGGGCAGGTGGTGGAGGGCTAGTCTCGGAACAAAACTGTAAGCTGGACCGGGTGTCAGGAGGGGAGGTGATAAAAGGATTATAGGGTTGGGGAGTAGAGGCTGAGGAAGAATTGGGACCTGGCTCGGCCTGGCGAGGAGCAGCCTGGGGAGGAGGGGAGAGGTCAGATGGGTCTGTAGAAAAGGAAGATTAGAAAGACTCAGCAATGCTTGGGGTTGAGACTGAGAGAACAAGCGGGAGGGAAAGAAGGAAGATTTGGGACGAGTTGCATTGGGAACAAAGAGTAGGGAGGGAACAATGTGTGAAAGAATGCCTGGACGTCAGGCACCTCAGACCGTTTGCCCATTTTACGACAAGAATTATCTAGATCTTGTAGGATGGAAAAATCAAAAGTGCCATTTTCTGGCTATTTGGAACCACTGTCGAGTTTGTATTGGGGTCAAGCGGCATTGTAGAAGAAAATAAGGCGTTTAGGTTTTAAGTCAGGTGTGAGTTGAAGAGGTTTTAAGTTCTTGAGAACACAGGCTAAGGGAGAAGAGGGAGGAATGGAGGGTGGAAGGTTGCCCATAGTGAAGGAGGCAAGCCCAGAAAAAAGAGAGTAGAGACACGGAGAGAAGGGGTTGGGGGGGTTCTTGCCCTCCAGAAAAGCAGAGAAGGGGTAGAGACACGGAGAGAAGGGGTCGGGGGGGTTCTTGCCCCCTAGAAAAGCTGTACTTGCCGCTAAGGGTGAAGGACCAAGGCAGGCGTCCCTGCGTGGCCAGAGACCTCTGAAACGTGGGTGAATAATCAGGCAGGCGTCCCTGCGTGATTAAACACCAAGGGAAGACTGTCTTCCCGAGCCCGTGACCAGCACGGGAGTTTTGGGTCCACGGATAAAACGCGTCTCCTGTCTCTACCAGAAAAGGAAAGGAACTGAAATTAAGAGAAGGGAGAGATTGAAGTGTGGCGCCAAGATTGAAAGGAGAAAGAGGTTGAGGGATAGTGAGAGAGGTTGGAGAAGAGAATAAAAAGAGGCCACTTACCGGACTTAAAATTGGTGAGATGTTCCTTGGGCTGGTGGGTCTGAGGACCAGAGGTCGTAGGTGGATCTTTCTCATGGAGCAAAAAGTAGGAGGACAGGGGATTGATCTCCCAAGGGAGTTCCCCCCTCCCCGATCTGAGTCACGGCACCAAATTTCACTCGCGTCTGTGTGAAGAGACCACCAAACAGGTTTTGTGTGAGCAATAAAGCTTTTTAATCACCTGGGTGCAGGTGGGCCGAGTCTGAAAAGAAAGTCAGGGAAGGGAGTTGGGGTGGGGCTGTTTTATAAGATTTGGGTAGGTAAAGGAAAATTACAGTCAAAGGGGAGTTGTTCTCTGGCGGGCAGGAGTGGGGGTCAGAAGGTGCTCAGTGGGGGAGCTTTTTGAGCCAGGATGAGCCAGGAGAGGGAATTTCACAAGGTAATGTCATCAGTTAAGGCAAGGACCGGCCATTTTCACTTCTTTTGTGGTGGAATGTCATTAGTTAAGGCAGGAACAGGCCATTTACATTTCACTTCTTTTGTGATTCTTCAGTTACTTCAGGCCATCTGGATGTATATGTGTAGGTCACAGGGGATATGATGGCTTAGCTTGGGCTCAGAGGCCTGACACAAATCCCTTATACATATGATTTGAAAGTATTTTTTCTCATTCCTTGGGTTCCCTTTTTACTATCTGGACAGTGTCCTTTGAAACACAAGATTTTTAAATTTTGATAACCTCTAATATATCTATTTTTTGTCTTTTTTGTTTTAAGTGAATAACTAGTAAGTCTGCCTAACTTAAGATCACAAAAATTTCTCCTGTATTTTCTTCAAAGAGTTTTATAGATTTAGCTCTTACATTGAGGTCTGTGATTTATTTTGAGGTAATGTTTGTGTGTGGTGTGAGGATGGAGTCCAATTTCATTCTTCAAACTTCTTTTTTTCCCCCTTTTTTTTAGAGCAAGGTTTTGCTATGTTGCCCAGGCTGATCTCAAACTCCTGGGCTCAAGCAGTCCTACCGCCTCTGCCTCCCTATGTGCCTGGCGAATTTCATTATTTTACATGTGGATATTCAGTTTTTCTAGCTTGATACCTATTTTTATAATCTAATAGAAAGGACTGGTGCTCCTCAAACTTAAATGTTAGTAAGAATCACCTGAGGTTCTTGTTAAAATGCAGATTTTGTTATGGTAGTGGGACCTGAGAGTCTACTTTCTTACAAACTTCCTAGGTGATGCTGCTGATTCTGGTACTGGGACTTTTTTTTTGTTTATTTTTGAGACTGTCGCCCAGGCTAGAGTGCAGTGTTGTGATCATGGCTCACTACAGACTTGACCTCCTGGGCTCAAGAGATCCTACCACTTCAGCCTCCAGAGTAGCTGGGACTATAGGCATGCTCCACCATGCCTGGTGTATTAGTCCATTTTCACACTGCTATAAAGAACTGGCTGAGACTGGGTAATTTATAAAGGAAAGAGGTTTAATGACTCACAGTTCAGCCTGTCTGGGGAGGCCTCAGGAAAGTTACAATTATGGTGGAAGGCAAAGGGGAAGCAGGTACCTTCTTCCCAAGGTGGCAGGAAGGAGAGTGAACACAGGAGGAACTACCAAACACTTACAAGACCATTAGATCTCATGAGAACTCACTACAAGAGAACAGCATGGGGGAAGCAGCCCCCATGATCCAATTACCTCTACCCGGTCTCTCCTTTCACATGTGGGGATTATAATTCAAGATGATATTTGGCTGGGGACATAAAACCTAACCATATCACCAGGCTAATTTTTGTATTTTTTGTAGAGACAGGGTTTCACCATGTTGCCTGGGCTGGTTTTGAACTCCCGGGCTCAAATGAGCTGCCTTCCTTGGCCTCCCAAAGTGCTGGGATTGCAAGCATGAACCGTGCCTGGCCATTCCTGGGACATTTTGAATAGCAAGGAAATAGACAAGTACTAAACAAAGAATTATAAGTGCATTCTAACTGTGCATCTGTTTTATTTTCACCTGTCTGACAACTGGCTTTCTTTGCTGCTTCCCGTATGTGGGAGACTATAACCTCTATACTGCTTCCAAGATCACATCCCATTAGGTCAAGCCATAAACTTAGGAGTTGCAAAATGGCATTGCTAAGCCTGAGTTTTTAATTCCCAGCAGAGATGAGCCAATTGGCTACCTTAGACCTATCAGCTCTTAGGTGTTCAGTTCTTAGTTCTATCAGCTGTGGCTAGGGGTCTGGCTTGTAGAGGGCTCAGTGGGTCAGTGGCAGCTCAGAGAGAAGAGAGTTGTGGGCTGGCCAGAAACTGAATGCTTTTCTACAGATGTACAATTGACCTTCTGTGTCATTTCACAGAAGTGTGGGCATCTTTGACTTTAAATTGAAAATTGTTAAAGGCATGGTAATTAGCAGGAGTCAGGAATTCTCCAAATGACTGTTACTGACCAATTCTGGGCAGAGGAGGGGGAAAAAGAATTTTCCTTGATTACCAGCTAAACTGTGTTTCATATTTAGCAACATGAATGATTTGTGTGACTTCACTAAGGACTCCGATTGGAACACAGGCAGTCCTAGTGCAGACTATTGAGTGGGCAGTCATGGGTAAGGTACTGAGCCTTTGTGGAAGCTTTCTCATTTATAGACTGAGGAATAATAGCTGTTCTGCAAAGACATTTTTAATCATTTTGTTTCTGGAACAATGTGTAGGTGCTGAATCTGTTAGTTTTCCTCTCTTTCCCCGCCTTCCTACTTCCAGAAAAGATTTTCTGTGATTTACATATAAATGATCAAGTATAATAGGGCCATTAAATTACGGATAAAACAAGAGCCCTCTAATGGAAAGAGAACATAGTTTTTCTACAAAAATCAAGGCTAAGATGGTTACTCTAACTGAATAAAAATTTAACTATGAGCTTTCTGGCACACATCATAAAAACAGAATAGATGAAACTGTTTTTAATATATAAAAATCTTAAAATACCAGTTAGGAGAGAGAAAATGTTTTTTTCTAACATTAAAATCATGTTTACATAGAATAACTAATAAGAAAAATGGAATGACATAATTGACAATGTTTTAAAAGTATCAAATGATAAAACCTTTTTCTAGTATGCTCCTTGAATTCTAGCCTCTGCACACTGTCTAGTTTCTCATTTTTAGGTATTTGTTACATTAGCATCCCACTTCCAGGTATTTTTATTTGGAAGTATTTTTATTTGGAAGACTGGGATTTTTATTTTAGAAGCATTTAAACAACCAGCTTTACCTTATCTATTGAATGTCTCTGTTCTAGCTCCCCCTTTCTTTGTCCCTTATAAAGGGAAACCAGTAGTCTGTTAGTGAAGAGTGGGAAAATCACTAACTTACTGTAAGGATATTAACTCTTATATATCACATAAAACATATACTAGGTCCATTACATAGTACAAAGAATAAGTTGCTACAGTGCCAATAAGCATGCAAATAAATTTGATAATTAACAGCTGGTAGGATTTATGCATTTATTCACTCATCATCTATTGAGCATCTATTGAATATTGGAATTATAGCGAGTAACAAAACAATGGACCATAGATTATATCAGAAATCTTCATGGTTGCATGCAAATGAAAGAAAAAAATAGAATGAGGATTTATGTGCTTAGGGCAAACACTAACATAGAGCCATTTCTTAGGCACACATCAACTAATTTTATACTATATAATTACAGTGCTTAGGTGAAAACAAATAATACAATGATGGTTTTAATAAAATTAAATTTAACTCCCTCTTGTTTCACTGTTACTGTTTTTCAATTAGGAAGCATCATGCCATTTGAAATTTGGGTAATACATATATTATTTTCAATATTTAGATAGCATGTATGTTAAAAATATTTTAACTTTTCCATTTTGCTTTTCACTTCATGTTATCACCCTATTTGGACATTTAATTTTTCTTGCTTGTATTGTTGCCTGTGCTGTACAATCTCTTTATTGCTGCTTTTCTTCAATCCTTCCTGCATATTGCCATTAGACTCTTTTCCTAAAGAATAGTCTTTGTTGTGAGAGTCTCTTGCCCACCATCTGAAATGCTGATGGCTGAAATTCAAGGCTTTCTAAGAGATGGCAGAAACTAACTTTTTTGCCTCTTATTTTGTATCACTACATTCATGAAAGTTTGAGGTATAATAATTCACACAAATTCATCACATAAAACTTTAATTTGTTTTCATTTGCGGTATTCTCCATGAGTAGGATAGCGATTTCCATCCTCACTCGCTCAAATATTACTCAGCCTTTCTTGTATAGCTCAAAGGTCACTTTTGTGAAGCTTTCCAAGTTGACTTCAGCTTTCAGGAATTTCCTTCATCTAACTCTTTAAGTAATTTGGGTTAGTTTATATATAACCCAGAAATAATGGCTATGTGACTCCCACTCTATAGAGTAACATTTTTTAAATCTGCATCTAATGATCTTAAATAATAAGGTGTACTTTTTGCTAGATTATACCATGACATGCACACATTTCTCCAGAAATCGTCAGTAAGACCTTCCCAAAGTTCTATATTCATGTCAGCCACAAAATTATCTCTCTGGCTTCCTCCCATTCATGTTTGTTCATTGCCTAGATTAAGCCACTTCACCTTCCTTATCCTTTTTTTTTTTCTTTAATTACTACAGTTTGGTTCTGTTGCCCAGGCTGGAGTACAGTGGCATGACCTCAGCTCACTGCAACCTCCACCTCCCTGGCTCAAGCCATCTTCCTACCTCAGCCTCCCAAGTAGCTGGGACCACAGGTGCATGCCACCATGCCTTCCTCCTCCATTTTATCACATCATGACACTCTGTCTTCTTGCTGGAAGTTGTCATTGGAACTTCTGCTGTTTCCTACTTCCTAGGGAACCCAGAATTTTCATACCTTACTCTCAACCCATCAGTTCCCCTGAGAGTTCAAGAAACTTCCAGGTAATAGCAGTTCTTCTCTCACTCTAACCGATTTTTGTTGTGAGACATCCTTGTGGAGACTTTCTGGTAAATAAAACTTTCTACTACTGTCTTTTCTATATCATTTTCAACAAGTACTTTCTACACCTGGTAATAGTGCATGTTTTATCTACTCTTCAAAACTAAGGGAAAAAATGAGGACAGGAAGTACTTTTTTATTACTCATGGCTTAACTCAGAGGTCCCCAAACGTCGGGCCACAGACCAGTACCAGTATATGGCCTGTTAGGAACTGGGACACACAGCAGAGTTGTGCAGTGGGTGAGTGAGCATTACTGCCTGAGCTCTGCCTCCTATCAGATCAGCAGTGGCATTAGATTCTCATAGGAGCAGGAACCCTATTGTGAATTGTGCATGCCAGGGAGTGAGGGATTTAGGTTGTGTGCTTCTTATGAGAATCTAATGCCTGATGATCTGAGGTGAAACAGTTTCATCCTGAAACCCTCCCCACCGTCTGCGGGAAAATTGGCTTCCATGAAACTGATCCCTTGTGCCAAAAAGATTGAGGGCCACTGGCTTAACCTTTAGCAAGTTCTCTTCTTTGGGTGAAATACAAGTAGGAAATGAAGCTTCAGTCACATATTTTCTTTCCTTTTTTTTGTTTGTTTGTTTTTTTGAGATGGAGTCTTGTTCTGTCACCCAGGCTGGAGTGTAGTGGCGCTATCTCGGCTCACTGCAACCTCTGACTCCTGGGTTCAAGTGATTCTCCTGCCTCATCCTCCCAAGTAGCTGAGGTTACAGGCACGTGCCACCATGCCCTGCGAATTTTTGTATTTTTAGTAGAGATGGGGTTTTGCCATGTTGGCCAGGCTGGTCTCGAACTACTACTGACCTCAAGTAATCCTCCTGCCTTGGCCTCCCAAAGTAGTAGGATAAGCTTCAGTCATGTATTTTCTTTCTTTCTTTTTTTTTTTTTTTTGTTTTGATCACAGGCATGAGCCACCATGCCCGGCCCAGTCATGTATTTTCGATACAAGCCGGGTGTCATTGACATCTACCACATGTCCACACGGCATTTCGTTCTTCTGCATGTAGTGTTAAAGAAGGTGTAGATAAAATTCCTGTCATTCCTTCCTTTTCTAAGCTTGCATTTCTTTTCCTCCTCCTAAAAAGAAATGATAATAGCTTAACCAAATAAAGCAATTTCTGATTATGCATGATATAATAGATTATGTTATCAGGACTAGGTAAGACAATCAACAACTAACCAAATATCTTAATGTTGGAATTTATTATGCGCTACCTATATGCATATATTCTATGGGCAAAATATTATATTCATATAATGCATACATATGTGTATTTTAAGATACTTTGTGGTTTTTCTAAATAATTGTATTATATTTAAATTATGAGAAAAGTTAAAATATTAACTAATGAATAAAATTACATGTGTATATATGTATCTGATATATATAACCATATATATTATATATTTATATATGTGTGTAATATATAACCTATAGTCTTCCCTCTTTCTCCATTACAAGATAGACCTACAGTTATAGTTTTTTTAACACAAACTTCTACTGAAGATGCAGAGTATTAGAATTTCCTTTCTTGCTATCAAACTCAAACATTATCATCCTCATGGAAACATTAATAATAGCTGTTTACTGTACCATTAGTAGGTACCAAGTACTACTCTAGGAGATTTATAAAAATTAAATTGTTTAATCATAAATAAATAATTGTGAAGTGAATTTTGAGAACATGGAAGCTCAAGGACACACTGTAAGTGCAGGAGATGGAAAAAAGGGTATATAAAATTGGTCTGAATATCCAGATTAAAATTTCTAGCATTCTTAGTTGGAATGGTATATATAACGAAATACTGTGTGGAACTCAAAACAACTACTATTCATCGTAAGCATATTTCTCACAGTAGCATCAGCCACAGCGTCACTGAGCAAAGTAGAGAAAGTGGTTGTGAATCTGACAGGCCGTAGCTTAACATCTGGCACAATAAATCATTATTATCACATTCTTAAGGTTAGAAAGGAGTGATAATTTAAATGTTTACATAAAAGAAGTCACGTTTTAAATTTCTGTTTTCTTGGTAAGTTATACTTCTTAGCCACAGTTTCCTTGTTCATAAAATGGGGGCATTTGTTAGATCTGTAAGGATCCTTCAAGCCTTACAATTTCTACAAATTTGTGATTCCTTTCAATTAACATTTTATCACCAAACTAAATTATCTTAAAGGTTGAAAGAATATGAGATTTAAACCCAATGAGTTATTCTATTGCATTAGATTCAGAAGACCAATGGAGAAAAAAGTATAAAACAAATATATGCAATAGAGAAATATCAAAAGTTTTCCATAATATTTCTACATGTATGTATACATTGAAATAACAATTTTAATACTTACCATTTAAGTAAAATCATATATCGTAACTTAGAGAATAAAAGCTTTTCTAAGGAATTCAATAATTAGAGACTTTCATGGTATGTTGCCTTATGATTCTCTTTTGATTTGCTTTGAGGTATCTGTTACTTCTTTGAAGTTTATGTTTTTCTTACATTTAGTTTTGGATATTTTCTCCCATTACATTTTTCTTCCATAATCTCTAAGATAAACACATTTATTATTAAAATGCAGTAGATTTCACTAGATCTTTAAAACTCAGTAACAAAGTATCATTTTCTATGCATTATTATTATCACTACTAATCTGTAATTTTATAGTATTGTATATACTTATATTATTTTCAGGTTTTTGGATCACATTTCCTAGACAATAATGAGAAATAAGGGCTTCTATTTAAATGGATATTCAAAAAGTATCATATATTTGCTGTGGACCTTCATCTCAGTGAATTTGTGAATGTATTATTTATAATGAAAATAAAATAAGTGAATGCTAAAAAAGTTTTTCCTTTTGCCAGGGGATTTACCAGAAAGAGAACAAAATGGATCATGGTATGATACTTTTCTGTGTAAATATATAGAGAAGAAAATCTACCAAAGATTTAACAATGATTTTCCTACAATTGGGGTGGGAATGGAATGGTGAGATTCAGAACAGGTTCAACTCTCTATGTGGTATCTTTCTGAATTAGAACATTTTGAATGAATTTGTATTTCTTTAATAACTACTAAAATATGTTGTTATATTAAGATAGTCATATTTAGAGTATTTATACTAATTCTTGAAATCACAACAATTTATTTCATATGTAAAGAACAATTGCAAAAACCTCTGCCTTGATGGAGTTTACGGTTCAGTGGGGGAGAGGGTGATAATAAGAAAGTAAAAGATGGTATGTAGAAAAATAAAAACACAGAAGGGCAGTAGGAAGTGTGTATGTGTGAGATATAATTCTTAGTAAGAGAAAGAAGGCCTGTAACTGAAAAATTAACATTTGAGTGAAAACTGAAAGAAGGCAAGTATATTATTAGTCCAGACGTTCTCACACTGCTATAAAGAAATACCCAAGACTGGGTAGTTTATAAAAGTAAGAGGTTTAATTGACTTACAGTTCCACATGGCTGCGGAGGCCTCAGGAAACTCACAATCATGATGGAAGGCAAGAGGGAATCCATGACCTTCTTCACGTGGCGGCAGGAGAGAGAAGAGTGAGGAGTGAAGGGGAAAGAGCCATTTATAAAACCATTATATCTCATGAGAACTCACTCATTATCACAAGAACAGGATGGAGGAAACCACCCCCGTGATCTGATCACCTCCCATGAGGGGTCTCCCTAGACATGTTGGGATTATGGGGAGTACAGTTCAAGATGAGATTTGGGTGGGGACATAGCCAAACCATATCAGCAAGGGAAGAAACCACGCAGTTGTCTGTAATAGGAATTTCAGGATGAAGGAACTGCTAGGACAAAGGCTCTGAGTCAGAAGCACATTTGGATAGTCACAGTAAGTGGGAGTGTGGTAGGAGATCAAGTCAGAGACGTAATGAGGTAATAGGAAACTTGGGCCATGGTGAGAAATTTTATATTGGCTAGATGAGTTAAGAGTGAAATAAGCATTAAGAAGGAAGTAAGTGGTTGGGTAATTGAGTAAAATATGGTTTGAGTGCCTCAAAACAAAGAGCAAATATGAATAGAGAAAATACTATTTCCCCAGCTAGCAAAGTATTTTTGGAAAAATTAATATCTTCTCACTAGACATATGTATATATCCAAGCTATTTAGGTAAATAATTTGATTTAAACTGATAAATAAATTAAGATATTTTACAATCTTTCATTCTTTTCATTTTTTTCATTTATTTCTTGAGTATCTATTATGTATCAGAAGACAAAATCACATCATACTCTCAAGTTTACAGTCTAAGTCTACAACGTAAGTCTAATATATCCAGCCAAAGTTAGATTTGCATTTATTTTGCATGATAATGTTAGAATGGTTTCAAGTAACACTTGGAAAGATAACCTAAAATGAAAAAGTTTAGAGAGTGAAATGCATATTATTTTTTATGTGGGAAACATGAATCTTAGTTGTGAAAAATAGCCTTGATGATACTCTGAGGAAAAGTAACCAGGTTTTTTTTTTAACCATTAAGTGTGATGTTAGCTGTAAATTTTTTGTGAATATTCTTTGTCTTGTTGGGGAAGTCCACTTTTATTCCAAATTTTCTGACAGTTTTTATTATGAATGAGTGCTGGATTCTGCCAAGTCTTTCTTTACATGAATTCATATGATTATATGATTTTTCTTTAGTCTCTTGTTGTAGCGGATTGCATTAATTGATGTTTTATTATTTTTATTTTTATTAGTATTTTTTGAGACAGAGTCTCACTCTGTCACCCAGGCTGGAGTGCAATGGCACGATCTTGGCTCACTGCAACCTCTGCCTCCCGGGTTTGAGCGATTCTTGTGCTTCAGCCTCCCTAGCAGCTGAGATTACAGACATGCACCACCACATCTGGCTAATTTTTGTATTTTTAGTAGAGACGGGGTTTTGCCATGTTGACCAGGGCTGTCTCAAACTCCTGACCTCAAGTGATGCGTACACCTCAACCTCCCAAAGTGCTGGGATTACAGGCGCAAGCCACTGTGCCCAACCTAATTGATGTTTTAAATATCGAACCAGCATTGCATACCTGGTATAAATCCCACTTGTTCATGGTGTATGTAATTTTTTATGCTTTGTTGGATTAGATTATTTAATAGTTCATTGAAGATTTATGCATATATATTTATGAGAGATAGCTTTTATTTGTTGTAATGTCTATTAGGGTTTGGTACTAAGTTAATACTGGCCTCTTGGAAAAAGATAGGAACAATTTTCTTTACTTCTGTTTTATGAAATATATTGGAAGATTAATATTTCTTCCTTAAATGTTTGGTAGAATTTCCTGGTGAAATAATCAGGTCCTTGTTCTTTTGTTCTTAGAAGGTTATTAGTAATTAATTCATTGTATTTAATAGACATAGACCTATTGAGATTATCTGTTTCTCCTTGTATGAGTTTGTGTCTTTCAAGGAACTGGTTTATTTAATATAATTTATCCAACTATTGACCATAGAGTTATTTCTACTGTTGCTTTATTACCATCTAATATCTGTGGGATCAATATTTTACTTTTGATATTGGTAATTTTTGTCTCTCTCATTTTTTCTTGGCTAGCATGGCTAGTGGTTTGTCAAATTTATTGATCTTTCCAGAGAACCAGCTTTTGATGTCTTTTTTTCTATTTTCCTTCTTTCAGTTTCACTGTTTTCTGCTCTAAATTTTGATGTTTATATTCTTTTTTAGATATAAAGTGTTGTTTTTTCTCTGGTTTCCTAGGGTGAAAGCTTAGAGTTTCAGATCTTTTCTTCTTTTGCAGTACATGTACCTAATACTATACATTTCCCTTAAGTAGTATGTTCACTGCATCCCATAAGTTTTGGTCAGTTGTATTTTCATTTTCATTTAGTAATATTCTAGAATTTCTCTTGAGAATTCTCCTTGACTCGTGATTTATTTGGAAGTATGTTTAACTTTCAAATATTTGGAGATTTTCAAACTGTCTTTCTGTTATTGATTTTTAGTTTAATTCCATTGTGGTCTGGAAGCATACTTCATGTTATTTCTATTCCTTTATATTTGTTAAAGTGTGCTTTATGGGCCAGAATGTGGTCTATATTGGTGAATGTCCCATGTGAGCTTGAGAAGAATGTGTATTCTGCTGTTGTTGGATAAGGTACTCTATAAATGTCGAATATATCAAGTTAATTGATGATGCTGTTCAGTTCAACTGTATCCTAACAAATTTTCTGCCTACTTGATCTATCAGTTACTGAAAGAGGAGGGTTGAAATCTCCAACTTTAATAGTGGATTTATCTATTTTTCTTTTCATGTTTATCAGCTTTTGCCTCGTGTATTTTGATACTCTCATTAGGTGCTTACATATTTAAGATGTTATGTCTACTTGAAGAATTTACCCTTTTTTGTTATGTAGCGTCCTTCCTTATCCTTGATACTTTTCTTGATCTGAGGTCTACTTTATCTGACATTGATATGGCTATTCCAGCTGTTTTTTTAAAATAATGTTAGCATGCGATATCATTCTTTATTCTTTTATTTTCAACCTATCTGTCTTTGATACTTAAAGTGGTTTCTTGTAAACAACATCAAGTTCAGTCTTGTCTTCTCATTTACTCTTACAGTCTGTTTTTTAATTGGTGTATTTTGACCATTCACATTTCAAGTAAATATTGATACAGATGGATTAATGACTGTCATATTTGTAACTGTTTTCTATTTATTGCATCTGTTCTTTGGGGAAAGGAAGTTAAAGTCACTAGGTTTATTATTCCTTGCAACATAAATTAATGGCTCTGGGGGGATATATGCAGGTCTCTCTGAAAGTGTCTATTGTGAACTTCTAGTTTTCTTTTTTTCGAAAGCCTTGACCATGCAGAAACATGAAACTGTTCATATAGCATTGTTTCCTGACAGTTTATAGCCAATCTATGTCAGTTCCATAATTTTTAAACTTAGAACATTTCATTAACCTCCTTATTTCCTTTTTATAAACATCTTCATTTTTCAGGCATTGCATTTAACTTGATTCTGAACCTTACTCAGATGATTAACTCAATCCTTTAAGAAGATATTGAATTTCTGAAGAACTTTCTCAATAATGTTGATTTAAAATGATTAATGATAGTCCCTTTACTTCCCATTCATGCTTAAATTTTATAAAATACAATCCTTTTTATTTAGAATTTAAAGAATTTTCCTTAAATATTGTGAGGTGTAGCAGTAACAGCTTTTTGTTTTGAGCAAAACTTTTCTCTGGTTATAGTAAAAACTGGTTTATTCCCCTTCGCAAATTTGCAAACTCACCAAAAGCCCTCAATCTGTTCTTCCACAAAGATGTAATAAAGCAATTTGCTGTTGAATTCTCAAAATACAAGTATGGCTTTAAAAACAACTTCTTCTGGATATATTTTGTGCAACAGCATTTTAAAATTCTTGTTTATTCTTTTGACCACCTGTGAAATTTGGAGTATTGTATTTTAGCCAGGCTAATATAATCAATTCTGCCAACTCTATGTCAACTACAAGGAAATATTCTTACTTAAAACAAATAAATACCACTAATTAGCTCTTCATTTCGTGAAGTCTGAGAATGTGAGGCTCAGATAGTAACCATTGAAAAAAGACAACTCAGAATGTTGTTATTTGAGCATAATTCTATTGGTTCTCTGACATGAAAGGAAGCCTTTCTCCCCCAAACTTCAAGGGATTTTCTTTATTTGATCTGAGAATCACTGATAACTTTTGCCATTCTCAACCCAACCTGATTCCTTGTTTGTTATGATTTTAACAGTGACAACAAGGAAAAACATTTGATGTTAGTAATATGTGAAATCTTAGGATTCTGTGTCATTCCCTTTATTTTATAGGTCAATACATATTTAATACATTTCTACTGCATATATAGAAAAGGAAAGTGAGATTTATATACTAAAGCATGAAGTACAGTGTCACAAAAGCAGAAGAGGAAAGAATTTCAAGAAGGCTGAAACTGTCATCAGTGTTAGGTTCAGCACTATGTTTTCATTAAAAAAAGAAGAAATAATTTTCATTTGAAAAGTTAAAAAAAAAAAACGTTTTGTAAAGCTTTTGGAATGAGTCTTACTATACTACACTTGTTTTTGTAAGACTGCCTGACCCTAGGAATTCTAAGATAGATGACTAATATAGATAATGGTTGCTGCTTAAGTGTGCTTATGTGTAACCCTAATTCATCACTGTCCAATGGTTAATAGATTTAGAGTAGCTGCATTAAAAAAAAAAACACGTGAGGTCTTTTTTTAAAACATAATCTGTCTTGTCTTTGTCATTTTGGCAATAGAAAATGTAGTTTTATTTTGATAAAGGTTGAAGAATTTATTGGGAGAAGATATCTGATGGCATTAAAAATGTCTCCCTCAAAGCAATTTAAGATATCAAAGTTACTTATTGAGGCTCAATCTGTTGACACAGTCATACACCAATAATTTCCTAAAAGCAGTACAGAATACTAATGGGTGATTATTTTTTAGCAAAGAAAATGCAAATATATTCTGAATTGAATGAATGTTATATTAAAATTAGATGACGAATATTTGAAATGAAGGAGAAAAAGTTCATTAGCAGAAAAATCTCATGAATCATTAATATTTCCACTATAGAGCAAGTTGATTTTTTATTTTAGTACAGTAATGCATAGTATCACATCAAGTCATCTTTTGTTTATACGGTTAAAAGGAATTTTTCAGGAAAGTATTTACTTCATAAATAAAGCTTTTTTTTCTGGAAGTAATTGAGGTTGCATAGCAGTGTCTTCAGTACGGTTAATGTTCAAAGTGAAAAGAAAATATACACAAACTTTGGGTGGAGAATAATACAGATTTCAAACACATCAATAATTCATTTGACATGAAGCAAGGAGGGGCGGTGTGTCCTACATGCTCTGCCATTTTCTCTGCTAGAATTCCACTTCCCCCATTGTATCCTCTCAACTCCCACAACTCCTCTTTAAATTTTAGTTCAAATATCACTTCCTCAGGAAGGCATTCTCAGATTCTCAGATATTGTCAGTACCTACTCTATACTTATTTATACCAAGTACTTATCACATATAGAATTAAAGATTGGTCGTTTAATGGTGTTATCTGTCACTAAAAAGAAAGTTCTTATTGTCATGGAACATGACCACATTGTTCACAGTTGTATTCCTATGTCCAGAAATGGCACTTTGAACATAATGTCCACTCAATAAATGTTTGCTTGGATGACTAAAAAAGGAGATTTTTTAAATGGGGCTAGAAGGTATATTGCTTCCAATCGTCAGGGACTTTGGATTTGTGTTTGTGTGTTTAGGCTACTAGGGAGCCATGAAGAGTTTTTATCAGTAGATTGACAAAAGGAAAGCAATACTCTTGTCAGGTTGTAATGTGTAGAGAGCTTTAAGTGTAGCAAAACTGCAGGGAAGGACACTATCAGAGTACTGATGGCAGTTCACCTTGAAGACAGTATGGTAACAATAACATACGAGATGGTAGCATTGGGAAAATATTCATGATACATTCCAAGGGAAGAATTTATAGCACTTTGCCTTTGATTCCATGTGGAGGAGGAGTATCCTAGATAATTTTAAGGTTTTGAGCCAATGGATAAGATGAATGGTAATGGCATTACTGAAGAAAAGGCAATTCAAGAAAAAGAGCATGTTTGGGGAGGGATAACAGTAGCAACAAAGGCAACAAATTGCCTCTTAATGAGAACATGCTGTCTTATATCATAGTAGATACTACACACATTCTTTCTAATTTGTGCAGTAATTCAGTGTTACTCTTCCATTTGAACCGTTATGGAAGGTAAGGCTCTTAGAGGTTAAGAAACTTGCTTAAAGTCAAACAGTTAGGATGTGGCAGAATTTGGATTTTATTCCGGATTTTATGCTGGCTCCATTATGCCATTTTTGAGAGGATAAGATGTTAAATTAAGATAGAGAAATGATAGAAAAAATATGTGTATATATACACATATACAAACATCCATGTATATAATGTCTGTATATATAACTATAGATGTATGAGTGTGTGTGTCTCCGTGTGTATATTTGTTGTGTATGAGAAATTGAAACACATTTATGTATGGATATTTAGCAAGTGGTGAGGAACTTTGAGATGAGGATTCTGCAGTGATATTGATGTTGGAAATGGGCAATTTATTCCCATATCAGGTTCTAACATTTAAAATGCACCTGAATTTGTATTAAGAAACTTGTCTTGCTAAATTTTAATTCTATCAGATTAATAATAGCCACAGAGCTTGTAAAGGGAATCATTATTCTAACCTTTTGAAAAAATTTTTTTGTAGCTCAGTTTAAAAAAATGGAATCATCAGCAAAAGTTTATGGTTGTTTTGTCATCCAGAGTGTTTCCATTAAAAAGGTTTTGTGATTATTTTATTCAGTTATATTAATAATAAAATTCGTTTTAATTTATATTTATTGTGTTCCATCAGATTCTTCTATTTGTGGTGACAGGTAACTTAACACCCTTGAAAACAGCTGTTTACAAGATGCCATTCTGTAATGTGGGTTTCTTTCTCTTCTAATGGGAGGTCCTAATGAGCAATGTAATGATCCAGGAAGATGAGCAAAAGGACTTAATAATTGAAGATTGAGTGCAAGAAGTGTTCTGTAGAAGTTTATTAAAAATAATCATTGGGTATTTTGGAGATAATTATTTCACATTAGAATGGAGAATATGATTGTACCAGAAAGGAACATGGGCAATCATTCTGTCTATCCTTGTAAATTCTTGATCTGCACCTCTAGAATTTTGGTTCTGGCCAGTTTATGCTGACTACATCCATTTTTGAATTACATACATAATTTTAGATTGTACTTCATAGTCTTATGCTTAACAGTGTGTTGCCTTTGAAAGGTATTTCAGTTTCAATGTAAGCATTTCTTAGCTCCTCAAATTGATGGCAAGCTCCTCCTTTAAGGTCAGCATATGTTTTCTGGAGATTTTTATATCCTTTAAACTGCCTAATGGTGAGCTGAATACAAAATAAAAAATAATACGTAGGCCAACTATTTGGAAGGCTGAGGCAGAAAAATCACTTGAGCCCAGGAGTTCAAGGCTGCAATGAGCTATGATTGCATCATTGCACTCCAGCCTGGGTGACAGAGCAAGACGCTGTTTCTAAAAATAAAATAAAATAAAATAAACTTAGGGAATTAGATACAGCATCTCTTATGGCATAGAAACATGAAGATATTTGTTTCTGTCAACTCAGGGTGAAAATAATCTGATGAAATGGAACAATCTAGTTGAAGTTCAGCTCTGGCTATATGACTTCCGCTTTCTCACCTATAAAATAGTGATAATCAAAGCATTTACCAGTTGTATGTTATCAGAAATTGAATTTTAGGTACTCCTGTGAGCATTTGGAATCTTGTTAATGTTATCATTTTTCCTAATACCATCATGTGATATATAATACTGAGAACTTGGAAATACTACCTTGTGTTTTTATACCCAGAAAACTCAAGTAGATACAAATAATTAGGGTAATTTGAATGAGATAAATTTCAGAAATTAAACTAGTCAAAAATTTCAATATTTCTACATTTTTTATGTGCTAAGTGAAGACCTAGGAAACTCAGTGGGATGACAGCAAATACCTAGACATTGTGCTGGATCGGTACAGAAAGATAAATGAGGTATTTACCTCATTTATGGACTCTATACTTAGGACTCTATACTTAGGAAATATGGACTCTATACTTAGGAAACTTAGGGAATTAACATAAGCACAGGAAATATAACACACATATCAAATGTAGAGTCATCAATTATTTGAAAAATGTAAAATGTTCATCATATAGCCATCTACCATTGAATAATTTTAGATGATCTCAAGTCTCATTATTGTAAGTCACTTCCCCTCCTCCCACAAATGACCTTAAATTATTCCACCAACTCTGTATCTTATTACTTCTTTTGTCAAAGCGAATATTTGGTAAGTAAAATTTTAAGTAAATTGCTTCAGAATGTCACCATCTTATTTCAGACTTTCATGTACACTTCAACATTTGAACCTTTTTTTTTGTACTTAATGGGACTAAAAATATCTGCACTACCTGTACGACACATTGTTATTTGAATACTTTGAAACTGTAAAACACTTTGCAAATACTGAGTATCATTATTTAACTCCAGCTAAACAAACAAGGTTGATATAGATGTTTTCAATGTTGCTGCCTGACAGCAAAACATGTGTTAGCTCAGCAAGAGATATTCTGTATATACTCTATGAAAATACTCGCAGATGAACTTTCCATTAATAAAAACTAATCGCTTGGTAAAGAGGATATTATTTGTTTCTTCTTCTATCCCATTTGTTACAAATTTAGGCATATGAACTACAGGCATATGAAAATCCAGGTTTTACAGTGAAAACTGTAGATCAGTGGCCCCCAACCTTTTTGGCACCAGGGACCAGTTTTGTGGAAGACAATTTTTCCATGGACAGATGATGGGGGGCAGGGGCAATGGTTTGGGGTTGAAAGTGTTCCACCTCAGATCTTCAGGCATTAGTTAGATTCTCATAAGGAGCATGCAGCCTAGATCCCTTGCATGCACAGTTTACAATAGGGTTTGTGCTCCTGTGAGAATCTAATGCCACTGCTGATCTGACGAGGCAGAGCTCAGGCGGTAATGCTTGCTTGCCCACCACTCACCTCCTGCTCTGCAGCCCAGTTCCTAATAGGCCATAGACCAGTACCAGTCCACAGCCTGGGGGTCGGGGAACCCTGCTCTGGATTCTTGCTTCATTCTCTGATATTTTACCATGTTTTAAGAAGAGTTAGGGAAGATTATAGGTCTAGGCAATATAATGTAATGGCAAGTCCTCAGGCTCCAAAGTCATAGATTTCCCTTTGTATCTTGGCCCCAATGCTAATGATGTTTCTTTAGAAAAGTTGCTTAAAAATAACGTTTATTGAATGCGTATAACATCTCAGGTACTGTTGCACATACTTTACATGTATGGGTTATTTACTATTCCCAGAAACACTAGAAGTACATTATTATTATTGTTTCTATTTGATAGATTAGGTAGCTCAGGTATTAAAGAGTTGACGCGAGATTTGATCCCAACAGTGTTTTCCAGAGCCTGTTATTTTTTTACACCATGCTTCTCAGGCTCTGTTTATTATCTATAAATGAGATTAAAAGGTGATCTACTTTATCAGTTTTTGAGAATTAAATGAGACAATAGGTGATGAATAAATTACAATTCAACAGCACCTGTAAATGCTCTTGATATATTCCAAACATCTGTTGGCCAACATATTCATTTTTTTTAACTTGGGTAGCAGTGTTAACACTAGCATAGCTTCTAAATAGTGAAAAAGAAAAAACAAATATATCTATCTATCTATATATGTATGTGTATATATATATATATATATGCTTGTTAATTTGAAATAGCTAATAAAGAACTAAGTGAAATCAGCTACTTACAAGTAGAATGAAAACATTAAAACTAAGTACAATTTAAGAGGATGTAGTGCATTTTGATGGGCTGATTGTTAGTGTGGAAGAGACTTTATTTCTTCCCTACTAACATTCACTGTTAAATTGGATTAAGTTCCTAATTTTAGTCAGTCAAGCATATAAAACCTAGAATAACCACAGAGAGTAGGAGCAAATGTAGCCTACACCTTGGCCCCCAGCATCCCTAATGAGGGCACATAACTCCCAGAAACACTGTTTCCCCATTCTTAGGTCAATTCTTGCTGGGACACTGGCTTTTTATTCTCCCAGCTTACGTCATCATTCAGGAAGTTGTAAATAACAATCTATGAACATGCATTCAAAGGGAATGGTTACAAGCTCAGAATCAACCAGGGTCACATCTTCATTTGGGTTTAACATATTCAAGAACTAGTGTACCCCAAGCCTAAAGGTAGAGACTACCTCCAGCGCTCTAGCCCAGAATAGCTGTGTATTGTCAAGCCCTAACAGTTTATGAATAGATGCTCTGCATGTGTTCTTTAGAGCTGTGCTAGAATTGTGTGTTTGAAACTTTAATTTGTGTAGGAAGCACCTGCAGAGATTGTTAAGGGGATGGTGATCTGGTTGGCCTGACTTGGGGAGTGAGTTTTCTGCATATCCACCAGATTATCAGAGGATGCCCATGCAGCTGGTCATTGGAGCAAACTTGGAATACCAAGCCTGTAAAGCACAGATGATGCATTACCTAGGTGAGCTTCACACATTTGTAAGGAAGTTTTAAGATCGATCTTGTCAGATACCCAGAGCCAGATGACTGCATTTTAAATCTGTGTGCTGCTCTGTTTTTTAAAACTAACATTTCTATTCTAGGAATCTTTTATTATAATTTAGATCTGGAATGACTTTTTTCTAAATGGCTCCCAATGTAATGACTGTGTCTTCAGATTCAGCAACCATGTTTTCATTATCCTCTGAATCACAGAGTATAATTGTGCATTACAGTTTGGGGTTTGTTTTTCCTACTAAGAAACTCCTTTTCCTTGCGTCCTTTCTGATAAATATCATTAATTTTTCCACTATGGAATAATTCTACTTCACTTTTGAAACATAACCTCATTTGAATGTATTTTAACTGGGACTTCATTGCCTGAGGGAAGATGGATTATTAGTGACATGTGTCTTGCTTCTTGATACAGAAAAGATAATATAAAAGTAGTGTTTCTACTATATCTTAAAAAAAGCTTCATATAAGCCAATTTTCTTTAATGATATTGTAGCAAGGGAAAATATTGTACAACTCATTTACCTTCATTTTTACATATTTTTCAACCTCAATGATAATTCTGGAGATATTCATGTGCCTTATCTTGAAATCAAATTAAATCATTCTTTTGTGATATGACACGCAATTTGTGACATTTTGAGCCAACAGTATATTAAGATTTAATTTTCAGTTCATTATAGACCTAGTGCCTAAATGAAATTTATTGAGACTAAGTAACTCTGCAGTGATTGTGGGCTGATGGTTCAAGTACAGTGATTCAGTGATTCTTAGTAGGGGAGAAGATAGGCCATGTAATTGAACTTATCTCTGGATTTTTGAAAGGTTGAGGCAATACCTGTTCTTCCAACCCCTCACTGGCTCCACATTTCAAACACACTATACCTGAGTTGGAAATATCAGCAAATGTGTTTCTAGATGGATATGTGAAAATAAATAATTATTGGCTTACTGTGTTTTTTAAAATTGTGGTATACCATACGTAACATTTACTGCTTTAAACATTTTAAGTGTACAGTTCTGTGGCATTAGGTACATTCACATTGTTATGCAGCCATCATCACCATCCATGTATAGAACTGAGCTACTATTTTTTAAGATGTATTTTTTCCCTTAGATTCTTCTCTTCTGAGTTTGTTAATGATGTCCAATTAAATGTATGCTTATTTTATATGTATGAGGTTACTTTTTAAATGGGAAAGTTGAGCTCCATCTGCCTGAGGGCACTGTAAAAATTTAACTTTCAAAATATAATTCCTGTTTTGCTGTTGTTGTTCCTCATGATTTCCTTTTTTATATGAATATTTTCTTTAAACATATTGACAGTCAATTTGACAAGCTGTCACTTCTGGCAAATGCCACTTTTTCCATTAGTAACTTCCTTCTTTCAAGAAACACTATTAGTCACTATATCTTATTATATTAAACATCTCCTTTTAACACTGGTAACATAAAAATGTTTTACTAACAGTTCTCACACAAAAATATCATATTGAAACAAAAATTAGAGGACCAGAGGCATTTACTCAGAAAGAACAAACTTTTTCTTAGTAATGACAGTGACCCAACCAATCAAATAAATTGAAGAAGTAATAAAATGAATGCATTTTTATCTGAAACGGATGCCACCAGTAACATTTTGGGAATTCCAATTTAAAAGGCCCAATGCCCCCCATGCAAGATTAGTTTTTCAAGATACTTTTACAGGGCTAGGACATTAAAATATTTGCTTCTCTATTGGAGCAGCTCTTTCAACAAGTTGGAGGACTGATCACATCCCTTTGCCAATTGCAGTTCAGATAGGCTCTGGGAAGGCAAAGTACAGGATGTCATGCAAGTGAAAACAGAAGTGATTAATCTTATGGATAGATCAAGGAAATTTATCTGAACTTTAGAAGTGAGACTTGATGCTAAATAGGTGTTTGGTGTATGAAAACTAAGGATGAAGCATTCCTGGTAAATAGAAAGGCCTGATTGAAAGCTCTGAGCTGGGAACACAGCAGAGGGAAGCCTACTTTGGAAGGAGGGATTGGTCTGGCAAAGTGCTGGATAACACAGGTTGTAGGTCATATAAAACCTTGTAGGGGGTTTGAGCTTCTTGAAGCCTATGAGTGCAATGAGAAGCCACTGAAAGGTTTTTAGCAGGAAATTAACATTGTTTCTAATTTTTATTTTTAGGAAAATAACTTGCTACTAAGTGGTGAATGGGAGACAAGAGTGTCTGTGAGGCTAAAGGCTGTTCTTGCTGAAGCCCCAAAATACTTATTTACTCTTTCTTGGTGTAAATGAGATGAAAGATACTACAGGAACATCACATGTGTTCAATAACTGCGCGAGTGATATACTTCCCTACGGGGACATGAACAGTACTTGAACAGCTGTTAATGTCTGTTGCCCTTAGGAAATTTATTTCATCAAGCATACAGTGTTTCAACCCTTATTAACTTATTTCATAAGGCATAATATATCTGACTGTGATCTGTTCACTTAATGCTACTCTGCTCTTTGCACGAGCATGGGACAACCAGTTGCTCTCTGTAGTCGTAGTTTATTAACGTGCAATTAAAGACATTTATCATATCTCTGAAAATGTCTCTTCTCCCATAAAATTAACATCATCTCCTCAAAAAGATGCTTACGATATATGCTGGATTATAGTTACTGTTAAAATGTATTCAGAAACAAAAATAGAATTGAAAACTATAGAGGAATTTTTTTAAAGCATGGGCTTTGGAATCAAACTTGTGTTTGAATTCTAGTTCTGCCACTTACCAGTCATTTGCACTTGAGTAAGGTACTTATCCCTTCTGAACTTCAGTTTTTCATCTGGAAATAGGCATAATGACATCTACTTTATGAAGTTGTTGGTTATGTAAAGCCATCTATGAAAAATGGTTAGACCAGTGACTGACACATACGCATTCCATAAGTGATAGATACATAAATAATATAAATAAAAAATGAATGCTATAGCTGACAAATGTGATTAAAAAGTCTACAATGCAAATTATTTTTATAAAGTATAAAATCCATGTGACCATATAATATACTAGGACAAGAATGCCTGTTAGATTTCAGATTCAAGACAACATACTAAGTTTAAGTGTAGTTATCTTTGCTAGGTTAGCTTTATGTATTTGCATGAATAATTGTTTAAATTTGTCTGATTGTACTACGGACTGGCAGGCAATAAATTTCATTATCTAGTCTTAAAATGTGAAGAGAAGACAGCTCAAAGTTCATTTCTCATGCCTGATCTTTCTGGGGGATACAATGTACAACATCAGATAATTCTTTTGCCTTCTTTTCTTTTGTGCATCCAGTAACAGTTATATCATTTTTTTCTGAATCAGCCTTTTCACAAAACCATTATGTGATAAGCTCTTGTCTTGGAAAACCTCAACAGCTTCCTCAACACCTATATTTTAAATCCTGCTTAAATGAGATTAAAATACGGCACTCTGTTAAGCTGTAAAACTGGCTTTTTGCTTCTCAGTTGAGTGTTGGTTTGAATGTGTCATTTGACCTATATTGCTGCTCTGAATCTTCCTCGGTTGCCCCAATGATGACAGTTTCAATGATGTGGGTGTTTGCAGCAGAGTTGTTCCTAATAAGGAAGTAACGCTATTGTCTTTCAGACATCATTCAGCCTGAAAAGTACTATTTTTCCCACCTAGAGCTATAAATGTCTGTAAAATCTTTTCTTCTTTTGGTAGCATTTGCAGCAGCAGCAGGAAAAAAAAATAGTCCTAGTAGATTTGCAGCTTTTGTAGTTTTGGGGTGTTGTGGTTCCAGGCTAAGATTCACTCACCCTTCTTCAAAAGTTGTATACAAAGGGTTGATAGCTAAATGGTGACTGAAGTACTTGATTTATTAGTATCTGGCAGTCATCCAATATGTACTAGAATACAAGACTCTCTGTCAACAATAGCTGCATAAAGAGCAAACTGCTCTGCCTGAACCTAAAATAAGGCCTTCTGCTGTCTGCCCGTTAATTGAAGACAAGTGGGCCAGGAGTGGCTGAGGAAAAACGAACAAAGAATAGGCAATTGTCATGCACATGGAGGCACTACCTGTGCCTCTTTGAGAAACAGAAATCCCCTGACCTGGTTCTTACATTGAGAGAAGCTAACCCAGCCCAGTAATACATTTTAGCTCCTTGCATGTATAATTATGACCATTGAAAAATAGGATACTACCTTTTTATTGGGTCAGGTAAGATGCAGGAGGAGGGAGAGCAAAGTGCCCTACTTGAGGGTGGGATTGAGATTAGAATGTGAAGAGAAGAGCAGAAAGCTTCCTTCTTACACAAATAAAGGTTCTGTGGATTCATCTAGAAAAATGAGTTAAAAAAAAAACGAGTGGAACTATAGTTTCTAAAGTCTGTGGAGTTGGGACAAATGGTAATTATAAAGACTAAATGTGAATACTCATAGTTCTTTAATTTGATTGTATTACCACTTAATTCATAGTTTTGAAGGAAATAGCCATTATATTAGATGGCACATTAATTTTAAGATGCAACCCAATTTTCAAAATGTTAAAATGGAAAAGAAAGTTAAAGGGTGATTGTTAGGACAAGCATCTCCAAATACTCTGTGTGGAGGCATTTTAATTCCATGCTCTTGCAAAATTAAACTCAAAAATGTTTCAAATTACTGGGTGTTATATGCCCTTCTGGTGGAAGCCACATTTTCTCTTTCCTTTCTTTCCCTGTCTACCCTCCCTCTTCCCCTTCCTCCCCAAATCTATCAGTAAAGACCACCTTGCTGTGGGCAGCTAGCTGAAAGAGACCATCTGCCTTAGGAATAGCCTACACTAGATTCAAACTACAAAGAAGCAGGTTGGGGGAAAGAGGAAGTGAGGATTTCAAGTCAAGAAAGCATCCTGCCTACTCTGGCAAAGTATTCTGCCAGCAGCATATTTGGATTCACACTGTGGGTTTAATTCTTTCCGTTTAATACTTTTTGTTGACCTTATAAAGCCAAAAAATAAAGGAACACCCATGGCACTGCTGGAAAGAGGTAACTGATTTCTGATGAACCGGTAGGCATTTTAGCCACTAACCAACGTATCAAAGTGGGCACAACTAACACATGTTAACAGTTTTCCCAAAGTAAGAAGCTTGGTTTGGAGTGAACAGGCCTTGTACTTTTGAGATTTTATTTTATGATTTTGTGAATTGATGTTCTGTGGGGAAAAAACTTGCCTTAGTTTTAATATAATGGTCAATGACTAAGAAAAATCAAGGAGTTGGGCTGGGTGCGGTGGCTCTCGCCTGTTGAGAAATTTACATGTCCATCAGTTTCTTGTATTGTAGTTTGAAATCAAGAAACTACCTCAGTTTCTTGTACAAGTAGTTTGAAATCAGGCGGTCAAGTTTCATTCTACCCTGCTAGAATATACAAGAATCCAAAGCAATAATGTAATTTATACATTTCAAAAGGCTAATGCCAAATTTTATCAGCAAATTGGTCATAAGTCTCCAACTGGAACAAAGTGAGTGATTGTTGGGCAATGTAGTCCTGCAATGTGAAATTCTTGTATGCATTCCTTCTTAAAAGGAAGCAAAATAAGCCTTTCCTATAGAATTTCCACTTCAAGATTCCATCATCGGCACATATCAAATACTGTTGGCAATGCTGAAAGTAAAAGCAAGGACTCACATAAAGTCTTTTGTTGCTGAAATTAAAAATAGTTGTCACTATTTTCAATATCAAAATCCTATGGTTTTTGACAGGTTTAAATTCTCTGTTGATTCATTTCAGAACAGGGTCATCTTTTTATACTTCTTTGACATTTTAAAAAATAAGTAGTTTGGCTAGAAATTGAGTGTTTCAAGCCATCTTGGCCCTTTGCACCCTAAAATTTCAGTAGCACTGTCAAGCGAATCAGTTCTTAAGAGCTGGAAACACAAAGAAGACAAATATCAAAGAATTAATTAAAATCTTTTCTTGAATGACAAAATTGACATTATCTACTACTTATATAAGGAGACTACATTGTGGATTAACCCTGAAATCAGTACTTGGAAAGTTTATTCCAGTGTGTTTCACTGAAATTTAAATTCATGACATTTGAAAAATGTAAGTTATAATTAAACACTGAGAGTAATTCTTGTGGTTATTGTATATTTGTTAAGTATTCCATGGTAAATGTGACCTGTAAATCTGTTAAATTAAATACTTGGGAGTAAATTTACTTTTACTTTCTGTGGAAACATTTGGATTACCCCAACAGTAAAAGTAACAGATTAAAAATATAATATTCTTTATTTTCAACTTTTATTTCAATATATATGCCAGTCAAATGCCAGTGAATAATAATCACATTTGATTGTCAAAGCTCATGGAATGGTACACCTAAGATTTGTACGTTTCTTTTTCTTTCTTTTCTTTTTTTTTGAGAAGGAGTTTCGCTCTTATTGCCCAGGCTGGAGTGCGATGGTGCGTTCTCGGCTCACTGCAACCTCTGCCTCCCGGGTTCAAGCGATTCTCCAGCCTCAGCCTCCCAAGTAGCTGGGATTACAGGCAAGCACCACCACACCCAGCTACTTTGTAGTTTTAGTGGAGACGGGGTTTCTCCATGTTGGTCAGGCTGGTCTCGAACTCCCAACCTCAGGTAATCCACCCACCTCAGCCTCCCAAAGTGCTGGAATTACAGGTGTGAGCTATCGTGCCCAGCCTGTACGTTTCTTTATATATGAAGTTTGCATTAAGAGATCATGAATATTGAACTCTAGTGAATGATATGCCTGCTGAAGTGTTTTAAGGGTGAAGAGTACTGATGTCTGCAACTTACACTGAAATAAAATGGAGTGATATTTGGATTAAACGATGAATAGATGGGTGGGTATGTAATAAAGCACATATAATACAATTTATTATTGAACCTAGATGGCGGGTATATGGGTGTTCACTGTAAAATTCTTCCAACTTTTCTGTGTGTTTGAAAATTTTTCATAATAAGATGCGAGGAAAAAGCTTAAAACATGCTTGAATTATAATTCTATAATATATTAATATTAAAATACTGGAAGTACTCTTGCTTCATCAAAGTTACTTTCAAAAATATTGGTTTTTGTCATCTTCAAAGCATGTAATAAGAATTTTTTAAATTAAGTATTAAAATAAAACTTTTAATGTTTGAAACTTAAATCTCACATGGCACTGTTCCTATTATGGATTTTGGGGGTTAGACCTGTAGCTACCCATGGTATCTTCTTTCAGTGGCTCATATATACAAGATTTCAATTTGTAGTTCCCTCACTAAAAACAAACAGCCTCTGATGAAATTTATCTTGATAGGGACATCTGAAAGTGTTGATGAATGCCAAGGACTCTAATGGAAAACAAACAAACAAACGATAATTTAAAAAATACTGTTTGCTTTAAAATTCTACTAAAATGGAGTTAGTCTACATGATAACATTAATCCCATTTGCTGTGCCAACATTTAAGAAGGAATCTGTGGTTTATCATCTGGTTTGCCAATTTTTTGTTAAATATGAGGAATATTTTAGTAATAATTTTTTAAAGATTACATGCAATAATAGCTTAAACTTTAATACCCATTAATGAGTATCCATAAAGAAAACAATTCAGTACCACTTAAAAATAATTTGAATATCAGTCATCATAATACGATGAACACATTTGATAGAGAATATGTGAATAGAAGTACATTGAATCAGTTTTATTCTATCTACAGATGCTGAATGGCATAGGGAATTGTGGGTCTCATGAAATTTTCTCAGAAGTACCCGGAGGATCTTCACTACCAGACTGATAAACACAATTTTTTGGTTCTTTGCCCACACAGGAAACTTTTCTAGAAAAGTTTCAAAGAATACATGCCGAAACATGAATCCTGGAAAAGAAAAGTGATCTTCTAAATTTGAAAATGAAAGATTTATGTGGCTCTCACGTGAAACATCCTCTGGCAAGGGAGTAGGTACATGATGGAAATACATGGATTTTCACTGAAGAAATGAAAATATAAGTGGCAAAGTAAACTTCATTTATACTATTGAAATATTCAACTGAGGAAAGTACATTACTTTTAAATTGGAAGAAGCAAGGGCACATGATTTTTTTACAGGCCATGTCATTCTCTCATTTCTTTCATATTGAAATTAGTTGGACTTTTCTTTATCATAACGAGTGTTGCCACAGTTTACACCTGCCATTCTGACTTTTCGTATACCACCTGTTGAGAGGAATTTTTTTTTCATTCTGTTATCTACATCATTGAAAAACTTAACACAATCCATGTAAAGAAGAAACAAAAATATACTTGTAATGTTCACATAAATATAGAAATATAACTTAGGAGTCCACCTAATGCTAGAATTTTTATCGCATTTTAAGTGTTATGGAGTTTTAAAATTTCCATGTGACTTAATAGCTGGAAGGAAGCATTAATATTTAAATATTAATTTCAATAAAGATAAAACAAATTAATACTTTTAAATGAATATTTTAAATTCCCTAACGAGAAGACAATTGCATAAAATTAAGTATGTATTTTAGTTTGAAGAACTAAATCATTCGTGATACATGACCGTACTACCTGCCGGATTCATCTTTTTGCCAAATATTTCAATAGTAATTCTTGAAGTCAATTCTCAGCACATATCAACTTTTACTGTTGTGGTGGGTGAGAGAGTGGAGAATCAGGCTTTAAGGTGAATTTATAATTTACTATGTGAATATTGCCAGGAGTTAGAATGACCTTTAAACATTTTGTGAATTGCCTATTTCAATACTTAAGGATTTTGTATACGCAACCCTGTACAGTAATTATCAAGCATACTAAAGTTTTAGAACTACCAAGTTAAACTTAAGAACCAAAGGGGCCAGGTGCGGTGGCTCACGCCTGTAAAGCACTTTGGGAGGCTGAGGCGGGCGGATCACAAGGTCAGGAGTTTGAGACCATCCTGGCCGACAGGGTGAAACCCTGTCTCTACTAAAAATACAAAATTTAGCTGGGTGTGGTGGTGCGTGTCTGTAGTCCCAGCTACTCGGGAGGCTGAGGCAGGAGAATTGCTTGAACCAGGGAGTCGGAGGTTGCAGTGAGCCAAGATCGTGCTATTGCACTCCAGCCTGGCGACAGAGTGAGACTCTGTCTCACACACACACACGAAAAGAACCAAAGGACGTCTGTTTTGCAGATATTTAGACATTCTATTATTTGCTTTACAAATAACTAAGAAATACCTAGTGATGAATAAGAGTTGGATGGGTGATTCTGTAGCTAAGCTGTTCAGTACCGTAGCCATTAGCCACCTGTGGCTACTTAAATTTAAGTTCATTATAATTAAACAAAATAGAAAATTTGGTTCTTCAGTCACAGCCGCCAGATTTCAAGTACTAACAGCCAAATGTGCCTAGCAGCTTCGTATTGAGCAGCACAGAAAGACATTTCTATCATTGCAGAAAGTTCTACTGAAGAGTATTGTTCTCAACTGTTCATCTCCCTGGGATTTTATCTATTTTGTTAAAAGATCAGACTTCTAAAAACATAACAACTTGTTTTGAGAATTATAGAAGCTATTTGAGATTCAAGTTATCTCATAGAAAAAGTTGATTGTACATTTTAGGTGTTGTATTTTCTGAAAATATCTAGTATTGTTAAAACAAGAGTACTTAGTAAGAATTATTGATATGGCACTGTACATTCCTTGTCATTAAAAAAGTGGTCAGCACAAGGAAAAAAAAAACATATATAGTTTAACTAAAAATCACTTTTCCTCTCCTAAAATTATTCTTTAAGTTGTGGTTTACAGGCTTGATTATAGCAAACCATCTCAATGCCTGCATGCAAATAGCTAAATATTATTGACTAATCTCATTTTGAATTCATAGCCACAACAATTCTCAAAGGAGATTCAGCCTCTCCAAGCACCAAACATCCTATTCCATTTCCACTTCTTATTCTCTAAACTGATTTTCACACCTTCTTCTCTCTCTTCAAACCTCCCTCTCACAACAGTTATGTCTTCTTTTTACTTCATTGAGGAAAAGAAATATGACACCCCATTTCCCTCATTTTTTCATCTGCAAATCTACCAGCTCATCTGGATCCAAATCTACATTCTCCTCTTCCCACCTTTTTTTTAGAGATGGAATCTCCCTCTGTTGCCCAGGCTGGAGTTCAGTGTGTGATCATAGCTTAATTACTACAGCCTTGAAATCCTAGGTTCAATAAATCCTCCCACCTCAGCTTCCTAAGTATCTAGGACTACAAGTGCATGCCACCACGCCTGGGTAATTTTTAAATTTTTTTGCAGAGACAGGGTCTCACTGTGTTGCCCAGGCTGGTCTCAGCTCTTGGCCTCAAGTGATTCTCCTGCTTCAGCCTCCCAAAGAACTGGGATTACAGGTGTGAGCCACTGTGTCCAGCCTAAATCTACACTCTTGGCCTGCCTTTCAGTTTTACTGGAATTGACAAGTTTACCTGTTCTCATATCATGTCCAGCCTTTCCACTTGGACTCTGGATTTCATTTACTTTTAACTTATTCATGCATGTTCTTTTGAAATTATCTCTCTCCTCCTTCAATATCAATTTTTTTGTGTGTGCCTATAAATATGTTCTGCTGTTTTCTAACTTTAAACCCATATAAAAATACGCTCTTTTGATTCTCTTTTCTCTTTCGGATATTACCTTGTTTTTCTACTCTCCTTGCTACATGCAAACACACATCAAAATCTAGAAGGAATTATTCATACTTTTTATTGCAATTATTTACCTCGTATTCTCTTTTCAAATTAGTTCATCAGGGCTTCCCTGACATAGGCTGGTTTTCTTTCCTCCTTTCCTTCCTTTTTTTTTTTTCTTTCTTGTTTTTGTATCCTATGGTCACATGACTATTGCATTGTCAAATTGAATGGCCATGTCTCTGTTCTTCCCATACTTGATCCCTCCACAGAATTTGGCACAGTTGACTACTTGCTCCTTCTGGAAAACTGTCTTCTTTTGTACTGAGCCACATAAAATCATCCTGGTTTCCTCCCCTCTCAGTTTCCTTTTCTCATCATTTCTGTATCCCCAAATGTTAGTGCCAGTTCTAGCTTCATACTTTTTTTTGGATTAAGTCATCCAATCTAATGTCTTTAAAATGCTAACTATATGCAAATCACCCTTAATATGTTTTTATATTTAATTCTAACTTATCTCGTGAACATGAGGCTTTTTTCCCCTCAAACAGCTTACTTGACATACCCATGGGAGTACGTATCTAATATGAATGTCAAACTTAACATAAACAGACCTTTTGATTTTTTTCCATCAGACCTCCCAGCATAAACAACAAACAAACCTGCTGAGCCCTCACTGATTAACTGGTTCCATTATGACCCGATGACTAAAGTCAAATTTATAAATGCTTTTATAAACTTCATATCTAATCATCAGTGAATCTTGTCTCCTGTACCTCGCATCCCCCAAATCTGGCCACTTTTCTGTTTCTTCATTATCACTACCTTATCTCAACCCTTATTACTTCTCACCTAGACTGTTACAATTATTTCCTGTCATGTTTTTTTTCTTTTGTCACCATACAATTAAATCTCCCTTCTTCCTCTACAGATACAATAATCTTTGAAAAGGTAGACCAGGTAATTTTACTCCACTGACTTCCTATAACCCTAAGGCAAAGATCTGAATATTTTAACCTGGTCTACAAAATCCTTCATGTCCTAACCTCTGCCTAGCTTTTTACCCCACGTCATTCCCTTTCCCACTTGCATCTCAGGCCAACTCCTACATTAGCATCTTTATGTAGTTAGTAGATGTTTCTCTGCATGAAATGTTCTTACTTCAGATCATCTCTATGTGGGCTTCTCCCTTAATTGATACTTTCTCAGAAATCTTAATTAAGTGATACTTTCTCAGAAATGCCTTTCCTGACCTAACGAAAGTAGGAACAGTCACTCTCAATCACTTCAACCTATTACAGTTGTCAGTGTGGAACTTATGCTCTCTAAAATCTTTCTTATTTTACTTATTTACTGATTAATTATGTATCTTTATCTGCACAAAATAATCTCCATTTTATCCCCACTGTCTGGAGCTTTGCCTGTTCTAGAATCTGAACTCTTTGTATGAATTAAATAAGGATGAAGTCAAAACAAACTGTACTGTTTTTTGTTTCAAGTATCAGGCGATATTTAACTATTTGAAGTTATGGGACTACCAAAGTTACTCCTTCTGGTTGACACTTTACTGAGACAAACACCAGTGATATGAAATTTCCATATAGTCATGCATCACTTAACAACAGGCATATGTTCTAAATGCATTCTTAGACAATTTTTTGTTGTGGAAACATCAGAGTGTACTTACAGAAACCTAGATAGTATAGCCTACTACAAACCTAAGCTATATGGTAGAGCCTGTTACTCCTACAAACATGTTACTGTACTGAATACTTAGGCAATTTGAACACAAAGGTAAGTAATTGTGTATCTAAACATTTCTTAACATAGAAAAGGTACAATTCAAATACAATATTATAACCTTATGCTACCACTATCATATTATGTGGCCTGTTATTGACAGATACATTGTTATTCTGTTCATGACTGTATTAGTACCAGGTTGTGGCTGTTTCTAATATATCCTCTCCCACTCCTCTCATTCCTTACTGAAGTCACCAGGGTAGTAGCAAATCACTGGAACCAGACCTATAATATATCTGACTTGGTATCTGTAACTGTTCTGAGAAACATGTGTTGAAAGGCAGCCAGGCTGCCTGATGATTATTTAGTAGCTGTCTTTCTTTACTGAACAACAGTGAATAATATCTTTGATCTCTGCCACTGAGAAATAAACAGAACCCATCAGGAATTTAATCCCTGGGAATGATTTTCACATTTCCTGGTATAGACGTTTGATTTTGAAGCTCATATGGTTTGCACAATAAATATTTACCTATTTATGTCAAAATGCATGTTAAATCATTTTTATGGTTGGTGTGAGGAATTTGTGAAACAATCCCATCCTTTTGTTATTACTGTGTTTTTGTAAGAGGACTTCTCACACCTTAACCTCATCAATAGTTTTTCCTGTGTGTTAATGCAACAAAATGGAAGCAAAAAGATATATTTTGTTTTCATTTATTTTATTCACCTGAATCTATCCAGAGGGAAAGCACTGGAAGTGTTTTCTTTTTAAGAGTGTTAACTTGTATTCTTGGTAAGATCTCATCAAAAGCTTAAATAACGAAGGTAAGAGTCAGTATTCTGTGGACAGCTTAGCTCTACACAAGACCTTCTGTCCATCTTGCTAGTTATTTTCCAGTTAATGGAAATCTTATAGACAGAAAAGCTCATGTTAGCTTCTCCCGCATAGTATTATGTCAACAATCCTTACTCTAATCCTTGATGCAGCTCTTTACCTAAATGTTATAGAGATGGAGAATCACAGCTGCCAGCAATTCAAAATATAACATGCAGTAGCTATTTTTTAAAAAAAATTTTATTTGCTCTCATAAAAATACCATCTTAAAGGGTTTTTGAAAATTTACTTGTGATTTTGTCTTTTTTTAAAGTATTGAGAAAACTATTGAGTCTGAAGTAAAGTCTCTAAAATACATCTTGTCTTATTGTAAAGTAATATGACTGATATTTTGTGTGAATTTTAGAATTAGTTTTTTCACTTTATAGATTCATTACATAGTGGCACTTGATTTAAACATTGCATCAGTACTGTAGCCCTTGGGCATCGTGTATAGAGTGTCTATTAGCTTTAACTCATTTCTAAAAAATTAACTTCTAAGAATAAGAAAAATATTGAAAACTCTTGAAAGTAAGTTAGAAACGACCATGATTTTATTTTTATTTTTAATTTTTATTTATTTATTTTTTTGAGACGGAGTCTCACTCTGTTACCCAGGCTGGAGTTCAGTGGCACAATCTTGGCTCGCTGCAAGCTCTGCCTCCGAGGTTCAAGCCATTCTCCTGCCTCAGTCTCCCGAGTAGCTGGGACTACAGGCACCTGCCACCACGCCCGGCTAATTTTTTGTATTTTTGGTAGAGACGGGGTTTCACCGTGTTAGCCAGGATGGTCTCGATCTACTGACCTCGTGATCTGCTCGCCTTGGCCTCCCAAATTGCTGGGATTACAAGCGTGAGCCACCGCGCCCAGCCGATTTTTTTTTTTTCCTGCAAAACCATCTAAGGGAGGTGTTTGGGTTTTCAAGGAAATACCGGCTATAAGCATCATTGGATGTTTTGGTGGGGTGGGTTTTTTGAAAATGTGTATGCAGATAACAGTGAGTGATATTGCATAAGTATTTTAACTACTTAGATTGTTTAAATTTGGTTAACATAAAATCAAGGAAATGGCTTGCATTATTCTATCTTTTCTTTTCTAAACAGTGTTTCCTTAACAATTAATTCTAACAAGTCTTGGAACCATGGGCACTTTCTTTCCTCCTGTCACCATGATTGATCCCTATTTTGTTGGAAAGTGAAAATTGAGCAGTTTTAACTCTAAAGGCTAACATTATGGAAAAAAATTTCAACTGAATTTGCTAGTAAATGCTTTGTATGAAAATATTTAGAATTTAAGTACTTCTCTTTACAGACAAAATCATTTATTTTCAGTGTATTATGAACATAGTTCCTAGTAGGGTATGTAAATGATTCACTTTTAAATTATGAATATTTTCTTCCAAATTCCATTGTTAAAATTAGTAAGTGTAAAGTATGACTTTTAAGCAATATTTCATTAGCTATCATTAACAAGTATTTAACCACCTTGTTTCAAATTAGTTAGCTAATGAGGTATAAATTATTAAATCTGAAAATTTTATTTGGACAAGTATTGTATCATTAATTTAAAATGATTACAATGTAGTTGAATTGTTATTCAGTATTTAATATTTTATTGCCTATAAAAATAAATAATAGCCATGCAAACTTATTTTTCAAATGGTGTTATCTGTGCTATATTTAAAATAGGCCAGGTGCGGTGGCTCACGCCTGTAATCCCAGCACTTTGGGAGGCCGAGGCGGGTGGATCACGAGGTCAGGAGATCGAGACCATCCTTGCTAACGTGGTGAAACCCCGTCTCTACTAAAAATACAAAAAAAAAAATTAGCTGGGCGTGGTGGTGGGCACCTGTAGTCCCAGCTACTGGGGAGGCTGAGGCAGGAGAATGTCATGAACCCGGGAGGCAGAGCTTGCAGTGAGCCAAGATCACACCACTGCACTCCAGTCTGGGTGACAGAGCGAGACTCCATCTCAAAAAAAAAATAAAAAATAAATAAATAAATAAATAAATAAAGTTAGGTTTGCATATATGAGCATATGCATTTATAACTAGATGGAAACTTCCTTAAATATTTAACATTTCTCCTTAAATTTTATATTTTATAGTACTTTTTTATGGTTAGATTCTAAGTTCTACTTACATTCAGTGTGTATACAAATTGAGATAGGGGTTGTAATGGAATATATAACTTGAATATTTCTATTTGCATTGCCATAGCATCATTTTATTTTGCTCTTAGCAAAATCTTTCTATAGAGGCTTTTTCTCCTTTCAGTTGTAAAGAATCTCTTATCTTTAAAAAATATGTCTCATTATTTTCTTACAATGTAATAGTAAAAACAAAAATACCATCAGGTTTTTCTCGATCCTTCCTATTTTCCTGGATGTGTGCTTTTGTGTTTTTATTGATATGGATAAATACATCTTCAAATTCAAGTACTAGCGTTTCAGAGAAGTAATATGCTTCTTTTGTTCTGGTTCCTCTTAAATGTTAGTAATAAAGAAACAATTAACCTAGATATAGAACAACTCAGTGAAGGGAAAATGTCTTCATGGGTCCCTTGAGAAAGACCTATTTAGCTTTTTATGTTTCTAATTTTTAACATTGAGTATAGAGTATATAGCTGTCTTTACACTTTTTTTTTTTTACATTTTAGCTTATTTGTAATGCTAACAGGTAAAGTAGAAAAAAAAAATCACTAAAAAAATGGGGATTTAGTAGAAAAAGAAAACTCAGTCCCTAAATAATATCCTACACATTTACATTATTTCCTTATGATATTTTAAGTGTTCCCTATGAATATTTTTATTTTCAAAATGCCAAAGTTATCAGTAATTTTAAAGCTAATACTGCCAATCTTACTCTTCCAATTCTACTCCTAATCTTTTCCTCCTAAATGCTTGATCCAAGTACCTCCCTTTGGGACAAGTACCAAATGTCTTTCTCCATATGATTTTTTGAATGAATTCTGAGTGAGTTAATTAATTAATTCTAGGAATTAATATTTCTTTGATTTCTAGCAAGCCAGAGCATTTTCTTCAAATGTGCATTAACCATGTGTTAATTATATCTTTATGTATACACTGTAGACATTGTGTATGTGTCTGTAGATTTCCAGCTTGGATTTATACATTTTAATTTTCATTGGTTTGCTTTTACTGTCTTAGGCCCCTCAATCCGTGGGTAGACCTTGGAGGAGCAAGCTTTCAGATCTTTTCCACTGGAGTTCTCTCCCCCATTGCAGCTCAGTGGCCATCATGATATCTACCAGAACATTCAGTTTTCTGAAACTGTGTAAACACTCTTGTAAAAACACAGTGTAGAGTCACTGTGGGAGAGTGTCTTCAACCACCATTCCTATCCTGTAACTGAACATAGCTGATAATATGTCAGTAGTTTTATTTTTGTCCATCATTCAAATAGAGTTCCACAGTAATTGTTTCCTCTTGGAAGATAACTTGCTTAGCAGTGGGGAAAAAAATGGATTAGACAGGGTAAAATGTTATCGGAAATGGGCCCTGATCCAGAACCCTAGAGAGGGTTCTTAGACCTCACACAAGAAAGTATTCGGGGAGAGTCCGTACAGTAAAGTGAACACCAGTTTATTAGGAAAGTAAAGGATTGAAGAATGGCTACCCCATAGGCAGAGCAGCGGCATGGGCTGCTTGACTGAGTATACCTATAGTTATTTCTTGATTATATGCTAAATAAAGGGTGGATTATTCATGAGTTTTCTGGGAAAAGGGCAGGCAATTCCTGGAACTGAGGGATCCTCCCCCTTTTAAACCATGTAGGGTAACTTTTGGATGTTGCCATGGCATTTGTAAACTGTCATGGTGCTGATGGGAGTGTATTTTAGCATGCTAATGCATAATAATTAGCATATAATAAACAGTGAGGACGACCAGAAGTCATTTTCATTGCCATCTTCGGTTTGGTGGGTGTTGGCCAGCTTCTTTACTCCATCCTTTTCTGTCAGCAAGGTCTTTGTGACCTGTATCTTGTACAAACCTCCTATCTCATCCTGTGACTAAGAATGCCTGACCTCATGGAGATGCAGCCCAGTAGGTCTCAGCCTCATTTTACCCAGCTCCTAGTCAAAATGGAGTCACTCTGGTTCGAACACCTCTGACAAAAATATTCTAAGTATAAATACATCAAACCACATTGAAAAATTCATCACCAAGTTACTTTCAGTACAGTTCATTACCCCATATCTAAAAGCGATCTTGAAATCTGCTTGGTTGTTAGTGGAGACGTTTCACTTCCTTGTTATTAAAAACCTTTTCGCTAACTGCCTTATTAAGATATTATTCATATACCATACAGTTCATGCCTTTAAAGTGTACAATTAAATTTTTTTTAGTATATTTACATAGTTGTGCAATTATCACCATAATCAATTTTACAATATTTTCATCACCCCCAAATGAAACAATGTACCCATTAACAGTTACCACTCATATTGCTCCTAACCCTTCCCCCTCAGCCATAGGCAACTACTAATTTATTTCCTGTCTGTATGAGCTTGCCTATTCTGCACAATTTATATAAACAGAATAATACAATTTGTTGTTTCGTGACTGATTTCTTCCACTCAGCACAATGTTTTTAAGATTCATCCATATTAAAACATTTATCAGTACTTCATTCTTTCTTATTGTTGAATTACATTCCATTGAATGGATATACCACATTTTATTTATCTGTTCATAATTTAATTGTCATTTAGGTTGTTTCTAGTTTTTGCCTGTTATAATGCTACTATGAACATCATTTACAAGTTATTGATGTGTTTTTCTGTCTTTATGAATAGAAATGCTGTGTCATATAGTAACTCTATATTTAACTTCCTGGGGAACGGTCATACTTTCCAAAGAGGATGCACCATTTTATATTCTCATTATCTAATGTATGATGGTTCCAATTCTTCCATCTTTCTCAACAATACTTGTTGTTATCTGTCTTTTTTATTATAGCCATAACTGTTTTCAGCAGTTCTGTGGATTTATTTCACTTTCTTGATAGTGTCCTTTGAAGCACAATAGTTTTTAATTTTTTATAAAGTCTACTTTATTTTTTTTTAGTTTTTATTTTTGGTGTTATTTCTAAGAGATCATTGTCTAATCCAAGGTCACAAATTTGATCCTATGTTTTCTTGCAGGTTTTGCTATAGTTATAGCCCTTACATTTAGTTAATCGATCGATTTACAATTAAATTTTTACAAAGCGTAAGGCAGAGTTCCAGCCTCCTTCCTTGGTTATATATATATATGGATATCCAGTTGTCTCAGCACCATTTGTTGAAAAAACTATTTTTTTCTCCCTTTAAATAACCTGGCACCTTTGTTAAAAAATAATGGATCATAAAAGTAAGTTTTATTTCTGGACTCTCAGTTCTACTCGTTGACTTATGTGTCCATCTTTACACCAGTACCACACTATTTTGATTATCAGCACTGAGAGAACTTTAAATGGTTTATGGGGAGAGAGTAGCTTTGGGCTTCCCTGAGGGTTATGTCTTGCAAAACTGGAAGCTCAGCCATGCTACTGTTACAGGAATTATTGGCTCTTGTATGATGTGAGACTTGTAATCCAGGGTGACTCCCACGTCTATCAAATGTGGACACTGGTTTATCTTCTGGAGGGTCAAGGAGAATAATTTATGAATTAACATATTGACTGTTGAACGTATTCTCATTGAAGAGGAATACCTAATGCTGCCCCGCTAAGATGCTGTTCTTCTGCCTTCTGTTCTCAGAATGGATCTGATGCCAAGTATAGACTATAGTGATCTTGTGAGTCTCAGTGTTCAGCAGAGCCAAAGATGAAGACTAGGTTTGTGCCTAGACATAGAAACGGGGTGTAAAAGGGTTTAAGCTACTTGGCATTTGTCTGTGAGGAAGTGTATTTCACACATATTGGCAGAGTATGTTTGTAATTAGGCAAATATAGGTCACTGGAATTGATCTGCTGTGAACTAATTGATCTACCTTGAACAAACCCTGTAACCACTGAGCCACAGCCTCTTCAACTGTAAAATTTAAAGACTAGTAATTGATAGTCTCTATCCCTCATGCTGAATCGAGCATCCTATGACTTGTCTAAGATTGTTCACACTGTAGTTTGATACTTTCTTACATTCCTGAAAATGTGAGTTTTGAGGTTTTTTCAGATGATTTTCTCTATGGGAAAAAATAGCATACAGAACATTCTCATGACCTCAGACTAGATAATAAATGACTGAGCAATGGAACTGTAACTGTGAATATTGAAAATTATAAAAAAAAATTAGCCAGACATGGTGGCACGTGCCTGTAGTTGTAACTACTTGGGAGGCCGAGGTGAGAGGATTGCTTGAGCTCAAGCTTTTGAGGCTGCAGTGAGCTACGATTATGCTAGTGTACTCCAGCCTGGGCAACAAAGTGACACCCTATCTCAAAAAGTGAGCCCCTGAGTGTACTGTAATGATATAATAACCATTTCTATATACTTATGTGTGTATATATATATGTATGTATGTATGCATAATATGATATAAATCATATTATGGTGATGCTTTTGATTGAAAGACAAGGAGATCTTAGAGTGAGTGGTTTTAACTCTGATTATGCTGCTCCCTGATATACCACAATGGGTGATAACACTTCCATGAGCTTCAGGTTCCTCCTCTTCACAATAAAAGTTTTGTGTCACTTGAGTTCAGATTTTCCTTTCAACTCTAAAATTATATGATTAATGACATGATATTCTTCATATACATCCATGCTTCTTTGACTATTTAGGCCATAGTGTCTCTCTCTAATACAAATTTTCAGATAATTTGCCAAACTGAATTTTCAAGACATTCCTTCTCAGAAACATGGCCTCCAATAAACAGGTTTTACATATTTTTTCCTTTTCCTGTTGGCCCTAACGCTGTCAATCTTAGCCTCATCGTCTAGCATAGTCATTTATGCAGGATCCTGTGTAAAGTTGATGAAAAATTCTGTCAATATGAAATATATTGAAGATTGCCAGTTTACCTTTTTATTCATTTATTGTCATGTCACTTGAAAGATATTAACGTTTATATCTGTCTAAAAATTTACTCTCTGAAAACAATAAATAACATTTGGCCTTTTGTGTTACCGTTTCTATTGAATAATTATTCTGAGGTCCCCTTTCACCCATGAAAGCACAGTAACTTGTACTCTAAAGTCCTACAAAGTATTAGATATATAATATCTAGGCATAAGGTAAAATCTATTATTATGCTTGGGTCCTTAGGCTGTGAGAGTGACCAGTTTTTACTTTCCTACCTACTTGATTAAGGTAACTCCAGTGAGGTAGAAAATAAGGGAACTGAGTCAAGAACACAAAGTGTGGTATGTAATTGCCATTTTAGATATCATTAGTAGTCACACTCCCGAAACATTAAAAATTAATGACAGAGTCAGGAAGAGGAGAGAAGGTGTCTTTTGCATTGCCATAATTTTTACAATGTCTACATGCTGTCCTATAGCCTGGAATATGAGATTTTTAAAATCATGGTTACTATCATCACTCAAGTGTCTTAGGCTGAAAAGGACATTTTCCATATTTCATAAATTCAAGTCCCAGCCAGAGTAATCAGGCAAGAGAAACAAATAAAGGACATCCAAATAGGAAGAGAGGAAGTCAAATTATCCTGTTGGAGACAACATGATTCTATATCTAGAAAACCCTATAGTTTTGTCCCCAAAGCTCCTTCACCTGATAACTTCAGCAAAGTTTCAGGATACAAAATCAATGTACAAAAATCATTAGCATTCCTATACACCAACAGCCCAGCTGAGAGCCAAATCAGGAATGTAATCCGTGTCACAGTTGCCACAAAAATAATGAAATACCTAGGAATACAGCTAACTAGTGACATGAAAGATCTCTACAATGAGAGCTACAAAACACTGCTCAAAGAAATCAGAGATGACACAGACAAATGGGAAAACATTCCATGCTAAGGGATGGGAAGAATCAATATTATTAAAATGGCAATACTATCCAAAGCAATTTACAGATTCAATGCTATTCCTATCAAACTAACAATGATGTTTTTCACAGAAGTACAAAAAATAATTTTAAAATTCATATGGAACCAAAAAAGAGTCCAAATAGCCAAGACAATCCTAAGCAAAAGTACAAAGCTGGAGGCATCATGTTAACTGACTTCAAGCTATACAACAGAGCTACAGTAATCAAAACAGCATGGTACTGGTACAAAAACAGGCACATAAACCAATGAAACAGAATAGAGAGCTCAGAAATAAGGCTATATACCTAAAACCATCTGATCTTCAAACAAAGCTGACAAAAACAAGCAATGGTGAAAAGACTCCCCAGTTATTCAATAAACGGTGCTGAGATAACTGGCTAGCCACATCCAGAAGATTGAAACTGGACCCCCTCCTTATACCATATACAAAAATCAGCTCAAGATGCATTAATGACTTAAATGTAAAACTTGAAGCTATAAAAACCTTGGAAAATAACCCAGGCAATACCATTCTGGACGTAGGAATAGGCAAATATATATTTCATGACAAAGATGCCAAAAGCAATTGCGACAAAAGCAAAAAATTGAAAAACGGTATCTAATTAAACTTAAGAGCTTCTGCACAGCAAAAGAAACTATCAACAGAGTAAACAGACAGCCTACAGAATGGGAGAAAACATTTGCAAACTATATATCTGACAAAGATATAATATCCAGCATCTATGAGGAACTTAAAAAAATTTGAAGCAAAAAACAGTCCCATTAAAAAGTGGGCAAGGGCATGAACAGATACTTTTCAAAAGAAGACATACATGTGGCCAACAAGTATATGAAAAAAAGGTCACTATCATTGATCATTAGAGAAATGCAAATCAAAACCACAATGAGATACCATCTCGTACCAGTCAGAATGGCTATTATTATTAATAAACAGTAAAAAAAAAAAAATAACAGATGCTGGCTGGTTGTAGAGAAAAGAGAACACTTACACACTGTTAGTAGGAATATAAATTAGTTTAGCCATTGTGGAAAGCAGTGTGACGATTCCTCAAAGACCTAAAAACAGAACTACCATTCACTCAGCAATTCCATTACTGGGTATATGCCCAAAGGAATATAAATTATTCTACCATAAAGACACATGCATGCATATGTTCATTGCAGCAGTATTCACAATAGCAAAGACATAGAATAAATCTAACTGTCCATCAATGACAGACTGGATAAAGAAAATCTGGTGCATATACACCATGGAATACTATGCAGCCATAAAAAGAGTGATATCATGTCTTTTGCAGAAACTAGGATGGAGATGAAGGCCATTATCCTTAGCAAGCTAACACAGGAATAGAAAACCAAATACCGCATGTTTTCACTTATAAGTGAGAGTTAAATGATGAGAACTCACGGACACAAAGAAGGTAACAACAGACACAGGGGCCTACTTCAGGGTGGAGGGTGGGAAGAGAGGATTACAAAAAAATAACGATTGTTTACTACGTTTAGTACCTGGGCCATGAAATAATCTGTATAAAAACCTCCTGTGACATGAGTGCACCTATATAATAAACTCCACATGTACCCCTGTACCTAAAATAAAAGTTTTTAAAAATAAGTCAAAGATGTAATCTTTTCTCTCATGTTTTTATATCTCTGAAATCAAGACATATTTTACAATTGATTGGGAGCAATTTTCTTGCTTGAACATAAAATAACATTGAATCTCGTCATCAGAGTATCTTGGATTAGACAAATTTAGTATGTTCAGAGGCAACTTTAGGTAGGGAATGACAGACCTCAAATTCCAGTGTGTCACAGACTTATTAAATAGGAATATGGTATGCAAAAATTTGCTGATTAATCAGCCCATCATAACTGAGGCTTGACTCTATGCCTATGTGCATTTTTACTTTGTCTTTCACTTCAAAGCAGGTGCAGCTGCACAGTATGAATTCAATACCCATGGTAAAGAGTCCCTTTAAAAGGCTATATTTTTATATTTAATATGTGGATACAGAAATAACAGAAAAAGATAAATAAGCTATCCAAATGCAAAGAAAATTACATTCATAGACATACCTCTTATTACCTTTTCCTCTCAACTCTGCAGAAAATATGAAGCAGGTTGGAATGTTCATTTTATGTGGCTCTCAAGGTACTATTCTCATAAAGGTAAAATGAGAAACAGTAAATTATTGTGAAGTTTAGTAATAAGAGCAAAAAAGACATATATTTATGAGAGCAAAAATATTGAGTAGCATTTGGCCAAAGGATCTTGAAACTGATTTGAATTGATTTAACCAGTGTAAATAAAAATGATTTATCAATAAAAGCTTATTTCTAGAAGTGTTTTTTTCCTGTTTTTACTGTTCTTTTCAGAAGCGTTCCTTTGCTTATGAACAGTTTAGAATATGATCTTTTTGTCAAATAAAATTTCCAGCACCTTGCAATATCAGAGACGATTTTCTTTCTAGAAGTTTTAGAAGACGTCATTATGTGTCATTCTAGACAAATAAGATGTGTTTGGCTGAAATGTTTTAGAAGTCTCTAAGGAAAGAAATAACCTGTTGATTATATTTTGACTTACTTGGGGAAATGGAAAGTCACAGCCAAGATAATGCTAAGTCTCCACCAATCACATTTTATTATGTGGTGTGCTTGCCTTTGGCCCTCTCTCTACCCCTTGGAGGAACAGGTAAATATTGGCACAAGTCAGATGAACCCTACCCATCACTTTTTGGATATATCTACATGTCATAAGAATTATGACATGATCAATCAATGTACCAGCTAATTTTCATAAATGCTGTACCTCATGAATGGAGAATTGAGTTGAGCATGAGTGAAAATTGGATTTTCCCCACTCAGAAAAAAATAAGCCACTATATATATTTTTTGTTTAGTTCTTTTTATTTTGGTTATTCTTCTTTTCCTTTATATTATTACTTAAATTTATTTATGATACTGCTTCAAGCAATATTTAACGTATCAACATTTTGAACAGTTTTAAGTATAAAAAAATTTGAAATTCTGTTCTAGTGTGAAAATACACCAGTGAGTGACATATTTGAATGAACATTTGTAGAAGTATGTTGACCTTAAAAAGCAAAAGGATTTATTTTTCCTTTTATTCAACAGATATTCATATTTGTACCAGTCATTGTGTAAAGCTCTGGGGAATGTTTCACATTTTCAAAAGGGTAGAGATTAGCGTTTCATTTTGTTTTTGACTTATCTCTCTTGTTACAAGCTCTCTGCAAGATATTTACTTAAGAGTTGGATGAAATGGGTAAATAAAAAGAAATTTATGAGGCAGAAGAAAATGTGGAACCTTCAGACATCCCTTTTTGGTACCACTTTTATGACACTTTCATCTAATCTAGCTCCATCTCAATTGACCTCCATCTAATTAGTCATAAAAGAGAATCAAGTTCTATACTGAGCAAGCATGCCTGTGCTTCATCAGTAACATTTAAGAAGGGGCAGAAATGAGTCAAACACTTAAAGATGCTGCTTTAAAAATTTTAATGTGTTCTTCAAAGATGCAAGCTTATTAAAATTTTAGTTCTGAAGAAGTAAGCACAGTATCTAGTTTGGCTCCACTGATCCTTTTAGACATATGTCACACACTTTCTTCTCATGCTCAAGAGGGTGATTACATCATTTGCATAGATGTCCGTTTTATCTCTAATAGATTATGAATTCCTTCAGGGAAATACTTGTTTTAAGGGGAATACCATGTTTTTAAAATCTTTATTTTGCAGAGAGTAACTATGCCATCACCTTGCATGTAATAGGTTTTTAATAAATCTAATTAAGTAAAAGTACCATTGACTTCTGTTCTTGGTGGTCTCAAAGATAATACTTGAGTCTGCTAAATTTGGAGGACTACCATGTAGAAAAGAAAAGAAAAGAAATGCTTCTAAAGATTCCGAGTAAAGCTAGAAACATAGTTCCGTAGTTCCTAGTCTCTCCGTAGAGAGAATACGATAACTGAAGAGGGCTTTATATGCTGAGATGAAATTTAGTTTGTTCAAATCCGTAATGAATTGCCATCGGGAAGTACTGGACTGCTTGCCACTATAAGTGTTCAATCAGTCTGGACAAGATTTTGAGAGGAATTTTCTAGAGAGATCTTAGTCATCTAATTTGCGGCTGGCCTACTTGACCTTTTTCTTCTTTACTCCTGAATCTTGTTTATAAAAAATGCAATGTAATAAAATATAATTTATATTGTATGTAATATAAATTATTTATACCTCTGTGAATATATATGATAAACAAATGAATATATACAATGTAATGTTATATTACATCATGGGTCATTTTCTTCCTAAACTATAATCATTTTTACAGTTTTAAACCAAAAAGGTAGTGAAAATAAGCGAGCCCATATTAAATTTCTAGGAAGTATCCCTAAATTGTTTCCTCAGTCTTTTGACTTATTTCACATGGAATCCTAACATACGTGGTTGTCTGTTTTTCATGTCTCAATAAAAAAAGTTGACCATAATATAAAGGATAATTGGAACTTGGCCACATATAGGAATATAAGACATCTAATAGTAAAAAAAAAAAAAAAAAAAGTTTATAATTAAAGAGAATCGTAAGTTTTATAATGACTTAGAGGCATCAGATGAAAGAGAAAACTTGTTCTGTGCAATCCCAGGGGAAAGAATTAGGAAAAATGAGGTCAAAGCTGAAAGAAGTACAGGTTTCTGTTTAATATAAGGAAGATATTTTTAACATTTTTCTGAAAACGGACAATTTTGCCTCAAGTAGTTTCATCTTAACAGATAATATATTTTCAAGCACAAAATGAAAAACCATGTAATAAAGATATTGCAGAATACATCCAAGAATCCGATGAGACATTATCTTAGTTTTCTACTTTAAATATGCAAGCTCCTTAAAACTTCTATAGATCAACACATTATGTGATGGTTTCAATATGCCTAAGGTTTGATCGTGTAGTATAGCGTTGACTTAGAAGTTGTAAATGGAAGAATTACCTTTTATTTCTCAGCCAGCGGAACCTATTTATCTCTTTATTCCAGATACGTTATGTGATATATAATGGGCAATGAAAAGGTTGGTCATTAGAGCAGCTTTAAAAAAAAAAAAAAAAAACTCATCACAGCAAGTGGAATCTGTGTTGAATGTTTAACTGATTGTAACTGAAACCTTGGCAGGGGGATAGAGAGACAGAAATGAGATTAAGGTAGGGACAGTTAAAGAAATAGCAAGAGTGTCATTTTGAAGAATTTGAATTTGATAGCAAGCATTATTGTGAGCTGTTGATGAGGACAATATGGTTATGAACATAAGAATAATCTATCAGTAATGTATATGAACCCTTAAAATGAGAGAAGTAGATGTCATGGAGGAAGAATTGTAATTTTATGATTTACTATGCTGTGATGAGGAGTAGGATGGGGAATTGAGGGGTGGATACGTAACATTTTTTTTTTTACTCATTAAAATTTCCCCAGCCCCTAAATAGGTTGTCATATTTTAAAACTCTTTATTATTTTATCCTTGATTGTCTGGAGTTGCCAAGTATATTAGTAAGTACAAAAAGTAATGGTATTAAGTTTTAATGACAAAAAAATGAATCCACTGGGTATAATTAGTATACCAAACTAGAAAGGGCCTATTCAAAGATCTAATGAAATGCACTCAGTACTTTAATTTAAATTCCACAAAGTGCTGAAATGCTGGTTTATCTTCCCAATTCCCTTTAGTGTCATTGGTATACCACCTTTACTATTGTTTCCTTAATGTATTTTTTCTGAGTTTGATTCGACATTCACCTCAACATAGATTTGTAAATCTACTTTTGTGAAAGTTATGCAACTGCTGCATTTGGACAAGTCAGCTCATCTATGAAATAAAATTCTCCTTAGTCACTGTGAAGGTAAAATAAACTAACTCATGTGGACGTATTTTGTAAATATAAGTCAATTTAGTTATTTTTATTTTTAGTTATGGAAGCCAAAGATCGAATATTATTATTTTTAATAATCACAAATTAGTTGTTTTTATATTTATTATGGGGGCAGAAGCTCATAATATTATTTAAAAAATTATCGTGGAGAAAATTTTAAAAATCACATATTCCTCAGGATAAATTAAGATTTGGTAAGTTCTCCCTAACAATTTATGGTAGTTTCTTAACCTTGCATTTGATATCAACAGTATTCAAATATTAGGGTAATGATTTGTAAGTTATCTTTTAAGGAGTTGTCTTTGTATTCTATTTTAAATTTTCTAAGAAAATCGCACGTTACTTGCTCTCCCCACACCATTTTTATGAACCGATCTCATATCCACTGGGTATGCAGTTGAAGTTTAAATGATTTCACAATACACGTTTCCTGGCTTTTAGACAGTGTATTATGTGTTTAGATTACAAATAGTTAGAAATCTATTTGCATAAAATTTTAAATTATTTTTATAATGTCAGTGATTTAAAATTATTGATAATTTCTTGGATTTTGTTCTGTTCACAATTTTTTAAAATAATGATTGTAACTGAAAGAGTAAAAATATCCGACATGAAAAAAGCTACATTAAATAATTAGCATGTTTTAAGTTACAGTTGAAGAAAAAAGTGAAAATAGACTAAATGAGATTTTTATCACATTTCCAAGTGCAAAAAGAATCATCCAGTGTTGGGGATAGGAAGTTTTTTTTTTTAAGATAAGAAAAAAGATCATTTTAAAATTTGACTATGGTTTTCCATCTTGCTCAATTAAAAAAAGTCATAGCATGTCACTTTCACTGTTAATTACCTAATCATATTCAAAGTCAGTGATTGACATTTTCACGAATCCTTATGTGGCATAAACACGCACACACACACTGTGTGTGTGTATATATATGTTTGTAGAGGTCCCTTGCTTACCTGTAGCTTTTGACTTAGTGTATTAATAATTCATTTTATGCAAATCAAAACCACAATGAGATACCATCTCACGCCAGTCAGAATGACGATTATTAAAAAGTCAAGGAACAATAAATTCTGGCGAGGCTATGGAGAAATAGGAATGCTTTTACACTGTTGGTTGGAATGTAAATTAGTTCAATCATTGTGGAAGACAGTGTGGCGATTCCTCCAGGATCTAGAACCAGAAATACCATTTGACCCAGCAATCCCATTACTGGGTGTATACCCAAAAAGTATGAATCATTCTGCTATAAAGACACATTCACACGTATGTTTATTACAGCACTGTTTACAATAGCAAAGACATGGAACCAATCCAAATGCCCATCAATGATAGACTGGATAAAGAAAATGCGGTACATATACACCATGGAATACTATGCAGCCATAAAAAGGAAGGAGATCATGTCCTTTGCAGGGACATGGATGAAGCTGGAAGCCATAATCCTCAGCAAACTATCACAGGAACAGAAAGCCAAATAACACATGTTCTCACTCATAAATGGGAGTTGAACAATGAGAACACATGACACAGGGAGGGGAGCAACACACACCAGGGCCAGTTGGAGGGTTGGGGATGAGGAGAGAAAGAGCATTAGGACAAATTGCTAATGTATCCAGGGCTTAAAACCTAGTTGATGGCTTGATAGGTGCAGCAAAGCACCATGGCACACGTATACCTATGTAACAAACCTACACATTCTGCACTTGTATCCCGGAACGTAAAGTAAAATTTAAAATAATAATAATAATAACTCATTTTAGTTAGTTGTTTAATGAGGGTATGTTTTTACCCAAGTTCTGCTTTTATGGGAGTACTGGATACTAATTATGGTTTACTGTTATATATGTATGTATATATATATATATATGTGTGTGTGTGTGTGTGTGTGTATACACTCAATTAACTATTTTCAAATATTTAAAAGGATATATTTAATCCAGTACATAGAAAAGCAAATAACAATGTCTAGCATAATTTTAAATGAAGGGCATTTATGAATAACACATACAGTGTGATACAAATATATAGTGAGCCTACCAATTAAGATCTGATAAAAAAAGAGGTACATGGTTAATATTATCAACAAATGGTTACTACAGAATACTAGATGAGGGTTAAAATAAAATCATTAATTTGTATCTGACGCAAAAATAAAGCAGTCAAATTTCTAAAGACTGATTTATGCATGTGTAACACAGTCATTCGGTTATCTTTCTGTCTACAATAACTTCAATCATTTATTTTACTTCATTTAATATTAAGCAAAACTCTTTGTGTGTGGTAGTTTGTAGGGGAAAGCAATAGGGGTAGTATTTTAAAGTAAGGCCTCTGAAAATGATGCTGCTTAATTTGTCATCTAGGCACTGCCATTATTAGGTATATAATTATAGAAAACTTACTTTCTCAACCCCTCACTTTCTCATTCATATTATGAAGATTAAAATATGCAAAAATATTGTGAGATAACTTATACAAACCACTCCAGAGACTGCCTGGTACCTTTTAAGCATTCAAATGAGCCATAATTATTAAAAAGAATAAACTTATCCTCCAGTGTATGGTAATTCTGAAACACTAGATGTCTAATAGATTTTCTCATTTCAATCCAAACAATATTTATTGGGCCCTTGGTATGTTTAAGGCATTGTGCTTGATTAGGGACATAAAAATGAGTAAGACAGGGTTTCCACTCTCAATTTCTCCCAATTTAGTATGCTCCTTGAAGGCAGTGTCCATATGTTTTGATCATCTGCAGCATTTGATGTAGTAAAGCGTATAGCCATGACATCACTTAATAAAAAGCACAGTGCTATTTGTTTATATTTATTACAATGTCTTCTTCCTCCTGAAGAGTTCAATGAGTATTTTATCAGTGTCAATTCTATTATCTACTTAACAAATTTGAACACTGAGGAAACAGTAAGGGAAAAACTGAATGCTAATAAGCACTCACAGTCTTTGACAAATTTGTGTCTGCAACTGCAGGCCAAGGAAGCATGAGTCAGAGCCACAGTAATCAAGTTGTTCCATTTTTCTTTTGACCATGCAATGTTGGATACCGTTGCTTTCTTGACTTTTCCTTTTGGTCTGTTTTAGGTGTCTCAGACTCGAAGTTTGTGTGATGAGAGGAGCACAGTCCCATAGCAATGCTAAAAGATGTGTGTGTATGTATGTACATGTGTATGTTTGTGTATCCGTGTGTCCAAGCACACACACATATATGTGTTTGGAAAATTGGGTTTTGATTTTCATCATTCTGAAGTTTAATTCCCCATTAGAGTTGATTCACTACATACCAAAGGATATACTGGTTTATTCACGTATTCAAATTGTACTGAGTGGCTGGTATGGTAAGTGCCATGAGAGGTACAAAGATGAGGATACTGTGGTCCATTTCTTGGAAAGCCCTTAAAAACTTACTGTTTAGCCACTGCATGTTCTCACTCATAGGTGGGAATTGAACAATGAGAACAGTTGGACACAGGAAGGGGAACATCACACACCGGGGCCTGTCGTGGGGTGGGAGGATGGGGGAGGGATAGCATTAGGAGAAATACCTAATGTAAATGATGAGTATTAACCCATTAGGGTGCAGCACACCAACACGGCACATGTGTACGTATGTAACAAACCTGCACGTTGTGCACATGTACCTTAGAACTTAAAAAGTATAATAAAAAATAACTTACTGTTTAGCATGTAATACATCAGGAAAACAAGTAGTTATATGTACTACTTATATGAAATAATAAAAATATATAGAGAAATATTCTCAGTAAGAATGTGGAAATTTTATATTTGTTTTTGGTGCTCACTGAAAGCTTCGAGAAATGTAGCACTTATGCTAAAAATTCAAGGATGTGATAGGCTTTAGAAATGGAAAAATCGTGTAGAAGGACGTTTTGGCAAGAGGGAAGAACATGGCTGAAACATTAAAGAGGCTATTAATGTTTCTTCCAACACTCTGCTTATTGTGAGACCTAGCAGGCACTAAATAATTAATAGCTTGAGTTAATCAGCTTGTAGTTAACTGAAAAAGACTGTTCTACAGAAGAAATATGACTTCTGACTGACTAGAAGTCTACTATTAAGGCCTGAAGACAGCTGTAGAATTCATAATGCCTTCTTCAGTTCAAAAAATGAAAAATTTGGTTATGATTCAGCATCCCATATATTGAAGTTATTATGTAAAATTATTTAATGAATTTACTTTCTTCATTTAATTCTTCTAATATTAATAAAGTGCCTACTTCTGGATACATCAGCTGTGAAACACTGGTTTCATTCTGCCTTTTACCTCCTTAGATATGAGGGTGGGTGAATTTGCTCTTTTTGACCCTCTTCTTTAGACCCATTCACTGTCCCTGATCTGATCTGAACCTAGAAGTCTCTCCCCAGTCCTCAGGAGACAGACAGGATTGAACCCCATGCAGAGAGAAGGTAGTATGATGGAATTGAATTCCCGGACAGATGTGGCATTGAACTCTGGCACTTTATCTGAGTGCCACTGGTCATAATGCTGTAGGTTAATTTCCTCCCTTAAAAAAGGATGGAATAGCAGTCTCCTTGAAGTGTTATAAGAATTTTAGATGGTACATGTAAAGCACCTGTAACATTCAGCACCTTTAACATTAATGCAGTAAGCATTCAACACATGTCTAAATGGAAGGTGATGGAAAAGTAGTCCCTCCTTATCTGCATGATACATGTTCTAAGACCTTCAGTGGATGCTTGAAACCACAGATAGTACTGTGCCCTATATATACTGTTTTTCCCTATGCCTATGCCTATGTACCTATGATAAAGTTTAATTTATAAAGTAAGCACAGTAAGACATTAACAATAATAGCTAATAATGAAATAGAACAATTATAGCAATATACTGTAATGAAAGTTATTTTCCTTCTGAAAATATCTTGTTGTACATTCCCACGGGCAACTGAAACCACGGAAAATGAAGCTGTGGATGGAGGATCACTACTATATTATTGTTATTATTATTATTATTTGAATCTAATTATTAGTCTCTAACAATAGTGTTTGGTAAACATATCTTTATTAACTAGTAGAGTGCTTTAGGTTAGGAATGAACACAATTAACACTTCAGACAGTCTCCAAAATGTTCTTTTAAAAAAATCCACTTTATTTCAGCTATATTTTGTGTACTCATCTTGCTGTATGAAAATTCTTCAAAGATAACTGCAGAAAAATGTTAAATTGAGAAAAGGTGTTTTTTGTTTTTTTTTTTTGTTTCTCAACATAAATGAGCCTTGTGTGCTTTCATTTGCACATACCTTTACCAAGGTAAAAGTGTTTATATATTGTCAACAATGTATTGATAGACTCTGCCAAGGACTGGCTTGTGGATCCCTTTGGCTCAATGCCTGTTTTTGTAAAGTTTTATTGGAACGCAGATATTGGTTAATATACTGTCTGTGGCTATTTTCACACTACAACAGAGTTGACAAGAGGCCTTATGGCCTGTAAAGCTGAAAATGCTTACTATCTGGTCCTTTGTAGAAAAAATTTGTCCCTATTTCTCCACATCCTCTCCAGCACCTGTTGTTTCCTGACTTTTTAATGATTGTCATTCTAACTGGTGTGAGATGGTATCTCATTGTGGTTTTGATTTGCATTTCTCTGATGGCCAGTGATGATGAGCATTTTTTCATGTGTTTTTTGGCTGCATAAATGTCTTCTTTTGAGAAGTGTCTGTTCATGTCCTTCGCCCACTTTTTGATGGGGTTGTTTGTTTTTTTCTTGTAAATTTGTTTGAGTTCATTGTACATTCTGGATATTAGCCCTTTGTCAGATGAGTAGGTTGCGAAAATTTTCTCCCATTTTGTAGGTTGCCCGTTCACTCTGATGGTAGTTTCTTTTGCTGTGCAGAAGCTCTTTAGTTTAATTAGATCCCATTTGTCAATTTTGTCTTTTGTTGCCATTGCTTTTGGTGTTATAGACATGAAATCCTTGCCCATGCCTATGTCCTGAATGGTAATGCCTAGGTTTTCTTCTAGGGTTTTTATGGTTTTAGGTCTAACGTTTAAGTCTTTAATCCATCTTGAATTGATTTTTGTATAAGGTGTAAGGAAGGGATCCAGTTTCAGCTTTCTACATAGGGCTAGCCAGTTTTCCCAGCACCATTTATTAAATAGGGAATCCTTTCCCCATTGCTTGTTTTTCTCAGGTTTGTCAAAGATCAGATAGTTGTAGGTATGTGGCGTTATTTCTGAGGGCTCTGTTCTGTTCCATTGATCTATATCTCTGTTTTGGTACCAGTACCATGCTGTTTTGGTTACTGTAGCCTTGTAGTATAGTTTGAAGTCAGGTAGCATGATGCCTCCAGCTTTGTTCTTTTGGCTTAGGATTGACTTGGCGATGCGGGCTCTTTTTTGGTTCCATATGAACTTTAAAGTAGTTTTTTCCAATTCTGTGAAGAAAGGCATTGGTAGCTTGATGGGGATGGCATTGAATCTGTAAATTACCTTGGGCAGTATGGCCATTTTCACGATATTGATTCTTCCTACCCATGAGCATGGAATGTTCTTCCATTTGTTTGTATCCTCTTTTATTTCCTTGAGCAGTGGTTTGTAGTTCTCCTTGAAGAGGTCCTTCACACTTTTACACTGTTGGTGGGACTGTAAACTAGTTCAACCATTGTGGAAGTCAGTGTGGCGATTCCTCAGGGATCTAGAACTAGAAATACCATTTGACCCAGCCATCCCATTACTGGGTATATACCCAAAGGACTATAAATCATGCTGCTATAAAGACACATGCACATGTATGTTTATTGCGGCACTATTCACAATAGCAAAGACTTGGAACCAACCCACATGTCCAACAGTGATAGAATGGATTAAGAAAATGTGGCACATATACACCATGGAATACTATGCAGCCATAAAAAATGATGAGTTCATGTCCTTTGTAGGGACATGGATGAAATTGGAAATCATCATTCTCAGTAAACTATCGCAAGAACAAAAAACCAAACACCGCATATTCTCACTCATAGGTGGGAATTGAACAATGAGAACACATGGACACAGGAAGGGGAACATCACACTCTGGGGACTGTTGTGGGGTGGGGGGAGGGGGGAGGGATAGCATTGGGAGATATACCTAATGCTAGATGACGAGTTAGTGGGTGCAGCGCACCAGCATGGCACATGTATACATATGTAACTAATCTGCACAATGTGCACATGTACCCTAAAACTTAAAGTATAAAAAAAAATGTTCAAGGATGCAAATTTGAAGGGAATTCTCACCAAAATTTATAGACTTGTAGAAGCATAAAGACTGGAAGGAATTTTTTATCCTTCAATTATTCTAACTTCATATAAATGTATTGGAATCCATGATAAATGGTAAAAAAAAAAAAAAAAAATTGTCAACTACACTTTTACATTTAGTGTGCCATAGAAAATTGTTTTACAATTTAGGGTTTTATTTTTATAGAATATCAGCCTTTTATGACTAGTATTTATAATTGTGAATATTAAAAATATAGTACACATTTATTCAAATTTGATGGATTTGAATAATTAGGGAACAGAATTGATATCTGCTTAGCCTCATTAGAGTGAATATTATGGTAGGTTTCAGAAATACAGTTTCTACTTTTATTTTATCATTTACAGCCCCAATTAAATTCTCTTGCCTTTCTTTCTAGGACAATTGAGAAAAATAAAAAAGTGCGATTGACAAAGACAATGTAGTTCACTATAGTGGAGCATCTGAGCTTCCTGACAGGCTAGATGGAAAAGGAAACACAGATAAATACTTTTTTAATCATGAGAAAATAGGAAGTGTATCAATTACTACAGTAAAATAAACTTTATCTTGATGCTGGCTTTTAATGACCTTAATTATATGAGCTATTGTGAGGCAGTATATGGTAGATGTTAAGAAGGATAAAATTGGCATCAGGGAGATATAAGACTGCAGTCCTCATATACTCTCTGGCCGTGGGCAAGTTACTTATTCTTTTAGAAATTCAGTTATGTCCAGTTATACTATAACTACAATAAATAGGTACCGTAGAGAATTTCCCCATACACACTTTCATTTGTCTTAATTTATGGTGAGACTATCTATAAAAACAGAAAGCATTAATTTTAAATATTAATATATTTAAGGATTACTTAAAGTTAAAAACACATTTCCAAAAATTTATATTTTTAGTTTAAAGTATGCACTTATTAAGTTGTTAAATATCCTGGGCTTGATGTATATTTAAAAACAAAGAATTTAAGGAAACCAGGTATTTGGAATAATTAATGGGCATTTAAAAAAGTTATGTTTATAAATTGTAGGGTTATATGTACACACAAAAAGAAATTTAAATGTAACATACATAAGGACAACGTAAAAGTTTATTTCTTAACCTTCTTAATCTACTTAAAACTTTTAGAAAAGCTCTTCTTTCAGACATAAAGATCAGCCTTCTGCCATTAGCAAAAAATTGGAAAAATAGAATACACATTTTCTCATCTAAGCAAGTATTTTTAGAGTCATTATTTTTATGTTTTTTTTCCAATTGAAGAAAATATAGGGTGCATATCAGGAAATACAATCTGCTAGTATCACTAAGAATAAGGAAACTAATGTTGACATATTTGACTCGAAGAAAACAAAACCATTATTGATGACATCCATGTTTGAAAAGAAAGGAAAAGTGTTTTTATGGAAATATGTAGTGTTTAACATCCTTAGAATAAAGTACATTTGGTGATATTTTTAAAAGGTTAAACAAAGGCAGATCTTCAATATAATGATATTTATCTCCATTTTATTTCTGGCTTTTACTTTGATATTAACAGAAATATATGCACAGACATATTAGCAGGATAAAACAAGGGTCATGATAAAACTGAATTTATTTTTGTTTGAATTATAAGTAGTTTTACACATTAATGAAAGTCCATTGTTATGGTTAATCCCCTGGCAACTTGATCTGTGTAATGGGTTTTCATTTTCTTTATAAATAATTACTCGCTGTTTAATATTTCAAAAAACTATAGTGTAGGCATATTGACTTGTTCAATAAAGCTCATTTGTATTCATTGTGGACTCTTGAATATGGACTATAGCAGCCAGTGAAATTGGTGGTGTTTTCTTGTTACGAATAATACAAGGAAAAACCCAAATCTATTCAATTAAATTTTTGTGTGCAAAATTTCAGCTATAGTCTAAAAACGCTACATAATTTATATTACAATCATTTTGGCTAATCAGATACCCAATCATATTTTAATAGATTTCCCTGGGAGAAGAAATGGGATTTAAGCTTATTAATCTGTATGGCATGCAATTAAGCTAACATTAAGATGACCAAACCAGTATGTTTTATTCCATTTGGAATAGGATCACTTCTCCAGAGTAGTAGATATTTCGGAATTTACAAAGACCAAGAAAATGTGTATTCCTTTATGATTTTTACTGCATGCTTAACTATTTATTATTCCATCTTGTTCTTGAAAGATTTTTAAGTTCTTTATAAAAATACATACATTACAAAGTAATAATACGTAGAGGAGGGAATTGGGACAGTGTTGGGAAGAAAAGCTGTGCCAGAAGTGAGGCTGTCCAGAGGTGGATCATAAATTTGTGTCTAAACTTTTTAGTACTCATTGCAAAAAAACATGATATCAACATAATTCCACCTTTATGAATTGTAACTTTTTTTACATTAATTACTGGAGCTCAGATCTTCCATTCTAGATACAAACAAAAGTTTAGTTTTAATGCCAGATCATTTAAAGGCAGTTACTTTAAAATGGCATCCTACAAGACTACTTTCTGTCAGCTGCCTATTTCCACACATCTATAGGTTAAATAAACCAATATTGAATACCATTGGCATTACATTTTTTCAAGATTTGAAAGTGACTCATGAATCATTAAGGAGAGGTTGAATTACGTCAAGTGTAGTTTCACTACTACATTTAACTGATACTTTTAAAAATGTACTCACTTTCATATGGTGCATAAAGCTCTGTTAACTCAAATATTTTCATTGTCCTTGATATTTAATACCTCAGTTATTGATAGCAGTCAATTGCTCATAACCAAAGAAATGCAATTGACATAGTGTAAAAGTTCAATTTCAGTGTTCTTTCTTTAAAAACCCTTCAAAATGAGTTTTAAAATAAAGTAATAAAATTTCTAAGTCAACACTTAGAAATCTAGATAAGCCAATAGTTTCATATAGCGTCTTCAATGTTACAAGATTTGTGAGTACTGGCATGTGGGTCAGAAAACAAGGGGTTTGAATTCCAGCTCTGCTCCATTTTTATTGCAATTTCAGTTATCATTTTAGCACTTCAGAATAAAAAAGAGATTTATTTAATTTCTAATTTTTTTTCTACCTCTCAGCTTTTTTTCAACCTGTGTGTGACTGGATTGCCCCCACTTTAGTTAGGTTATCATAATATACCTGTATTATTTAAACATACACAATCTCATTGTCACTTCCCCACAAAATTAAAGGAAAAGCTCTCTAAAAAATGGAAAATTTTTAGCACTTCAGAATAAGAGATTTGTTTAATTTCTAAATTTTTTTCTATCTTTCAGCTTTTGTCTATCTGTGTGTGACTGAATTGCCTCCACTTTAGGTTATCATAACATGCATGTATTATTTAAATATATACAATCTCATTGTCACCTTCCCCACAATATTAAAAGAAATCTCTTCAAACAAAATGGAAAAGATTCTGAACAACGTGAACCTAAGAGGCCTAAAAATGACTAGGCAAAACAAGTGAAGTTAGAAGTGATAAAGGATATTGGGAGAAATACAGTAAAGACATAAAAATATCTATTCTCCTTTCCTCATTTACCCCCACATTCATGTCATTTGCCTGGTTTATTTACCTGAAGATATATGCCCATTGCAGTGAAACTGTATCATGTCATTTTATGCTACACGTAAACAGTAATGGATATATTACCATTTAAAGCATATTAACCTATTCATGATGTGAAAGATATAATTGATCTTTAAATGTTTTATGCAGAAATCCTTGATGGATTATTAGTTGTTAGACTATTTTGATTGGGGCTCTGGGTGCACTGGAAATAAATTATTGTTTTTATCATTTAAAATAATGAAATATAGACTCCTACTAGCCAAAACATTTTATCAAACACGTGACAGGAATGGATTACATTGATATAATGACGGATATATGTAACTGAGATAATCTCTTCATGTATGGCCATAGTTAGAGATAAGATTTGTGCTATTTTTTTGTTTTTCTTGATAAGTTGTTTTTTCTTCCTTCTTTTGTGATAATTTAGAGAGTTCACTTTTGGCTCTTTAAAAGCACTTCACACATACTAGAGTCTTTACCTAATAAACTAGATCTTCAAATACATTAGGTCGAATCATTAAAAATTACTAATCTTGTATAAGGTATAAGGAAGGGATCCAGTTTCAGCTTTCTACATAGGGCTAGCCAGTTTTCCCAGCACCATTTATTAAATAGGGAATCCTTTCCCCATTGCTTGTTTTTCTCAGGTTTGTCAAAGATCAGATAGTTGTAGATATGCGGCGTTATTTCTGAGGGCTCTGTTCTGTTCCATTGATCTAGATCTCTGTTTTGGTACCAGTAACATGCTGTTTTGGTTACTGTAGCCTTGCAGTATAGTTTGAAGTCAGGTAGTGTGATGCCTCCAGCTTTGTTCTTTTGGCTTAGGATTGACTTGGTGATGCGGGCTCTTTTTTGGTTTCATATGAACTTTAAAGTAGTTTTTTCCAATTCTGTGAAGAAAGGCATTGGTAGCTTGATGGGGATGGCATTGAATCTTGGGCAGTATGGCCATTTTCACGATATTGATTCTTCCTACCCATGAGCATGGAATGTTCTTCCATTTGTTTGTATCCTCTTTTATTTCCTTGAGCAGTGGTTTGTAGTTCTCCTTGAAGAGGTCCTTCACATCCCTTGTAAGTTGGATTCCTAGGTATTTTATTCTCTTTGAAGCAATTGTGAATGGGAGCTCACTCATGATTTGGCTGTTTGTGGTTGGTGTATAAGAATGCTTGTGATTTTTGTACATTGATTTTGTATCCTGAGACTTTGCTGAAGTTGCTTATCAGCTTAAGGAGATTTTGGGCTGAGACAGTGGGGTTTTCTAGATATACAATCATGTCATCTGCAAAGAGGGACAATTTGACTCCCTCTTTTCCTAATTGAATACCCTTTATTTCCTTCTCCTGCCTAATTGCCCTGGCCAGAACTTCCAACACTATGTTGAATAGGAGTGGTGAGAGAGGGCATCCCTGTCTTGTGCCAGTTTTCAGAGGGAATGCTTCCAGTTTTTGCCCATTCAGTATGATATTGGCTGTGGGTTTGTCATAGATAGCTGTTATTATTTTGAGATATGTCCCATCAATACCTAATTTATTGAGAGTTTTTAGCATGAAGGGTTGCTGAATTTTGTCAAAGGCCTTTTCTGCATCTATTGAGATAATCATGTGGTTTTTGTCTTTGGCTCTGTTTATATGCTGGATTACATTTATTGATTTGCATATATTGAACCAGCCTTGCATCCCAGGGATGAAGCCCACTTGATCATGGTGGATAAGCTTTTTGATGTGCTGCTGGATTCGGTTTGCCAGTATTTTATTGAGGATTTTTGCATCAATGTTCATCAAGGATATTGGTCTAAAGTTCTCTTTTTTGGTTGTGTCTCTGCCTGGCTTTGGTATCAGAATGATGCTGGCCTCATAAAATGAGTTAGGGAGGATTCCCTCTTTTTCTATTGATTGGAATAGTTTCAGAAGGAATGGTACCAGTTCCTCCTTGTACCTCTGGTAGAATTCGACTGTGAATCCATCTGGTCCTGGACTCTTTTTGGTTGGTAAGCTATTGATTATTGCCACAATTTCAGATCCTGTTATTGGTCTATTCAGAGATTCAACTTCTTCCTGGTTTAGTCTTGGGAGGGTGTATGTGTCGAGGAATGTATCCATTTCTTCTAGATTTTCTAGTTTATTTGCGTAGAGGTGTTTGTAGTATTCTCTGATGGTAGTTTGTATTTCTGTGGGATCGGTGGTGATATCCCCTTTATCATTTTTTATTGTATCTATTTGATTCTTCTCTCTTTTTTAGCATTGGGAGATATACCTAATGCTAGATGACGAGTTAGTGGGTGCAGCGCACCAGCATGGCACATGTATACATATGTAACTAACCTGCACAATGTGCACATGTACCCTAAAACTTAAAGTATAATAATAAAAGAAAAAAAATTACTAATCTTTAACTCATTTGACACATAAGAATGACAATTTCATATATTTTATTTCCCACCTTTCATTTTATTTTTAGTCTCCATTTAATGATAACTAAATTTTAAATATTTTAAGAATTTTAATCAAGCGCTTCTCAAGATATGATTAACTTCTATAATTTTATTATGTATGTATATGTGTTAAATATGTAATTATTATTTGCACATATTTTACCTATTCCAATGTCTCTTACTGCCTTCAACATTCATTTCTGTTTCTTTTACACAACACCAGCCTCAATTTGTTAGTGTTTTTTTGTTCGTATATCACTGATTTTGAGTTTATCTCTGATCACTTGTAGAACGGGATTTAGTTTTTTTTTAATGTTTTAAAATATTGGCCAGGCTCGGTGGCTCACGCCTGTAATCCCAGCACTTTGGGAGGCCGAGGGGGGTGGATCACGAGGTCAGGAGCTCAAGACCATCCTGACCAACATGGTGAAACCCTGTCTCTACTAAAATATAAAAATTAGCTGGGTGTGGTGGTGGGCGCCTGTAATCCCAGCTACTCAGGAGGCTGAGGCAGGAGAATCGCTTGAACCCGGGAAGTGGAGGTTGCAGTGAGCTGAGATAGCACCACTGCTCTGCAGCCTGGGTGACAGAGCAAGACTTCCTCTCAAAAAATAAAATAAAAATAAAATATTATTTATTTATTTGTAATTGATAAATATTGTATATATTTATTGTGGACAACACGATGTTTTGAAATATGCATACATTTTTGAATGGCCAATGGAGCCAGTTATCATATGCGTCACCTCACATACATACCATCTTTTTGTGATGAGAACACTTGAAATCTATTTTTTTTAGTAATTTTAAAGAATATATTGATATTAACTGTAGTCATGATGTTGCACAATAGATCTCTTGAGCTTGTTCCTCCTATCTATCTGAAAATTTGTATCCTTTAAGCAACATATCTTCAACCCTGCCCAGTCACCCTCTGGTAACCACCATTCTACTATCTACTTCTATGAGTTCAACTTTAGTAGAACATGAATTTGAATGGCTTCACTCCTAACGCTGTACACATCTGATTATGAGGGTCTTTTCATTTCCTATGGGTGTGATTGAAAGCCTGAATGTATGTAAATTTGGGGGTCATAACGTTTTCTTGCAATGTACTATAGACATGCATGCAAATCCATACTGGGGCAAGTAAGCTATGGAGTGTCTGTGTGATAGGCTTTAGACATTAAGAAGAGGAAGTGATAAGTAGTAGAAGAGGCCAGCATGATTCCTTCAAGGATTATGAAGGAAGATAGTAAAAGTCATTTTTTAAACAGTTTGTCTACTTTAGATGGTAAGGCAGCTAAAGAATTTTGCAAAACTCCTCTAACTTCAAACCTTCTAGAAAGGGTTAGAGGATCTCATGTCATCAAACAGACCCCCACCAACAGGAGCAGATGGGGCTGAATGTAGTTTCTCCACTTCCGTAGAGTTTTAAGTAAATACAGCTCTAATTACAATTTGTATTGGACATTGATTCTAATAATCCATAATAATGAATTAAGGAAAGCTTTAGTAAAATAAAGAGAAATGTCTCTGACAAAAAAAAGTTTTTCTAAGTAATTAGATGGGAATAAAATGTTTACTGTCATTTTTCTTTTGTTACAGAGAAAAAAGATCTGAAGATAAATATCTTCAGCTCTTTTTAAAATAACCTATATTTTCCTCTTTGATGTTTATCAAGATACGTGACGATCAGCATATTTTAACTATAAAGAAATGTAACATCATTTTTGAAATGAAAAAGTAAGGACAAATAATTAAAGAAAATTACTTATAATCTTACTACCCCGATATTTGTTTAGATTGACACTTTATTGTGTATCTAATTTTTAATACATATTTCTTATTTAAAATAAAATGCAGATCGTTCAGTACAAACTATTCATAACTTGCTCTTTTTACATGCAAGGAAACATTCCTTAATATCCTTACATATTTTAACACTCTCATTTATAATGGTGCATGTGGCCTTTTATCCTAGTGCTGTATTTTTAAAATCAATTATAAATGGAAATTCATTGGAATGTAGTTAATAATTTTATTTCTTCTCAAATATCTTTTCATAAAAATTGTGCCAATTTATACTCTCCAGTATAAGAGAGTGTTTGTTTCATCCACTTATCACCAATATTATTTAAGCCTTTGCCAATTTGGTAGGTGAAAAATAGTAATGTAATTATAATTCCAAATTATTTAGCAATTCATTTGAATTTTATCATATTTTCATACTTAATACAAATATGTTTCTCTTATGTAGAATTCAGGATTATGTTATTTGCATATTTTTATTAATGTTTTCTTACTGATTTGTAAGATGTTTATGTAGCAAGGACATTCATATTTTGCATTCTGTAAATATTTGGAAATTTTCTTTTAGAGATGTTAAACATTATTCACTTTTACTGTATTTTGGATATTTTTTCCTAAATTTCTGAATCACTGATTTGATTTTCTGCAGTACTAAATCTGAGTTGTATTGCTTGTAGCACATATTTTATTTCAACCATTGCAGTCTCATTTCTTTTTACTTTAATTTCACTCTACATTTATTTAATAAATGAAATGTGCTCTTTTCTGTCCCTGAACATGATGTAATGTAACTACATATGTTTATACCATGGCTCAAATGGAGAGAAGAGGACCCAGGTAACAAAGGAGAAAGATAAAAGATAGATAAAGATACAGTTGCATATTGGATAAAGTCACTAATTTGCAAAGGTCAGAAGATATTTCTGTGCAGAAAAGGAATTGGCCATTAGGTAGGATGAGGCACGTGTATACCTATGTGTTAAATTATGTGTTAAATATTTGTCATTTTACAGATGATCGTAGATTCCTGCTAAAATCTCACATGACCTCAGTTCCTATTACTCATTAATTTTTCTCCTGAATATAACTTCATTATCATGACGTCATGATAAGTTCAAAAAGCATTAGGAAAAGGGGGTTTAGCATTTTTATTTACTTCAACATTTTAAAGTATTTCCCAGTATGTGTCTTTAAAATAATCTCTTATGGAATATCAAAAGACAGAGGGACTGATAATAGTTACGGCTTGAGTCAACCAAACTGTTCAATAGGAAATAGCATCAGTATATTTTCTGAAAATCCTGCCTTTTGCTTGAATATTATGGCCATTTTGTTCAAAATAAAAATACTCAGCAAAACCCTTAAGAGAAACCTTCAAAAGGACAAGTACATGCCAAGTAATCTATATTGTAAGTGCAAGGGCAAAGATACTTCTCCATCCTTATATTGAAGCGGTTGAAAATTTGCTACACATTGCTAGAGTTCTCCAAAATTGTTTAGAGTTTATTATTATTGTTGTTGCTGTTATTGCAGTTGTTTCTGTTAAGAAAATGTGGGTAAAGGGCCGGGCGCCGTGGCTCACGCCTGTAATCCCAGCACTTTGGGAGGCCAAGATGGGCGGATTCCGAGGTCAGGAGATCGAGACCATCCTGGATAACACAGTGAAACCCCGTCTCTACTAAAAAAATACAAAAAATTAGCCAGGCGTGGTGGCGGGCGCCTGTAGTCCCAGCTACTCGGGAGTCTGAGGCAGGAGAATGGTGTGAACCCAGGAGACGGAGCTTGCAGTGAGCTGAGATCGCACCGCTGCACTCCAGCCTGGGCGACAGAGCGAGACTCCGTCTCAAAAAAAAAAAAAAAAAAAAAAAAAAAGTGTGGGTAATAAGAGGAAATATTTATGAAATCGGGATAAATATTGCGAGTAATGTAACAAACAGATAGCTTATGCCCATAAAATGCTACATTTTACTAGCTACGGAAGGGTTTGAGTCCACTAAGAATATACAGAAAGTACTTCTTGTACATCCTCATTTGATACTGTTGTTGCTCTGATAGGGACCACATAGCAATGTAAGCACACCACAGTTAAAGAATGGTTGAAAATAGAACTTAAGGACAACTGTAAATGACGTTTGGGGAGCTATTTTCTCTCTGTATTTTATTTTATTTCATCTCATTTTATTTTACTTTAAGTTCTGGGATACATGTGCTGATCATGCAGGTTTGTTACATAGGTATACACGTGCCATGGTGGTTTGCTGCATCTATCAACCCATCATCTAGGTTTTAAGCCCCGCATGCATTAGGTATTTGTCCTAATGCTCTCCCACCCCTTGGTCCCCACCACCTGACAGGCCCCGGTGTGTGATGTTCCCTTCCCTGTGTCCATGTGTTCTCACTGTTCAACTCCCACTTATGAGTGAGAACATACGGTGTTTGGTTTTCTGTTCCTGTATTAGTTTGCTGAGGATGATGGTTTCCAGCTTCATCCATGTCCCTGCAAAGGACATGAACTCATTCTTTTTATGGCTGCATAGTATTGGGGAGCTATTTTCTATGGCTGACTTTGTTACCCATGTGACTGTTCATTCCCCCTCTCCCAAATTAATTATAATTGCTTTGGCTTCATATTTAAATGTTCCATATATTGCCAGTTGTCTCCTGGGAAGCAAAATTGCCACTCTTTGAGAAATATTGGTCTAGATAAATAGATACCATTTAATTTTTTTGAGACAATAGTATGAACTTTTCTATCTGTATAGACATTTGATTCAGCCAAAGAATAAACTAGATTGTTAAATCTTATGTTTCTTATATAAGGTGTTACTCTCACGTTAAGAGCACCCAAACTATCTAAATTCACATATTTACATCATTTTAGCCCTTAAGACATAGCCTGGGAGGAAAAAGTATAGCTTAAGAATGGCATAAGAAGATATATATTTGTTCTTTTCTGAAATTTAGGAACATCAAATATTTTGCTATGAGACCTGTCTTCTTTGGAAGAAAAATTATCAGATTTGATTTTGATAATCTGGTTCTCTATTGGAAAACATAAACATTCAAATGACTAAGCTTCATATAGGGCTCTCTAGCAATGTTTTGTTTTCTAGTCCGCTTACACATTATGAGTATAATCTTTAATAATGTTGAAGATCCTTTGGCTTAAAATTCAAACTACCTCTTCTTATGTTTAGCTTATTTTTCTGGCAGTACCACTGTGGTTTCAGATAATTTTCTTTTCCTTTTACTCTCTCATTTCCAAGTTTCAGTTATTAAATTTTGGCATTTGAGACCCAGAATCCTGGTAGTAAGACTTTTGTTTAATTTTTTTCTCCCAAAAATTACATTTGATTTTAATTATGTCACATGCACAGAGAGCGCTCCTTATCCATGTGTTCTACATCCATGTATTAACCGACTGTAGATTGAAAATATTCAGAAAAAAATAATAAGTAGTTATATACCAATAAAAATATTATAAATAAAACAATATAACACAGCATGTGTTATACTGCACAGTATTTACATTCTATTAGGTGTTATAAGTAATTTAGAGATGATTTAAAAGTATATGGGAATATGTGCATAGATTATATACAAATACTACAACATTTTATTTAAGAAATTTGAGAATCCTCAGAATTTGGTATCCGTGGGGGGGGTCCTGGAACCAATCCCCTGTGGATACTGAGAGATGATTGTGTGTCTGTGTGTATGTGTGTGTGTGTGTGTGTGTGTGTGTGTGTGTATGACATGTTGCTTGTTGGCTTTATTAGCTACTATCAAGTTTTTATACTGCAGCATTTTTTAATTCATGATTTTGATAACTCCCTCACTTACTTAGAGTGCTTTTTGAAAGATTTTGTTCAAGAAAAATACATGGGTAATATGTTTTCTAGGATTCTCTAAATTGGAAGATATATTCCACTTCTGTAATTTCTTGGCTGAAAATTCAATTATTGAATCACAACCATTCTTTGAAAAAAATCTGTGGGCACTGCCTCAACGTTATTTGACTTTTAATGTTGCAAAGGAAAATGACAATTTGGATTTTTATTCTTTTGAGTGCAACTTGTTTTTGCTGCCTAGAAGTATATTATACTTTTTTCTTTGCCTTTGTCGTTTAAATCTGTGGCCAGAATATGTTCATTTTTGGTTGTATTTCATAAATATTGCCTTAATAAAGATGATCTCTATTTTACATTATATATTCCTCTGCATACCCCCAATATATCTATATCAATTTATGAATCAATTGCATGTTTTACTCTTACAATATATCTGTAATTGATATCAATAATTAATACATAGAAATTAATAAATATATATACAAGTAGATGAAGTTAAAATTAATGAAAATTGAACTTCTGATATATTCTTTTATGCTGCAAGGGATTAATCAATGCGATGTCTAGGAAGGTGCCCATCCTCCTTTGAAGACTATGGTCCTGGAACACCGAGGATCCTTAAATATGCATGTTTGGGTGTTATTACTTCCCTGGAAAGTTTTCAGAAGTTGTGTGTTTAATTCTGGCGTTGATTTTAACTGCTCTTGTTCCATCATTCCAGAACCTCTATAATTCTTAGGTGGGCTTGTTTTTCTGTGCAAACTTCCATCATCTTCTCTCTCTTATTTCTTCTTTTCCTAAAATTTTAATTGTGGTAAAATACACAATATACCCTATTTCACCTTACTTCCCTCACCCTACCCCACCTTCTTGCAGAAACTTATTCCTTTCACAATTCATTATATTTTTATATGTATCATTCTACTCAATTTTCTCTGTGTATTGTGCTTATATATGTTTGCATAAATTATACTCTATATTGTTTTCTGTGCTTCGTAATTGTGACTTAATCATATATCTAGGAAATTGTTTATGAGTGTATATTTAAATATGACATCATTTAAAGTAATCCTTGAAAATATTTTAATACTTCTTTTAGTTTTATAAATAGATGTGAGTGGTTAAAAATTCATCAGTGTAGAATGGTATAACATAAGAAGAAGCCATCAAATGCTTCCACTTCCATCTGGCACCACCATTTTTATTTCCAGGAATAAACACATTTGAGACTTGCCTATCCACTTTTAACATAAAGTATCTACGCATATACAGACATATGTCTATTAAGTAACTGGCTTCTTTTTTTTACATAAATCATATCAATGTGTCTCTGCACATATAGATTTCTTTATTTCCCTTTATTTGCTGCATAGTATTCCATACGATGGATATATTTTCCACTTAATCACGAAATTAACCATTCATTTTGTTATGGGTGGTTGGCTCATATACAAATTTTGTTATTAAGATGCATGATATGGTGCTTATTCATTTACACCTATTTTTGCATATTGGTAGGAATTTAGCAGTGGAATAAATTTCTAGTAGCCAAGTTCCTTGGGCAAAAGGTATGTGCAGTTTGTTTCTAGATATTTCCAAATTATTCCCCCAATTTTTACACTATTTGATGCAGCATAAATTTGCTTCTTTGCTCTTTAAGTGCAAGTTTTAATTTTTCCATTTTATTTTTCTTTCTGGATTTTTTCTCATTTCTTGGCATCTCAAAATGTTCTCCTTTTGTGAGACCTAGGTCTTCTCTTACATCCTATTTGGGTAAGCAAGTAGTCTTGAAATAATTTCCATAATTCTTTTTTTTCTCTAAGGTTTGGGATCAGAGTCACAGTTTATGGTTTTGAAGTAGTTTTTTAATTGCGTACATGCATGTGTGAATTTTTCTTTTGACTATTTCTGGAATATACACCTTAGTTTAGTTCTCACTAAAGATAACTTGTTTGTCTTGTTCTTGGCTTTGTATACTCTCCACTTGTGTAGAATTGTAAAAGAATGTTATACACACACACACATAGACACAAAGCTCAATCTCATATTACATTAGCTCAGAAGTCAAAGTCCTTTAAGAAATGGGTGAAATGGTGGTAAACAATTTATTTTTCATCCATACTTAGGAAATGCTCATTCCCCATACTACAGGTTGAAAAAGAACTTCAAATTTCTCTTTTAAACATCCCATATAATAGAATTGAACCTTAATAGTAAGATAATTATTAATGTGCATATGAGTAAGTTTATTATTTAATATCCTTAAATTAGCACCTGCATTTCAAGGTACAGAATTTGGGTTAGGTTCCAGTTTGATCATTTATTTAAGAACATGTTGAGCTTATAGAAGGAAAGTGAGCCTTTTTTCTCTCTCAGAAGACAGGCAACAACATTAAAGGTCTGAAAAAAATGCTTTTTGCATAAAATAGTTTACTTAATTGAACAGTTTTTTGCTCCCCTTAATTCAGTTCTTTTACCTAGTAGAGAAAATAAACCTTAGGAATTAAGTTATAGTCTCTAAGGACAGCTTCAAAACTTCACAACTCATTGAACTGGCATAATATCAGAGAGACTTGCACTTGATTTTATTTTAAATCCTCTAGTTCTTTGCCTATAAGATTGGCATTGATTTCAGCGTAGCTTTCAAATGGGCCCAGGTTGCAATATCTGTCTATCAGGGATACAAGTACTAATGTGATAAAAATAATAAAGCAATCTGTGCGCTCTTAGTGATTGTGTCCTTATGAGATTTCATTTTCCTTTATACCATGAAATTATTTAGTAAAGCCATCTATCATAAAGAGTGCTGTTAGAAATACAATTTTCTCGTGACGAATGATGTAAAAGTAACCTTTTTCAGGACAATTTATTGATTAATTTGATAAACATGTATTTTGTGCCTTTTATTCTTGGGGCACCATATTAGGCATGTACTAAAAAATACTCACGAAGCCCTTTTAATTCTTTGAAATGGGTTAGATGGTGGGGCTGCATAATGGCACCAATATTAAATAGACATTAAGTTAATTAAGGTGCGTTACCTTAGTTTTCAAACATATATACACATAGGTCCCCAATTTAGAGCAAAACAGAAATTTTACAATTAGACTTCTAATGAAACTTGCAATTTTTGTTAGAATAAGCCAATCTTTAGCATTTATAATTGCCAAATTATGTTTCTCTGCTTTTCTGAGGAAATACATGGTTATGCTTTGTTTTCTGAAGCATAAATGGATGTTTTTACTTATTAGTCACTTGTGAGCAGAAGGTATTACTCTCGTTCCTTTTATTTCCTCTTCTTCCAATTAGCTGACAGATCAAGAATTCGAAAGATGAGAATGCCTTGAGGTATTCAGATGTCATCTACAACAGGGAAGAAGGGTGACTGTGAGAGTGCCAAACTTTGCTGCTGGAAGGCAGTGTTATTTCTTGACCAACTCATGTGCATTCTAATAGTCAGTGATTTTGCTTCCTTATGTGGCTTTGCAAAATGATCGTCCTCTGCCAACTCTCCCCCCTCCTCTTGTTGTTGCTTTTGGTTTCAGTCTGTATGACACAGGAGCGATTTTAAAGCCTTTCATGGCCAGTATTGTATATAAAGAACTTAGTGGTTGCAATGTATCAATTAAGCAAACCCAAAAGTTATCTTTATACAGCTGTAGATATTGAATGCTAAAACACTGTTTTATCAAATATTTGGTTCTAATATCATCATCTAAATTTTAATGTAAACGTCTACATTAAACTTTTACTGGAACAGTTACAGCTGATTTGAGGTCTACTCCTCTAGATTAGTGACATTTTCTATTAAGCATGATTTATTTTTTCTTTACCTGTAATCATTTAGGCACCACAAAGGAAACCATTGTTATTATAGTCTAGAGACTAGAGCTTGTTGGAAGCTTTCTGAATGTTTTTCCACAAGAGGTGGCCAACTCAATTAGGACTGGTTCAATTTTTGTCAGGTTTAGTTTGGTTGCAAATTCCACCTTTTGGTTTGTAAATTGATTGCTGCTGTGATATAACACAATGACCAATGGGCAAAAGCTAGGCCAAAACAGTGACCAAACAGTTGAGCTTGTGGAACTGGTCTCCTTTGCCCAGTTACATGAACACTGCAATAGTTTCTAACTTCTGCCACTCAAAATATGTGAAGCTTCTCTACCAAAGACAAGGCTCCCTTTGCAAAGATCACTTGGTAGCTCCATCCTGCTGGAGTTGGTGTAACCGTTCATGATTTAAGTCATATAAAATAGGCACTGAAGCTTTATATACTATTGGCCACAATCAGTTTCATAAGTCTTATATTACTCTTTCAGCCTCATAAATGTTCAATCTCAAATCTAGTATTTAGATTTATATATAACTTCCTTTCCTTCTTTACCCTTATATCTACATACTGTTCTAAATCAGAACTCTTTAATTTAGTCCCCTTGGCCAATGAGAAAGTTAAGCCATTAAAAAAAAATTCTACTTTCAATACATAACAAATTTTCTTCTTATTCTTTAAATTAAAGATCTCCCCCTAACCCTTTACCTTTAAATCTTTTGTCTTTCTAGGCTCACTACTTTGGTGATTTACCTATTCCCATGACCTTACTCATCATTACAAGCACTTGACATTTAAATACCTAGATCAAACCATTCCTGAGTTGCACATCCCAACTTCTAACTTCCTTATGAACATCACTAGTTGCCTGACTATATATTGACATGCACAATTGAGAGTGTTACAGTGCAGGCATGCACAGCCTAACAAGCAAGATACACTCACTGAATGAATGTTAAAGTGGAAAAAGTCTTCCACCTTAAAGATTATTTTAAATAATCCCTAAGGGGTGTAAAAATCATCTTTACTTACATTTTAATTTGTAAAGAGGAGAAAAATATTGATGAAGCAGTTAGAAATCTTGTGCCTGAGAGAGAGCGTCCCTCACTTTTGGTCCCTGTAGTGTGTCTCTTTTCAGTTACAGTAAGTGGCTTCCCACATTCTTTTCTCATAAGGGCAGTGCGGCCAGATGGCATGCTACTTACTTATTGAGAAACAAAAGAGAATTTCTTCCTTACAAATGTTATCTAAAATGTAGTTTTGAAAGTCTCTTAGGTAAAGATCTCCTTTATAAAATGTAATATATAATTATAAGCTGGTGGACTTCTTTTTGATCTCTAAGATTATTTTGGGTATACTTAGATTACTGACAACCCTTAGTCAAGAGCCATTAGTTCCGTAGCCATTAGTTAATTATTACTGTATATAATTATTAGTTAGCTAATGAAGTGTAGGTTATTATTAATTTGGGGGGCTGAGATACAAAGTAACATCAGGTATAAGGAGTTTATGGAAGTTCAAAAATGCAAATTGTGAGTTATTTCATACTCATGACTTATCATATGGAAGTTCTGGTCCCGCCACTTCCAGACTCTATGATCTCAGGCAGGCAAATAATTTATGTCCCTCAGCCTCTTTAACCCAAGCGCAAAGTGGAATAATAAGATTGGCCTCACAAAACTACTTTGAGGAAAACATTAGAAAATACATTTGTAAGATGATTCTATAATAACCAAGGGAAATTGTTAATAAATCACAGTATTCCCATAAAATAACATGAGTTAAGCATTGTGTAGAAGGAAAATAAATTTCAAATATATAATAAATATGGAAGCAATGCTCAAAATTCAATTTTATGTGAAAAATGCAGGAATCAAAATTCTACAGAGGTTATGCAAATTTATGTGTATACTCACATATGTGCACATTTGTGTGCATGTGTGTGCACATACACATATAGAGATGGGATGAGTGCAGAGGCAATAACAAACCAGGAACAGTGGTGGGAATACATGTTATTTTCTTTATATGTTTCTTTAGAAGTGATTAGTAGTCAGACTTATTAGGTGTTGTATACACTTTTTAGACTAATTTATTGAATAAAAACAAAAGCCATTTTTAACAATGGAACAATTGGAATTTGTTGTTTTCTATAGTAAAAGCTGTCTATCTTATCATTCATTCAGCCCTCATTCTTTGACATCTGTATCAAACCCGTATGCTGTATGGTTAAGCCAACTAATGGACAGTACATCCTTCAATAAGGAGGAAGTCTAAAACACATAGCTTCCAACTTGCTTTAAACCAGATCTTGTTGGTGTGAAGCCACTGTATAGTTATTTTTATTTATTTATTCATTTAAAAGGATTTCCAAGCTGGGGTTTTGGTTACTTATTAAAACCTACAGAGACAAACATGTGTTTGAAATTAATTGTGTTATTCCAGATTTTTCTTATACCATTACATCATGCTCTTTCCCAATCTGGCTTCCTGAATTTTCTTCTTAAAGTTACATGATTTTTAGTCTCATTCTCAAGAGACTTGGAAATGTAAATTGAGTTATTCAGGCAAAACACTGAATTTCAAGACATTGTTAGAAGCCAGCTTCCCATTATATAGAAAGCTTTTTTTTTTTTTCAGTGTAGGCATTTTTGCTCAGTTTTTAGAAGATTTAGAATGTAATACTTGAATAGCCAAATACTGATTTCTTAATCCTATCTATTCATGTACATTAATTCCTATGATGATGTTTGTTAGGTTTACAATCTTGGCTGGTCTTGGTAAGGTAGATTAAAATATTATAGGTTTTAGACTCTCACAGCAGTAATGTCCACCGTTTTTCTCCCTAGTGTTAATTTTTTTTAATACTAAGAAATTGTATTCTTAGATATTCGGGAATGCAAATTTTATACTGTAGCACTATATATTTCGGTCTTTGGATAGACAATATTTTGGCTTATTTTTTTCAATTCATCTTTAGAAACATATATATGTTTCTAAACATATATGTTTCTAAACACATATATATATGTTTCTAAACACATATATATGTTTCTAAACACACATATATATGTTTCTAAACACATATATATGTTTCTAAACACATATATATGTTTCTAAACACATATATATGTTTCTAAACACATATATATGTTTAGAAACATATATATATAAAGATAAAGTTTTGCTCTTGTTGCCCAGGCTGGAGTGCAATGGTGCAACCTCGGCTCACTGCAACCTCCACCTCCCGGGTTCAAGTGATTCTCCTGCCTCAGCCTCCCGAGCAGCTGGGATTGCAGGCAACTGCCATCACACCCAGCTAATTTTTTGTATTTGTAGTACAGATGGGGTTTCACCATGTTGGCCAGGCTAGTCTCAAACTCCTGACCTCAGGTGATCCACCTATCTTGGCTTCCCTAAGTGCTGGGATTACAGGCGTGAGCCACTGCGCCCAGCCAAAACTTTTACATCTTTATGTTGACATAAAATTCTAAACTATGTAAGCAAGCTTCACTTTTTTTATAAGGATTTAGAAATGAACAAAATGGGTACACAAAGAACAGATTCTTTATTTAACAAACATTAATTCATTGAACAAATATTGAAGTGTATACTTTGTATCAGTTATCATGTCAATCATACTAGAAGAAATAAGTTCCAATTGTGTCAATTGGATGTTCTAACTGTTCTTAACTTCTATGATTCATAAGTTTATAACTCCCTAATAAATCTTTACATATAATTACGTTGGAGTATCACAATAATGAATAATACCATTTTGCTTATATAAGCTTTGTGAATGTGAAACAAAAAGCAACAACAGCATTGAAGTTAGAAACTCTTGAAATAATTTTCTACAAAAATTTATCCTTTTTAAAAAAACTAACTTTTTAAGCTAAGCAGAGTTCGGCCTGGTTAGTACTTGGATGTGAGACCACCTGGGAATACTGCGTGCTATAGGCTTTAATAAAACAGAAAGAAAACCCTAACTTAAAATATATATGTAAGTTCTTAAAAAGCATATCTTGCCATAATTTATGAAAACCCTTATATATATAATTTTTATTGTTTTTCAGCCACATAATACCAGTCTAAAAAAGCACATGTAGAATATTTATATGTAGTATATATATACATTCAACTACCTTGCATATCCAGTCTCATGAAAAACAAATCAAAAGGGAAAGAGAAGTATAGAATTTTCAGTGTAGTTAAGCCACACTGCTTTCCCTGATTTTGAAAAATCACTTAAGACATAGGTTTTACTTGTTTCCTTGGCCAGGGTATGATGGATTACCTGTTTCACAACCATCTCAGTAACTAACAACTGCCAACTACAGAACCGTATTGTTCTACCAAAGGAAAACCATCATGAGAAGATAAGATGTTTTTCCCCTACCCCATTGAAACTTCTAAATTACCTATAAAATTGTCATAATGTATTAGTAATTGGAAAATTCTGAATGATTTTTGTTTATAGTCTTAAAATATATGGATGAAAAAAGAAGAAACAGTTTTGGCAAAACAAGCTCAGAATTCTTGATGAAGCTGTTCCTTGGAGTCAAAGGGAGTGTGATGCCATTGCCACTCAAGGTTCTCCTTCGTAATCTCTAGCAGATAATCTATAAATCCCAATGACCTATAAGAGCAAGACAAGGACTGCAGGTGCTCAGGCACCATGATATCATTAGCAATAATCAATGCATGGCTGTGTTTTCTCACTAATACATGGGTAGAGTACCAAATTATTGAGCAATACTAGATCTCTCTTTTATCGAGCTCATTAGTCTTGGAAGAATTCATTAATCTTTTAAGCTTAGAAGAAAAATGTAACCTAGGATTTGGCAGAACGATCAATGAGACATACGTGAGAGAGTGTGTGTGTTCAAGAGGAAGGTAAGGAGAATTGAAAGTTTTAGCATTGGATTTAGCATAGGATTTAAGTGGACCCATCTGTATTTGGGGATGAGGGGGAGGTCATACACGGGGCTGCCAACATGGGTGGAGACAGAAAACAAATAACTCTGAAAATTGTGTGTGTGTGTGTGTGTGTGTGTGTGTGTGTGTGTGTGTATTTCTGTAACAGTTTAGGGTTTTAATTTTTTTCCAGAAACCCTAATCAACATAATTAACTTTCTAGCCTCAGATCTAATTGGTCACTACATCCTGTCATGGCCACCACCAAATTATATCTTATTTACTTCCTTCTTTTATGCCTACTGCCGGAAACTTATTTCAAAGATACCTGTATTTTCATCTGAACTGTTGTAATAACCTACTGACTGGCTTCTCTATTATTTTCCCGTGTTCATCACTTATATTGACTTCCTTATTTAAAAGCAGTCCAGATCTATTCATTGCCTACCCATGAAATCCAAACTTTTTGGCATGAATTTGAAACAATAATAATTATTATTATCATTTATTAAGAAACTTACATTGCTAGACATAAAACATGAGTATCTCCAACTCCCAAACTGAGCTTTGAAGATAGGGTATTGTTATGTCTTGCTTTGCAGCAGAAGACCTTGATATACAGAAAGATTAAAGATCTTTCCAAGTTCAAGGAGCTGGTGTAAGAGACGGAACTAAAATTCAAAACATGTGCTGTGGGTCGGGCGCGGTGGCTCACGCCTGTAATCCCAGCACTTTGGGAGGCTGAGGCGGGCGGATCACAAGGTCAGGAGATCGAGACCATCCTGGCTAATACAGTGAAACCCCGTCTCCACTAAAAATACAAAAAAATTAGCCGGGCGTGGTGGCGGGTGCCTGTAGTCCCAGCTACTTGGGAGGCTGAGGCGGGAGAATGGCGTGAACCTAGGAGGCGGAGCTTGGAGTGAGCCGAGATCGTGCCACTGCCCTCCAGCCTGAGCAACAGAGCAAGACTCTGTCTCAAAAAACAAAACAACAACATCAACAACAAAAAAACAAAAACATGTGCTGTGACTGCAGAGTTCGGGCATTTTCCATTACACCTGGTTCTGTTTAAACCTGACCCATTTCACCTTTATAGATTCAGCAACTACCAGTCTCACCTTCTCGTACATCTTATACATATTTAGCTTTACCCACCCGCCATGATTTAAATCTCTCATACTTTTTCCCATCCTCATCCTGTTGGTCATGCCCTTCCTGCTGTTGTTTCCTTGATCTTTAGTAATTTTCATTTAGATAACATCTACTAATCTCTCCAGGTTCTGTGCAAATGTCTCTTCTTCTCTGAAGTCTCTTTTAACCTATTGAGTTTTCCCCTTACCCATGCAATATTTCCAGAGCATGTGATACATACTTCTATTGCTGCACCAATCTCATTTTTGTAGTTATTTATTTGTGTATCCATAAGTCACCATGACTGCTTGAAAACAGAGCACTTTTCTTCTTACTTTGTTGTTTATGACACAGTGATTGTCCCATCAAACATGCTCATACATATTGAATGAGTGAATTCTCTACCCATCTCAAACCAATGCGTTATGGCAATGGCACACACCATTAGTTTTTGTAAGTAACTTTTGAAAGTTAAGCCAAAAGTATCTTCATGTTAATTAATAGTGCAATTTTGCACGTGTTGGAATAGTTGAGAATTGGTTATTCTTAAGATTTATTTCCTGCCCAAACACCACAGCTCCATATTTCACGATTTTCCAATATAACTTATCATCTTGGCTGTAAAGAATACCTTAATTTTGGCCTTAGGTAGGATAGATATGTTTGATTGGACTTTCTCTGACTGATTAGGTTAATTTGTCAGCTGGACTCACGGTTCTTCTTTAGTTTTCTTCTATTCTACACTTATGATAACTCTGTGTTTGGATATTTCTTTGTTTATTACAGATATTAAACTTGTAAATTTAATGATTCTCTGTAATTTTTCAGAGCCCATCAGCCCAGGTGTCTTTCCACATACTGATGTAGTAACTGTGAGTGCCTTTAAAGCTCTTGTATCTAAACCATAGCTCTGTTATGGTTAGCCTCTGCTTCATTCATTTAAAACCTATTTTGTGTAGTCACTATTTGCAAAGTGTTTAGCTAAGATAAACCACGTACTTTCCCTGTTCTTGAGAAATTCATAGTGTATCCTTTGGTTTATGATCTAGCCTAGGACTCAATTAGAACATTAATTTTGAAAAGTTAAAGGAGACCTCTTTGGAGATTATGCGTTTGTTTTAGTTGTGCTATTAGTGAGTTTAATCATATAATTTTGCTCAAACAAATTTCTTAAGGGTCTACTACGGGCCTGCAGAGGGGGACCAAGGGCTCAGAATAAATTGATGTAGTGGTTACAGATGCTGGCACTGGATTAAACCTGGATGTGACTCCTGGCTTCCCCCATACTTGCTGTGTGATGCCCTGCAAGTTACAGTAACTATCTGAGTTTTCTCTTTGACATATGAAAAATGTAAATAATAGTATTTCCCATATAGGTATTTGGTGACAATTAAATGAGATAATTAAAATAAGCATAGGACATTATATGACCTTTGCTAAACGTCCAATTTTTGTTGTTTAATTATTGAGTTTTCAATAAATATTTGCCAAATAAAAAACTTAAGGAAAATAAACACTGAAGTTATTGTCATGACTTTCATGTATATCTCCATTCTTGAAGTTTTGACAGAGTTATAAAAATTGAACTCCGAGTTTTGGCTCAAGAAACCTCTGTTAATCTGATATGCATAAATCTTGAATTAAGGTTTCCTTTACTACTGTTACTATTCCTACTGATAATATCTTTTTATAGCATTTATATTTTAATGTATATTTCCCATTACCTCCTAAAATCCTTAGAGCAATCCCTGTGAGGGCTGGTATTATTTTCCTTTATAGATGAATAGACTAACATGTGCAGGGATTAAGAGTCTTGATCTACGCCATTTGGCTCATAAATGGCCAGCTCAGTCCTGGAACTCCCAGGTGTCCTACTCCTGTACTTCTTGCCTCTCTTCCCTAAATTTTGGTTAGTTGAAAAGTGGACAATTATCATCTTCTGGAATCTTCTGTATGTAATGTAATATAGTTACAGTGTGTTTATATAGAGTGGAATATAAGGAGATGGAGATTACTGGCCTAAGGATATGTATAGATATAAATGGAATGTGCACACACATTTTAAATGCATGCTAAGTGGAACATGGAAGTTTTTCATATTGACTCAAAGTGTGGTTTATTTGAAGACATTCAATTATAAATGTCAAGTCAACTTGCATTCAAGTAAATTATTATGTCCCTACTCCTAAAATTTTTAATACAAAGTCATCTGGCCAATGCTTATCTCTTCAGACTCATACCCCGTCATTTGTTCTTTTTTTCAGAATCACCATATGATTCAGCTGTATAGAAGTATTGTGGTGAATACTTGTTTCATACTTCTGTCTTATTATATTCCCTCTATCAGTGTACTCCCTGCCCCTTCTGCAACTCTTGTTTATCCTGGGAAATGCTGGATGATCTTTGAAGATAGCAAATGCTTGCCCCCTCTGTGATACCATCTTTCAACTCTGTAGATTGAACATTTTCTGGCACTTATAGCACTTTAACTGTCCTATCACATTAAACAATGTTGATCTAAGTCAATCTGGGATTCCTTAGCTCTAGTACAAAACCTGGTACAAATGTGGAAACAATTAATATTTGAATTGGGCTAAAAAACTAGGATACATGTTTCTTTGGGAATTTGCTGAAGGAAAATTAGAAGTAAAAAAATTGAGCAACTTTCTAACTGTTTTCTTTCAACTCCAAGTGTTCATTCAATCTGCACATGTTCCTGAACACCTATGAAGTCTCTTCTCCTAACCAGGGATCCAGCAGTAAATAGAACATATAACAATCCTACCCTCATGGAAAATGTTTTCTAATGTAAAGAGATATACAGTAAGTAAGATAAATATATGAAATATCTTACATGGTGATAAATGTTTTAGAGAAAGATAAAGCAGGAAGGTAGAATATACAATACTGAGAGGAACTTGCAGTTTTAAATAGGATGGGCAAGGAAGACTCTGCTGAATAGGTGATATTTGAGAAAGAGGGGAAGGAGATAAAGGATTGAGGTATTAGGATGTCTCAGGGAAGAGCATCCCAAATGTAACAGCAAATGCAAACAACAAGAGAAATGAACACGTATGTCATGTTCAAAGAAGAGCTCAGAGGCCAGAGTGGCTGGAGCACAGTAAAGAATGGAGGAGAAAAAGAAGACAAGTTCATAAAAATCCATAAAAATCATGTAATGTCTTGTAAGTTAAAAGATTGATAGTTAATATGAGTAAAATGGGATGTGAATGGAAGGTTTTGAAAAAGGCTTAATGTCATCTAACTTAGTATTTTGAAAGGATAACTCTGGCTTTTATATTGAGAATGAAATGAAAGAGGGTTGGCACAGAAGATTGAGGATAGGAACAAGGGAAAGAACAGGGAGACCAGTTATGAATCCATTGAAATAGTTCAGGCCAGAAATGATGATGACTTGGTTTATGATGGTAGCAGTAGAGATAATGACAGGTGGTGGGTTGTGAATATATTTTGAAGATAAAGATAAGAGAATTTCCTAAGAGAGCATATATATGTGAAAGAGTCAAGTATGAATCCAAGATTTTTGTTTTAAGCTTTTGAGAGGATAGAGTTGCCATTTACTGAGATGGGAAAAACTGCAGAAGGAACAGATAAGGGGGAAGGTCAGGAATTCAGTTTTTGACAAATTAATTTTGAGATATGTTTAGTCATCAAAGTGAAGTTTCCAAATAGGCAGTTTGTCATTAAATCTGGGGTTCAAGGAATCATTCCAGGAAAGATGAAATTTAATGCTATGGGCCTGGATTAGGTTACCCAGGAAGTGAGTATAAACAGAGGAGAGAAGAGATCCAAAGACTGAATCTTGGGGCATTTCCACATTAAGAGGCTTGGGAGATGAAAAGGAACTGGTTAAAGAGCCTAAAAAGAGAGTGAACAGTGAGGTGAAAGGAAGACAAGGATAGAAGTCAAGAAGAAGTTAGGGATCACTGGCAAACTTCTTCTGTAAAGTGCCAGATAGTAAATATTTTAGGCTTCATAGGCCAAAAGGTCTCTGTTGGAAGAATACAACTCTGCTCTTTTAGCAGGAAAACAGCTATAGATATCAGGTAAGCAAATGAACATGGTTATGTTCTGTTACAACTTTACTTAAAAATGAGGCAGCAGACTTGATTTGATCCATAGGCTATAATTTGCTGATTCCTGTTCAAGAAACCAAACAAATAAACTGTTTCCAGGAGGAAAGAATTATTGATTGTATCAACTTCTGCTTATTTGTCAAAGGTGAAACTGAGGAATTGACCATTAGATTTAACAGCTTGGTAGCTGTATTAGTCCATTCTCACACTGTTATAAAGAAATACCTGAGACTGGGTAATTTACAAAGAAAAAAGGTTTAATTGGTTCACAGTTCTGCAGGCTGTACAGGAAGCATAGCAGCTTCTGCTTCTGGGGAGGCCTCAGGAAGCTTATAATCATGGCAGAAGGCAAGGGCAAACAAGGTTGTCTTACATGGCCAGAGCAGGAGCAAGAGAGAGAGTGGGGAGGAGCCACACACTTTTAAACAACCAGATCTCATAAGAACTCACTCACTATACAGTACCAAGAGGGGATGGTGCTAACCCATTCATGAGAACTCTGCCCCATGATCCAGTCAACTTCCACCAGGCCCGACCTCCAACACCGGGGGTTACAATTGAACATGAGATTTATGTGAGGACACAGATCCAAACCATATCAGCAGCCTTTAGTGACCTTGATGAGTAGTTTCAAAAGGTGTTGAGAGGAAAGGCAAAATTGAAAGAGGGATTTGGGTTAAGAGAGAATTAAGGAGAGAAATAAGAGGTAAGAACAAGTCAGCACTTTGGGAGGCCAAGGCAGGTGGATCACAAGGTCAGGAGTTCAAGGCCAGCCTGGCCAACATGGTGAAACCCTGTCTCTACTAAAAATACAAAAATTAGCTGTGCATGGTGATGCGTGCCTGTAATCCCAGCTACTCTGGAGGCTGAGGCAGGAGAATTGCTCGAACCAGGACCCGGGGGGTGGAGGTTGCAGTGAGCCGAGGTCACGCCATTGCACTCCAGCCTGGGGCTACAGAGTGAGACTCTGTCTCAAAAAAGAGGTAAGAGAACAAGTGTTAAAAAGTGAACGCGTTTCAGTTTCACATTTGAGGGGAACAAAGAAATGGAGCTGAAACTGTAAGTGGGAAATACGGTCAAGAGAGGATGTTTTTAAGATGGGAAAATAATAGCGTAGAATACACACAGGAATGACCCAGAAGAGAGGAAGAAATTGGTGATGCAGGAGAGAGTGGAGCTAATTGCTGGAGCCATGTCCTTGAGTAGGTGAGAGGGAATGAGATCTAGAGCACACAGGGTGGGGTCCGTCATCGGAACAAAGACTGGTGATCCACAGTGTTGGTCACCAACGCAGGCCCATGGGAAGATATGTTGACATGAGGCTAGGGAGCAACTGTTTACTGATTACTTCAATTTTCTCAGATAAATGAGAAACAAGGTCATTGACTGAGAGTGGGGAAGGAGGTGTTGGAGGTGTGAGGAAAGGGGAGAGAATAAAATAGCCATTCAGACTGGAGGTTCTCAAACGTTGCTACATACTAAAATGACCTCAGAGAGCATTTAAAAATTCCAAAGGCCAGATTGTAACCAAGACAACTTTACTCAGAATTTTGGGGTGATGCCTTGCTTTAGTACTTTTTAAAGATTCCCCAATATTCAGGTAAATTTGAGATTGAGTAAGATTACTGAGTCATACTAGGAGCCAACTTGAATCTAGTGTTCATGAATTCAAAATGTGACTAGTCAGATTATGTGTTTTCCTCCAGAAGTTTCCATAGCATGAGAGTGAACAGTGAATGAGTGGAGAGTTGGTGGTAACCGGGGTTTAAGATTTATCAAGTGGGCACCAGATTTGAGAGGGAGCAGAGCAATTTAAAGATGTATTCAAAAAAGTGTTTACAATACACTGTAGAGTTTATGCTTGATAAAAAGAGAAGTGATGCCACGAAGGGCATAAGGAATAGTGAAAAGCCAGTAGAATGAATGCATTGGAGGGCCTGGTAATATCAAAGTGTTGTTGGAATGGGGTACTAGATGGAATCATCTGGAGACTTAGAAGGTGGAGGTCAGAAAGTGTGATGTTTATAACTGAGTTTCTAACAACATCTATCGTATGACCACAGAACCAAGTGGCCAAGGCAGGGTGGAGGACAAGGTCTCTGGAGTCAAAAAGTTCAGTGAATTACTAGGGCAAGATGGTGAGAGAATTGTTTTCAACAGACATTTAAAGTACCAGAAGTTATGACAAGCATCATATGTTGGAGAGGGTAACAGTTAGGCAGGAGCTAAAATCTTCAGGTAGTGAGGGAATGATACCACCCATACTTAGATAGCTCCTCATTTTCCTACTTTCACAGATACTGATTCCATCTTTAGACATTTTGAACAATGCAACAATGTTAATTTTCTTATACTTTGTTCAATATACTTTCATGTGTAGTCAGGTACTAGCGTTTTCCTTTTTGCCCCGTTTTATTCTGGTTATTAGTAATTCACTAGTTTCTAAAGCTAATTGTATCATCATTGCTTTTTACACTTGAAATATCCAGTCACTATTTGTGCAGAGCCAATTCAATTTTTCTTCTTGAAAGAATATAACTCTTAGCTACAAGAATGGTCCAGCAATGGTAATAGAATTATTCTCCATGGAGAATACCTTTTTGCTTCTCTAGCTCTCCCTTTTAACATTAGCCTTAATCTGATAGCAAAATCAGCAGTCCTAAAACAAAAGGAAAAATAATGATGTTTCTGAAAAGAGAGAGTCAGAAGAATTACCAGCACACTGAATATGTATTTCAGTCTCTTGTGTAACAAGTTTGTTGTTGTGATGGTTGTTTTTTGTTTTCCCTTTGGCAATGGCAATGTATTCTGGGGAAAAAATGCAGTATGTTGATTTTTTAAAAAGCCTATTAAAAATTTCCAAAGATAAAAATGCCTGAAGCCCTTAATCTACCACATGAAATTGTAAATGATCCCCAGTGGTGGAGTTCTCTGTGATGCAAGTTCATCATAGTTGACTGATGGATATTTTCAGATCATTCCTGAAGTTGTAGTGCATTTGAACAATGAGTATTGTAGGTATAGTGTAGAAATGTTCATCTTTCTATGACTGAGATGGCAGAGCCTTTTAGCTAAGACTCAGTGTGATTTATTACCTCTATCTACATCAATCACCAAACATGCAAATCATCTTGACTCTCAGGAGAGCCATGACTCATTCACTGATATAGAATGTTTCTCCGTCACTTGGCTGGAGCTCTCTTCTCTCACCTCCAGTGTTTTACACAGTCTGTTTCACAAATGTGAACAAACTGATTTCTCTGCCATCCCAGTTTTCTCATCTCTTCAAATTGATGGTTTTTTCCAGCACATCTTTACTGATTAAGCTAGATCATATTCCCACTCCATTAAATCTTACTGACCATTCTTACCTGCTCATATTTATATATCAAGTCAAACGTCTGTTAACGTGTGAAGTTTATTATAATCAGTCTGTGTTCTCTGTTTAAATTATCCTACCTCATTTTTATATTAATTTCTTACATAATTCTTTTGTCAAACATGTATAACTTGGAGTTGAAATAGCCTTGTGTAAATCTTGAATCTTACTCCCCGCACCTTCTGCCACATTGTCCATTTATGATGCTTGTAATTAGTTTGTAGATTTGACTTTTTAAGTGAAATATTCCAGAGCAAGAGTTTTCTGTCAAGAGGGAGTTTGCAGTTAGGTTGAGGACAAATGCATATATGGGTCACCTGGCTAATTTTTTTTTATTTTGTACAGCATATACATTCCTTATTTCTAGCCTACTTCCACAAACAAGTCTGTTAAGGCTCAAGGGTCAAGTATCTCAAATCTGATAAAATATTATGCTTAGGTCAGACACGGTTGCTCACACCTGTAATCCCAGCACTTTGGGAGGTCAAAGCAGGAGGATCTCTTGAGCGCAAGAGTTTGAGTCCAGTCTGGGCAACATAGCAAGATCATGTCTCTACTAAAAATTAAAAAAAATTAGTTGGGCATGGTGGTGCATGCCTGTAGTCCCAGCTACTCAGGAGACTGAGGCAGGAGGATCACTTGAGCCTGGGAGATTGAGAGTGCCGTGAACTATGGTTGTGCCACTGCACTCCAGCCTGAGGGACAGAGTGAGACCCTGTCTCAAAAAAAAAAAAAAAAAAAAAAAAAAAAAAAAAAAAAAGGAAAGAAAGAAAGAAAAGAAAAAAATTCTGCTTAGTCCCATGCTGTAGGTAGAATGACTCTGGCTTTTAATGGCCTGCCTTGATAAGAGGTCAGGTGCACTTTCTCACACATCATGCCATGTCCCTCAAAGGAGGACTCCTTATTAACATTGATACTAAATAACTGATAAGCTAATCATGGAGTTTAACTTAATACACCTGAAAACGATCCTAAAATGATCTAAAAATCTCCTGGGTTTTTTTCTTTTCACAGAGAAGGAAATTGAAACAGTCCTCTTTCAGGACCCCTGAACCAATATTTTTTCTATTATGCCATACTACCTCTAAAATAATTGTTTGCTAATAGCCAGCTATATGCAAAGAAATATATTAAGGCATTAAAAATGTTTGAAGATATGATTTATTCCTCAAGGCCCTTAACATCCCTTTGGCAAGATAATGCAAACTACCTGTGCCTCTCTTACACTTCTTAGCAAGATATCTGTATTTTGTGATGGTCTATATTGTGTTTTCTTCTCTTCTCCTCCCAGCCTTGTCTTCCTGTTTACCATCTGAATGTGGTAAAAATGCAGATCTACCTTTCTTCCCAATGCTGAAATAGGGCCTGGCTCATAGTTGGCATTCACGGCAGTTAGGAGAAGGACTGAAGAGAAGCCTGCACTTTCTCGTTTTTGTACATGCTCTGCACAAATCCTGAAGTATCCTAACTCAACCCCTAATTATCCCCAGCTCTTTAAGCCCTACTTATCTCCCTTTAACCTTTGCCTGCCTCACTGTTCATACCCCCTCTCCCATCGCTGCTTTTGGGTTTGCATCTACCTCCTGTCCCTGTTTTATCCTATTGTATTTATGCATATGAGTATTAAAATCTTAAAATATACCAGTACCTTAAATAAGAACTGAGGGATAAAGCAGATATCCCTCCAATTTGAGGGTACTTTTTTTCTATTTTATTCTCCAGAACTGATCAGTGCCACAAAATATGATGAGAGAGCAAGGTGTCTGTTTTCTCTTTCAGTTTCATTGTTCTAAAGACAACACTTTCAGTGTAGGTGCTGTGTATCCATTGCCTGTTTGAATTTACAGTTGTTTTCCAGTGGTGCTGCCTAACTCTTTGCTAATATCTATATTTGACATTAGGTCATCTGGGCAGCTTGCTGTAATCATCTGTGAGAAAGCTCCTCTGGAACCCACCAATGGGCACTAGAATCAAAACTTTGGTTCAGTCTTATAATTTCCTCATTTATAATGTGGGGATAATTATAGTACCTTCCTTGTGGAGTTCTTGTGAGGATTAACTGAGTCATTGAATGTAAAGCACTTAGAATACGGGAAGCACTCAGTAAATATTGTTCATATGGCGCTCTTCAGTAGCCAAAATATAACACCACACTATTTGCATTTAGTACCTTTCTGTTGTGGAAGCTTCTATTCAAACAAGGGTATGTATTTCATTTATTTTTAACGTTTTGCTTTTGAGAAAGCTTGAGATATATTTCATAGTTGCCTACAGGCAAAGGGAGACACCAATAAATTGAATTCTGCATCCTGGATCATAAGGTAAGTGCCGAATCTGACCACAGGATCAGTGCTTCTGCCACTAAACCCGAGTATCATCAACCTTACTGGTTCTTTGCTTAGATACTCTTGTCCAAAGTTCTTAAACGTATCAGCAATACCATCATGCATCTTTCTTTTATTATTATTTTTATTTAAATAAAAAGCCTACAGCACCCGGTATTCCCAGGCACTCTCCCATTCAAGTACTAACCAGGCCCAACCCTGCTTAGCTTCTGAGATCAGATGAGACCAGCCATGTTCAGAGTGGTATGGCCATAGACTCATGAATCATTCTTAACTAGAGAGCAATACATTTTAGCTAGGAAAACTCCTGCATTCAACTATAATTTCATATAATGTAAATATGTTTTAACTATATTAAATAACTTCTCCAAATATGAAACACACATATATATCATTTGGTCTAGATGGATCCTTGACTGTAATTTACTTTGCTGAAGTGTCCATCTCTCTATCCACATTTGGATTATTTAAATTACTTGGAGAGCCAAGGTGGCTCCCAGACTAAAATTTCCCCAATTGTCCTTCCACTGCTACTTGTTCATGTAGGAAATTTCTCCATCCTGTACACAGACATCAGAGTACTCTACTCCAAAGAGGCCCTAGGATTTTTATCTCTTCCCCTTTCCCAGTCCTTCTGACAACTCTCCCTCCACTGTTTAAAGCAGTATTAAAATTATCCAAATGTTCATCATTGCCTCTTTCTACTTTCAATATTCCTCTAGCAGTGCCACTAATCTAAAGCATATGCTGATTTCTCTTCCCTCATGAATTATGATTTATAATGGATTAGCATGAGCCTAGGAACAATGTACTTCCTCTTGTCCCAGACATGTTTAGAGCTTTCCAATTTACGCTAACATTGGAGTTTGTCATGGGGGCATTTTTGCCCATCTATTTTTATTATATTTTAGTCAATACTGTGTTATATTTCCATATCATATTATTCTGATATAAACAAAAATCACAAGGTAAAATACAAGTATTCATTATTTTCTTAGTATTTATCTTATCCACTGAGTAGCTTTGACTATACTTAAAAAAATTCTCAGCTTATTTAATAGATTAAAAATTATAATCTGTAATGAATTAATTGGAAATAACCAATTAATATAGTGAGGGAATGAAAGTATGTCACAAAAATCTTTCTGAAAATGTTTCAACGACATAAGTACAAACAACTCTGAGAAGTACAAACAACTACAGAGAAGGCATAACAAATATGTCATGATTGTCAATATTTTAAATTCACCACTTCAGGTAGGACAAAGGATGTTAAAATATTTTTCTTTGAATATTTAATATCACTAATAGGACCAAAAACATTGGAATAGCATGTGTGTGACATAAGCTCAAAGTTCTAGAGCAGTGCTATTCAATAGAATTTTCTGCAGTAATGGAAATTTTCAATATCTGCACTTTCCAATATGGAAGCAACTAGCTACATGTGGCCATTGAGCACCAGAAATGTGGTTAGTGTAACTGACCTGATGCTGAATTTTAAATTGTCTATAAATTTTATTTTAATTAAATTATAAATTTAATGATAAATAGCTACATGGGGCTATTTGTCTGCAATATTGGATGAACAGTAAAACTTTAGAGACTTCCAGGCTTCTGTTAAGACTGTAATTCACACAAGGCTGGGTCATCTTGTGGTCACTATTAGGCCAGTGTCACACTACAAAGCAACACAAATCCTACATTAAAACAACCACATAAAACGACCTATAAGAAACTACCACATCACACTGAAAAATAATTTTGATATTTACTGTTTTGCAAGCGTGTCAAAATATTTAAGGATCCTTTTCACACATCTTTCTCCTTGAAAACCTCTCACTATGCTTCTTCAGTGCTTTCTTCTTGTTTCTCCTCCAAATATTTTCCCCAAACTTACCTATATATCTCAGGCATCCTTCCTTTCTCTCATCCTCATCTCTTCTCTACACCTTTTAAGATCTGTCTCTTTATCCATTATCCCCACACATCAACAGGTCCCTGACCATGCACACTAAACACAAAATCCTCATCCCCAGAGAAGAGACTTGCTATCCGTCACAAGAATAAATATTTGTAAAGGCTAAATTGGGGGCTATATATTAGAATCATTTCTAGATGTCACCCTTTTTTCATCCTCTAGGCAAGATTATTTCTAATACGAATTTCATGAGGCCTCTAGAGTTTAAGAAAAAAGCTAATGCTTATTGAATGCTTTGAGTAGTAGGAGCACCTCAAGGCAATAAGAACATCTCAAGGTCTCTTCCACCTCTTTGATCTGATGAAAAATTGAATAATAAATATAAACTGGGTATGATACAAACCAATGAGCAAATCACTTTTTATGTAAAAGTAATTAACAGGGGAAAAGATTTAAAAAGGATGCCCTTCATCTTCCCTAGATTGGGAGCTTATCCTTTAGACTTTAGGTTTTGTTCATTTGGGATACAGTCAACAAATATTTGTTGAGCCTTGACTGAGTGTTAGGCAGTTTTAAAATTATTTTATTTGTATTGGTAATAAAAACATGGTGGTCCTTGCCCATATAGAGCTTACAAATGTTAAAGGAGGCAGAGAGAAAACAAGAAAATCTATAACCTAAATATAAAATTATCAATTGTGATCACTGTAATTAAGAAATTGATGGGGTTGAATAATAGAATAGCAGGATGGGAATGCCATACTAACGCATGGCCATTAGAAACTAAGTGATCCTACATAACACATGTGCACAGAGATGTTCTTTATGGTTTCATAGATTTGATGTTAGTGTAACCCATCCTTTTACATGTTATATGTTGCCATCCTTAAATGGTCTTTGGTAAACCACATCTGAATTTTTGATTAGCAAATGTGAAATAAAGACTTCAGCTTATTCCGTGTAGGTGCTGAATACCAATTAACAATTCAGTATGAATAACATTTCCATCTTTACCTAACGAGCACATTTTTTTTTTTTTTTTTTTTGAGACGGAGTCTCGCTCTGTCGCCCAGGCTGGAGTGCATTGGCGCGATCTCGGCTCACTACAAGCTCCGCCTCCCGGGTTCACGCCATTCTCCTGCCTCAGCCTCCCGAGTAGCTGGGACTACAGGCGCCCGCCACCTCGCCCGGCTAATTTTTTGTATTTTTAGTAGAGACGGGGTTTCACTGTGTTAGCCAGGATGGTCTCGATCTCCTGACCTTGTGATCCGCCTGCCTCGGCCTCCCAGAGTGCTGGGATTACAGGCGTGAGCCACCGCGCCCGGCCCCTAACGAGCACATTTTTTAAAAGGTTGTCCATTTTATGAAAATGAGTAGAAATCGAAAAATGCAGTGCTGATAATGCTAAGAAGGATAGACTCATGGAGATTATTATGCATATTGTATTAGCATCAGGTGGCTGTAAATGCATTAGATATAAGCTGGTAGATGGTGGGCTACATGAGGAAGAAAAATAAAATCAAAGAAGACATAAAACTTGCTGACACTACAACAACCTCAAAGTTGTGCCTAAAAGATGAGATTTAATCGAGTATTTTTAAAAACTAGATGCTAGATCTTATGGAATAGAAACTTGTTTCCTATCATGTAAGTCTATTAAAATTTTTCCCATTAAGAATTTATTTAAAAATTCGTAACTGCATTATGTAGAAATTACATGGAATATGTCTTATACTTTGTCTTTTCCCCAAAAGTGTTATTTCTTCCCATTTTATACCTAATAGAGTAGAGGTTAAGTAAATGGAGGAACATAATAGAACTAGAAAGTTGCATAGATAGGATTAAAATGTAGAATGTTTTGGCTTCAAAGTCTCTGTTCTTTCTAGTTCATGACTTCTTTATAAAAATATATTTATCAGTGTTTTTGGTTGGATCATCACAAAAGTGGGTTCTTCCTTCACTTGTGTAGACAGAAATAAAGAGTGAAATTATAACATACAAGGGAGTAATTTGAAACATGCTCATTTTTCTTGCTGTTGTCGAAAATGAGTATTTTATATTGTTTTCTTTTTAAAACACAATTTGCTCCCCTGCACAGAAAAATATACCCGTTTTTCTTTAGAAATTTACTAAATTTTTAATTTGCTAATCCCAAGGGAAGGATTATTTTCTTAGGATTAAGTATAGTCAATTGGTATTATGATGTTGGGAAGTAAAGTGCAGAATTCTATTAAGGACTTAGTGATTTGGATTTGTCAAAGAAGAGCCACTCCGTGATGTAATTTGCATGGTCATATATATATGCAAAGTTCTGTTTCAGCTTGGAGACTTTATCTTTGAATTTTCACTGAGAAGATATTGGCTTATTCCTATTTTAGAATCTGTTTAGCCATGACTCTGGACACACATGTATAGAAAGAGTAACTCCTTTGTACATGTGCTTTTGAAATATTGCCTATGATCGGTGCCTCCTTAGGGAAAGTGAGTTTTTTGTTAAGAGTCTGAAAGTCTATTTAGGAAAGTTGTTTTCAAAGAGTGTCCTGAAGGTTACTTGGTCTGACTTAACAGCAAAGTCAATTTAACAGTAGTCTGCCTTGCAGAATCCTGGATCTATCAGAGATTGAGTTCTCCATGCTGTGTGGGAAAATTATACTGGCTGATTTTGGGAGAAGTTACTGTGGGAACACATTTTGGCACATTTCTGCTGAAGCCAGAAACCTGAATGCTTTGTTCTTTGTGAGGTATCAAAAATAAAAATTCCTGAAATTCTGACATCCTGCCTGCTCCCTTATCTGGGTTAAATGCTGTGGTAAACTTCTCTTTTGGTTGAAATATTTAAAAAGGAAAGCAATACATATGAACAGACACATATTTATACACACACACACACATACACACACACACTTGCATTTCTTTACTTGAACTATCTTGTTGAATCCTAATTACTAAACTCACATACTGCTTCTTCCCAGGGAATATAGAATATTACTGTTATCAAGATACGCCACACCTATCCTCATTGGCGACCTACCCCCTCAATTCTCCTTGCTGGTTTATTGGATTAAAATAGAGAAGCAGAAATCTTATGTAGGAGGAATATGTTGACAAATGGTGGGTTTTGTCTTGATAATTTCACCAAATATGTGAATTGACTTTGTCAGTCATTAAAGTAAGTGTGCTGAATGCCCTCTGTGTGTGTATCAGGATAAGTGGTCTAATCAAGTTCAAATGTTCTGTGTCTATTTGGCTCAGCTTAATTAAAATTCAGCCCTGCTTTTGAGCAAGCCACAGTGGGTTGGCAGACCTTCAAAGGGCTATATTGCAGCAAACAATAAAAGTGATAAAGGCACACAATAGCAATCAATACAATGCAAATGCCCCTGTTACTCAAAAATCCAGTGGAAAGTGATTGCTTGAAACATGCTTATCCACTTCTCATCATAAAATTAAAGTTTTTGCATCACTTTATTTGTAAGTTTGCCTACACTCTCCTTGTCAATGGGCTTGCTTTTTTTTTAACTACGAATGGAGTGAAAGAAAATGATAGTAAGATAAATCAGCTCAATACAAATCAAATACTGTTTAAATTTTTACAGCTTTTGTTTTATTTGTTACACATATGGGTGAAAACTTACTCAAAGGATTTTTACCTGTATGAGGAAGACAGCCGTAATTCATCCTCCATTCATTTGTAGTGGAGGTGGTATATTCTTGGTGATCATCCTTTTTTTTTCTTCCAGTCCACTGTTTTTGGCTGGCTGCCATGGTCCCAGATTTTCTCACAAACTGCCATCTGGCATTCTTGCTGTCCCTCACATATAGCTTTGTCAGGACCTCCTCCAAGCAGGCTGGAGAATTTCACAGCTTGGGGGCATGGGAGTATACACGAAGTTGCAGCCACTTCAGGGTTGATTTCTCACCTACAACCCACATATCTGTCACTGCTAGATGTTTAGTGGAAAGAGCTGCTAGGGCACTGGAGATTAGGGGACCTGGAAAGAAGTACCCACTCACCTCTGATGAGCTGTATTTTTAGTCACTCTGTATTTGAAGAATAGAGATTTTTAAAACCTGATCTCTGTATTTTACATAATCATCGTGGAACATCACTGTGGGTAAATTATTATGAAAGATACTTCTAGAAATTCAAGATGGAGATATTGATATTACAATATCTCTTATAGCACACATGATTGTTGTATCATCTCAAAGTTTTCAATGAATGCTTTTATCTGTAAGCATTCATTGTAAGACTGAATCTGTATATATAATTCCACAATGTAACTAAAATATAAGAGAAGGAAAGTTTCACATCTCATCCAAGTTAGGTACATGAGGCCACCAATTGCAGAACTCTAGAAGTATTTTTGTTACAGTTTTTCAACCCAGTGAAACACTATCTCTTCTGTGTGTATGCTTTAAGTTTCATTTTGGCTTCTAGGCTTTAATCAAGCACTGAGATAATTATTATAAAGGTATGCTTCACCATTGTATTAACTACATCACTGACTTCAATAGCTGAAAGAGAGGCACTGGGATAGCGCCATCACAACTGTTCACAAAATTCTGGCCAGTGGAACAGCTAGTCACAAGGCCAAGGTTTTGTGAACTGTGTCTATGGCTGTATCTCAGTACATCTCTTATCTTCTGCAGTGGAAGCCAATGCTTCTCACTTCTTTTATATTTCATCCATTACCTACTTATTGCCCTTAAATCATCCTAAACTTTGATTGTTTTGTTATTCTGTTAAAACCATAAATGGCAGAAAATAAATTTGAAAACTAATTATTAACATCAGTAACATGCTCTCTTAACATGCTGAAGAATATCATACTTTCAAGTGAGAGCAGCCAGATCAAGTGTTAATTTTTGTTTTAGATGCCATGTTAAGATAATAGCTTTTAGAAAAGACGTACACCTCTATTGATACACTGACGCATATACAAGGTTCAATGAAATTCCTACTGTAGAGTATTGACTGTGACATTTATATTTTGTGTCAAACAATTATATAGATTCTGAATGTCTACGAAGCAAAATTGTAAACACAACTAACATCACTTCTTTCTTAGATAATTTAATCAAGATTTCCCTGTGAACATAAAATATAGAATAGTTAGTGGTTAATATTTTTGGGAAATTTCCATCATAGTATAATAAATATTTGGGGAAGACAAACCTATACTTGTAAAGAATAAAATTTTCTTAAAAAGTGTCATGAATATATTGCTCAAATTTATTCTAATATAGTTTATGATAGAAAAATTATTTCTAGGTAGTTATGTTAAATAGTTACGAAAAATGCCAATGAATGTCAGGTTAAACAAGTTTGCAGTACTTTCAAGACATGGAGTAATTTGGTAAATTATTGTATTTTAACAACAGATGTATTTTCTGATTTTTTTTTATGTTCTGAATTTTAATGTGCAGAACTTACACTATAGTAACCAAGCAAAAATCTCAAAGGGTATTCTTTTTCCAAAGCCAAAAACAAATTAAAAATTAGATGGACCAGTGGCCCCCAGGTCGGCACCCCTACTCTCCAATTGAACAGTTACTTCATTCCTAAGTGCATGTGACCATAATCTGCTTTGAGCATTATATTCAAACTTTATCAGTCTTTGTTTCAGTCTGTCCAACTTCTGAGCCCAATCCTCCAGCCTTCCTTTGAGAACATATCTAGAATAAGCTTACCTTGTATTACATCTCAGAAGTTTCTTAAAACTAAATCGGGGATAGTATCATTGGTAAGTAAGCTTTCGTTGATCTGGATAGGAGATATCTGCCTGAAATGTGAATTAATCTGAAATCCTTAGACATACTAAATAGTTCTCTATTTCAGTGAAACAGACAAGTATTCACCGATTCTTTTCAGTTTGTTATCTGAAGCTTAAGTTTCCTACTTAGTTTTTTCCTGTTGCTCACTTTTGACCTATAACTAAGAATGAGGCCGAAGATATATACCATCAGGTTGCCAAAGGAGAAACAAAGTAGGTAGGTTCTGGGGCCAGCCACTCTGCCAGTGACCGTCTGTTGAGATCTTTCTATATATAGAGTCAACCAACTGCAAATATATATGAGACCAGGATGTCTCCAGTATAGAATCAAAATGCCAGATTTGAGCATCCTGTGTGGCTCACCCAACAATGATGGTATCCATATGTTAGATGGTTTTATTTTGTACTGCTTTCATATAAACTCTTCGGAGGCCTTTGAATAGGGATTTTTTTCTTCTATAATTTTAAATACCTCAATGCCAATGAGATATGAAACTCATAGCTATAACTTCTCCTACAATTAGGGACAACAATTTAAATTTGGAAAAGTAGATGACTAAACAAATGTATATGAACATATACATCTTCAAATATAAATGCTTTCTTAATGGAGGCTTGCTCATAGAAATCAGAAATGTATAGTTTGTTTGCTGTTGTATCAACCTGCATTTGACTATGATTCTGTTCTAAATGTAAGTCTTGTCTCAATTTTTGAATTTGTTATGGAGTCTTTTAAAGAGACAGGAACATATCAATAGAAGAAACAGATTCTACTGTGTGTATACTTGTGTTTGTGTATGAGAGCATTCACAAAATATTCATACTTTTAAACTAACTCCCACAGAAAAATTTAAAACTAAAATCACTTAAAACATATGATTGGCAAGAGCTTCAACAACCTGAGAACTCTATGCTTATCAGATGAAAGAAGAAGCAGCATTATGAAAATGTATCTGGATACCATAAGATAATTTCAGAGTACATCAGGTGAAAACAGTGAGAGGGGCTCTTTGTTCATCTGACCTTATATTTTATAAAAACTCAACCTTCGATTCCATGATAAATAGAATATCAAAATCCCATAATGTCAGATATGTATCTCATCTTTGATCTTCTGAAATGTTATGTATGTCAAGTTAAAAAATCTTGAACTTTGATGGTAATAATAACATGCAAATATTTTGATCAAAACTGGTTACTTTGCAAAGACCGAAATGATATTGAAGTACTTGTTTTTTCAAGAGTCATATAGAGACATAAATATATTTGGATAGCATAAAACTTAGGAACAAATTATTGTTAATGAGAGTTCTGAGATAGAATTTTATATTTAGATTTAATACTTTTAAAATAACATTTTTCAAAATGCAAATTGAAATATTATATGGATGCATACCATATTATGCACAGGTAGCGTTTATTTAACTTTTGTTTCACAATTATTTATTGAATGTCTTTTTTTGTGGGAGATGCTATAGTAGGCACTAGTAATTATGTGAATAATAAAATAGATGCAATCCCTGACATTGTGGACTTACTTTCGAGTTTGGTGCTATAAAACTTGGTTCTCTTTCAGTCAAATCTAGGTTGAATTATTGGCTTCAGTTTTTACTGACTGAATCCATTTGAATTTCAATACCTTATGAGAAAGCTATGGCTTAGATAGAATATAAAACTTGGTAGTCAATAATGGAACTAGGAAATAAAGCCAAGCTTGCCTGACTCTCAATTCAATAATTTCCCCGTTATTCTAGATTAGATAATAAATGTATAAGTGTGAATTTAAAACTGCAAAGTATGGGCTGGGTGCGGTGGCTCACACCTGTAATCCTAGCACTTTGGGAGGCCAAGGTGGTGGATTACCTGAAGTCAGGAGTTTGAGACCAGCCTGGCCAACATGGTGAAACCCCATCTCTACTAAAACTACAAAAATTAGCTGGGCATGGTGGCACATGCCTGTAATCCCAGCTACTTGGGATGCTGAGGCAGGAGAATTGCTTGAGCCTGGGAGACGGAGGTTGCAGTGAGCTGAGATCATGCCACTGTACTCCAGCCTGGCTGACAGAACGAGACTCTGTCTCAAAAAAAAAAAAGAAAAAAAAAAAAAAAGAAGAAAAAAAAAAGAAAACTGCCAAGTATGGTAGAAATAACAATTGGCTTTATAATAGCTATTTAATTTTATTTAATATTCCTTGGCAATTTTATTTATATAATTAACCAATATTCATTGAGTGCCTACTATTTGGCAAACATAGTTTGAGATCTTGGGGATATTTTCAGGAACAAGAAAATAAGTCCCACTTCTCAGAGTACTGAAGTTTTAGCATGAAAATATAGACAATAAACAAATACTTGAGAAAATGTTTAGTGCTAAATGCTATGGTAAAAAGTAAATCAGGGAAACTAGATGCTCAGGAAATCTTTCCCAAGTGGACCTGAATGACTAAAAGAGCCAACCATGCTAACATGTGGGGAAGAATGTTTGAGAAAGAAGGAAAATCTAGTGCAAAGCCCTGAGAATGGAATGAGGTTGGTATGATCAAAGGTCCAAGAGAAATCAAGTGTGGCTAGAGCACTAGCTTTTAAAATGTGATTACCAGATCAGCAACCTCATCATCCAAGTATTTATCAGTATTCTAGGCATGTTAATTTCCTTGATTTGAAAATTATGCTGTGATTCGGTAAGACCTTAACATTCAGCGAAATTGCGAGTAAAGGGTATATGGCAGGATTTCATTGTCCTATTTTTTGCAATTTTTTGACAAATTTGAAAATATTTGCAAATGAAAATTTAAAAAAGAAATGAGCAATTATACAGCAAAAATGAAAGGTTTTAAGCAGTGCAACCAGTGGAATACTGTGATCTAGTTTGGGTTTTAAGAAAAATATTATTGCTATATGATATAAAAAATGGGTTAGAAGAGGGAATTTAATGCAAGCGCAATGACCGGTGAAGGAGCTGTTGCCATTGTCCAGAGGAGACATGATGGTGGCTGGCACTGGGGTGGCGGCAGTAGAGATGAGCTGTGAACAAGTCGATCCAAGATAATATAATTTGAAGATACAATTGGCAAGGCTTACTGATGGATTGATTGTGAGAAAGAGTTAACAGAAATAGAAAAGTCAAGGATGCTTAGGTTTTAGACCAGAGCCACTGGCTTGATGCTAGTGATATTTATTTATTGAGAAGGCAAAGATTGAAGTAGGAGGTTGTCAAATAATGGCACTTGATTAATTTTTACAAGTAAATTATTAAAGGAAATCTAAACGGACAATTTGCATTATCTTTGAGTATTTGTGATTATTAGCTGGTAGTGACGAATTTAACTTGATGAATGCCATATTGTCTGTAAATAAATTAACTCACTTGAGTGTTCTCATATTTTTCCCGATTTTTTAGTTGAATGCAGCTTTAGAACATTAAATTGTGCCATATATTAAATAAAATAATTAAACAATACCAACAAGCACTCTTAATTTGCTCTTCTAAATTTTATATCCTTATGTAGTTTATTATTTTATTCAACAAATACTTGTGGAGTGGCTACTTTGTACCAGGTACTCTTTTCATCACTGGAAATATAACACTGAACAAATAGGCTGAAATCTCTGCCCTGATAGAGCTTTCATTCTGGTACATTCTAGAATGAGGCATTTTAAGAAAAAAAAAAGTATGATATGTGGGTGAAATAGACAGTTTAAACAAGAAGTAAAATGACTATTAAGCCAGTTAATACCAAGGATATGGACCAAATTGAAGCCAATAAGGAGCATTGATAATATGAGAAAGGAAGGGTTTGGGTCTGGAGGGGGTTTTAACTTAAAATAAGGTCATTTGGAAAGACCTCTTTGATTAAGAGTTAAGGGATGGAGTTACAAAGTGCTAAGAAGAGAGGTCATAAAAGTGGGGGAATAGGCAGATATAGGAAGCTTTGTATGCTTATTTCAAAGACGACCCTGTGATTGCCGGAATGACTGGAAGGATGGCATTGCCATTTATCGAAATGGAGAAGACAGCCGAAAGAGTGGGTCTGGATTGTGGGCATGTTTGGGAGGTCATTTTGGACCTGATAAATTTGATATGCCCTTTAGACTTCCAAGTAGAGATTCCAGTGGCTGGTAGGATCTAAGAGATCATAGATCACATGAGAGGCCCATACCTCTGAATAGCAAATGTTGTATCAAATTAAGAAGTTATATTTCAGGGTTTTTTGTGTTTGTTGTTGTTGCCAAGGAATTGATATACAGGAATAAGTTCCTGATAGGTTTAAATGCAGTGAAGAGTGATTTTCTCAATTCTCGTGAGAATTTGGATCAGAATAATTTTATTTCAATGAAAAATCTGAAATATCAAATGCAGCTTAATTGCATTGACATTATTAAAAGAATGAGGACTTAAGCATATGGCAAATTTAATTAAAATATTACTCTTATAGAAGAGTGATCATAGTAGAGGACTTTTTTCTTTCTTAAAGCAAATTATATGCCTTCAGCAGTACTTATTTTTACAAAATGCAGAAGACTGTATTTAAGATGATTTCTAGTTCATGTTATTATGTGGTGAAATAAGGAAATGCATGAAGCTGTGTTATGTTAGTTTGGGTTATCTTCGAAGCCTTTGATTGGGAATTGACTACTAAACACTGTAAATAATATATAAGTACTAAGTTCTGAATGTGAATGTGATCTTACATAGTCATCAAGCCATTATGTGTCCTTTGTTTTCCTATCAAATGTAGGGGGCAATAATGTCAGCTATTATATATTTATTTTAAAAAATATTTTGAAAATGAGAACAAGGCTATAGATATACCTATAAATGTGAATATATTTTCAATTCTTCAATAAAATATGTTTTAAAATAAGAAAACCTGTTCTTTTTCTCATCTTCACTAATCTCTTTTTAGCAGGAAAGATTATTTTTTGTTTGCAAATAACAAGGCTTAGGCATTAAGTAAGCGCTAGGGAGAGGAACAATAGATCTACCCTAGAACAGATTGAGGAATCATACTTAAAAGACCCATATATTAACTTGGAAATAAGAGGTAGAAGAAAAGGAGGAAAATTAGGAGAAATTACTTTGCTAGAGATTGTTTTGCATTGATCATCAAATGATAAAAATGTCTTCTTTGAGGTTTTCATTTAGGATCTCTGAACTAATATTCATATTATTGCTGTAGAGGTATTATAAATTCCCAGTCATTAGCATAAGGATTTAGTGACAGATCTGAGGTTCTCCAAAAACACCTCAATGCCAAGCAAATGATTCTGCTATTAGTCTTCTTAATGCACCTGGCAATTTCCTGTCTTTCTACTTTGATCTTCTTTCTCTTCTCAGGTTTGCAACATTAAGAAAGGGGTAGTGGCAAAAAGAAAGAATGTCAACTTAGAAGGCTAACTTTGGGGGAAATCAGTATAGCCGAGGCATCCCCCAAAAGCTTCCTTTGCGTTAATGCAAACTTCCACACAATATTTACCAACTTCTATGAACCAGAAAAGGCTCATTCTTAAAAAAAAAAAAGACAGCTTTATTGAGATATAATTTACATACTATATAATTTACCCATGCAAAATTTAAGATGCAGTGGATTACAGGATATTCACGGTGTTGTGCAACCTTTACCAAAATTAATTTTAGAACATTTTCATCATTCCAAAAAGAAACCCCATGCCCATTAGCAGACAGTCTTCATTTTCCTCCAAATACAACCCCTCCCTTCCTCAGTCCTGGGCAACTACCAGTCGACTTTCTGTCTTTATGGATATGCTTAGTCTGGACAGTTAATATAAATGAAATCCAGTCATATGTGTCCTTTGTGACTGGCTTCTTTCATGTAATGTAATGTTTTTAAGGTTCACCCATGTTATGGCATCTATCGGTACTTCATTTCTTTTGATTTCCACACATCGTCCATTATATGGATTTAGAACATTTTATTTATCCACTAATCATTTGATGATCATTTGGGTAGTTTCTATTTTGGGCTATTACGAATAATGTTGCCATAAAATTTTTTGTACAAGTCTTTGTATGGGCACTTCTTTTGGGTATGTTCCTAGGAATGGAATTCCTGGGTCATATGATAATTCTATGTTTAATCTTTTGAGGTACTGCCAGAATGTTTTCTAAAGTGGCTGCACTGTTAACATTCCAAACAGCAGTGTATTAGGGTTCTGATTTCTCTGTTGATCTCCACCAACAATTGTTATTTTGTGTGTGTGTGTGTGTGTGATACAATACACTGAACATAAAATGTACCATTTTACGTGTACAATTAAGTGGCCTTAAGTACATTCACAACGTTGTGCAACCATCACCATTATCTAGTTCCAGAGCTTTTTCACAATCTGATTGTAGCCGTCATAGGATGTGTGATATGGTAACTCATTGTGATTATGATTTGCATTTCCCTGATTGCTGATAATTCTGAGCATCTTTTTGTGTGATTATTGGCCATTTGTGTATTTTTAAAGAAATATATATTCAAATCTGTTGCCAATTTTTAAACTGGCTTTTAAAATTATTGAATTATAATAGTGAAAAGACTCATTCTTAAGTTAACAATGAATGTATTACATGAAAAACTCAACCACCCCATGGTTTCAGTTTAAATGTATTTTCCAGGGATCATGGACTTACCCAGTGCGCAGATAGGACATCTTTATGACATCAGAACATTGATGTCAAGTGCCTATTGGTTCAGGGTAGTGTGGAAGAAGTTGTACAAAAGCAGGCACTTTTATACCCTTCTCTCTGAGAACATTCATCTCTAAAAAACATACATGAAAAAACTGCCAAAAACCTGATGCATTTGTGGTGTAATATTAATTTATTGGATATGAACTTGTTTTGTTGTAAACTACCAGAGTGCTTTGAAGAGGAATTTTATTAAATCATATTCTTAAGAAAAGTATTAAATCAGAAGGTGCACATATGGATATGCTTATTAGTAAGATAACTCTATGTTGGTGATATTCAGTGTATAGTTTTCCAGAGCTGAAGTGAGTTTTCTGTTTCCACAGTTTAAATGAAATGTGTTTCAAAATGACACTTAGGATATCTGATGGAGATGTTGTCCCCTGTCATGTTTATCATTTAATCTTATATGGCCTCAAAAAGAGAAAATCATCTTTTTGGCATACTGGCATACTTAATTTATGCAGCATACTATATAAATCCTAAAGGGAGGACTGAGCCAAGCCAGAGAATGGAATAACCTACTTTATTTGCAAATGGATAACCATAGACATGTCCAGTTATTATTAAGATAAACAGGAAATGATGACAAAACCAAGATCTTGGCTATGTTAACAAATTTCAGTTTCTCAGTCTATTTCTGAAAATGTTGAGTTCCTTCCAAGATCCCATGTTCCCCCCACCCCCACAACCAGATTTATTCCAGGCAATAGTAAATACACCTGGTATTCAAGGGAAAATATTCACATATTCACTTTTAAAGCCAGTTTTGAAGGAGTCTCCAAGACATTGAAGGGAACCAGATGGTGTGCAGACCATTCTACAAAGGTTTATGATTAGTTTGGCTAAAGCAGCTGGTCTCTGCAATGAAAGAGTTGTCATGGCAGAAAAATCCCCTTTTCCCTCAGTGCAGCTGGGCTTGTCCAGGGACGACTTTTCCCAGGCAAGTGTTCTCTCTCCATTGGGTGTTTGCAAAGTCTGTTGTACTTAGAGAAGTTAAACCATTTCTGTTGAACCAAGTTGACAAAAAACACAAATAAGCCAATGTTATTTATTTATTTTTTTTAGCTCAGGATGGTTTAATTGCCTTAAAAAAAAAAGTTTTCACCTCTGAGTGGGCCTTTTCTGTCCAGTATTAGAAATAACAACTGAGACTATTCAGGAAAAAAAAAATGGCACTCTTCCAAAAGAGAAAGTGAACTTCAACACAATTCTCAGATTCAAAAGGACTGCAAAGGAGGATTATTTCTGCCAGCTTTGGTCATTTGACAGCTACAATTCTCCTTCTTCAATATGTCATCACAAATCTCTCTCAACATATTAATGGGAATCCTGCATTTAATTCTTTCATGTTTATGGAGAGGGAGGTGGGGTGGAGAGGGAGACTGAGAGAGAACTTTCACCTTCTATATGTGATAATATGTTTAAATGTAATTAACTGTTCTGCTTTTGCCGTTAAAATGTTATTTTGCATTCCCATCGTATTGATTTTAAATTGAAACTCAATGCTTTTGCAAAGACAGTCTTGGGGTTATAAAATGATAGGTTTTATTGCAAAGAGAGGAATATTTATCTGAACAGATACATGAGTGTTTCCATAAAGAATGGGCCTATTTTACTTTATCAGCAACTAAGGGGAAGGTTAATGGCTATGATGTATCTTTTCTGTTGTGTGTGAAACATGCAGTGTTCTTGCTGTTGAGATTTATGGTGTGGAGGACAAAGCAGGTGCTATTCCAAGCCTTCTTTCAACAGCGGAGTATAAACTAGGGCCTGAACTTATCTGTCAAAAAGTAAGTTAAAATAACGTTAGAGAAAGCCTAGAATTTCACACTTTTCCATACCTTCCTGTCTCTAGCTCAGGAATTTAGGCAGGGTGATTAATGACCACTGTTATTTGTGAGCTTTCCAAGTCCCTACAGACATAATGAACTTGACTTTTCAGCCACGTAGAAGGAAACAGGCTGTTAGAGCTCTACAACATGACATGTTCATAATTATGAGCTCTCTGCAATTGGGAAGAAAGAGGAAGAAAAGAGAATAATCTTCTCATGTCCCATAGTCTCAACTTCAAACATCCTCTACTCCCTCTCTTTCTTCTTTCCCCATCTTCTTCCCGCCTACACACACACTCACACACACAGAATGTATCTATACTTTTATTAATCCAGAAACAAAGTCTGACTCTACTTAATCTTGCCTCTTATTTTTCCTTCATATCAAGCAAGCAAATCATGCTTACTGATTTCTTTGTCAGAATATCGTATGGATTTGTCCTTCCCTCTGTTCTATTCACCCTGTCGTCTTGTGTTTATGCTAGCCCAATCCCTGAGTTAATTTAGGCTCCAGGCACTGTATGCTTTTTGAGGTAATACAACCTCTTCATTTTCCTGTGTCTTTTATTTTAACCCCAGCAGTTTATTTTCTTGCTTTTCAAAATCTTTTTTATTCTGACCCCACCTCCAAAGATTGTATATGCTCCCTCTTTTTGTTATCGCTAATGTAAATATCTCTTATCCTTTTGAAGTTCAACATTCATTTCCATCAAGATGTACTTTAAATGCATCTTCTTGTATAATCCTTTTCAGACCAGCTTCACCTGGTAAGGTCCATTCTGATAAACTGCTTACAATGTTTTTACCCCGTAATACTAATCATATCTTAGACTACTTACTTAAATAAAATACAACTTCTTGCGCATAGGTATTTGTTCTAAGGATAGTTGCTTTGTTATCTATATAGTCAGTATTCAATGCCTTTTCAAATATAATTCAACAAGGCCTGTTTTCAACCTCAAAGAAGTGAATGAAGAGTCACTAACTTTAAAGTTCCAGCAATCCCACAGCATTCCCCGGCTCCTCCAGAGTACCTGTGGAAATTAGATTCCTTGTAAGCCACTGGTAATTTTAAGAGTCTGCTGCTCTTAAGGAAAGAGTCTGCTGCTTGCTACAAGATAGCAGAAATTAGTGTGTTGGTTAGTTCTGATCCTGAAAACCTTGCCTTTATCAAAGACAGAACATTTCCTGAATCTCCCGATGATATAGTAAAGTAGTGGGGAGAAATTAATCTCCATCCTCCGCCAATGTTTTTACCGGATACTGCATGGCATCCTTCCTATTATGGAGTGTTATTTTGACTAGAAAAAGGATTAGGTGGCACCATGGGAGAAAGGCATAGTCTGGTTGAAGCTTATACGAATTTTCATTTACATCCTTTCTTTTTGTCTTGCAAATTACTATTCTTTTTCTCTCTCATTTCCACCCTAGAAGTCCCTTAGATGCTCTCTTTATTCTCCATTGCTCTCTGATGCTCTTTTATTGAATTCTATGCTCCTTGAATACAGGTCTTATGTCTTGTTTACCTTTGTATTATTACAGTTATCTCTGTGCCTTCCACACAACAGGTAATCAATAACAATTTGCTTAATGGAATTGAGTAATTTTAGAAGACTAGTCTATATTATAGACTCTGATAATTTCCTTTTATTCTACAAAAAAGATTTTCTATCCCAATTTTTCTTACCAGTATCATACCACTCACAATACAGCATGCTGCTATTCCATCAGCCCAGAGAATGTGTATGAACACAGCTACTCAGGTATTCCTTATTTTTTTCTTTTGAACTAATCTTAAAGACACTGATTATATCTCTCTTATGAAGAGCAATTATACAATTTTGTGGTAGTTCTCTTTTTACAAGTTTATCTTCTTAGAGAAGTATAACTCTTTTTTTTTTTTTTCCAAAAAGGAGACTATTTCTCAGTATCCTGGGGACATAGCATGATGTGTGATAAATAGTTATTGCTCTTTTTTTTTTTTCAGAGTGTGATCTTCAGGTGATCTTTTCATGCTTTTTCCATCCTTTCTTCATATTGTCTTTGACTTGTCATAGTTTCTGCCTGGCACAGTGCCTCCTAAATTCATCTATTACTCTCACCTTTCTTTCCACTTTTCTCATGTGAGAAATACACATTTATCTTCATTTACCCTGGAAGGTTTTCTCCTTAACAACAGTGTCACACATGACATACTATACATTGCATGCTCTACAAAATAAAACATAACCTATGAGAGAACAAATTCATAAGTTTTATTGTAATCAAAATATTTTTTTGAAAAATCTTACATACAGTATTAATTTTTCAGTTTTCTCTGATACAAAAGACACCCTCACTTAATGAGAAAAAAAGTCTTAGAATACGAGAGCTGGAAAGTGTCTTTGGGAGATTACTTGGCACATAAATATGATGCATAGAAGGTAGGAAATTACTGCATAATTACACAAGTAATCAGTGACACAGTGTCTAGATAGCCCAAGTCTTCTAGTATAATTATAAGGCCACATATCCGTCATGGTGACTCATGTCTTTATTCACACTGACCCTGTTTTTAATTGTGTGGATTTTCACAGAGGAAAAAAAATGGTGGTCTTTGTAGAGCTGGAATGAGTGAATACTTTCTGGTAGATACATTCATTTTTCACATTTAAATATAATCTTAGTGGATTTTAGTTTTTACTAAACTACTTAGGAAAATAAGGTTAAATAAGTATATTTTTTAAAGATTTGACCTTCTAAAAGTTCATTTAAAAGAAAGAAAAAATATTTTAATTGATGGAAAATGAGCAAATTTATTCAAAGTGACATTAGTTGCAAATTCATTCTGAGATCATCAGATATTAAAGCAATGCATTTAGAAACGTTATTCTTCATATTACCAAACTGAAGCAATTTAAATGTCTATCAATAGTAGAATGGATAAGAAATTGTGGTAAATTCACACAATGAAGAACTTTTTTTTTTTTTTTTTTTAACGGAGTCTGGCTTCGTTGCCCAGGCTGGAGTGCAGTGGTGTGATCTCAGCTCACTGCAACCTCCCCCGCCGAGTTCAAGCAATTCTCCTGCCTCAGCCTCCCGAGTAGCTGGGATTACAGGTGCATGCCACTATGTCCGGCTAATTTTTTTTTGTATCTTTTTAGTAGAAACGGGGTTTCACCATGTTGGCCATGCTGCTCTCGAACTCCTGACCTTGTGATCTGCCCACCTTAGCCTCCCAAAGTGTTGGTATTACAGGCATGAGCCACCATGCCAGGCCCCAAGAACTATTTTATCATGAAAATGATAGAACAAAACTACATGCTATAACATGGATGAAGCTTATAATCATAATCAAAAGAAGTTAGACCCAAAGGAATACTTATTATATAAATCTATTTTTATAAAGTTATAAAGTTCAAATCTGTGAGATTAGAAATCAAGGTGGTAATTACTGCTGGAAGGAGGGAAGGCCAGTGTTTTGGATGAGGCAGGAAAGGTGCTTCTAAGTACTGGTAATATTTCTTGACCTATTGATGGTTACACAGGCCTGTTCATGTTGTGATAATTCAGTAAGCTTGGGATTTATATACTTTTCTATATGTATGTTTTTTTAAAGCCAAAATTAAAAAAAAAAAGACTAAAGGGGAAATTTATTGAATACCATTAGCTTTTAAAATGTATTTTTGTTTTTACTTAAGAGTTTTAAAAAGTAGTCATATTTTAAATTTACATATTGTTGGGAAAATTCTGCCAATGGTAGGATAAAACAATAGATTTCAATTGAAATATTGAAAGCAACTTGTGTTGGTAAAAGATGAGAAGTGAAGGTGGAAGACTGATTAAAACTACCAAAAATATCATAGTGATAACACTTTTATTTTTCTTTTTTTGTGGGGGTGGGGATAGTACCATTATAAAAATACAAACATAAGCTGCTTTTGTACATCACCAAATAATTCATTGAAATTTAAGGAAATCAACCAGTTATGTGTGTACACACACACACACACACACACACACGATCTCATAGAGTGAAGGGTTAATTGGAATACTGACTGAGTGCAATGTACAAGAAAATGTACACACTGAATACAAACAAGGGAAAAAAATCAACTTTGCCTAGGAGAATAATAAATATAATTATAGGAAGGAGGGGGGACAGGGTAGGTGTTAAAAAGGAGTTTCCTGGGAAAATAAGGAAGTGAAGAAAGGCATTCCAGGCATAAAATATGCTTGCTATGTGCAAAACAACAGTGGGAAATAGCATAGACTCTTCCATGTACATACTGCAAGTGGGTATGTGATGGTGGAGCTACAGTTGGAAAGGTAGGTAGGGGTCGTATCATCTAGCCCGATTTACTAGAGTTTAACTTTATTTACTCATGAATAGGTAGATCTTGACAGATTTTAATGAGGGGAGGGACATCAGGTGCCAAGTACCTACAAACATTTAAACAAGGGAAGGGTTTTATGGTTGCAGTGATTAGGACACGTTTGAGGAATATTTAGACAATTAAGTTAGTGGAACTTATATTTTTATAGGATGTAAATGAAGGGGCACAGGGAAGCCACCGAAGGTGATTTCTGAGATTCTGTTTTGCATAACTTGGTACATGATATGCCACAGACATAAAGGGGAAATGCTTTCAAAGAGATCTGTGTTTTTCTCAAATTTTACCCAATATATTTGCATAAAGCTCAATGTAGATTGGAACTATGGCAATTTGATTCAGTTCCACAGCTTAAGTAAGTGTTATTTTGTTCAGTTAATTGAAAATGAAACTATACCTGACAGGAAGCTGATTACTTATATGCTAATGTGACAGTATTATAGATCATAGGACTTATAACACCTATTAATTTGGTAAATGGGAAAAACAAAACTGTATACTGTGAAATAAGAATTTACGTTATGTATATAAGAAATAGTTGATTTAGGCTGGGTGTGGTGGCTCACACCTGTAATCCCAGCACTTTGGGCAGCCAAGGCAGCTGGATCACCTGAAGTCAGGAGTTTGAGACCAACCCGGCCAACATGGCAGAACCCCGTCTCTACTAAAACTACAAAAATTAGCCAGATGTGGTGGTGTGTACCTGTCGTCCCAGCTACTTGGGAAACTGAGGCAGGAGAATCACTTGAACCCAGGAGGCAGAGGTTGCAGTAAGCCCAAATCGCACCACTACATTCCAGCACTATACTCCAGCCTAGGCCACAGAGTGAGACTGTCTAGAAAAAAAAAAGATGAAGATACAGTTGATTTAATAAATGGTTATGATGAATGCATATTATCATACTTGCAAGTAAAAATGCATATGCTTATAAAATATTTTTGAACAGATATTTTAAAATCATAGCAGGTTTTAGAAATCAAATTTATGGAAAACGTACTAGTTTCATGTGTATACTCTAACAAAGTAGAAAGAGACAAAAATGTAGTTTGAGATCCTCTGCAAATGCCAAAATTTAGCCAGAGTAGGTAAAGGACTTGACAGATGAAATGCACTCTGTCTCTTACACTGAGTTTATACGGAGAAAAGTAATTTTCGTAGGCAGTGAACACATAAGGAAACTGGTCCAAGTCTTATGAATGTGAACATTAGTAGAAAATAAGTTATCTTTGAGTATTTAGTAGAAACACCAGGAATACTGCATAGAGGGAAGAAATAATCCAGGAGGTACTACTAATAAACACATTTTTAATTTTAGTTCACATATTTGGGAGAATTCTTACAAATTTCATCGGCTATATACCAAACCTGAAGAAAATATTCCTAATCAAATTCTGTGGTAAGCCAGGCACAGTGTCTCACACCTGTAATCCCAGTGCTTTGGGAGGCTGAGGTGGAAGGACCACTTGAGCCCCGGAGTTTGAGGCTGTTTTGAGGCTTGATTGTGCCACTGCCCTCCAGCTGGGTGACAGAGTGAGACCCTGTCTCAAAAATTAAAAAGTAAAACAAATCCTGTGGTGGCCACTCCTCATGATAGTGACAGGTACAGACAGTCTTGTTAATCTGTGGAAACACTGAAGTGAGCCAAATCATGTTGTTTAATGGTTCCCATTTGGCATTTTGAGCTTGTTTAAGGGTATAGCAAATAGAGCTATAAATAGTGCATTGAACTATGAATTAATATGGTCTGTCTGAAATCAATGGAATTTTCAAGCCCTTTCTGTTAATATAGAGAAAACCAACTTAAAAATTATGACTAGCATGCAGTTAAGAAACTTGGCAGGCCAAACATCTTAGAACTAATTAAACAAAAGTGATACATTTACTCACATGATCTACTAATTCATTATTATTGGTACGTTAGATGTTTTTCAAAAAAATACTGTTGTAAAAATTTCCCTCAGGTTTGACAATGATAAGGAGTGTTGTGAAACTACTGTGATTAAAGCACCAAAGGTACAATGGGTCATTTTATATATACAGCATTCCGTTAAGTGAAGTTGAATGCATAATGACTATATTAGCATAGAATATATGAGATTAGAATTAGGTTTTTTTTCCTCTGATTTGAAATTATTGGAAATCAAATAGTGACAAGAATGAGTATATTTTCCTTCAAGGCCCTTGAAAAACAAGTCTTCTGTGTCACGTTTTATCGGTTCTTTTAAAAAGAGTAAACTTTTAGCAGCAAGAAAGATGTTTGAACATTATTCGAGTAGCTGCCACTTTTAAAACCTATTGACTAGGGAAAAATGACCCCAATTTTTCCCCATTATGGTTTGTCTGTGTTTGCGAGTAAAGACGTGTCTTAATTAAAATGTTTTAAATATGTACCTAAAATTAATATGAGAAAGTCATAATAAAAGGCCAGATACTCTTTAGCATGGTTCTTAACCATCAAACTTTCACTTCTGGTTCTAAAATTATACACCTAGAATAAAATGAACATGTAAAAATATTCATGTGTCTTGACATTGGCCTTCTGATAAATCTAATTTGCTAATATAAAATCTTGTAAAAAGACTATAATCTACCAAATGAATTTACTACAATATACTCTTCTAAATAGATCTTACTTATAAACATATATGTGCAAAAAGAGAGAGAAAAGGTTTAATTTATAGTCTTAAAACCAATATGCTGGCTATCTTAGTGTATCTCCCCAGATCTACATCCACCTTCCAGAACATGCTCTATGCCATGGGAGGGGGATCTGTAAAGAATGCATCAATGGGCTTCCTGTCCTCCTGCCAGCTGGGTGTGGCCAGTGAGGAACACCAGAAAATTAATGAAAGGGGGAGAATTGGGTGGAGGGGTCTTTGTTCTTCTTGTTACATTTTTGTAAGTGATTCTTGAGGTGAACTGGAGAACAGATTTACCACACCTTCATCCCAGCACTTTGGGAGGCTGAGGCGGGCGATCACCTGAGGTCAGGAGTTCGAGACCAGCCTGGCCAACATGGTAAAACCCTGTCTCTGCTAAACATACAAAAATTAGCCGGGCATGGTGGCAGGTGCCTGTAATCCCAGCTACTTGGGAGGCTGAGGCAGGAGAATCACCTGAACCTGTAAGAGAGAGGTTGCAGTGAGCTGAGATGGCGCCATTGCACTCCAACATGGGCAACAAGAGCAAAACGCCGTCTGGAAAAAAAAAAAAAAAATCCCACACCTCCTGTCAGAAAGCCCTCTTTATCCATCTTGCCCTCAATCTCTGGGTTCTGGTATCCGTTCCATCCTTTAGCTTTGTCTTGCCCACATTTGTGTGTGTTTATATATATGTGTGTGTGTGTGTGTGTGTGTGTGTGTGTGTGTGTGTGTGTGTGTTATTAAATATTCCTCAAATTTCCCAACTCAAGTATGCTGTTTGTTTCCTGGAAACAGGAAGATATCTAGAATCTACTTCTAACTGGCTTTGAAAATCTGGCAGTGACAGCTGGGGGCTCAATTTTGTATACTTTAAACTTTAAATTTATATCATTTATATATTTATAAAATGCATATATTCATTCATTGTTAATAGTAATAAAATATATAGCAAGCATTTGGGAGGCAGTTTTAAAAGAAGGCCATTAATTTTGCTGCTTTAGAAAATGTTTTATGTAAGGTGTTTCAAAATTTGGAATTTGACTCTGCATGTAGCAATTGGTATGTGTTTTACTAAAGAATTATACTCTACCTGTAAAAGTTCTTTTAGGTAAAGACCTGGAAATTATATTCAACATTTGTGAATTGTACACTCTTTAATGCAGTCAGGATTACAGGCAAATTTTCTAGTAGAGTAAAAATATACATGAATTGTAAAAGTAATAAGAAAGGAAATTTGAATTTTGCTATAGTTGTTAGAGAGAAGGAGTTAGATGATTTTTATTCCTGTTGCCAGTAATACTAAGATAAAATGATTAGAGTCACATACACGTTATATATGAAAACTTATAGGAGGTATGAAGACCAGAATTGTTTAGGAGTTTATAATCTGAGGACTTATATGATGTTCTTTAACATTTTTTATGCTGAGAAAGAATATTATTAAACAATGAGTTAAGTCAGAACATAATGTGACAGTTAAATGTCTGTTAAAAAATACATTTTTGAAGGCAGAACTTCTGGTTATGGTAGAATATAGAGATCAGCAAACCCTTTCCCCAAAAAAGTAAAAATAAAGCTGGATAACATTGATAAAACCATGAGTTCAGTTTTTTGGAAATTGGCCAGAATCATAAAGTAATCTGGAGAGATTTCATGGCTTTGTAGTATAAATTACAATTATTCTAAAATATTTAATCTGAAGGCTATCATGAGATTTTAAAATGGAGGGGACATGCTAAGTAAAAAATGACAACAGGTGATTAAGCAAAAGTGAAAAATATTAATTTTAGTATATGATTCCAGCAAGTATGTTTGGACTGTTGAACTATTATGAATATTTACCTATCATTATCATCTTTTAAAATGTCTACTCACTAGAACATCTCACTAATTATGTATTTCTTTATTTCTCCCCAATAGTTGTGCTTTGATAGTTTTTGCAAATTTATTTAATCATACTTTATTTGAATGTATTACATTCATATTTTATTTTTTAACGCAGACATTTGATATATTCAGAATGGTAGAAAATTAAATGTACTTTTTTAGTATTATTATTATTTGAGACAGCTTCTCACTCTGTTGCCCAGGCGGAAGTGCTGTGGCACAATCTCAGCTCACTACAATCTCTCCCTTCTGGGTTCAAGCGAGTCTCCTGCCTCAGCCTCCTGAGTAGCTGAGATTACAGGTGTGCAGCACCAGGCCCGGATAATTTTTTTTTTTTTTTTATTGAGACGGAGTCTCACTCTATCGCCCAGGCTGGAGTGCAGTGGCGTGATCTCGGCTCACTGCAAGCTCCGCCTCCCGGGTTCACACCATTCTCCTGCCTCAGCCTCCCGAGTAGGGTAGCTGGGACTACAGGCGCCCGCCACCACGCTTGGCTATTTTTTTGTATTTTTAGTAGAGATGGAGTTTCACCGTGTGTTAGCCAAGATGGTCTCGATCTCCTGACCTCGTGATCTGCCCGCCTCGGCCTCCCAAAGTGTTGGGATTACAGGCGTGAGCCACCGCGCGTGGCCCGGGCCAGATAATTTTTGTACCTTTATTTTTTGAATTTGTTAATTAGCTTGATTTAATCATTTTATAACATAAACATATATCATAATATTACATTGTACCCAACAAATACATAAAATTATTTTTCAATTAAAAGTACAGTTTTTTAAAATGTCAATTTTTCTTTTTCAATGATTCTTTTATTTATTCACTTTATTTTTTTCAGCTCTTGTTTTAGATTCATGTGTACATGTGCAGGTTTTTTACCTGGGTATATTGTATGATGCTGCAGCTTGGAGTAAGAATGATCTCATCACTCAGGTACTGAGCATTGTACCCAATAGTTAGTTTCAACCCTTACTTCCCTTCCTCCCTCCCCCCACAATAGTCCCCAGTTTCTATTCTTTCCATCTTTATGCTCATGAGTACCTAATGTTTAGCTCCCACTTAAAAGTGAGAACATGCTGTTTTTGGCTTTCTGTTCCTGCATTAGTTTGCTTAGGATAATGGCTTCCAGCTGCATCCATGTTGCTGCAATGGTCATGATTTCATACTACATAGCCACAAAAAAGAATGAAATCATGTCCTCTGCAGCAACGTAGATGTGGCTGGAAGCCATTAGCCAAAGCAAACTAATGCAGGAACAAAAAAGCAAATACCGCATGTTCTCACTTGTAAGTGGTTGCTAAACATTGGGTACACATAGACAAAAAGATGGGAACAATAAACACGAGCTCCTTCTTGAGGGGGTAGGGTGGTAGGAGGATGAGAGTAAAAAACCTGTCTATTGGGTACTATGCTCACTACCTAGGTGATAAAATCATTTGTACACCAAATCCCAGTGGCACACAATTTACTCATGTAACAAACCTGCACATGTACCCCATGAACCAAAAGTAAAAGTTGGAAAAAAAAGAAATTACCTATACATAAAGTTTGAGGTCTTACATTTAAATCTCTAATCCATCTTGAGTTAATTTTCATATATGGTGAAAGCTAAGGGTCCAGTTTCTTTCTTTTGCATATGGTTGGCCAGCTGTCCCAACACCATTGGTTGAATGGGGGTCCTTTCTCTTTTATTTATGCCGACTTTGTTGATGATCAGATTGCTGTAGGCATGTGACTTTATTTCTGAGTTTTCTATTCTGTTCCATTGGTCTGTGTGTCTCTTTTTGTACCAGTACCGTGCTGTTTTGATTACTGTAGCCTTGTAGTATGGTTTCAAATCAGGTAAAGTGATGTGTCTGGCTTTGTTCTTTTTCCTTAGTTTTGCTTTGGCTATTCAGGCTCTTTTTGGTTCCATATAAATTCTGGAATAGTTTTTTCTCATTCAGTGAAAAGTGACATTGTTCATTTGATAGGAATAGCATTGAATCTATACATTGCTTTGGGCAGTATGGCCATTTTAACAATATTGATTCTTCCAATCCATGAGTATGGGATGTTTTTCCATTTGTTTGTATCATCTATGATATTTTACAGCAGTGTTTTGTAGTTCTCCTTGTAAAGATATTTTACCTCCTTGGTTAGATGTATTCTTAGGTATTTTTATTTATGTGTAGCTATAGTAAATGGGATTGCATTCTTGATTTGGCTCTCAGTTTGAATGATATTGGTGTATAGAAATGCTACAAATTTTTGTACATTGCTTTTGTATACTGAAGCTTTACTGAAGTCATTTATCAGTTTCAGGGGCCTTTTGGCAGAGTCTTCTAGGTAGAGGACCATATCATCAGTGAAAGAGACAGTTTGACTTCTTCTTTTCCTATTTGAATGCCTTTATTTTGATCTCTTGCCTTGTTGCTCTGGCTAGCACTTCCAGTACTATGCTGAACAGGTGTGGTAGGAGTGGGCATCCTTGTCTTGTTCTAGTTCTCAAGGCAAATGGTTCCAGCTTTTGACAGTTTAGTATGATGTTGACTGTAGGTTTGTCATAGATGTCTCATTATTTTGAAGTATGTTCCTTTGATGCCTGGTTTCCGGAGGGTTTTTATCATGAAGGGATGTTGAATTTCATCGAAAGCTTTTTCCATGTCTCTTGAGATGATCATATGGCTTTGGTTTTTAATTCTGCTTATACATTCATATTTTTAAAGTCACAAACATATAGAGTTGCAGTTATTAACATGATCTCTAATTTTTGTAAATAAAATTCAAATATCGATTTTAGTGATTGATGTAATCTCTAAATAAGATCTAATGTGTATTCAAAAAATAAATAAATAATTTGCAAGTATTTAGTAATGTGTAGATGGTGGAGGGGAGTGTCATATTGTAATTAAGAGCTGATCCCTTGGGCTTAAACTGCCAGATCATGCCAAAGACTGGCTTTGTCACTTATTAGTTTTGTGACTATGGGAAACTTACTTGTCTCCTCAGCTTCTTCACCTTTTAGATTGATTCAGTTTTAGAACCTACTTACATAGGGTTGTTGTAGGTACTTCTATGATATAATACATATTACCAACTTAGAATACAAGCAGACACATGGTAAGCACTCAAAAATTGTTAGTTGTTCTTATTTTTATATTTTCCTTCATTATAAGCTGTTACTTGTGAGAGGGAAGAAAAAAATCTACTTTTATCATTGTTTAGAATAGTCAACTTATGTTCCAGTTCTTATAAAATGACCTCACCATATATCGTATATATTGCACAGTGAAAAGATGCTTCTGTCTTAATAAATATACAGATAGCCCATAGGGACCAACTCTTTGTGCGGATATAAAATAGTACAGCCACAATAGAAAACAGTCTCTTAAGGCAGTTCCTGGAAAAGTTAAAAATGAACTTACCATATAACTTAGCCATTCAAGACCTATGTATTGACCCAAGAGAAACGAAAGCATATGTCTATCCAGAGTTGTACATGAATGAACATAGCAGCTTTGTTCTTAATAGATAAAAACTAGAAGCAACCCAAATATTTATGGAGGTGAATTGATGTTTTAAATGGTGGTTTAACTATAGAATGGAATATAACTCAGTAATAAAAAGGAATTAACTATTGTTAGCCTGCGACAGCATGTATGAATCTCATGCTGAGTGAAAGAAGCCAAACCAAAAGAGAATGCACATTGTGTGATTCCATGTGTATGAAATTCTAGAAACTGCAAACTAATCTGTAGTGACAAACAACAGATCGGTGGTTGCCTAAAGACAGTGAAGGTAAAGTTTGAAGAGACAGATTACTAAGGAGCATGAGGAAACTTTTAGGTGTGATGGATATATTCCTTATTTTGATTGTAGCGATGATTTCCTGGGTGTATACATAAGCTAAAACTTATAAAATTCTACCTATTAAATATGTGTGGCATTTACATTTGTATGTCAATTATAAGTCTACAAAGCTATTTTTAAAAATACATTTCTCTCATAAACTAAATAAATGCAGAAATTTAACATTTTGGATGTTGTATTATTGCATGTTTTAAATAATGAATTCAATTGGAGTTTTCTCATTAAAATCTAAAGTTGAGTTTAGGTTCACAGTCAAATGATGTCCTATAATCTATAAAAGTTATTATTGCACAGTGATAAATTGGAAACCAGAGAGACCGACATTATATAATATTTCAGTTGAGTGTGATGTGTCTGTTATGTACAGATTTTGGCACCACAGTGCATGGAAATATATACAAAGAGTCTTCAAAAAGTTCATGGAAAATGCATATTATGGAAAAGCAGTTCAGAGAAATCAAATTTTGTTGAACCAAAATAAACTCATACTAACATTTAAAAACACGTCTAGATAGCATCTAGTTTGAGGTACTAAGATGGATAAGTCATCAGTTTAAAAAGAGGCCCTGGCGGGGTGAGGTGGCTCACGCCTGTAATCCCAGCACTTTGGGAGGCTGAGGCGGGTAGATCGCCTGAGGTCAGGAGTTCAAGACCAGCCTGGCCAACATAGTGAAACCCTGACTCTACTAAAAATACAAAAAATTAGCTGGGCATGGTGGCGGCCATCTGTAATCCCAGTTACTAGAGAGGCTGAGGCAGGAGAATCACTTGAACCCAGGAGGCAGAGGTTGCAGTGAGCCGAGATCATGCCATTGAACTCCAGCCTGGGCAACAAGAGCGAAGCTGTGTCTCAAAAAAAAATCAGATTTATGGTGATGCTTGAGAGGAAGAATGGTGAAATTATTGATGTTTTGCACAACATTTATGGGGACAATACCCCAAAGAAATCAACAGTTTACAAATGGAAAACTCATTTTGAGAAGGGATGAGACAATGGAGAAGATGATGCTCGCTGCAGCAGACTGTCCACACAGAGCAGAAAATTAATCTTTTTTATGCCCTGATTCAAGAGGACTGACCATTCACAGCAGAAACAATAGTGAACACCATAGACATCTCAATTGCTTCAGCTTACACAATTCTGACTGAAAAATTAAGGTTGAGCAAACTTTCCACTTGATAGGTGCCAAAACCATTGAACCCAGATTAGTGGAGACAAGAGAAGAGCTTTCAATGGAAAATTTAAACAAGTGGGACCAAGATCTTAAAGCATTTCATTAAAGAATTGTAACAGGAAATGACATACAACTTTAACAGTATGATCCTGCAGACTTAGCACAATCAAAGCAAAGGCTACCAAGAGCTGAAACTGGTCCTGTCAAAGCAAAAGCATATGAAACAAACATGTGAGAAAAGTTCAACATCACTGATCATTAGAGAAATGCAAATCAAAACCACAATGAGATACCATCTCACACCAGTCAGGATGGCTATTATTAAAAAGTTAAAAAAAAAAAAAACAATAGATGCTAGCAAGGTTATGGAAAAAAAGGAATGCTTTTACACTGTTGGTGAAAGTGTAAATTAGTTCAACCACTATGGAAGACAGTGTTGAGAATCCTCAAAGACCTAGAGGAAGAAATGCCATTTAACCAAGCAATTGCATTACTGGGTATATATCCAAAAGAATATAAATCATCCTGTTATAAAGACACATGCCTGTGTATATTCATTGCAGCGCTATTCACCATAGCAAAGACATGGAATCAATATAAATGCCCATCAGTGATAGACTGGATAAAGAAAATATGGTACATATACACCATGGAATACTATGCAGCCATGAAAAGGAATGAGATCATGTCCTTTGCTGGGACATAGAGTTGGAAACCATTATCCTCAGCAAACTAATGCAGGAGCAGAAAACCAAACACCACACGTTCTTACTTGTAAGTGGGAGCTGAATGATGAGAACACATGGACACATGGTGGGGAACGACACACACTAGGGCCTGTTGGAGGTGGATGGTGGGGGAGGGAGAGCATCAAGAAGAATAGCTAATGGATACTGGGCTTAATACCTAGGTGATGGGATGATCTGTGCAGCAAACCACCATGGCACACAGTTTACCTATGTAACAAACCTGCACATCCTGCACATGTACCCCTGAACTTAAAAGTTGAAGGAAAAAAAAAAGCAAAAGCAGATTAGTCGAGAGAAAAGGTCATAGCAACAATTTTTGGGTATGCTCAAGGCATTTTGCTTGTTAACTTTCTGGAGGGCCAAAGAACAATAACAGCTGCTTATTATGAGAGTGTTTAAAGAAATTTAGCTAAAGCTTTAACAGAAAAACATCCAGAAAACCTGCACCAGAGAGGCCTTTTCCACCACAACAATGCTCCTGCTCATTCCTCACATCAAACAAGGGTAATTTTGTAGATGTAGAAGTTTTGATGGAAAATCATTAGGTATGCGCCTTACAGTCCTGCTTCGGCCTCTTCTTACTTTTTTTGTTTTCTAATCTTAAAAAGTCTTTAAAGAGTATTCATTGGCCTGGTTAAATTCCGAGCATCTTCAGTTTTTTAGGAGTAAACTAAATGGTATCATTGTTTACAAAAATGTCTTAAACCTATTTTGAAAAATAAAATTTATATTTTTAAATTTTTATCTTTTATTTCTATTTTTCTAACTTTTTGAAGTCCCCTAGGGTGTGTGTGTGCACACATGTATATTTGTGTATATATACTCTTAACCCCCACATGTACATCCATGCTGCATCCTATTGGGGGAGGCAGTTTGTGAAAGCATTATCCAAGAATGGTTTAGTTGCCCTTGATTTTATATATAGTGATCCAGTCATAAAACTGTAGTTTATGTGTATAATTACAGGAAGACAATTCATTTGAAGAGAGGCATATGCACACAGTTATTTCAAGAAGCCATTTTTTATTTATGAATTTTCAGGTCAAATTTTTTAATAACCTAAGCAACCTTTGGTAGGATGTTTTAACAGAATTCTAAATATTCTATATTGTAGTCCCCCAAACAGTGAAATTTTCAGGAATGTAATACTTTGTCATTATGTTAGCTCATCTATGTAAAATAGGCTACATTTATTCCAAAACGAGAATACTTTGAAACTTCTAATGCTTAGATATTTAAATGTGGTGATTATGCTCTCATGAATATTTAAATCTTTGGAGTCAGACATAGTTGCTGCTAGTGCCAATCAAATCTAGGATGACCAAAGAAACACTGCTTTCATGAATAAGTAATCTTTCTCCCCATGAGTTTTCTGAATAGTCTAAGAACTCATGTGGGAATAGGGAGAGCACTGTTAGAATGACATTTTATCTAAAAAAGGGAGCAACCACGGGAGCAGATGTAGTATATTATAATCTGCTTGACCTGTTCACAATGATTTGTGAGTTCTGAACTCTAAAGGAAATGCTTTGTTTGATTCTAAACTATAGCTAACAATGTTGGATCAGTGTATGAATAACTGAAGTATTTATTATTCTCAGGAAGTACATATTGGTCATCCAATATGAATTCTAAAATAATTTAATGATTGCTATTATTTTAACTCTATAATGGTAATAATAATAATCTTCCTACATTTCAAAGGTCAGCTTTACATTAAAACTTTCGCTCTGAAATTTCATATTGGCCATATTACTCTGTTTAAAAACATTTTCTAAATATCACAGTGAATTATATAGAATTCTGTTTAAAATTTGAATTATACAGATACTATATTGATGGTAGATGCCATGAGTAAGTTGAAATATATATTATTAGAAGAATATGTCACAACAGAATAATTAAAAGTGAGTACTAAGAAATACCTTATATTAGACTTAAGCCTCCCTGGATACCAAAAACCTTAGTGTCTATTTGGGGAATTCCTGAGATTTCAACATAGAGCATTAGCCAGTGTATTTGCAAGGCCACTCAAATTCACTCTCATAGAAAGGACAAGAAATATTTTATTCAGAAAGAAGTTCATCTCGGTAACTCAAGCCAAGTGAATCAAAAGTCTAATGTTCTTTGGGGGCAAAATTTCTCTATTGTACTCAGAAAAAAAAAGTCAAGGTAGTAATTGTTACTGTCTAAAGAAAGTCATTGAAATAACAGGACATTCTGAAGTTTGTACTTTTACAATTCCTTAACTTTATACATGCTTAATTAAAAGTTAATAAATATTTACCAAACACCTTGTTTGTGTGCTGGGGAAAGAGGTATACATATATGTGTACAACAGTTCTTCATTTCTCAAGCATTTTTTAGTGGGTAGAGAAAGTGGTCATTAGACATATACAGAACTGATAATAATACACAGTAGATTGTGATAAGTGCTAATATCATTTAATATTCATTAGTTTAATAAATACAGCTCAGTTCTGTTGCTAGGAAGATCAAAATGGCTAATGCATGGTCTCTGGTCTCAAACTCACAGAGTAGTGTGGGAGGTAAGCAGATACAATACAGAATGATAAAGCCTGCACTAGAAGGTTCACATGAAACATAGAGGCAGACGCATCTCATTCTCTTTGTGAAAAGGTGGCAAGTCCTGAAGAACTTCTAGTGGCTTTGGCTAATATATAGCTTATAGTTACAAAGTAAGCAGTATGACACAGGGAATAATTTAATATGTGAGGCATTATTACATAGTTCCTCTTTCAAGGAAACATAGCTGTTTAGTCCAATGGGATCATATGGGCAAAAATATCATAAATTAATATATATAATCTTCTTAAAATTCCATATGTTACTCTAGAACAGCCTTTGTAAGCCCTTTACAGTAATTAAGAATTTTAAACCTTATTGTAAATATAGTAGATTTGAACTCTAGGCAGCATAAGAAGTTTTATATGTATATTCATACAGAAAAGGAACAAAATGTACATTGTGAATGATTGGTTCTTTCGGCATACCAATGTGTCACTTACTGTGGATATTTTCATGCCAGATATTCAGAAAAGTTTGTGTGTGTGTAGGTTTCTATAGTATCAGTATAGTAATTCTGTAATATAGTTCAAATTATAAGTATATTTTTATATAATTTACTGTGATATTTAAACTTTTTTAATATTTAGGATATACAAGTTCAGATTTCTTACATGCATATATTGTGCAGTGGTGAAGTCCACGCAGAGTAAAACATATATACACATGGACATAAACAGATATATATGTATTTACAATAGGTCCACAAGTTATATTTTCCTAGAGTAATATGTTCATTTTACAGGAACCAATAATAAATAGGAAAACAAGCAAAAGTACTACATTATACTTTTCTTTAAAAATTGAGATTGTAGATTACATTTAATAGTAAACCAATAACTCACTTTTTCCTTTATTCTGAACATTGGTATCAGAAAAGTATGACTTCTGTAACACTGACTAGATTATATGATTCGACGTGAATCTGTTAGAAGCAAAGAGAATGATGAAAAAGCTATAATATTTAGTTACACATGGTCATTTTAAGAAGAGAAAAAGCATGGAAGGAACATTCTGATTGACTGGTGAACCACTACCACGTATTACGTGTTGCCTCAATGAATTAACCGAGAGTGGATTTGTGTGCTCACAATCTGCTTCTGTAGAATAAGAATGAACGTGGAGTCTTTACCTGCTTATAGTAAGCGTTTATCTCTCAAAAACCTTTAATCATCTGAATATCACTAATGCAAAAACAGGACCCAGGTAAATCGGAGAAAATAGTTCATTCTTTGAGCCTTTAGGAACCAGAAATTTCTGTAGCAACAAGAGACTTTCTTTTATAAGGTTTTAATACCTCTGATTTATTTTTCATTGCAACAGAGGTTTACAAAGCCACGCTTGGAGGCTTTGTCAGGATTTTGTAGAGTGTCAGCATAGTCATGGTGGATGTTGCAGTTGCACTGAAGGTACCTTAACTTTATGCAGGAAAAGAAACTTAAGTGTAACTAAAAAGCTAAATTTTAAAGTGAATCTTAATCTATGTGGTAAGGACAACCACCACTACATTCATAGAATGGACAGAATTGATGTTTGAAGAAATTTAGTACTCACAGAAATTTGGAGTTTTTCTGACATAATATTTGTAAGATCTGTACCTATCATCATGGCAAGGATAGCGAGTATGTAGCTCATTTTAAAAATAGTTGATATACATTTAAAATATTTTAGATTCCCCTTTCTTCTAAATATATTGCTGTTGATTGTTCAGGTTAGTAATTTGCCTTGACTGTCACTGTTTTTCAGTTTCTCTATTAAAAATTGTCTGAATCTATGTGGATATATCATTTATTATTGATTGTTCCATAATAAAAGAATCTCGATTTGTAGGATCATGGAAATAACTGAATTTGAAGCATTTATAATTTACCTGGTTCTCCATATCCAATTCATGATTATCACCTTTGTATTGATATTTTCTGATGAAAACAAATTCACTGTGTGCCAATTTCTACATTTCCACTCTCATTGTTTTACTCTTTTGCTCTAGCAATTGATCTATGTCTTTTGTTTCATTGCCTCACAGACTAAACCAGTCTCTAGTATTAACTCCAGTAATATTTAAGGTCCTTCAATTAATCATTCCTTAATGGGTTTACATATTAATTAATCTGTTGATGTATTCATGCATGCATTTGCAAATATAATTTGAAGCCCTACCATTTTCTAGGAATTCTGCGAGAACCTAGGGAATAGATAGGACTACATTGATTTTGTCATCATGGGATTCTGGAAACATTCAGGAGGAGCATCTCATCTCTAGCCTAGGGTGTCAGAAAGAACTTGAGTAATCAAGGATTGGGTCTTAAAGGACAAGTGAACATGTGCAGGTGAGAACATTCTAAAATGAAGGGACTTGAACAAAAGCAAAGCCATGTTAAACAGCTTGTACTTCATCTGTAGGTAGATCAGTAACCACTCAGGGGTTTTAATCAGGGAAATGATCTTCTCAGATTTGGCTTCATATGAATCTCTCTATTTGCCTTATGTCACAGCATATATTAGGAGATCATCAGAGTAGTCCAGACAAGCAGGAATGAAGATAAGCATTTGGAATCTAGAAATGATTACATTAAAACAGGCCTAGACACAAACCACCACATTTTTTGCCAGAAAGGCATAGAAACAAATTGTATTAGTGCTTGCCAGGTTCTGGGAGGAGTTGGAGATGGAGAATGACTGCTAATGGGTATAAGATTTCTGTATAGTCTGTTCTCATGCTGCTATATGGACATACCCGAGATTGGGTAATTTCTAAAGGAAAGCAGTATAACTGACCTCAGGAAACTTACAATCATGGCAGAAGGGACAGCAAACACGTCTTTCCTCACAAGACAGTAAGAGAGAGAAGATTGAGTGCCCAGTGAAGGGGCAAGCTCCTCATAAAACCATCAGATCTCGTGACACCTAACTCACTATCACAAGAACAGGATGAGGGAAACCACATCCATGATTCAATTATCTCCAACGGATCCCTCCCATGACCCGTGGGGATTATGGGGACTACAATTCAAGATGAGATTTGGGTGGGGACATAGCCAATCCACATCAATTTCTTTTTGGAATGATGAAAATGTTCTGGAATTAGATAGTGGTGAGGGTTGCACAACATTTTGAATATATTCCAAATTAATAAATGGTTCACATTTTGAATATATTCAAAATTAATAAATGGTTCACTTTCAAAGGGCAAATTTTATGGTGTGTGAGTTATATCTCAAGAAAACTGTTATTAAAAAAAGAACACTGCATTTAGTGATGAACGAACAATAGAGCGAGATGGAGGTACCTAAGAAAACTCCCAAGGTTCTTGCTTTGGTGACTGGGTAGATGACTGTGTTATCAACAAGATGGAGATCACCAAAAAAGGAGACATTGTGGGGTGACAATGGGGATAAAATTGAGGTAGTTGGTGTTGATTTATTTTTAATTGTGTTTAAGGTCTGTATAACATCCAATTGTACTTGAACTGGTGTTTGGTCTACGCCATAGATACAAATCTGGTAAATCTTATCCCAGAAAGTGAATGGCTCCCCAAATTTTTCTGCCTTTACATATTCCAGAAGTACAACATAATCTTATTAATAGCATCTCCCTTTGCATGCCAGTGATTCTCATTCAAGGAGTGGAGCATGTCAGAATCTGCCATGTACAAGACTGTAGTTCAAAAAGGCCAGCTTATCAGAGATGCTGACATATTCCATAGGGAATTTTTGTCAAATCTTTCTATATCCTCCATTGGAAATTATTGATATACATGATGGCTAAATCCATGAGTTCAGGTGTCATCACCTACAGCTTTATGTCAAGTGAGGAGAACGTTGAAGGGCTCAAAGAAGTAAAAGCAGTATTTGAAAGCTCACATAAAGAACGAACGAATGAATAACAACTGCAGGAAAGATTCTTGGCAGATAATAGTTTCAAAATTAGTATTTATTGAGCAAATGCATTAATAAGTGAATGAGTGTGTTTTCCAGAAACCGAAGAATTTCAAGAATAATAAACTATTTTAAAATCAAGATATGAATCTAATAAGACAAAAACAGGTATGTCCATTGTACAGTTATGCTCTGCATGATGTTTTGGTAAATGACAGACCAAATTTACCCTGGTGGTCCCATAAGATTCTAATACTGTATTTTTACCATATTTTTTCTATGTTTAGCTATGTTTACATATACAAATACTTACCATTGTGTTACAGTTGCCTACAGTATTCAGTACAGTGATATGCTGTACAAGTTTGTGGCTTAAGAGCAATAGGCTATCTCACAGAGCCTAGGTATGTAGTAGGCTATGCCCTGTCGCATTGTGTAAGTATTCTCTGTGATATTCACATGACGATGAAATCACCTAACGATGCTTTTCTCAGAGCATATCCTCATCGTTCAGTGATGCATTACTGTATTTGGTGACCATAGTAGGTTGACTATAGTAGTACAGGGATGACTAGGAAAGTAGGAGGAGGAGATGAGAAGGCGATGGGTATGAACTATGCTCTTAAGAAATGTGGATAAAGGAGAGGGACTGAGAACATAGGAGGGCTCTAGAGGAAAGAAGATAGATTTAATGCTACTTTTCGCATATAAAGTCATTCTTCTCCTAAATAAAAGTTTCTATGATTTTGTTCAGGAATCATATTTAACCAGTTTTCAATTTTCCTATGAAACCAGAATTAAACTGCACCTAATTTCTGATCATTTTCTTTCTTAATTTGTGTAATTTAGAAATAGGTATGACGGGCCAGGTGCGGTGGCTCACGCCTGTAATCCCAGCACTTTGGGAGGCCGAGGCAGGCGGATCACGAGGTCAGGAGATCGAGACCATCCTGGCCAACATGGTGAAACCCTATCTCTACTGAAAATGCAAAAATTAGCTGGGCGTGGTGGCACACACCTGTAGTCCCAGGCTGAGGCAGGAGAATCACTTGAACCCGGGAGGTGGAGTTTGCAATAAGCCGAGATGGCGCCACTGCACTCCAGCCTGGCAACAGAGCAAGACTCCGTCTCAAGGAAAAAAAAAAAAAAAAAAAAAAAAAGAACAAAGAAATAGGTATGACATCATCCCTTCAAAATGTCATCTTTCTCCACATTCCATCTTACCCATTTATAGGAGGTTAAATTCATGTGTCATTTTTTAGTAGAATTTACTGATAAAAGCTGGCCCTTTAGTGGTATCAGGTCTGTGACTGATATGTCACAAGTTGATGATGACTTTCCCATTGTTAATAATTCTACAGCTGTCTATCTTATTCATCCTGGTCCTTATTCTTGGTACAGCTCTTCTTTAAATCACAGAAGTAAAAGTTCCATATGTATTTATTATAAAAGATATGCATATGGATACTTTAAAACGTTTTATTGTTCCCTGTTTAAGCACAGTAATTTCTACTAGAATTTTTGTCATAGAAAGATAAATCTTCTCCCTTTGCTACTTTCTGCTTTCATCTTCTTTGATTCTTCCTTGGATCCTGCCCTTTTCTCCGTTATTTTAAATTTTTAATCTGCTATTTATTCACTGTCTTCGTCTATGCCTAAAAGCAGGGACTTTTAGGACTGTTGCAAAACAGCAGTAAATCTTATTTAAGTGTTTCATGTATGTTTTCAGCTTCCCTTTTCTTCCTTTCAGGATGAAGAATTCCAGAATTATGTCTGCAACTGTTATTTTCTTGACATACACTCACTCTTTAACTCATTGCCTTCAACGCTCACTACACTGTGCTTTTGAAATGCAGTCATCTCCTTATTATTATCTATTAATATTTTATACATCTTCATTCTCTTTAAACTCCCAGCAAAAGTAGAGAAAAGGTTAATTACCCCTTTCTGCACTTTTTGGATTCCCTTTTTGGACTTTTCAGCTCCCGATTTTTTCTCCGTATTCCATTTGCACCTTCACCAGCTCCTTCAGCAAGTCCTCTTCATTCTCCCTCTCTTCCAATGTCTATGTGTCTGAAGCTACAGCTTTTTCCTTCTGCACCTTTCTTCCAGTTGAATTTCGCCCCAACCCTCATGAGAGTCCTCTATTCTCAAGGCACCTGTCACCACCTCGGTGTGACCAATTTTTCCATGTATATCCTTTTCTTCTCTGGTAGGCCTTACCTACTCTCTCCCACTTTTGCCTGGATACATTTACTTATCATTCCTATGGTAAATTTAACTTTGATATGCCAAAAACTATATTTGATAGAAAAGTATATTTCTTGCTTGAAAGAGAGATTGCTTCCATTCAAGTCATAATGTGTACCATAAAAATATCAAATATGGAAATCAGGTGATCAGAATATAGAAACAATGAAAAGTAGATATTGAGAAAATAACTTTTAAGTTCCAAATATTACCTAAATAGTCTTGAAATGCAAATGTGTCATAATGATAAGTTTTACTTTATTTGTTTTTGGTTATCAGAGTCTTAAATAATGGGTGATTAGCTTAGAAGTCCCATTCTGAAATTCATTAAAAAATAAAATATTTCTCTGAAAAGGACTTATGCCTAAAGCTGCCGTCATTCTTTCTCATCTGGCACCCCAAGCTTCATTTGATTCCCTGTTTCCTTATTGAGCATAATTTAATGCAACAATCTTGCTTAAATAAGTATTACAAGATCCAATAGATTAACTTTAACTCTTTATCACCAATCTATAGGCTTCATAGAAATATTAAACAACTATTGATTTTAATGTATAACATTGTCATAATTCTTGTTATTTAGAAACAAGATCCAATCTCCAGTAAACCACTCACTGCAGCCCACACTTGTTAGCATAATCAATTTATCACACTTGTTTTATAAAGTTGTAAGAGAACCCCACAGAAGGGTGTTACTAAAAATTACAGCTGATGTAAGCTTTTCACTTCATGCCAAAAGGAGGGCAGTTGACGCTACCATGAAATAAACTCTACTGCAGCCTCTTTAATCATTTGTCAAGATGTATTATGTCCTTGTCAATATCAAGGGAGGTAAACACTGTCATTAATCTGCAAGTGAGGAAATAAGTAACCACGTCAATGTTCAAGTGCCTGGCTGTTAATGCAAATTCATCTTTATTCCATCTTTCTCCCTCTTTCATTTTATGATGTTGTTCCTTTTTCATAAAATGTGCAGTTACATTGTAATGTTTAGAAAATATACATAATGCATTATTAGGATGTTGGCCATTGTGAAATTTGCTGGGTGTGCTTAGCAAGACAGGCACTGACAATGCAGTAGTTAAGCTGAGCCAGCATAGATTAGTCTAAAGAGAACATACCAGCTATAAATTTAACAAACTGTTCATTTTCTAAAGTGATTGCTTTATGCATCTGCAAATAGGGAATAACAGAACATTCAACTCTATTTTTTCCCTAGGCAAATAAAAAACTTAGATCTTGAAAAGCTTTCTTTAGAAACTTTAAATAGTTATTTTAATTTTAGATGCTGTCACTGATGTGTTATGCAAAAGAGGGATGTTACTTACAGTGGATATGAAATGGAATTGCAGTTTTAGCATCTATTATTTGACTTGAATTGCCACTTATGTCTTGATACCTTCCTATGGGGAATCTATGGCTTATCTGTATCGATTAGATAAATATTTAAAGTAAAGCTGAATATAGCAGTGTTTTATATCCACCAGATTACGCTACAAAATCTAGTGGCATTAGATTTTTTCTTTATAGGATTTTTAATTGAAACCAACACATTGGCAATATACCTTGTTTATCTAGCATAGTTACCCTCAATGAATTAGCAAATCAGAAGCTTAACTGAGAAAATAGTGAAACTCTAGGAGATATAAAGGCTGAATAACCAAATAACAAATCACTACTTATTGAGTTTATGCCTGTGTAAGATAGTGTACTGTCATTTCATGTAATTTATCAAAGAGCACTATGAAGTATTTATTATCATGCAGACAAATTAAATGACTTTCTCAAACCACACAGATAAGAAGTCATAGATCTTAGATTTGAACCCGTGTGACTAGATGAAAAATCTCAGCTATTGTGCAATGGGTCACACTACTTCTCAGAGCAATTTTACCTAGGAAAATCTTCTTATATTTTACTTTGAAAGATGTCCGGTGTGTTTACTTAAGTTATTTAAGTACCCTAATTAGGGATAAGATATCCACCTTCCTAAAGTCCCATATTTATTTTTTTAGAGGACCAACAGGTAATTCTTTTATAAGGAATGTGATAGATTGAATCACGTAGTGATTAACAACACAGATTTTAGCCACCAATTGCATTTTTTCAAATTATGACTCTGACATTTCCAGTGTGTGATGTTAGGCAAGTTACTTAACCACTCTGTGCCTCAGTTTAATTACCTATAAAATAGGCAAAATTACATTGGGTTATTGTGAAAATTAAATGTAATGATAAATTTAAAGTAATTGAAAAAAGGTCTGCAATAAGGTAACTGCTTACTTAGCAGCTATATCTTATCATTTAAAGAAGCAATGTCTTTGGCTCACATATTTGTTAACATGAATGGGAATAAATATCCGATTTAGTTCCTTAATGTCTTTAATGTCAGTATCTATTATCCAGTCTTGTCCATCCAAAGCTTTCTGGCTCACTCTTGCTCAGTCTGTCATTTTTCTACAGCATTATCATGATATAATTCATATAGCTACAATTCACTTATTTAAAATGTATAATTCAAAGGTTCTAATATATTTACAGGGTTGTGCAACCATCACCACAATCTAAATTTAGAACCTTTTTGTTCCATTTAAAAGAAACACCATACTTGTTAGTAGTCACTCCTCATTTCTCTCCTCCCTCTCTGCCCAGCCCTAGGCAACCACTAATCCAGTTTCTGTTTCTATAGGTTTGCCTATACTGGATATTTCATATAAATGAAATTATGCAACATGTGGTTTTTGTGGCTGGCTTCTTTCACTTAAAGTAACAGTTTCAAATTTTATGCCTGTGATAGCATGTTTCAGCACGTGTTTATTATCCTTGCCAAAAAATATTGCATTGCATGTATATAATATTTTATTTAGTCTTCAGTTAACATTCATTTAGGTGGTTTCCATTTTGTGGCCATTGTGAATAATGCTGAATGAACGTTAATGTCCAAGTGTGGACGTATGTTATCATTTTTCTTGGGCGTGTAACTAGGAGTGAAATTGTTGAGTCAATAGCCTTGATTATGTTTTACTTGGAGGACCACATAGCCTCCTAGTTGGGCTTCCAGTTTCTGGCCTAGCTTAGCCTGTGAATGTTTGTACACTGCTGCCAGGGAGATCTTTGTAGATCTTAAATATGATTGTGTTCATCTCATGTTCATGGCCTTTAGTGGTTCTTCTGTTGTTTTGGGAATAAATTATAGATACCTTAACTTGACATGCATTATTTAATCATTAAATACTTATTGGGTTCCTACTATATTCTAGGCACTCTTCTAGATACTTGAGTATCCTTGAAATCCTTGAAATCATGTCACATTGGAATAAATTATTACTAAAATCAGAATCAAATTTTTGTAGAATCTTTGATTTAAAAATACACTCCTTCTTTAGCCTATTTTTCACTACACCACGGTGCCTAGGATTAAAGATAAATATGGTAAGATAATTACGTTGCTTTCCATGTTGCATTATTGGCAGGTTATTCTAAATTATGGAATAATAGCGATGTGTTGTGTTTGCCTGTCTCTTTACAGAGATGCTTATTTTATGTGAATTTCCAACATCCCTGAGAGAGGATCATGGCAAATTACTCACTTCCATCTTACACCTAGAAATGTTGAGACTAAATACGTAAATAAAGTACAGTGTTTGCTCTACTAAAGGTGATAAATATCTGTTGAAGTTAAGTCCAACCATACTAGGAAGTCCCTGGAAAATTTATGAACTAATTTTTAGTTTTTGCCTTTACTAAGGGAAAGAAAAGCAAGAAGTGGGCAAATGAAAGCTGAGATGACTGCAATCTCATCAGGACCTAGTATCCTGGATGCTTTTACATCCTCTCTCGTGTTTTTATTTGAAACCAACTCTATAATGTTGTTGATAACTGTATTACTTTAAATAAATTAAATGCTAGGTAGTGTGACTACTGATTTGATTTGATTTGATTATCAGAAACCATGATAACTTCTGTTCTGTAACAAATTCTAAAAGCCATTAATCCAAAGCAAGATTTGTTTTCAAAGCTCATCCAAATTTGCAGTAGTGCAATTTTAATATAAATGTAGTTATTCACACACCAGGGCCAGTTGGGTGGTGGGGGGTGAGGGGAGGAAGAGCATTAGGACAAATAGCTGATGCATGCACGGCTTAAAACCTAGATGATGGGTTGATAGGTGCAGCAAACCACCATGGCACACAACCTGTGTAACAAATCTACACATTCTGCACTTGTATTCTGGAACTTAAAGTAAAAGAAAAGAAAATTAAAATAGAAAGTGTAGTTATTATAGCATAAATATTTCATCAAATATCCTGTATTTTCAGAGAAATTTGATCATATATGAATATTTTATTTATCACCTATTCTTATTTTTAGGTGAGATAATGGCACAATGGTTATGTTTTCAAAATGCATCCTTAATTTTTAGAAATAATAACTGAAATAGTTTATGGAAGATACACATAAGGATTTGTATCAAAATAATGTAGGGAGGGATAAATAGGAGTAGAGATGAAACAAGATTGGCCATAGTTTTAGTTTTTGTAATAGACTTTATCTTTTAGAGCAGTTTTAGGTTCTTAGCTTAATTGAATGGAAGGAACAGAGATTTCCTATATATTCTCCACCCCATCTATACACAGCCTCCCCCTACAATTTACATCCTCTACCAGAGTGGTACAGTTGTTGAAATTGATGAACCTACATCAATACATCATTATCATTCAGAGTCCATAGTTTACATTAGAGTCACTCTTAGTGTTGTACATTCTGTGGGTTTGGACAAATGTGTAATGAGCTGTATCTACCATTATGGTATCATACAGAATAGTTTCACTCTCCCAAAAATCCTCTGTGCTCTACCTATCCATCCTTCCTTCCCACTAATTCCTGGCAACCACAAACCTTTTTACTATGTCCATAAATGTTCCCTTTCTAGAATGTCACATATTTAGAATCATACAGTATGTAGACTTTTCAAATAATTAGCTTTTTTCACTTAGTATCATACATTTATGTTTTTTCCACGTCTTTTCTTGGCTTGATAGCTCATTTGTTTTTGACATGAATAATATTCCACTTTCTGGTTGTACCACAGTTTATTCATTCGTCTATGGAAGGACATCTTGGTTGCATCCAAGTTTTTGCAATTATGAATAAAGATACAATCAACATCCATGTGAGGTTTTTATGAAGACCTAAATTTTCAGCTCCTTCGGGTAAAAACCAAGGAGCACAGTTGTTGGATTGCATGGTAAGAGTATATATATTTTTGTGAAAAACTGCCAAACTGTCTTCCAAAGTGGCTATTCCATTTTGTATTCCCACCAGCAATTAATTAGAGTTCCTGTTGCTTTACAAGCTTACCAGTATATGGTGTTGTCAGTGGTTTGGATTTTGGCCATTCTAATAGTTGTGTAGTGCTATCTCCTTGTTGTTTTAATTTGCACTTCTCTGATGACATGTAATGTGAAGCAACTTTCCAGAAACTTATTTACCATCTATATATCTTCTTTGGTAACATGTCTGTTAAGGTCTTTACTGCGTTTTTAAATTGGATTATTTGTTTTTCCATTGTTGAGTTTTAAGATTTCTTTTTGTGTGTGTGTGTGTGTGTGTGTGTGTATATTATATATATATAAATGTACTTTTAATTGAAAAAATTGTATGTGTTTATCATGTACAATATGATGTTTTCAAATATGTATCCATAGTGGAATGGCTCAGTCAAGCTAATTAACATGTGAATTACCTGACATACCATTTTTTGCAATGAAAACACTTAAAGTCTATTCTTGTAGCAATTTTTAAGAATACAATACATTGTTACTAACTGTAATCCCTATTTTAAACAATAGATCGCTTGGACTTATTCCCCCTTTCTAACTTAAATTTTGTGTCCTTTGACTCCCCTCCTCCTGCCAGCCCTGGTAGGCACCATTTTACGCCCTACTGTTTTTTTTGTTTGTTTTTTTTTTTTTTTTTTGAGACGGAGTCTTGCTCACTAGGCTGGAGTGCAGTGGCACAGTCTTGACTCACAGCAATCTCTGCCTCCCAGGTTCAAGTGATTCTCCTGCTTCAGCCTCCCAAGTAGCTGGGACTACAGGCACACGCCACCATGCCCAGCTAATTTTTGTATTTTTAGTAGAGACGGGGTTTCACCATGTTGGCCAGGATGGTCTCGATCTCTTGACCTCGTGATCCACCCGCCTCAGCCTCCCAAAGTGCTAGGATTACAGATGTGAGCCACCGTGCCAGGCCTTTGTGCCCTACTTCTATGAATTCAGTGTTTTTAGATTTTACATATGAGTGAGATCGTTGGCATATTTGTATTTCTGTCGCTGATTTTTTTCACTTAACACAATAACACAATATCCTCCAGTTTTATACCTGGGGTCTATTCTAGTTCTGGGAATTTTCTGAGCCTAGAGCTGCTGGGGTCAGCCTGGCAGTAAGGTCTGTTCAAACAACTAGTCCAAAAGGTAAGCCTGGATCTTAGAGGTGCAAGATCTCATCTGGCACTGGGGTGTGCCGGGAGGTGCAGTCCATGAGTACTGGCCTAGTCTAGGATAGTGGGTGTATTCATCCATTCTCATACTGATATAAAGAACTGCCCAAGGCCGAGTAATTTATAAAGGAAAGGGGTTTGATTGACTCACAGTTCCACATTGCTGGGAAGGCCTTGGGAAACTTACGATCATGGTGGAAGGCAAAGGGGCAGCAAGGCACCTTCTTCACAAGGTGGCAAGAAGGAGAAGTGCCAGCAGGGGAAATGCTAGATGCTTATGAAACCATCACATTTCATGAGAACTCACTTACTACTGCAAGAACAGCATGGGAGAAACCACCCCCATGATCCAGTCACTTCCCACCAGCCCTCCCACGACATGTGGGGATGGAAGCTATAATTCAAGATGAGATTTGGGTGGGGACACAGCCAAACCATATCAGTGGGGTCATGTTTATCACTGGGTTTTACTGGGGTAGGCCAAGTGTTGTGGTCTAAGGCAAAATCCAGTGCTCACTTCCTTAATTTTCCTCCAAGTAGAAGGTATCTCTCTTCACAGTGCTGCCTGGGATTGGGGGAGGGCTCACACAGGTAATGTAAAACTGCCCTTCCTACTCTTTTCCATACATCTTTTCTCATTTTTATGCTACACCCAGGTGCTATAATCTCTCAACTGATTTCTTTAGCTCTTGTGAAGGTGATTTTGCTTGTGGATAGTTGTGAAAATTGATGTTTCTGCAGAGAGATGAGTGCTGGAAAGTCCTATTCTATGGTCTTGCTGATGTCCATCTTTGTGTATTTTGCATGACAGTCTTTTATCAGATATGTCTTTTGCAAATATTTTCTCCCATTTTTCACTGGTCTTTTCATTCTCTTGACATTATCTTTTGCAGAACAAAAAGGTTTGATTATAAAGTCCATCTTATCAATTCTTTCTTTGATAAATATTGCCTCTAGTGTTTTATTTACAAAGTCATCACCTAACCTAAGGTCACCTAGATTTTATCTTGTTATCTTCTAGTAGTCTTTTAATTTTGTGTCTTACATATCAATCTATGACCCATTTTGAGTTCATTTTCATGAATGGTATAAAGTCTTTATCGAGATTCTTTTTTTTTTTTTTTGGCTTGTGGATGTCCAATTGTTCCAACACCATTGGTTGAAAAGGCTATCTTTTTTTCATTGTATTGCCTTTGCCCCTTTGTCAAAGATCTGTCAACTATATTTATATGGGATCTATTTCTGGAATATTTATTTCAGTCCATTGATCTATTTGTCTATTTTTTTTCACTAGTGCCACACTGTCTTGATTATCATAGCTTTAGAATATATCTCAGAATTGAATAAAGTCAGTCCTCTGAATTTGTTCTTTTTCATTACTAAGTTGGCTATTTTGAGTCCTTTGCCTCTCCGTATAAACTTTAGAATCAGTTTCCTGATATTCACAAAATAACTTGCTGGGATTTTGATTGGAATTTCATTGAATCCATTGATCAAGGGGGAAAGAATGGACACTTTAACAATATTGAGTTTTCATGTAATGAACACAGTATGTATTTCTATTTATTTGGTTCTTCTTTTGTAGGTTATTTTCTGAACCTGACTAATGGGTACATAGGTATTTGTTTTACTCCTTTACCTGTGTATTTTTTACCTTTTTATGTTTTGCCTGTATATGTTTTACCTTTTACAAGATAAAAGGCTAAAATATTTTATATTTTTGCCTTTGTGATACTAGTTTTTTGGCAAGGATGGGGTAAAAAGTAAAATAGGACATTGACATTTCGAATTTTGAATTTCAAATCTCCTATCAGGGAAATTGAATAAATATGTTGAACATGGTAGTTTGGCAATAAAGGGCTTTGGCAAAGAGGGCAGATTCGGTGTAATGATAGTTCTATTGAGATCTAGAAATACTCCTATTTGAAGAGTGAAAAAGTGCTACCAGGTGTTCAGAAGAAAAGAAATGTTAATGAGAAGGCCAAAGATAAGGTGAATCTTATATCAAAGTACTAAAGAGAATGAAAGTGGGATTCAGTTCCTTCTGGGTGATAAGACTGTCTTAAATTATTTCTCAATTATGACATCATATTTCCCCCCCATTTCTTCATCTTGCATAACTTTGTGTTTAAATGAGAGTTTTTAAAATGTGTTTAAAGCTAGTAATGTATTTGACTTTGATTTTGCAAGGATAACACTTCCCAATATCCTTTTTGAGCTCATAGAATTTGTTCATGTTCTTTTAAATCTCCTGATTATTAGTGGTTTACTTTTGATGAAGGTGATAGCATATTCTTCATGAAATAACTATCAAGCTTAGTGTTAAGATAATTTAGGAAACTAAAGCAGAATTATAACTTCTTGATTTTTATGATAGTGTCCCTTGGATGTGTAAATTAAATTACTTATTTTCATTTCTAATTTTTGCTAACCATTTCAGAAAAGTGGTTCAGCACAATCGTTGCCAATTCTACTTCAAATCAAGAAATCTTTAAGCATCCTTAAAAGCTACCATAACAGGCCTATGGCACTGTGTGTCTTTAGGAGATTGATTTCTTTTGTGGGTATTCTGTTTACTTAATGACATAAAGAATGAGTGAGGGAGAAGGCAAAATATTCTCCCAGGAAGATGGAGAAGAGTGGTCATTGTGGATTAGTTAGGCTTTTAGTAAAAACAACATTGTAATGACCTTGTGATTTTTATGAAACCACTTATAACTTGGTCTTAATTTACAAATAAGTTCCTTTAAGTTTGCATCAAAAGTACAGAGCTCTTTCTTGTTATTCTTAACAAGGTTTGATACACAGCATTTCCTCATGGATAATTTGTGGGTTTAAAAAATTGAAATGCTATTATTGGTAACTATCTTGGTCATTGTTGCAAGATGATTTCTATAGTGGGAGCATCCTTTCATACAATCATACGGATCCTTTTACGGTTTTTCTGGTTATAATATCAGTAAAAAGTACCACTTGGCCACAAGTGACTTTTGTTTATACGTTGAATGAAGGAAGAAATTATTTCTAGGTGTGCAACATGGAGAATATTTAAAGTTCTCGGAATGTAAGTTTCTTCATATGTCAAAGAAGGTGATAATACCTAATTTTAAATGATGTTGAAAAGGTTGACATATAACTTATGGAAGTACTACCTACGTACCCACCTACCTACTTACCTACCTACTTATCTATCTGTTTTTATGTCTATCTGTCATGCTTAGCATAGTAACTGGCAGATTGTAGGCAGTTAGGAAATGTTAGTTGTCTTCTCACTCATCATATCATGTACTTTTAAAGGGATGGTTTTCACATCTGTGCAGGTTGTCTACTGTACCACTTTAGAGGGCAATGTTCATGTAGCAAATATTATGAATGGCACCACTGGAATTCTGTAGTATGCAACTTGAAAAACTAAACATAGTGTCTGTATATTTTTAACCCTCTATGTTGGTGATTCTCCAAAAGGGAGCAATTAAACTCTTGCATCAGAATCACCTGGAGATGATTTCTAAAAATGCAGCTTCTTCTGTTCATTTCCAGATCTACCTAAGCAGAATCCGTTGAGATGGAACATACAGATCTGTATTTTTTAAAGCTGCTGAAGTCATTATTTTGCTAACAGCTATCTTATAATATGATTCATATATCATACAATTCACCTATTTTGCCCAGGTCATTCTTAAGCATGCTGAACCATTGCTCTCTTGATTGTCTTTGTGAGAAAAAAAAAAGGTGTCCCCTGGTCTTTTCTTTCTCTGCGATTCTTCATGGATCAATAACAAATTCTTGCACATATTGTATTGTACATATTTCTTCTATAACTTTCATCACATTCCTTCATTCTTAGTGCTTAATCTCCATTTTTTCTTCTAGCTTGCATGCATGCATGAGCGTGCGCTCACGTGGGCATGCACACACACACACACACACACACACACATACAGAGACACAAAGGCTTAGAGTCAAATTGAACTGAGTTTGAATTGCGGGTCTGCCACTTACTGTTTATGGAACCATGGGCAAGTTACCCTTTCTTGATTAACTGAAAAATGAAGCCCCTAATACCAATTTTATAAGGTTGTATGAGAATAAAATGGAATAAAATGTGAGATGCTTATTATACTGTGTGACAAATAAGGCTAATAATATGTTTTCATTAGGTCGTATGAGAATAAAATGTAAGTTGCTTAGTATATTATGTGGGACATATAAAAATATGTTAGCTATAATTAAATGAGAGCTATAATTAAATTGAAGACAGTAATATGTACTCCCTTATATTCCTTGAAGTTCCTAATTTTAATAAATTTATCAATTTATTGATTACTTACTAAATACAAGATACTGTGCCTGATGCAGTATGGAATATAAATATAAATATTATATGAGCTCTGCCCTGAAGGACTTTGCCGTTTATAGTACACAGATAACCAAATACAATAAATATTTCATGATGGAATAATAGAACAAATGCTAGAGTGGATTTTCACAAAAAAATATTGTCAGAACACAGAAGAGAAAAAAATTTTATTTGAGACAAGCACTGAATCAGATTTCACAAAGAGGGTAGAATTTGGTCTGGGACTTTAAGGGTGGTTGAAACATGTCTATGGAGAAAGGGAAATGGGGTTTGGCTGAGATATGGATACACGGTGGAGAGTTTGGGAGGGTATAGGCGAGATGGGAGAGTCTTGATCTTAGAGGATAACACACGACAACTCAAAGTCTTTGAATGACATTCTTTAAGCTATTAGAAACCACTCAAGACTTTTAAGTAAGGCAGTGACATCCGCTGTTCCATATCTAGGAAAAGTTGTTTTAGTGGTATGTGGAATAGTTTCAAGGAGTCAGGGATAGGAAATGAAAACACCATTTATAGGGTTCTTCGGAATATTAGCAGGATTGTAAAACAGAGGTTAGGCAAAGAAGGTGCAAAACCATCTTTCAAAATTCTGGACATGTAAGATATTTTAAAGCTCCCAAAAGTGAAGTTTTGTGCAAAAGTTAGGTGTTGAGCTAGGGCAGTACCAATGAGAATGAAAAGAAAAGGGAAAAGCAAGAAATGGGACACACACACACACACACACACACAAACATTTGAGAGATAATTGGATGAAATAATGGCCATGCCACATAAAAAGAAATTATAGTACCTGCCATAATAACATAAATTTATTCCAAATAAATCAAATGAGTCTAACTTGGAAACCACATCAGTCATTTATATTATTGTCTAAAACCTTTTTTGACAAAAGTGAACACACATGTCAAAAATGTTGATACTTCTCACTTCAGAACTTAGTCCATTTTCACATTTATTCAAGTCTTTATGTCGCAAGTATTTTATTTGTATGTAGATTTTTAGATATTTATGATTATTTTATTTTCTAATGCTGATATAAGTGAAATTTATTGGTTTGTCTTAATATTCTGATTTTGTAACCGAGTTCTCTATTTAGTTCTAAGTGTTTTTCAGTTCATATTTGATATTTTTCAGACAATCATCTTTACATGACTGCTTTACCTTTTATTTTTCTTGTGTTATAATATTAGCCAGGACTTCTAAAGCAATATTAACTAATATTTGTAAAAATCTGGCTACTTGTTTTTAACTTAAGCTTTCGACCACTGAGCAGGCTGTTTTAAATAATCTTCATTTGATAAAGAATGGATTCCTCTACTCTTAGTTGGTTCTGAATCATCAAGATAGACACTGAATTTTATCAAGTGCTTTCAATAGACTTTTAATATTTTTAACATGAAATGTGCCTTTTTCATGTCGTTTTCTGGAGTAACATTTATACTAGTTTTACAAAATAAGTTAGGAATTCATCTTTTTAGTGCTTTGCAGTAATTTTATTGGCTTTAGAATCTTTCATTTCTGGAAACTTTCCAAGTGTTTATTGGTAAAATTATTGAAGCCTGGGGCTTTTCTTAGAGGAACTTCTTCACCAGTGTTTTTAATTCCCAATATGTATTTTAAAAATCCTAGAATAAATCCATGCAAAGTATTTAATTCTTTTTTTTTTTTTTCTTTATTGAGACAGAGTCTTGCTCTGTCTGCCAGACTGGAGTGCAGTGGCGGGATCTCGCCTCACTGCAAGCTCTGCCTCCTGGGTTCACACCATTCTCCTGCTTCAGCCCCCTGAGTAGCTGGGACTACAGGTGCCTGCCACCACGCCCGGCTAATTTTTTGTATTTTGTTTGTTTGTTTTTAGTAGAGACAGGGTTTCATCGTGTTAGCTACCCACAGTAGCTGGGACTGCTAATTTTTTGTATTTGTTTGTTTGTTTGTTTGTTTTTAGTAGGACGGGGTTTCACCGTGTTAGCCAGGTCGATCTCCTGACCTTGTGATCTGCCCGCCTCGGCCTCCCAAAGTGCTGGGATTACAGGCTTGAGCCACTGATTATCAATTTGCCTTTCCAATGTTAAATCTCCAATAATTTTTAAAGGAAGTATTGTTATAGTGAGAGACAGACACCTATGACACATCCATGGAGCAGAATAATGAATGCAAAAACAGCAATGAATTTAGATCCAAATGTAACATATTAAAAAGATTTCATTTCAAATAAGGGCAAAAATAGTTTATTTTTCAAATGATGTTTGTAATTATGATACCATTTAGAAAGAAAAAAGTTAGGTACCTACTATATAGCATACACCTAAGTTAACTTTAGGCGGGTTAAAAATGTTAATGTAGGAAGGCAGAAGGCGGAGAATTGCTTGAACCCAGGAGTCAGAGCTGCAATGAGCCAGGATCGCACCACTGCACTCCAGCTTGGGTGACAGAGCGAGACTCCTTCTTAAAAAAAAAATGTTAATATAAAAATAAAGTTGCAAAAGTACTAGAGAAAATGTTACATGAACATTAATATAGCATTGGAGTGAAAAAAATGCTTTAAAGTTATAAACCATAAAGGAAGAAAGGCATACTGGAAAATGACTAATGAATTTAACTATATCATAACATTTAAAGGTTGTTCTTAAATATTTGAACTACTACCCAAGAATGCCCAAAGCCCGTGGTGGAAATTCTAATTTTTATTGTGATATGTTTGTCATATTTAAATGATAGGTTTTTGTTTTAACATTCCAAAATGCAGCTCCCTTTTCTGCCTTTGACTGCCTTCTATAGAAATTCCCCCAGCTGCCAGGCCAAATTTCTCATCCAGATTCAGGTACTCTTATTGACTATCCAATAGGGCATTGATGCTGCCAAGTTCGCATTAACTCTCTTATTAGCTTCGAGAAGACTTGAGACAGAAGCTATCAACACTTCTTCATTGGCATCTATGTGGCTGTGAAAGATGGTCACATTTTAGTCAAAAGACATAATCCTGTCCAGTTATATTTGAAGAGAATCATAGCTAAAGAACACATGCCATCTTCCACTCCTGTTTTTACAGTGTTCACAAATATAAAATAGTTACTAACTTCTTATACTCTTTCCACCTGTAACATAAAGATGGAATTCTGCAGAAATTGAGAAAGAGGGCAAAAACGCGGATTTTCTGAGATAATTTAAAACAGTTAAGAATCTGCAGCCAATAAGAATTTAACTCACAAAGGCAGAGCAATTGAAACTGTTTCCGGCCATCAGTACACAAATAGCAAGCCAAGCTTCATAATTCTGTGTTTAAATGCAAGAGTTATTTAAAACAATTTGGTTTTAGTTTATTTTCTTACATCTCTTAATTACTGCTGGAAAATATTGTCAAGGTTGGGAAGTTCTTTTAATCAAAGTCTAGAATATTAAATTTTAGAATCTATAGAGGTAGAAACATCACAACCATTTATTTACTTTTATCTTTGAATAAGCATTGGGAATTATGATTCCTTTAGTTTTCTTACCTGCAAAAACCTGTATGTTCTTCATCTAATTCACCAAAAGTCTATTATTCTCAAAATTCTATTATTTTGAGAAATAATAGAATCAATACAGGTCAATTTTTAAAATGTGTGCAGGACTCAGAACCATTAATGTGCTAATGTGCATTCTGATGTTCCAAGGGGCATTCATAACATCCAGCCTGTCCTATAAATTTGAACCTAGAACCCTTTTTGCATGCAATATCTATTGAGTTCTGTTGGGAATATTGTATTACTCGAAACATAATTTTGAAAGTGCTACTATAAGAGCTTTTAGAATATGTGGTGTTAAAAGCTGTACATTATGTTAAAATAGCTCTTGCTATTAATACATCTAAATAATATTTGTTGAGGACATTCCCTTGAAGGCCCTGTGCTAAATGGCTTTGTAACTAAACTTCTGTTCTGCTTCAGTGTTATACTGTGGATTATATCTGATGTTCATGTATGAACATAAATATGACCAGTTAAAGCAATTTCTTGCCAGCTAAAAGAGGATGTTTTATGTCTGATTATTTAATTCAAAAAGCAATTCACTAGTCTTACCTCCTTATTTGCCATTGTACATGTGGTTAATAAGTAAAATCTGAATTCCTAACAATGTCTTTTAGATTAATATGTTTTGGTTATTGACACTTCATACATTTTTGATATGGTCAAAGTTAGTTCCTAGATAGGGAGGAGCAGGATTTTTCTCCTCTTGCTTAACTGGTTTCTAATTTCTTGTGAGATTCCTTTATGTGAGTTTCACCATACTAAAAATGGAATTATTTTAAAAAATTATAAAATAGAGTCCCCTTCTCTATTTTAACAATCAATGTACCTCTGAATCAACTGGTTATTCCCGTGATCTGTGAAGTAGTTACCGTGCTTTTCAAATTGTATTTCATGTGTGTTCAAAATGAAGGATAATGACTCACATTATAATAAATAGTATGACATTTATGACCCACAAGGAGGAGGAGTGTACAAATGAACTTTAAGGGTTTTACCTTGAAGATTTGTGAGATACAAAGGCACAGTTTTTCTAAAACAGGAATATACCTCAGCTGTCAGGAAGAACTAGAAATTATAGTTCTGCCTTATTGGGATATAGCATGAGTCCAGTGACCCCTGTTCTCATTGTTCATCTATCTCCAACACTTCTTGTTAAGAAGACACAATTAGGTCAGTTTTCAATGATCCAATATGGAACACCTCTGACAAACGAGGTTTCAAATCAAGGTATCTCAGACAGTTGGCCTCCTAGCGCCCTGTCATCCCTTTGGCTTATGCCCAAATTCAGCCCAGAGCCAATTAGTGGATCACAGCCTCTAGAATGGCTTCACTCTGCTCACACTCAACAAGATCCAGACAGAGCTGCTATGCAAAAAAAAAAATGTTCACAGGGTCCTTTCGCAGAGGGGCAATGGTTTAGGTACTTTGAGACTTCATGGCGCATCAAGTACACACATGTTGAAGTAATGCAAGTGAGAAATTTTGCTGACAACTGATGGAAAGTAACATTTAAATCTAGAGCTCTACCTTTGTGGGCAGCCTGAGACAACCCTAGATTAAACATTTTAATTTTTCTATTTACTGTTTGTAGGTTTCTGTAATTCACTGAGCCTGTTCTAATATGTACAGGTAGATATTTGCACCTAGAAAGCATGCATCTTGGATATTTATCATATATAAAGAAAAAACTATATATACAGCCATTTAAATATGCTACAAATAGTAATAGAACACTAATAAATATGTACATGAAATGAGTATGTGTTTATCCTTAAATTAGTGGTTTGGTTTTCAACATTGTTTTATTCCTTGACACTGTCCCCATGACCCATCATGTTCTGATCACTAATATTCTCTTTGACCAAACCATGCTTCTGGAGTGGGGGCCATTGGTACTAGTCTTCATGTGTGGGGACAAAGGGACAGAGTTTTAAAATATACTGTTGAGACTTTTTCCAGATTAGAGTTAATTTAGCTAATGTCATCAAGACCAATAGTTGTTAGGTTAAAGTGGGGAATCATTAAAAAATTGCACACTTGAAGTAAACATTTTACTTAAAATATACAAGTACATTCATTTATTAACCTTTTCTTCTAGGGTCAAGACCTTTTCCTTAAATATTGGATTCCTTAGTGGGCTTCTAATTCTTTCTTAAAAAAAAACTCTACCCATGATGCATCATCTACAATTTCCAATTTCAGTTTCTCTAAAGGAGAGCAAAAGCATAACGGTAACTCTAAAGCAATATGCATATAGAAAACTTATTTATTTTTTTACTTATCCCCGTCTTTAAGAATTGACTCATCCACACCTAATTTAACAGCAGTTGTTTTAGTGACTCATTTTAACCCATTCTTTTCAAACGTTTTGTCTTACTTTTAATAGATACAACCTTTTTTTGCACTCACATTTTGTTCTTTTGTTCAATTTGTAATTGCATAATTACATTACATATTAAACTAGTATACATAGATTCTGGAATAAACATGCCAGACTACTATTAAGTAGACAACTCACTGGTCAAGGAAGCATACAGAATGCTGAGGGAACAAACATGGCCTTTAATCCAGCAAGTCTGTTATAAAAAAAAAGCTCACTCTCAAAGCCTCCTTCTGGAGTTCATAATAAATGCTTCCCAGGGAGGCAGTCCTCTGCTCTGCTTTCCTACTTCTTTTCTTCTTTGAAGGTTTCCACTTTAAATCAGGCAATACTGTCTGTTGAATACTGTCTTTCTCCTGAATGAATTGTTTTCTTCTTCCTGTAAAAACGGAATTCAGGATAGTTTTAGCCCTTTGGTGTGCCCTATTTATTGAGAAGGACATTTTCTGTTATGCCCAGAAGTTTAGGAGCCTTGCATGGCTCGGGCAAGACTGAAGAAGCAGCTCACTTCAGCCTGTTTCTCTACTTTGTCCCCTTTGTGCTCTAGCTTTTCACTAGTGGAAATCGCCCACTCTATCACAAATGTTTTCAGAGGCTACAATCCAACTTAAGGAGGATAAGCTATGAGCAACTTGAACTATAATAATACATGAACATCTTGAACTATAATAGATTTAGAGGAAGTCCAAGAAGTAACAATCCTCAAAAAAAAAAAAAAAAAAAAAAATCCTGAGGCAGTCTAATGGCAACTGGCCAAAGACCAAATCAAGATATTAAAGTTGCCTGATTTAGCATCCCTCAGGAGATATGCTTCCACCATACCCTATATGCAAACAACAACAACAAAAATAGAGCCATAAATCCCCATCCTAATTGTACAACAAAATCATCTGTGGAATTTTTAAAATGCAGATATCTGGGTCCTCTCTAACAATTATCAAATTGAGACCTTCCAGATCAGGGGCCTAGATTTAAAAAAATGAAAAACATTATGGGTTATTACAACGGTCAGTTACATTTGAAAAGTCAGTTTAATAAAGACATGAAATATATTTGTACTGTTGGAAAAGTGAGTTTCTAAGTGATATTTTCCTCCTTACATATGGATGTTCCTTTTAGTCTATGATAGCTTCTACCTTAAAACACACCTTCTGATGTGAATCTGCATGGGGAAAAAAGTGGTCGGCTCAGTGAATGGGTGACAGGCAAGCAGCCTCTCCTGGGAGGTTCTTTGCTGTTTCCTCTGGACCCAAAAGAGTCCTCTTGCTTAAACCAGCTGCTTCTCAAAACATTAAACTGCACAAGGATCATCTGGGGATAGAGTGTTATTAAAAGTAGATGTTGTTTCAGTAGGTCTGAGATGGGGCTTGAAATTTTGCATTTCCAATGAGCTCTTTGTGCTGCTCCAGAGACCACATTGTGTAGCCAGGGTTTAAGCCACATTAATCCACCAGTTTTCACCAGCTGCAACTAATTGAGTGTCAAAATTTAGGTCTACATTGTCTCTTTTCCATTTACAACTTCTAAACTTTATTAAAATCCATGAATTATTACTCTAAAAAGGAAAAAAATAAATAAAAAGAAACCCTTTTCACTTTAAACAAAGAGATAATGTGTAAGGTGTGTTCACGCTTTATGGTGTAGGTTTTTTGCCTGTGAAGACCAGGAAGTGGGTCGGCTCCTAATCAAGATCAGATCAGGTGATTCCATAATGGAACTAACCACCTACAGTTTCCCCACCAGGCTCATGTCAGTAAATGCCAGTGACTTCTTTGTTTCAGGTTTATTTGCTAACTGTAGATGTTGCAGATGATTGGTTAGTGTGAAAGCACAAACATGGTGAAAATAAAGAGGACATTTTACCTTTCTTCTAATATATTATATTTGGTGTAGCATTTCTAGTTTAATAGGAATTGTCCTCTTTTATAGTGGAATGAGTTTTGGACTGAATTCTAACCAAGAGTGTATGAATCCTTCTTAATGATAGCTGTGTTATCATGTTTCCTCATAGAGCATAAATATTTTAGCAAATGTTGTTACTGAGTTTGTCTTCAAGCAGCCCAGTGAATGTCTGCACCCTTGAGTATTAAGGAAAAACTCATTCTTTTCACTTATAAAAAGGCATATGATGTAGAGAACATTGGAAGCCTATCTCAAATCTTAATCTGCTTTCCCTGAGATCCCATGGGACGTATCTGCAGGCAGGGGGGTGGAATTTACTCTCAACTTTATTGCTGCTATCTGGTACTCTTTGTCTGCATGTAGCCACCAACTTTTATTTATGAGTATTTGCTGGACCTCATGCTAGGTCCACTGATACAGCTTACAGACTTGAGAAAGATATCCTGCCTCTAAGGAGCTTATAGTCTAGTTTATCTCAATTTATACAATTTATACAAGCAACCGAGCAGAAAATTTTACAGTTAAACGATGATGTGTTGTTTTAAAGTACTTTCAAGATTCATTGTCAGTTTGTCTTCATTTGCATTTCTGGTAACAAAGACAGAAACAGTATAGACTAGGCAATAAGTAAGTGACAGTGTGCTGAAGGAGAAAATGATGACAAAGAAGATGGAGTTGAGATGATGGGAATTCTAATAACCCATATACCGTGTATTAGTTCTTTATTTCTTCTACAAACATTTACTGAACACCTACTTAGGTTCAGCCAAAAAGATGACAGTTTTATGATAACAGTATGTTTCCAGTACAGTATAATTGTTGTCACAATGAGCTGTTCACTAAAGCACGGACATTCTGTCATCTCATCTGTAAAAAGTAGATAATAATATCCTCCTTATCGAAAATCAATGAGCTGGAACAAGTGATTTCTAGTTTTCCTTCTATGCAGTAATAGCTAAGAGGGGGAGAAAGGAAATGAGAACAAATATGAGCCCGAGTTTACAATGTCTTCCTGGGACAGTATCAGAAATGAAACCTAATTTGTAGTGTCTCTGATAAAACATGAGCTTCATCTTCTCCTTCTTCCCCCAAAAGATATCAATTTTCATTTTACCAGTTTACCCCTACTAGCTGGAGCTCAGAACATAGGCCCACATGCCTATTTCTGCCATGAGCAGAACAACTATATTTAGATATTCCAGATTGTTCTTATTCCATAGAGGCCCAATGAATTTGGTAACTAAGACTGAATGGAACTTGGTATCTCATCAGTGCCTCTCAAAGATTTCCTTTCACTTGTTTCTTCAGGAAGACAACTACTAGTTGGACACATAAAAGTTTTAACTGTGGCTAGGCCCCACTCTTCTCTAGTTCCCATTGGAACTAGAAACTGTTGTAAGAATGACTCCAAGGAACATTAAAGACATTTTCAGATTGACTTTGAAGGCACATATAAGTGTGTTCAATGACTTTGTAATTTGGGGAAGACTCTTAAACTCCCTATTAGCAGATTATCATATATAACATATGAATAGACCTGTTTGAGGATGTAATGAGCTCATGCATATAAAATAACTAGTAAAGTGACCTGTACATTTTCAGCCCTCATTGTAAGCGTAATTATATTATATTATTCATCTTTTGTAGGAAAAGTTTTATTGAATTGGAGAACAACAGAAGACAAAAGCGTTCCTCCTTTCCCTTTCTAGATTTGTATATATTACAGAACACACATAAAAATGGACATTTCTCTGCAGATTATCTTACTGTTATGTATAAAAATAATAAATTGGCTCTCTGCCTATGGAGCAGACATTCTTTTGTTTCTTTACTTCTCTAATAAACTTGCTTTCACTTTACCATAGATAGCAATAGTAATAAGTCATGGAGAAAATTAATAACTACTTGGACTTTCTACGAAAATGTAGGGAAAGTGTATATAGATTTTTAATTGATGTTTTGATTCCAAACAAAAGAAAAAACTTCTTACAAATCATTTAATTTAAAGCTAAAAATTGCCTTAGATCACACATCTGTCCTGGTTGTACTAGGAAAATTGATATAAATATTCTCATGGCTGTCACACACCTGTTCTTCCTAAGGCAGTTCCATCTGAGGCATGATATTAAAAGGAATCAGAGGTGCTCACCAAGCAACATAACACCCTTGACTAAGACACCAACATTGTGATGATGTGTGAAATACTTACATTTCTCTATGGCTGCCATAGTACCTTATATTGGCTTCAGATCTTTTTATGTTTGTGATCTCTTTATCCATGAAATCTAGTTTATTTGCCCCCTTTTGAAAATCCATCCCCTATCCTCATTTTTAATTCATCCATTCTTCTTCCTATTCAGAGTAACCTACCTCTCTTACCAAGGGTGTGGCCAGATGTGATCTTTTTTTTTCAGGGCCTTAAATCCAGCAAATTATGTCTTGAAATAATGACACGTCATAAAGTCACTTAACTTTTTTTCCGAGTCCACCAGTTCTTTTTAACGTTTTTCACTGTCTAATAAAGGGTCTAAAGCCCTGACTGGAATCCATGCATGGAGGTGTCAAAGCTTACCACTGTTATAAAAATATTTCCCCCTACATGGCATGTCTTCATTTGGGCATGAATCATGAATTCATCCCATGCGTTCTCCTTTATTTCATGAACACCCAACTGTGTCAGAATGCCAATGACCTTCATTGGCTTGGCTAATCTATGGATCTGAACCCTCCTGTAATCCATTAAAAGAATAATAGCAAATTGAAAGTGAATGTAAAGATACCCAATGGGACCATAAAACTAACTATTCAATGTGACGTGCTTTGGCTTAATAGGGCTTTTATTTATTTAATTTCGAGCTCCCCTTGGTTTCTGACAGGGTTAGTGGAGGAAACAAACCCAGACATCTTGTAAGCTGTCAAGCTGATACTCATCTCAGGGGAGCTTAGAGGGTATCATGTTTTAAGTTTTATTTTTCTGGAGCTTGGAATATGTCTGCTGACAGACGGCTCCCCTGGGTTATAGCAATGCAAGGCTGTTGAGACAATTGAATAAGCTGAATTAGACAAAGGATTTTTATTACAATAACAACCAGATGGAACTTTGAAGGAAATTTTTTTTTAAGGTCTTAGAAGTTCTGTTACAGAAATCATTTAAAACATATTTATGGGCTGGGCGTGGTGGCTTATGCCTGTAATCCTAGCACTTTGGGAGGCCAAGGCAGGTGGATCACTTGAGGTCAGGAGTTCAAAACCAGCCTGGCCAACACGGTGAAACCCACCTCTACTAAAAATACAAAATTAGCCGAGTATGGTTGCAGGTGCCTATAATTCCAGATACTCAGGAGGCTCAGGCAGGAGAATCACTTGAACCTGGGAGGTGGTGGTTACAGTGAGCCAAGATCGCGCCACTACACTCCAGCCTAGGCAACAGAGTGAGACTCCGTCTCTAAACAAATAAATAAATAAATAAATAAAAAGATATTTATGATGATTTTTCCTATTATAAGGTTAAAAAAAACAACATAAAGATCTCATTGCTCTGTTTTTTTTAATCCCTAATGATTAATATGTGGCCAGTTACAGAGACTCTTCCAGCCAACCCGTGACATATACACATTAATAATGTTCTTTTGTATTTGCAGATCTTATTTCTTCAGAGTAATGGAAAATCCTGCCCAGTACTGTTCTATTAATCTTCATAACGAATGCTAGGGGGCTAGGTGGGCGGCATTTGGTGTTATCCACATGTAATAGATTTTTTAAAAATGGGGCAATGAAAACAAAATAAGTCTTGAAACTTGTTAACACCCACAGTGGAAGTTTAGCAGTGGAAATGAACTAATATTACCAGAAGACCTCTTATTCTCTATTGCTTTTCATGATTAGCTAGTACATTTATTATTTTTCTCATGAATGACAAGATTGCCTGTAATGTATTTGACATGTGGTAGTTTTCCAATCTCCGGCAGGCTGTGTGCATGGGTGTGTGTGTATGTGATTAATAAATACTTAAATATTTTTTATATAGGGATTGTTTTGCCCTCTAGAGGCAGCTCAATAGAAGGAGCATTCAATGTTAGTGATTGAAAAATGGTAGATGAAACTTGGACAGGAAAACTCGAGAGGTCCAAGGTACCTTATTTAGCTACTGCTGTCACGGTGGATCATAATGCAGTGGGACAGTCAGGACTCAAAGCCTTTCCTATAACCACATACGATGGATATTGAGCACAATACAGAAGCAAAAGATTTGTTTTAACTTGGATACTTCAACTGCAAGCGTCTCTGGGCCTGATATCCAGTTCAGAATTCACTGTACTTTTTATTTCACTATCGGCTTTCCAAAATATGGTAACTAAATGAGTAAATGAAAACATGGCAATACAAACCAACACAAGTTCTTTTGCTGACAGAGCATGCAATTGCCAAGTAAAAATATTGTTCTTTATTAGGTTTCTTTTCATCGTACATGTACATATTCATTTGGAAACACATTTTTTTGAGACATAATCTTGCTCTGTCACCCAGGCTGGAGTGCAGTGGTACAATCATAGCTCACTGTAGCCTCAATTTCCTAGGCTCGAGGGATCCTCCTGCCTCAGCCTTTCAAGTAACTAGAACTACAGGCATGGGCACTTGCCGGGCTAATTTTTTAAAATTATTTTTTGTAAAGACTGGGTCACCTCAGCCTTCCAAAGAGCTGGGAAGAGCTGGGCATATAGGCAGGCATGAGCCACCATGCCCAGTCTACAAACACATTTTAAAACCATAGGCCTTCTAGTTTTTTGTTGTTGTTGTTTAGGTTGGCTTTTGACATGCTACTTATTGCATACTAGTCTGTCATGTTCCTAAATTCCAGTTACTCCTGTAGCCATTTTTAAAGATTATTTTTTAAATTTTTCTTCCTCCTCCTCCACCTCCTCCTCCTCCTCCTTCTTCCTCCTCCTCCTCCTCCTTCTTCCTCCTCCTCCTCCTCCTCCTCCTTCTTCTCCTCCTTCTTCCTCCTCCTCCTCCTTCTTCTTCTTGCTTCTTTTTCTTCTTCCTCTTCTTCTCCTCCTCCTCCTCCTCCTCCTTCTTTTTCTTCAGGCATGGCCTTGCTCTGCCACTCAGGCTGGAGAGCAGGGGTGCAATTATGGTTCACTGCAGCCTCAACCTCCATAGCTCAATCAATCCTCTTGTCTCAGCTTCCTGAGTTGCTGGGACTATAGGCATGTGTCACCACAACTAGCTAATTAAAAAAAAAAAAATTCTTTTTAGAGACGATGGGGCCTTACTATGTTACCCAGACTGGTGTTGAACTCCTAGCCTCAAGCGATCTTCCTGCATTGGCCTCCCAAAGCCCTGGGATTGCAGGGTTCCCAAGTGGCCATATCATTGGATTTGTCTTCAGAGTGATGTACTTGTGAAACATGGATATGAACAGGGATAGAGGGCAATAGCAACACATGTTTATTAAGCACTCATTGTATGCCAGGCTAAGCACTTTGTCACAGAGAGCCTATTTAATCCTCAGAAGAATAATCCAATGAATCACTCTATTTTCTAGGTGTCAAAACCAAGTCTTAAATAAGCCAAGTAACTTACCCAGAATCATATAGCCACAGAACCGAGATTTGAATTCATACATTATGACAGAGTCAGATAAGCTAGCCATCCTGCCCCTACCTCCAGTTCCAGAATCAGTGATTGGCTTTGGTCTTACTCAGCACTGTCAGTTACAGAAATTGGTGTCATCAGATTATCTGTCTGCCTACCACCTCTGGAGCATGGCAATTACAGCATCATTGATTTCGATTGTCCTAAAATGGAGGAAAACTTGCTGCTGGCAAAAGGAAGACCCATAATCATTCATCAGCTCAATAGGCTTGAATGGCTAAAGTGCTCACAGCCATCTTCCTGTCTCACTAATTGCTGCCATTTAAAGATAAAGGGGGAAGAAACTACCCTTTACTTCAGTTTACAAAACCCACCGAAGTTAAGATATACCAAAGGATGTATCCAAGAACCCAGAACTTCTGGATGGAAGGTTCTGGAATTGAATCCTCATGCCCTGCAGTATAACCTCCATACACCCACATGGCTTGGGCCTCTTAGTTTTGCTTGGCTGCTACTACTTTTAAGTAAAAAAATAAAAATTGGTTATGCAGTTTTCAGAATGTCTTTCATTTCAAATACATTCTTAATCCATCAAAAGGGACATTCTAAATAAAGACTTGTCTCTACATGATGTGTTAATGAAGAATGGCAGGGGCAAGTAAAACAAAACAAAAAGCTATGTAGTGAGGTTCTTTCAAGCCAAACCACAGCTGTTTGAAGAATGACAATATGATATCATGCAACTGCCACTATCCCTCATTAATTGATTTTACAGATTTTTAGGTATTCACTGATGTGTCTTGTACTTATGGCTGAAAATGCACACTAACAATCTGTAGCAATGTTACAACACAGATAGCATATTGTCAAATGCTGCCATGGATGAAAACTTCTCATTTGCTGTGGATCTGTTAAGATAAACCTCTTGAGAATTACAGATACATTTATTATTGGCATTTTCAAAATGGCAAAGACATCTGTTGCTAAAAGTCTCTGACTGGAAAGGATTTGGGACCAAGGGTAAGGTTAGCTAACACTTCTTAAACTAGACAAGTATGAACAGTGAACATCTGAAACTACCTGTGACCACAGAGCCCAAGTAATGTTTAATGGAGGCATACATCTTTAACCATTCAATATAAATTCAACCTTTTTTTTTTTTTGAGATGGAGTCTCACACTGTCGCCTGCATTGGAGTACAGTGGTGTGATCTCAGCTCACTGCAACCTCTGCCTCCTGGGTTCAAGCGATCCTCCTGCCTCAGCCTCCTAAATTCAACCTTTTTTTAAAGTTTTCCTCATTAACTGAATTGGGCACTTCCCCCCCTATAATCTCTTACATAATTTGTTTTAATTCTTTTGACGTATGCATTACATACCACCCTTGTATTGGAACTATGTATGTATCTCTTTTTCATTCACTCCCCTTTCCTTCCCTGTCCCATTCCTTAAGAGAACTGTTATCTTCCATGAGGGAAGCACTCCTGCAACTTTTACGTGTATGTGTGTTTGTCACCATCTTCTACCACGTATTAATGTCACATATTAATGTGCCAGCCCATATTAGTGTCTCATTCTATGAATGAATGAATAAATTAATGAAGAATGAATTATGTATGTAATGTAGTTCAACTTACTACATAACACCAAGTAAACTAAACCATCCAAGATAAGTTTTTGAATCAAAGCCACCATCCTACTAATAAATATGGTTTCTTTTGTATAAAGGTGCTAGAATTCCTAGCCAAATATTTTATTAGTGTTCTATGCCAAAACTTCCATTCATCAATGACTTATTTCAATGATAATTACTTCAAGTCTCTGAGTGTAGGTATCAGATGTTGAATATTAGTATCCTGGTGCTCAAGGAGTCTTTCACAGGCTTTTACATATGCTTCTCCATGTGATTCCAATTTTAGCATACAAATCTTTTATTTACTATCAACCTACTTAGTCTACTTGTTGAGAAAAAAGTGTTCATCATATTTCTTGATTCTGCATATCTTATCAATTGCAATTTTTCTGCTCTATTAATGTTTAGATAGAGAGGAAAATTAGGGAAGGACACCAATCCTGTGTGTAAGACAAAACTGGAAGTCATTCACAAATACAATATGCATCAAATGTTTTCTTCTGAGTGGTTCTATATTGGTTCTAAATATAATAGTACCAGCTTATATGAAAAGCATGAGGGATTGGCCTCACCAGTTTTTATCAAATGTAAGATGCTATTAATTTCAAGATGCATCACTCTTTTATGAACCACAAAGGAAGAAAAGAAATGCTGCCAAATTAACAATGATGTTGTTGATCATAAGTTATATCTTGATTTCAGAGATATTAAAATGGGTTTAGAATGTATGTCTTAGAATAGACGAAATATAGTATTTGTTCAGTAAGTATGGAGTGCATTCTCAATGCTCTATTACTTTCAACATTGATATGCTTCTTTTACAAATGGTGAAGATATGATAGGGTGTTTGTGACACATGCTTTTCTAGCAATCTGTCTAAAACCTAGCATGCATTGCAAGACATGTCACTGCAACTCTGCATGTGCTACCACAGCTTTCCAGAAGGTAACATGCATCCCACAAAGCTTCCAAATTTCTTTTCAGACCGTTTTATTGGCCTGATGGCAAGCTAACTCAAAGCAGTTTGCCATACACAGAACACATTCACCAACCTTGGTATAATGTTCCCTCCGCTTCTTTCTAACAAGTCACATTTTGCCTTTTAAGGTTATCCATCATCCAGTGTTTTAAAGCATTTTGCTTTCAATGAGGTGGCACAAAAAACCATATTTTTACAATAGCCCTAAGTTTTAATGGCAGGCAAAGAGAATATGACTACATATCTCAGCAGACAATTAGAGTAAGGAGGGTGAGGTAAGAAGAGTGGTGCAATGGAACCGTGAAGATAGGGAGCCCTGACCCTTTCATTTTCTGTTCCGTACATATTTGACCTTCAGTCCTGCAATTGCAGAAAACAAACTGCCCAATCTTACCCATGGGACATTTTGTAATTACTTTCTTGTCTCTTCTCTTATGGGTGCATTGACTAGCACATAGTACTTCTGCTACTGATAGCTCATATTTATCTAGCACTCATTATGTGCCTGACAGTATTCTGTTTCACATATATTAATTAAACTGATTAACTTTTTAAAATAAACTTTTTATTTTGAATTAATTTTAGTTTTACAAAAACATTGCAAAGATAATACAGAGTTCTCATACATTTTTTATCCAATTTTGCTAAATGCAATGTTAACGTATTATACAACTGTGGTACATTCGTTAAAACTAAGAAATTAATATTGATAAATTACTGTAAACTAAACTCCAGACTTCATTTGGATTTCACCAGCTTCTCCACTAATGTTCTTTTTCTATTTCAGGATCCAATCCCTGTTGGATCCATATTGCATTTAATTGTCATATCTCCTTCACCTCTTTGGATCTGTGAGAGTTTCTCAGTCTTTCCTTGTTTTCCATGACTATCACACTATTTTTTTCAGAGATGGAGTCTCATTGTGTTCCCCAGGCTGGATTTGAATTCCTGGGCTCAAGCAATCTTCCTGCCACAGTGTCCCTAGTGGCTCCAACTATAGGCATACACCACACCCGGCATGACTATCACACTTTTGAAGATTACCGATTGAGTATTGCATAGGATATCCTTTCATTTGAGTTTGCCTGCTGTTCTTCCGATGATTGGACTTTGGTTATGGGTAACTCATCCACTTTTCACAACAGCCTATAAGACGGTACTATTATGATTCTCTTTTATAGATGAGGCACTGAGGGAGAGAACAGTTGAGTAATTTGAAGGCCTGGGTGCTTGAATCCAGAGGGTCTGGTTATAGACCTAAAGCTCATAATCACTATGTTATTATTGAGTTATAATTTCTAAATTTGAATCTTGACACACTACATACTAACTCATATTTATTGGTATCAGATCACTCAACTGTGAAGCAGGAATGATCATTTTACTTACCTCATATGGCAATGCTTAGCACAGTATCTCGGTCACACCAAATTTCTGGAAGATGTTAGCTGTTAGTTTTACTTAACTGTTTGCCATTATTTTTCAGGAAGCTGGCCATGTTAATTTTCTGAACTGCACAATCACAATTTTGTGAACCTTAAGGTGTTCTGAAATTACGGGCTCGTTGATTCTGCCCTTTGTCTTGCTTCTCAAAGAAGGTGTGCTGGCACTCCATTTAAGTGCTTTATTTGTCAGGAGAAAGTGCTCATTTGAATCTGAAAAGCAATCCATGTACAAAGGAAGAAAACTTGGAAACCCTGATAGTCTCTGCATGTTTGAGAATCAATGAAAAAAGTAATGCCACTTTCCACATGTGCTTTTAGAATTCTAGGAATAGATCAGTCTCAGGTTATACTACAGGAATAATATCTTTAAATAACACCATAGAAAAACATTCCAAAATTGTTTGGTAGTGGACTGTGTCTACACAGATACTTATACATGTTTTTTGGAAGGTCATATTATGACATATAGCAATATCAGAATTTCTACACCAATAGCATTAAATGATAATCCCTCTCTGTCAAACCGGAACATGTGTTGTAGGTAAGCATGTACATAACAGTGTCGATATCTTTGCCTGAAGTAAGAATATTGAGGGAAAATAAAAGCGTTATGAGATGTGTTCCTTTCATTTTAAAAAATGAAAAAATTACTCCAAAATGGTGTTATGGACTCAACATTGATTCTCCTGGTTTCCAATCCCACACAGGTTGAGTTCTTACTACAACAAGGCATTTTCCTTGGTGCCATGTCCTAGATCATACTTTTCTGTTTAATGCAGAATTTTCTTCCAGGAGGCTAGAATGCTTGGAAAAGTGTTTGTCATATGTCGGAAAGTGAGCATTTTCTCTTATGAAAACTATTCGTGCTTTTATGTAAAAGTATTGAAAAGGAAACTTCACAAACCATAAGAAAATACCTGAAGAGGAGATAGAAAGCAATCCGGCTGGGGATCACGTAGCAAGTGTCTTCATTGGGCAGGGTAGAAACCTTGGCTACCTTTTGCTGCTTTCCAACTCTGAAATCCTAAGTTTCTCTGATGTTAAGTTACCTGGTTGTAATTATAAAGTGCTTATCATTCAGACGTATGTGAAATACTTGGAAGTCAGACTTCCTGCCAGTGTTTAACACTTTGGAAGGATCAATAAGTAGGCTTTATTCAGATATTCCAAATGGCCACCTTCTTGGTGTCATGTGACGCTATGTCTGTGGCCTATAATACATGTAGTTGTGATTAATTGACTTTTGTCCAGCATCCTGTATTTTCGGCTCTCTTTTAGCGGTGGCAAGCAATGGAAAACATTATTTCTTTGCTCAGATTTCTCACTATATGTGTAAAAAGGTGATATTGTGATTCCATGTTTCCAAATGAGTGAGACTCTATGGACACCTTCCATATATTCCCTCCATATCAGGAGTAAAGAAAGGTATGTCCCAATTTAAATGGGAATTTAGCACCTCTATTAAATTTTTCACACAGCTTCCATTCTGTATTTTTATGAACTATACCAAATCAAACATATTTATCTTTTTGTTCAGAGAAATGAACATGAACTCCTTATTTCTGTTAAACCTGCTTTTCTTGCAGTCTTCACTGTGTCGAGGATGTCTATTCCATCCCACTAGTTACTCCTAGGGAAAATCTTGGGGTTTAACTCCTTCCTCTCACACCTCACACCCTAACCATCAACAAATCCTCTTAGCTTTACCTCCACAGTATGTCCAGAATTCAGTCATTTCTCGTACCTCTCTTACAAGCACCCAGTTAAAGCCACCATCTTCACATTTAAAATTCCCTGTGTTAGCAATTTTGAGGTATACAATACATTATTACTAACTATAGTCACCTGGTTGTGTAATAGATCACCAGAATGTATTCTTTCTGTCTAACTGAAATTTTGTACCCTTTGACCAACATTTCCCCTTTTCCTACCCTCCCCCACCCACCTCAGCCTCTGGTAACCACCACTCTACTCTTATCTTGTCTGAATTTGAATTTTCAGATTACACGTGTAAGTGAGATCATTCAATATTTATCTTTTAAAAAAATTTTTTTTGAGATGGAGTCTTGCTCTGTTGCCCAGGCTGGAATGCAATGGCATGATCTCAGCTCACTGCAACCGCCGCCTCCCGGGTTCAAGCGATTCTCCTGCCTCAGCCTCCTGAGTAGCTGGGATTACAGGCACCTGCCACCACGCCCGGCTAATTTTTGTATTTTTTAGTAGAGACAGGGTTTCTCCATGTTGTTTAATTTTTATTTTAGTTCAGGGATACATGTGCAGGTTTCTTATATAGATAAACTTGTGTCATGGGGGTTTGTTGTACAGATTGTTTTGTCACCCAGGTATTAAGCCCACTACCCATTAGTTATTTTTTCTGATCCTCTCCCTGCTTCTATCCTCCACCCTCTGATAGGCCCCAGTGTGTGTTGTTCCCCTTTATGTGCTCATGGGTTCTCATCATTTAGCTCCCACTTATAAGTGAGAACATGTGGTATTTGGTTTTCTGTTCCTCTGTTAGTTTGCTAAGGATAATGGCCTCCAGCTCCATCCATGTTCCTGAAAAGGACATGATTTGTTCTTTTTTTATGGCTGCATAGTATTCCACGTTGTATAAGTACCACATTTTATTTATCCAGTCTACCATTGATGGGCATTTAGGTTGATTCCACATCTTTGCTATTGTAAATAGTGCTGCAGTGAACATACACATACATATGTCTTTATGATAGAAGGATTTATATTCCCTTGGATATATACCCAGTAGTAGGATTGCTGGGTCAATTAGTAGTTCTGTTTTTAGTTCTTTGAGGAATCACCACACTGCTTTCCACAATGGATGAACTAATTTACACTCCTACCAACAGTATATAAGTGTTCCTTTTTCTCTGCAACCTTGCCAGCACCTGTTATTTTTAATAAATAACAGCACCTGTTGAGTTTTTAATAATAGCCATTCCGACTAGTGTGAGATCAGTTGCTTTTGGAATTTTCATCATGAAATCTTTGCCCGTTCCTCTGTCCAGAATGGTATTGCCTAGGTTGTCTTCCAGGAATTTATAGTTTGGGGTTTTACATTTAAGTCTTTAATCCATCTTGAGTTGATTTTTGTATATGGTGTAAGGAAGGGGTCCAGTTTCAGTCTTCTGCATATGGCTAGTCAGTTATCTTAGCACCATTTATTGAATAGAAAGTCCTTTTTTCCATTGCTTGTTTTCTTCAACTTTGTCGAATATCAGATAATTGTAGGAGTGCAGCTTTATTTCTGAGCTGGTATTTATCTTTCTGTGCCTGGCTTATTTGACCTAGGATAATGTCCTCTAGATTCATCCATGTTGTTGCAAATGGCAGATTTTCATTCTTTTTTAAGGCTGGATAGTAGTAGTTCATTATGTATGTATACCACATTTGTTATTCATTCATCTGTTAATGGACGCTAATGTTGTTTCCAAATCTTATCATGTCTCTCTCCATCTCCCTTAGATCAAAATTCAAATTCTGTGTAACATATAGAAAGACTTGCCCCCTTTACCTGACTGAGAGCATCACCTCTACTTCTCTCTTCCCCCTCTACACCAGCTATACCACCCACCTCACTGTGTTTCAATATACTATTGTTCTCCTGCTCAGAAGCTTTGAAATTGCTATTCCCTCTTTTTGAAATGTTCTTCTCCAAGGTATTCATTTTCAGAGTTTGCTCCCTCACTTTATTCAGTCTCATCAGAGAGGCCTTTCTTGACTATCCGAAACCAAATACCGCTGCCTCCCACTTACCCCTCAGTCTCCTTATTACGCTTTGTCTGCATATCGCTTACCACCACCTGTTAAAAGATAAAGCTGAGCTCATTAAACATTTAAAGATTTTATTTGAGCAGACTGATTCATAAATTAGGCAGCACCAAATCACAAGCTGTATGGGCTCCACCAAGAAGGTGTGAGAGGAAAATTTTTGTAAGGTGTTCTAGGAAGCAAGACAAAGAAAATATTTGATTTATTGAAGTGGAAAGTCCCTAGTTAGAAATTAGTTGGCAGTTTCAGATTAAGTTAAATGTTTACACTGAATTGGGTTTTGGTTTGTCTACATAGGAACCCAGGGCACTGGAGCCATCTCAGCCTAGTGGCCTCCCAAATTATTTTTTTTCGACACACGTGACATACTATTTTATTTTCTGTCTTTATCCATTACAACGTAAGTTCCATGAGAGCAGGAATGTATCTGTTCCTTTTGTTGCCTTATCTTCAAAATGTAGAATAGTACACAATACTTAATAGGACATTAATAAATACTTGTTGAACAAATGGAAGAATGACTAAATGTGATTGAAAGGCAGACTAGTAGTAAATTGGACTAGGTCAAATACATGTGCAGACCAGTGTTCAATAGTATGTAGCATAGTTTATATTTACACATATTCAATATTTAGCCTTTCAAAATGTTTTCCAGTTACCTAAATATAAGTATTTAGCATTATAGGTGGAAATCTGTCAAATTATTTTAACTCATACCACATTTGAGAAACTGTGTGGAACCTTTACTATTCCTCAGTTTTGTTTTTCTATAAATATAATATATATTTCCTTTTCCTACTGAATGTTCCCCTCAGTGCAATTTTTTTCCAGCTATTTTACTTGTAGTTTTGATGTCTTGCTTTGTTTTTACCTATGAAGTCTAATGAAAGTCCAGATAAGAGCCTATAATTCTATCCATATAATTCAGTAACTTCCAGAACATGTTTTATCTGTCAGACTATGGTTCACATTATCGTAGGTGTAATGCAAAGTTTAGAGCTGAAAATGTAGCCACGTTCCTAATTCTTGCTCTAGTTATCAATGTCAAATGCACTATCAATAGGACTTGAAAAACATACTCAGTAATATTGGATGGGTACTGACATTCTCTCAAATTATAGTATTGAGTGCGCTATACTAAAAATAGTAAAAATAACATGGCTTAGACAAGTGAGAAAACAAAGCTATGTCCTACTTTATTTTGAGAAGCAAAATACAATTTTCCTGTTTGTTTTTTCTTTTTCTCAAAACAACTAAAATTTGTAGGAGGATAATGTTTAAAATTTGTTCACATGGTTAAAATTAGAAAAATAAATAAACTGACATGAAACATACATTAAATTTAAAGATTCATTGTTTTGTATAAACACAGTGTATAGCTTATAAGTCATTATGCTATTAGATTGACTTTTTAACTTACGAGAAATTGGCATTCTAATTTAGATGCATGTATATGACTTCCCATGTCTATTTTAGGATAGATTTAATCATAAAATGATTTACCTTGGGCAAATTACAATAAACTCACTTGAGTAATTAATCGAGGTGTTTCAAGGAGTTAATTTAGTTCACGTAAATAAGAACGTTGTTTCAAGGAATCATTTACCACTCTGTATTGCCATTTGGCCTAGACTTTTTCCATTTTACATCCAGAAGACAAACTGTTGATAAACTATTTGTTATTTTTTTGCTAAAAATTGATACCTTTAGTATAGATAGTACTGTATCAGAAACCATAGAAACTGATGCTTTAATATGGACATGAACTCATTAGACATAGAATTTTGGTCAGTCTCTAGTTAGAATCATTGCTTCTATTTATTTTCAAGTTTGTACCTGAGGATAATTAATATTATTGAAAATGGGTTAATTTGCAACTGACCTTGAATCACAAAGTGGTAGGAAAGGAGATCTCTTGTTTTATTTATTTATTTATTAACAATAAGGATTTGGGCATTGTCATATGCATTCTTCTGTAGCTTACAATTACCACAACACTTCACATCAATAATATACTGGTGCTGATTTAGTTTAAATCTTTCATATACGTGTTTATTGTAAATTTCTTTGAGTAATGCTGGGCACTGATATTAACAGAGGATTAACTTTATGGCACATTTTAATAGAATGCACAATATTACTTCCACCAAATTTTCTTCTTTTCTTTGTGAACTGTTATTCATTTTCAGACATGAAGAAAGTATTTCTTTATCTTATTTTATTTTATGTTCCAGGGTATATGTGTAGGATGTGCAGGTTTGTTCCATAGGTAAACATGTGCCATGCTGGTTTGCTCTACCTATCGACCTATCCCCTAGGTCTTAAACCCATCATGCATTAACTATTTTTCCTGATGCTCATTTCTTAGTAGACATGGCACTTCAACCATTCTGAAGCTTAAAAATTATTTGTTATTTTAAGCCCGTAAGAGCATTTTAAAATCTGATACATCTGAGCAGAAACTTTTGGTTTTTAGTTTTTTTATAAATTAAATGAAATTAACACATTAACTATTTCAAGCAAATAAGATCCACTTACATAAATGACCATGTTAGTTTGAGAAGTTATAGCTTACTGATCTGAAAACATTAATTGAACCTCCAAAATTATACCCGTGGGGTAATTTCTATCCTCGCAGCGGTGTGCACTTTAGGACAATTAAAGTGCCAAAGGAATCTCATTTTATTTCTTGGTTATTATGTCTAGGTAAACTGATGGCTCATTTTTAAGATCTGTTTAGTATCCAATGATTAAAATAAAAATGATGACCTCATCATGATATTCACATAGCACATTTATCCATTTCTCTTTTGATTTATAGCTTATTTTTACCTAATGCAGTTTACTCAAGTCTCCTGGGCTTATACATTTTTTAGTCTTTGATAATCTATACTAATGGACCACAAGGGTAGCAATATAATCTAATGAAGTGGTTAACCCAGAGTCTTGGGAGTGAACTATTGTGGTTTGAAGCAGATCATGTTTGTTTGGCCTACTTTTTTTTTTTCTTTTTTTTTCTTTTTTTTGAGACAGAGTTTCGCTCGTCACCCAGGATGGAGTGCAATGGCACAATCTCGGCTCACTGCAACCTCGGCCTCCTGGGTTCAAGTGATTCTCCTGCCTCAGCCTCCTTAGTAGCTGAGATTACAGGCACCTGCCACCATGCCTGGCTAATTTTTTGTATTTTTAATAGAGATGGGGTTTCACCATGTTGGCCAGGCTGGTCTCGAACTCTTGACCCCAGGTGATCCGCCCGCCTCGGCCTCCCAAAGTGCTGGGATTACAGGCATGAGCCACCGTGCGCGGCCTGTTTAGCCTACTTTTATGACTGATTCACATTTATTAAATAGCTCCTAGCTGGATGGATCATTCAGAATGGCATAGATCTGAGTAGAGACTTGGAGACTATTAGCAGAGCTAGCTTCTAGGAATAGAAGTAGAAGTCAAATATTTAAAATAATCACCGTGAATCAACATTTGGTATTACCTGATCATTCTCAAAACCCTGTTCCCTATTTAAGCTTTGATAGAATTATATGTTAAATATTCAGATACGTTATGTAAATGACGACCAGGACTTAGAAGTTGTTTATTATTACCTTCCTTTATGTGGCTACTAAGTATTTCTGTCCATGAAAAATGACTGAAATCATAATGTTAAAAATAGGAAAGAGGCCGGGCGCAGTGGCTCACGCTTATAATCCCAGCACTTTGGGAGGCTGAGGTGGGCGGATCACAAAGTCAGGAGATCGAGACCATCCTGGCCTACATGGTGAAACCCCCCCGTCTCTACCAAAAATACAAAAATTAGCTGGGCGTGGTGGCACACACCTGTAGTCCCAGCTACTCGGGAGGCTATGGCAGGAGAATCACTTGAACCCGGGAGGCGGAGGTTGCAGTGAGCTGAGATCACACCACTGTACTCCAGCCTAGCGACAGAGTGAGATTCCATCTTAAAATAAAAAAAAGGGGAAGAAAATACACTTACACCCATTCCCAGGTAAAATGTCACATCTCTGTTTGAAATGCTCATTTGCATGAATACATTATGAATTGCAGTTCCAATATATACATTTCTGAATATGGAAACCTCAATAATATTTTCTCTTTGTGTTTTATATTTAGTACTAAAAAAGTGATTTGTGGCTAATATAACATTCAATTAAAATTAACATTTATCCTAGGGGCATTCCAGGTACTACAGTCTGTCTCATTCATTAGAGCATTTTGTACTTATCTGCAGAGCATCTCTCCTCAGAAGAGAATCTGCTGAATTTTTGCATCTTATCCAGCATCAATCACTTTGATTAGGATCTCACTCCATGAACCAGGCAGCTTCTCTTCCACAGCAGTTCCATATGTCTCCTACAGCTGTTCTACTTTCTAAGTGGAACGTGACTCTCTTCAGCTCATAGTTTGTGTCCCCATCAAAAAAGACTGTCAATAGCTCCTTTATTCTTTTGATTTGCTGTACTCTCTTATGGCTTGGAATATGACTTATAGTCAGTATTGAATTAGGATATGTTCGATTAAGAGAAATTGTGTCCATGAATGTTTTGATAAGTGAAATATTTACATCAAAGCTCATGCTAAGAAACTATTTGAAGAGCAAAGACAGAGCAGAAACTTTGCTTGTGAAGGAATTTCTCCAGGGAAATTTTCACCGTGCAACTCGGTGGTGGAAGGCTGCCATAATTTTGGTTTATGTTAATAGAGGTTAAGTTGATTTTTATTATTTTCTTTGGTTGGTTTATAATCAGCAAATTTTATCTTGGAAAGTAGATTTTTTTTTGCCCAGGTACTATGTTTGTGTGTTAGACTATGGAAAGCCAGAACAACTATTATACATTGACTGCAAAGATAACAGAATTTTGTGTGTGTGTTTGAAACTTCCTTTCAACCTCAACACCCGAAATGTTTGCTGCAATACCTTTTCTATATGAAAACCATAGAATAAATAGAATGGAAGTAAAACTAATTCAGAATAAAAGAAACTATCATTTCTACAAATGGCAACCTCATTTATTTACACCTAAAACTATAGTTTTCATAGGGCTTAATGTGAAAAGATAAAAGAAGTGAAAAGGTCCTTGAGAAAATAATAGAGTATTACCTGAAGCTTGCTGAGCAAACATTTTTGGGGAATGACAAAAAAAGCTTTTGAACATGAACTTCTGGGATTTCAACTGAATGATCAAGCATGAAGAAACTTGATTATCCTGATTAAAGAATAATGCTGGGAAGTCTTTGCATAATTTGATAATATTTTTAGTATGAGCTGATGTCTTTAACCAAAATAGCTACCAAAATTTTAGAAAACACTATCACACCATGCATGTTGTGAATGAAATTTTTATTTACTCACTTGTTGATTTGGGAGAGCTATATGAACAATTATTATCACCAATAGTATTCATGGTCTTTTTTAAAAAAAGACTAACAGGTCAAAGAAAAGGGGTTTAATGGATTCCCAATTTTAGTATGTTGTACCCTTGAGTATCAGATGTCTCTGTTCTTAGCAACTTTCCTTGCTTGTGGAAATCTAGAAATGGTTTACTCAATGTCAGTTGATCATGTTGTTTTATCTGAAAGGCAAAAACACTAGGATACTTTCAACTTCCCATAGAGAATTACACATTCAAACTAAAGTCTAGTTGTTCAAATGGAAAAATCGAGAGGCAGACAAATTAATGTAATTATAGACTTGGTAGGGTGTTGCAAATGAATAAGAAACTGGCAATTTGAGTAGTTAAGAACCATTGTATATTTTATTATAGCTGTAATGTTTTGAGTTCATAAAGCCATATTGAAGTAGGAATACACACATACACTCATTTTTAGTAAGCACAATAGAAGTAAGTCATTTCATTATCATTTTAGGGCTGATTCTTACACTTTTTAGCCCACAATTCCGTAAGTTGTCTAATTCGACTGATACAGACCAGTTCTAGCTACCAAAATATTATGTGCACAAAACTCCCTTTCATTCTATTTTTCTGATCACAATATCCATGCCCACAATATAGCTAATTAGTTAAGTGTGGGAGGAAGGCTTTTGTTAGAATTCTTACTCCAATGGATTAATCATTGGAAATCCTCAAATTGCCTGAAGTTGTTAGCATATTTTAAAATCACCAGATAAATACCTAACTAGAACATCAGATAATACATGACAATTAGAATTATTCTAGCGAGCTGTAGTCACATCTGAAAGTTACCATATTCTTGCTCCTCAAACACCTTAAATTTAAACTCTGATGAAATCCATCTGTACCTTCTCTAATATCTCCCCAGATAGTCATGAGGAGTAAATAACATACTACAAAATGTTAAAATATTTCAAATACAAAGTTCTATAGAAATGTTACACAGTGCTATTATCACTATTTCTCAATTAAATGTACATTTTAATATTAAATGTTACTGCTAAAATTATTTTGATAGTAGTTATTTATAAACATTCACTATTAGTAATAGCCAACTATTATGTATGGTTACTTTCACTTAGGATGAAATAAAAAATATTGGCTTATTTATATATTTCAGAGTATGTTCTAGATTCCTATAATGGGGTTCTAATGGGGCTAAATATGTCAAATTCTTATAATATATATTAAATGTGTGACTACAGCAGTGCCTTTTAATGTGGGTCTTCTTTTAGTATCTGAAGAAAGCTAACCAAATTTTCCATTGTAACCACCAATATCATATTTTTAATATTAGAATATAATACTTAACAAATACAATAGTTAAATGTTTATTTAATACTAACTAAACATTGAACAATAATTCTTAAAGAGATTCACAAACTATAAAACACTATACCAGACTATAAGGTGCTTTTACTAATCAATTTGGAAACCATAACACCTGTCTGATGAGCATGCTTATTTTAAAATGAACAGATGCAGGGTGTGATAATATACCAGATTAAAGTTATGAGTGAATAGATTTCCTTGTAATTACAAGTCATATAGTGAAGGTATCGATGCTATATATATTTCTGTCAATGAAGAAACTGTATAATTTGAAGTGTTTTAATTTTGGGGGGATGGGGGACGGAGTTTTGCTCTTGTTGCCCATGCTGGAGTGCAGTGGCACGATCTCAGCTCACTGCAACCTCCACCTCCTAGGTTCAAGTGTTTCTCCAGCCTCAGCCTCCCAGGTAGCTGGTATTACAGGTGCCCACCACCAGGCCCGGCTAATTTTTGTATTTTTAGTGGAGACAGGGTTTCACCATTTTGGCCAGGCTGCTCTCAAACTCCTGACCTCAGGTCATCCGCCCACCTCGGTCTCCCAAAGTGCCGGGATTATAGGCGTGAGCCACCGCTCCTGGCCACGTGTTTTACATCTTATTTATAAACTAGCCTTTGGAAAATGGGTAAGAACTGTAGTGCTTTTTGTTGGTAATACTGTGTAGTTGTTCTTTAGTTGTCATTTCAAAACCAAAGCTAAACTGTTTACAAGGAAATAAAAACTTAACCTGTGCACAAATTTAGCATTATGGATTTACATACTACCAAGTACTAGAACTTTTTCAGTCTCAAAAACTAAGCCCTTTTGAAATTTAGCTATTTAATATCAGGAATTCTGAAAACAAGGGATATGGGATGTAAGGAGAAAATTATTCCTATTCTATAGACTTTGTTATGTATGTTTTAAAATGTAATTAATATCAACGTAATATTGTATCTTTCAGACACTGACTTCCATTTCCTGATTGGTTATAGGTAATTTGAAGATTTTTCACTATACCAGTAGAGATACAAAGTAAAACACAGGTATAGTCTCCTAGAAAATTAAATAAAATAACCCTTGAGTAGACTTGTAAGGTGACATAGAACCAGATATGCCTGTCTTCTGTTTTGCTAAAAAGACCTTGTTTCCAAGTGTTATTGAAAAGTGTCATAATGAAATCAGAATTTAATGTTATTTGCCCTGGCAAAATCATGTGTAATGGTAATCATAAATCAGTTAAGGAGTAATACAAGATGTTATGCAAATAAGCACTAAAGTTTCACACCAGGTAAATGGCTGCCTTCGTGAGTCAGTGGTGAAATGGTAAGGTTCTAGAATATGGATATTGCAATGGACATTAAAAGCAAAATGCGTAGAGACATTTTCTTAAAGTAGTAATTAATGGTACATGGAGGTGTGCTTAATGTGAAGGAATAATAAAAGCAATAAAATTTCAAACAATAAGCATTCATACTGATTTGATTTGTGCTTGTATAATTCTCTTTACAACTCTATCATATATGTTCATCTATTTATTACATTTTGGATGTTACTGCATTCTTGTCTTAGTTTATTAAGCTTCCCTTTTAATATTTGCCTTTATTTTACCCTCTTCTCATATTATGATTTCCTTGATCCTAGCTTCTTTTTTCAAGTCCATGCATCTTAGTATTTCATGGCTGGCATCAGGAAGTTTTCTAAAATTTTGTCTGGTTTTCATGGAAAAAATTGCAAAGTCTCATTTATTTTCTAAGCTTCAAGACAAGTGTATCCATATGGATTCAGAAAATTTCTATAGGCAACTTCTATTGTTCTTTTCACTGAGCCTTAAATTAGAAGAGCTGTATGTAGACTTAGTGTTAAGTACAATTATTGATGTACTGACCTTCTTCTCTTATTTTTCTTCATAAGTGGAGATTGATATACATAATCTATACCTATTCCCAGTACCGACTTAGCCTTTACCCAGCACTGCTTTCCTGATGGATGTGGAGTTTTCTCCAAATAAAACTACCATATCTTGTAACCATATTAAAAAGTAGAAGCATTCTGTATTTATATTTTAACTTAAATATTTATTATAAAAAATTCTAAATATATACAAAATAGAGAATGATAAGTGAAGATTCATCTACCTATTAGCAAATTTCAATAATTATAAGCATTTTACCAACCTTTGTACCTATTTTCTATGTAGGTGTAATACATGGAAGTCTATATCCTCACTATGCACTGTTGTAGACTCTTCTCTCAACACTTCTGCTTTTCCTGAAGTGCCTAGCTATCTGAGCATACAATAGGGCTACCAATCCATTTTTGTTCTCCAACTATATTTTTATCTGTGATTTATAATATCTGAATGAAAGCAGGAAGAGACAAGATAGAAAGGAGGAAAAGGAAAAAATAAAAACTATAAATAAGAGTGTAGTAGTTTAAAGGAACCAGGGAAGTAAATGCCTGATTTGTGGTTAGTGCAGTGCTGTATACTAGAGTGAAGAAACCTTACACTCTTGACAATATCCTGGTAATTCCTGTTGAGAGGGCAAAACACGCGTAGTCCAGAACTGCATTTCTTTAACTGAATCATCCCCAAAAACTTAAGGTCGTGGAAATTCTCTCTAAATTTTGGTGTCTGGTTCTGACATATTTTTAAAATTCAGTGCTTCCCCAACACCTGTAATATGTATATTTTAACAGGTAGTTGGACATGGTATTTCAGGCTTTCCTATTTTTTTCCTATGTAAATATGAAAGTTACTCTATGGGCCTATTTCCCTGAAATGTTGGACCCACTAACACAATCAGACTTTCTACAAACTGCCACACTGATTCTTTGCCTTCAGGTACACCTATAGAAAGATGAGTGTGTGGGGATGGCATAGACCCAACCAGCAGCAAGAGGGAGTCATTATTTCCTACCCAAGAGTAGGGCAGAGAGAAAGAAGACACATTTGCTCAGCCATTAAGCATAAACCAATGAATGCCAGACTCTTTATGATCTTGCCAGTCAGGATTGATCCATCCTTTCATTTAGAGGAGGATTGAGCAAGAGGTGGAAACACACGCTAGACATATTTTTCTAGTATAGGTCATTACAAGGAAATACCAAGATGAAGAAGACAGTTCTTCCTAACAACCTCTGCCATGAAATAATTACTGACCAAATATATTTGGGAATATGATTATGCTGAAAGGGCCACATGAAGTCCTTGTTTTTTTATTATTTACAGATTTGACTATTTTTTTTTTCTATTCTAATACTGTGCTTCCTGATGCTCTATTATAAAGAACAGAGGGGATTGGGAAGCTGGGGTTCAAGCCAAAGAATAAATCCATGATGTATTTTAAAGAAGTTGGTAGAAGAAAAGAGAACAAGTAGATTTTTTTGTTGTTGTTTTTTGTTTTTGTTTTTGTTTTTGTTTTTGTTTTGTTTTGTTTCTTTGAGATGGAGTCTCGCTCTGTCGTCCAGGCTGGAGTGCAGTGGCGCGATCTCGGCTCACGGCAACCTCCACCTCCCGGGTTCACGCCATTCTCCTGCCTCAGCCTCCCGAGTAGCTGGGACTACAGGCGCCCGCCACCACACCTGGCTAATTTTTTATATTTTTAGTAGAGATGGGGTTTCATTGTGTTAGCCAGGATGGTCTCAATCTCCTGACCTCCTGTTCCACCTGCCTTGGCCTCCCACAATGCCGGGATTACAGGCGTGAGCCATTGCGCCCGGCCGAGAACAAATAAATATTTATAGAGTTTGGTGTAGTAATATTTTTACTTACTCTTTCTTATTCTCTTTATTATTTGCTCCTGAGGATATGAGTTACCATCTAACTAGCATCATTTCCTTAAGCCAATATATCTTTGTTCCCTTCCACCTCATTTGTTTTGTTGTTGTCAAAAATGTTATGTAATACATAAGTTATAGGTCCCAAAATAAAGTTATATACATGTTGTTTTATACAGTTGACTTTGAAATCAGGTGAAGGAAATTGCCTTTATACTTTTTTTTTTTTAATATTTACATAATTACCTTTACTCCTTGTTTTTCTGCAAGGATTTTGCTTATGGTTACTTTCAGTTTTTGTTTGTGTGGGGATGTCTTTACTTCATCTTCATTTTTAAAAGATAACTTTACTACATATAAGATTCTTGGTTGATGATTTTGTTTCTTTCAGTACTTTGAGTATGCTATCCCACTGTGATCACCATTGTTTCTGCTGAGAAGTGAGCTGTTGGTAGTTCCCTTAAAGTTATTGAAGTTCCCTTGTAACTGATAAATTGTTTTTCTCTTGTTGAGTTAAAGATTTTCTCTTTGTATTTGGCTCTTAGCATTTTTCCTACAATGTGTTAGGATGTGGATCTCTTTGTGTTTATTATACTTGTAGTTTGTTGAGCTTCTTGGTTGTGTAGATTATTTTTCATCAAATTTGAAAAGCTTTCAGCCGTATTTTTATGTTTCTCTTCACTTTCTGTCCTTCTGTTCTGATATGCTCATTACGTGCATGTTGTGTGCTTAATGGTTGCCCAACTTTCTGTGAGGCTCTGTTAAGTTTTTCCATTCTTTTTCCTCTCTGTTCTTCTGATTGCATAATTTCTATTGATTTATTTCAGGTTTGCTGATTCTTTCTTCTGTCATTTCAAACCTACTCTTGAGCCCTTCTAGCAAATTGTTATTTCAGCTATTATAATTTTTAACTCCAGAATTTCATTTGGTTCTTTTAAATAATTTCTGCTTCTTCATCAAAAACTCCATTTGATATAGCATTGCCATCATAATTTCCTTTACTTCTTTAAATATGGTCTCCTTTATTATTTTGAACATGCTTATATGGCTGCTTTGGATTATTTGTATTAATATATTAAACCTGACATTTGGCCTCTTTCACAGTCAATTTATGTTGCTTGGTTTGTTTCCCGTATATGGGGAACACTTTTTTCTTTCTTTGTGTGTCTTTTTTCTTATTGAAAAATGGACATTTTAGATACTTTATTATAGCAACTGTGGATACTGATATCCCCTAATCTGGAGATTGCTTTTGTTGTTGTTTGCTTGTTCATTTATTCTGTTACATAACTGGACTATTTTAGTTAAATGTATTTTCCTGACAGTATGAAGCTTGCAATGTCCTTCCTCAGAGGAGGCAAATTTGGGCATGTGCATAGTCACTCTGGGATGACAGTGGTTTTAGGAAGATTCTCTTTGACTGTATCTTTCCCTGATCTCTCTGTTAAGCTGTCTTCCTCTGCTGGTATTAGACCAAGTTTTTGTACTACATTATTTGCCTGCTTATTGTTTTGGATAATACGTTGGGGTATAAATTGCTCCACATTCTGATCCAGTTAAACTCAAGCCCCTTTGGAAGCCAATTTTGCTCCAAAGTTCAGGGCAAGGCCACTGGCCTACTTCTCTTGAAGTGACACCTGTGCTTTATGAGCAGGGTGTTGAATAGAGTCTGTAGCCTCTGGCCTTCTCAGCTTATCTCCCTCAGCATAGAACCTCTGCCCTAGGAACAAGATAAGGTGAGGGCAGTAGAAGTGGGAGGAGCACCTCCAGTATTCTCAGCATGCCTCACAGGAGCTGAAGCCCCTGCCCTATGTGCAGGAATTGGGTGGAGGAGGGGAGCTCCAATTCTCTCAAATGCACTCACTAGAAATTTAGCCTCTGTAACATAGAGCTTCAGGGCATGACAAATGCTGGTAGCCTGCTGCTCTTCAGGGAGAGAGTCGTCTTTGTCTGGGAGCTGGGGAGAGTGTTAAGTCCCACTTTTTTGGCCACACCTGTCCAGATTGGAGCTTCCATTCTGCGGTGCAGAGTGGGGAGGAAGGATGTAGACCATGTGTAAACGCCACAGACTCTCCTTGTTCTTACTGAGATTTGGTAGAGTTTCTTCATTTGCTGCTTGCCCTTAGGGAACCTTATGGAGACTTGAAATGGTTGTTATTGTTTGTTTGTTTGTTTTTAATAATTGTCAGTAATTATTGTTGTTTCCTTGGGAGTTGGACTACAGAGCTCATCATACTGCTGTTCTGGAAGTGAAAGTACTCCATGCTGTATTTTAAAGGCCTTCTGGGATCCCTGTTGCATAAAGATTAAATTAAGTGTTAAATGCCACTGTACGTTTCATGATACTAGCAAGAAAAATAAAACAGGATTTTCCAAATATCCTTGATTCAGACTGAGAAATAGCAAACTCTCAAAACAAAACATTAATGTGTTGGTGAAATGTGCAAAATGCTAGCTTCTCAATCATCTTTGGATGCGGAATTGCTTAAGCGAAATGAAGAAAAATATTCCCTCATTGTTAAGCTACAACTGTTTCATCATTGGAGTGTTCCACGAAACAGCCTATTTCATACCAGTTAAGGGCCTAGCTAGAATTTCAAATGAATGCAAATAAGAACGTTTGTAATGCAAGTTGCAAGGTGGGAGGAACAACTGTTTATGTAATTTTCCTCTCTTTTCAACTTTCACAGAGCATTGCATAATGTTAGAATCAGACTGCTTGTATTTTAATCCTGGCTTCATCACTAAGAGATGTAGGCTTTTGACCAGTTAATCTAGGTTTCAGTTTCCCATTAAAAAATAGAAGTAGTACAGGACCTACTTGTAGGTTTATTATAAGGAGCATAAATAATTGATCACTTGGGTAAAGTGTTAAGCAATTCCCCAATGTATAAATAATAAATTTAAGATGGTAATAAAATTAAAAAATCACAAAAGCATTAAATAAATATTATCTCTTTAGCAGCTTGGCATAATCAGTAGAAATTTGAGTTCTACAAAACTTATTGCTGAATGAGGTATAGATTTGGATATTAGACAAGAATTTTTTAATGGTCCTTATATTCATTGGTTTTAATTTAGTGGGTTTCCTTAAGCTTAATGTATCTCTAGTATGATCATCTCCACAAGAATAGATAATACTTTTTATTAAATGCTAGCTTAGTCCACAAAACTTTGTTTTATTAAAGTAGATAAATTAAGCAATGAAACTATTGATACAAGATGTCTTTATATCTTTCACTCCAATCAGTTACATAGCTTTAAAACTCAGAATTATTTTTGTGTACATCCACTGTGTAGTACCTGAAGTGAGATGAACTTTTATGCTATGCTTTTTTTCTATTTGGTATTCATTGAGTAGCTTTTAACCAATCTCCTTCTTCTATTATACGAGTTGCTCTACTGGGCTTTTGGGATGCAGAAATGAGTGAGAAGTGGTTTCTTCAGCCAAAACCAGATAGCCATTTAAGCACACAAATAGGATACATTTTTAGAGGTACTATTGGAGAGATACCTACAAGGCGTTGCAGAAACACAAAAAACAAAGAGTCCCTGGAGGTATAGGGAAAAGCTTCAAAGAGGACACGAAGGTGAAGTCATTTGAGATTGATTATATAACCTAGTGAAGAATTTTCCAGGTACAGAGAGATGCAGGAAGACCATTTCTGGCACAGGGAACAGCAGATACAAGAGCATGAAATAATTAAAGTACTGTGTTGTTCAAGAGATGCTGAAAAGTTCAGATATTTGGAAAGTTCAGTGAATGGGATGCGGAAGGATAACGGAATAGGATAGAAGGGGCAGGTTGAAGCCAGATGTAAAGAACTTTTATGCCTTTTTTAAGAGTTCAGGCTTCATTCTTTAGGCAAAGGCAAGCCAGAAAGGATTTTAACCAGTAGGAGTGACATGGTCAGTTAGGTCTTTAGAACAATAACTCTGGCTTCATTGTGAATGATTGAAGGGCATGGTGCTTATATTTCCATTGTAATAGTCTAGGTCAGAGTAAGTCAGAGCTGAATTAAAAATAGCTGGATACAAAACAGCTTTTCTCTTCCATGCAATAGTGTGTTTCCTCCCTAAGCCCCACTCTCTCCCAGCGAATACAGTTAGTCTTGTTTTATGAAACCAGTTAAGTTATTAAGATTCAAGCACCCAGCTTTCTTTGCTTAGCTAGCTCAGGTAAATTGCTTTAATGATGTCCATACTGTAAGGGAAGCATATTCTAATATGGGAAAAATGGATCAGATGTCTTTGAAATTATCCTTTTTAGTGCAATGAGGAAATTGAAGTGCATAGTGAAATGTTTTGAAATGTTGTTAATAATGATATTATCTACTACCGACATGCTGTAATATCCATTTAAAAGAAATAAAGTTAATTTTGTATTTTTCTGCTCTAACAATGAGGAAAAATGGTAAATATTTGGGAACGTAATCGAATGTGGAGGTTGTCATAAAGTGAGTTATTTTTTTCCAAAGGACTGTAATGGGAAAAATACATAAGTGCATACATATGGAAATGACTTGATTTGGTAGTTGAGATTTATATGTGACTTTTAAAAATGATTTCCAGTTGCTATTCCTAATCCATTATTTTGTTGTCTTGAGCTGCAGATTGTTGTCTAGGTCACTAAATGGCACACTAAACACATTTGCTCACCATGCCCCTGTTTCTTCAGATCTTTTCCTATAGAACACACACACACACACACACACACACACACACACACACACACCCCTCCCCTTCACAGTTTTTATATTTTCAGAGAAATCTATGCATGATCTTCTGTCATGCAATCCTATCAAACATCCAATTCTTTTAAACAGCTAATTTTTTATTTCTTACTTTTGTTCCCAAGATGTAAGGCACTTGTAAGATTGTTCTCCTTTCCTGAATATTAGCAACAACAGCCCCACCAGCCGTTGCAGATTCTGCCATCAAGTTAACACATGGGGTGTGTAGATTTACAAGTAGGAATGAAATTATATTAGAGATAATAGCTCTTACATTGCTCAAGAATAGATCACCCCATGACCACCTGGTCCTATATCAGTTCATTTCTCTTATAATTCAGGAATTAGTTAATGTTTTTGGATTGCACGGGATGTGAAACATGCCTAGAAGCTTTGCCTTATATGGGAATCTCTTAAAATTTATGAATTCTTATATCAAGGAAATTTTTAAAAATGCTTAATATTACAAAACACAATTCTGTTCTTTATATTATCATATTTGCTTAAAACCTTTAGGATCCAAAGAAGTGTTTTTCATTTTGACATCCTACTTTGGTTTTAATTGTCATGAGCACTAGAATGATATGTATTGCTTCCAAACTGAGTAGATTCTATTCGCTAGCTTATGCTGTACTTAGCGAGCCGTCATTTGTCTTAACTGTATGAACCTTAGAGTGTTTATAATTTACTTAGAAGCAGCAGATATCAGCGCCCTAATTAACACCTTCACCATTCCTCTCCTGGTACTTGAGAAGTTGGCGGCACTACAAATGGAACAGAGGCTCTGAAACTAAACACGGACCTGACACAGGATGGACATCAATTGTCTTTCATGGCCTTGAGGTTCTTCCAATTTTATTTTGTGCAATAATTCCCCTGGATCCTGATTTCTATCTCCCAGTGCCATGTTTTCCCACATTGTTCATTGCCCAAACCTGATACATCATGCACCAAAATTAGGAAGTTGACACAAGTCTGGATCTCCTAGTATACGTAATGTGGAATGAAGATTTGATTAGTAAAGGGAAGTAAAGATATGCAAAAACCACAGAATTATTAATATTTTTTCCTGTACACTTCTATAGTCTGGCAAAAAAAGGTTTGGAAATTTCTAAAGATAGTAGAAAATGGACTATAAATGACTTGTATACAGAAAAAAAGTGTTTCAAAATATTGATTCATGAGGTTAATAATAGCTTAATATTAAAGCATTTATTTGTGTCTTTTCTTACATATCTAACCATATTGCACAAAAAACAGGGTCCTAGAATTCTATACAGAATATTACATATCTATATCAGACATGATCAGAAATCAGTATCAGTACATAAAATATACTTTATATTACTTAAATGGAAGAATTTAAAATGATATTACCATGTAATTGAACAGATTTGAGGTGCCTGAAGATTGAAAAAGAAATAATTATTTTCAGATCTTGAGAAATTCTACAAGGTAATCCTGTTGAAGTCTTCATCATAAGTGAGTTTTCCATTTGTATTATTAGTGTTTGTATTTTTTGTTGTGAGAAAGCGATCCTGATTCTGCTTATTTTAACAAAGACGAGAATAAATATATCAGAAGGTCATTGGGTCAGGCAAAGAGTTGTTTGTTTTTCAACATAGGCCACAAGGATGAACAGGAAAAGGACATTTCTAGAATGTACTGTTACAGTTTTATGAAAGTAATTCAAGCAAACAAAACAGCAAAAAGACATAGCTGCCATTTCTCAGTGTTCTAGGGACCAAAGAATGTACTTACAGTGCTAGGATGTCTGCATCTTTCCAGCTCTCACAACTAAAATAATTCAAGTATTTATGCCATTATTTTAAATTTTGTTATTACTGCCCTTGCCTAGATCTTCATTTTCACTCAATTGAAATAGTATGGGAAATTCCTAAGTGGGATGCAAACCTTCAGTCTTTCCAACAGGATTGTAATAATCTCCTGGCTGGACTGTACTGAGTTTATCTTCTTATCCCCTATAGTATCTAGCACAGAGAAGGAAAGTGTGTGGGAAATGCAACCACGCCCCTTTTCTTCCTTTATGACAGATGGTTTTAATAGATTCTAGCATTCTTTTCCTCACAAGTCTCAGCATAACATGCTGATTTATCAGAGTTGGCACATGTCATAAAATCTACTTACCATTTCTGAACTGATAATACTTAGTAGGCCTAAATAAATGTTTATCGAACTAAAGTATTGCACATACCCAGAAATGGAACTGGGAGGATAAGTGAAAAGAAATTCTTAAAGAATTATTTCATAGTTTTTCTATTTCTATTCCTAAAGCTCCCCTTTTGTTTCCATTGCCTTCAGCGGCAATGGAAGACTTACAAGAGACAAGTGCTAGGTCTCATCAACTTGAGAGTCTGTTCATTATTAGTCTCTTCTTTGCTCCCAGCTGACTTATATTTAAATATATGGCTTCCATCCAATGATTCCCAGCAGGGCCATTAAATAAAGTATGTATTATGGACAAAAAATGGCAAAAATGTACTTGGCTCAGGGACACACCTTTCTCCAGTGACTTGGATTCCTTTACTCATTAAGGAAAAAAAAAAAATGGTTCTATCGACTCGTCATTGTTGTTTTATATCAGCATGTCTTAACCATAGGAGGAAAAAGGCAGTTACAGTTTTAATAATGAATCTTAAATTACTGGCACTTCACTCATAAATGAAGAAAGGACAGTATAATATTTTATTCTCAGAAACTTTTCTCATCTCCCCTTTCCTGGGTCGTGAGGTCAACTAATTTTGATTTTATCTGCTCTAAACTCATCCTAATCCTATAACTTAGTCACGTTGGTTTTAATATTTGAAGATTGTTTTGTTTCTTGAGATTTTCCTACTTCTCTCTAAAATTGCATCTGGGGCATGGAGAAATGGCTTTCATGACATTGTGTAGTTGAGAGGAAATGGATCCCCTCACCTCCTGCTGGTTCTTGGGGGATTGGTGACAGGATTTATCTATGGGATGGTCTTTAGCATATGCTAATTGAAGTTGACACTTGGTAAAATTCATAGTCTAAATTATCTCAGCTTGGTTAAGGCCTCAGAAAGATCCCTAGCTTGTTCATCCACTCTAAACTCTAAACTCTGAGAGTGTCTGCTTTGCCTTTCATCTTTCTCCTGGTACAGGCTATCCCTTTATTTCAAGGTTGCTAGACCTTCTTTTAGACCTTCTTTACAGTGGGGTCAGTGGCTAATCTGCAAAACCCGAGGAAGGCCTGGGAGGGCAAACTAGACCATCTCTCTGGCTAATCATGCCAGTCTGCTTCATAAGCTCTGCGTTTTCACACAAGACTGTGCTTTCACAGTCACCCTGCACAGCAGCCTTGTGCTAGTGTTCAAAATGGCAACAGAAACGTCCTATTTCCTACAATTTATGGAACATATTTCCTCCTCTCCACTAAAGCATGAGGGAGGGAAGTGGAGATATGTATCTCCCTCACCTATATCTGCCTCCAGTCCTTTTCCTGTGAGCCTTGAGGAAAAAGAAATAAATCATATTCTTAAGTTTTCAAAAATCTTAATCATATTACATTATCAGTAGATAATAGAAATTATAGAAATTTTATTAAACTTTTTCTTTGTGGTATCTATAACCTTAATCTCTTCACTCTCACTAAATCTTCAATCTGTTATGTTTGATGTATTGCAATAGTTTTTAACTTGCTTCTTGCCTCCTTTTCTCTTTCCACTCCAGGCTATTTTGCATCCTGTTGCCAGACTATTCTTCAGCTCTCTCGCTTTGATTACACCGTTTTTCATTAAGACATTTAGAATTTTGTCTCATCATTTATCTATTATTCTTTTTCAATCATATGCCTGCTGAGTCCTAAGACTCTTTTCTTCTTATTATAATTTCTTTACTACATTACCCCTAAATTTGTTCCTTCCTCGTTTCTTTATCATATTACCTTGTAATGATAAGACATCCATATACTGTCTGATTCTTCAAAGCCTAGCTTTAGACCCTCTTGGGTGAACCTGACTCACTCCATAACTAGAGTATTTAGTCTGTAGAACATATCTTGATATGACATTATGAGTTTGAGTAGGTATTCTCTCTTTTCTTCATATTTATCTTTCCCACTAACTCTTTTATTTTTTTAAAAATAATCTTCCCAACAACCCTTCAGTGTGGGTGTTGATATCTGCAAATTACAGACAAGAAAACTGAGGTTCAGAAAAGTGAAGTCACCTGCCTAAAGCCACAAAACTAGTTGATTTTTGGAGCTGTGATTCAGATCCAAATCTGGTTTCAGTTTTAAGTTCCTCACTGGATTAGGCTGCCTCTTCTTAACAGAAGGGGTTTTACAGTATATTTTGAGGGATACTTCACAAATAAGGTGATGTTTGAGGGGGCAATTTATTGATTACTAAATGCTGAACACAGTATATCATGTTATCCTTTCAACAACTCTGAGAGTTAGGTGCTACCAACAGTCTCGATTTTTCAGTTATGGAAGGTGAGTGATAGAGGGAATGCAGGGGCTAAATAATGAATTGAACACAAGGCCCTAATCATCATACTGCTCTACTTCCCACTTATTGAACTCAATTCTACACATCAGACCCTTCTCAATCTAGTTTCTGGGCTCTGGAGGTTGTGGCGATGGATGGCCTAGCATTTCCTAGGATCTAAGCCCTGGGCATAGCCTGCTTCCAACATTGGGAGCATAGAGATGAGTCAGGAAAGCCTGACCATGGCCTAACTCATTTTTAAGCATCTTAAACAAAGAATAGTGTTTAGTATTTGTCCACGGTTATTATAATGTCTAATAGGTGGTACAGAGCACTAAATATTTACTTCATTATACAAAATCTAATAGGACTTAAAAAATAAAAGCACGTACTGCAAAACACAGGTTTGAACAATAAGAATATTGCTTTTTTGCTGTTCTTTAGACTTCTTTTCCATGTTTTCATTAATAAGCATGTATTATTCTTATAATTTACATCTGTGTTAGTTCAACAATACTGTAATTTAATTACATTGTGATCCAAACAATTAGACTGTGACATTTTATTTACCAAACATTACTAAGTCTGCAGTTAATCATAAAGCAGTATTTCTGGTGTTCATCTCCAAACATTTTATCTACATTATTAACTTAGAATATTTGCAACATGCTGCTTCTCAACTGTGACTATGATTATTCACTTATATTTGTATTTCATCATTAAAAAGAAGCCCTCATTTTCTCATTATTAGGTCTTAAACTGAATCAACCTGACATGAATATAAAAAAATTAGAGTAGTTTAAAACAGTTGGTTCATCAGAGATTTGAACTGAGGTAAACAAAATTAGGTAGATTCTGTAAATAATCAAGGCATTTTATTTTAATTAATGGCCTTGTTACAGTTCTGTTTCAAAAACTGAAGGATTTGGATATTACACCCCCTTAGGTTTTATATACATATAATGACAACGTTGGTTTGGATGACGTCTTTGTTCTTTCTAGCTGTTACATTACATTCTGTAGTTATCTGAACTGCTTGCCAGACTGTTTAGGGAAATGCATGTATCACAGTTAGGGGGGATTCACAAATGGTAGGTTTCTCTGCAAAATTGAGACATATTTAGAGTAGAAAACACTTTGCCTCTTGGAAATAGAAGTATAGGGTAATCTCTTTTTGTTTGTAGGCCAGAAGTTTCTGTGGACTATAAATAGAAACAGCTCACAGCTAGGATGGAGAAAGCTAGAGAAATGTACCTATTTGATTGAAAGGGATAGCTAATGTACTCAAAAATTGCTCTTGAGAAAGAGCAATGACACATTCATTCTGAAGGACTACTTAATTGCCCACTCTTGGAACAAGTTGGTCTTCAGCTCTAAACTAAACTGAAGATTTTGAAAATGATAGAAAAATAGTGCAGCAAATGTTAAATTTATGAAATAGGCTTGCAATTTTCTCATCAAACTTAGACCAACCTTAACGATATTGTAAGAGTAATATATTCTCAAGGATAAAATGTTCTCTAGTTCAACTTCTACATAGAAAATGAGTTTAAATGAGCCAGTCGTCTTAATATTTGGATACAATGGTCATTTTGAAATATGTGAAATGTGTTCCACTATTATTAGAAAGGAAAAAAAATAAATATGCTTATCTTTGATTTGGGCAATACCCAGGACTGATTCATAGAAAAAAATCTAATATATTTATACATAGGAGTGCTTTCTCTCTACTTGTACCTACAATAAAAAGGTCGTCGTTTGCTTTTTAAAAATTATTTTCACTGGAGTATACTTGAAACTGTACATCTCAAATGTTTTAACAAATATACCTAAATATTAAAATTACTAAGTAATTTTGTCCATTGAAAAATGTGGCTACTGCATATATAATAAGACATAGTTTCTTCTCAAAAGTGCCTAATAAGACTAAAGAGAGTGAATCAATGGAATTATTTATTTGTTAAAATCATGTTAAATGTCTTAAAGGTGTTATTCTTTCTTTCCTAATTTTCAAAAGAAAATACTTTGTCTTCTTTCATACTCATTGTTTCTAACTCTTTCTAACTTTTAGTAATTGTCAATAACACTTATATTACTTAAAATCTTTTCCTTAATTTATCTTCTTCTACCCTTCTATCCAACTCTTCTTTATTAAAAACATGTCTTCAGGATACCACAGGAGAAAAGGTCAGAAAAAGAAAAGGGAGTTTTAGTGTATACCTACCTCCAAACAGTCATTATTACTGTCAAGGCATAAAGCCATATGTTGCATATGACAAATTCTGTATTTCTACTGGGGTGCATTGTACTGTATTTTCATAACATATGCCAGGCAACTTCTATGTATTTCAGGTCACTAAGTATACTTTTCAACAAGACAAGGAAACTTTCTCCCTCCCATCCCTTCTGAAATCTTTATTTGGAGATCTAGCTCTAAGTTTTATGTTTTCCTGGTGGTCTTTCGATTCATTCCATTCCATTCCATTCCATTCATTCATTCATTCATTCAAAAACATTATTATTCACATACCATAGGTCATAAACCTCATTACTTATGGGAAATACGAAAATACTTACCATTCTGTCTTCTCTCTTCTTTGAGGCTTGTTCTCATGAAATAAGACAGATCTATCTATCTGTCTGTCTGTCTGTCTGTCTGTCTATCTATCTATCTATCTATCTATCTATCTAAACAATGAAGTGATAGATTAAGTATATGAAAGGAAAATGAAAAGCAAAGAAAAAAGGAAAAAGGCCTCTGCTAGTTGCGTTGTGGATTTGGAAAAACTTCATGGATGAGATGATCCTAAAAGATTACTCTGGGTATTCCATGCAGCTAAAGGTCGAGGGCCAAGGTGGCTGTAATAGTCCAAGTAATGTGGAAAGAATTTGGGTGTGAAAAGACTTGCCAGGAAGTTTTGACTCCAGAAAGATTCTAAAATAAATTGGTAATTATAAAGATGATAATGTATGGCCTCGAAGGCCATGTTCAGGAATTTGGACTGTGTACAGACAGATTGTGGAAAGCTATTGCACGATTTTGGGCAGTTACACAATAAGGTTATTCTATTGGGGAGTACACAGATTTGGCTGGGTGAAAAAGGCTAGCAGAGAAAAAGGCCATTTTGAAAGCTGTTGGAAATAGTCCTGTGAGAAATAATAAGAAAACCTATCAAATAGGCCAGGCACGGTGGCTCACGCTTGTAATCCCAGCACTTTGGGAGGCCAAGGTGAGCAGATCATGAGGTCAGGAGTTCAAGACCAGCCTGGTCAGCATGGTGAAACCCCATCTCTACTAAAAATACAAAAATTACCTGGGCATGGTGGTGTGCACCTGTAATCCCAGCTACTCAGGAGGCTGAGGTCGGAGAATCGCTTAAACCCAGGAGGCAGAGGTTGCAGTGAGCCGAGATTGTGCCACTGCACTCCAGCCTGGGCAACAGAAAAAGACTCTGTCTCAAAAAGAAAAAAAAAAAAAAGAAAAAGAAAACCGAAAACCTACCAAATAAGTGGAGATAAAATAAAGAATAAGAAGCATACCAGACTATAGTGAGAGCATATGAAAGCCAATTTGATGGTTGAAGGAGAAAACATTCAGTATTAGAACAATCACAAGACACGGCAAATCTAGGGGGGAATACTGTTTAGTTAGAGGCATGTTGCCTTTGAAGTGCCTGAGTTGAGAAACATTGGACATTTAGAAAGTGAGGGTGGTGGTCATAAATCTGGGAGTCCCAGAGAGGTAGACTGATCCATGGGATTGTCTAAGTTGGGAGTGGGAAGAGAGCATCTTGATAAAGAAGAAAAGCCACGCTACAAGACTAGAGAAAATCAACATAAAGAACAACAGGCGGCCCAGCACGGTGGCTCGTGCCTGTAATCCCAGCACTTTGGGAGGCCGAGGCAGGCGGATCACCTGAGGTCGGGACCAGCCTAGCTAACATGGTGAAACTCCGTGTCTACTAAAAATACAAAAAAATTAGCCCAGTGTGGTAGCGCACGCCTGTAATCCCAGCTACTCGGGAAGCTGAGGCAAGAGAATCACTTGAACCTGGGAGGTGGAGGTTGCATTGAGGCAAGATCGTGCCATTGCACTCCTTTGCACTCCAGCCTGGGCAACAAGAACAAAATTCCATCTCAAACAAAACAAAACAAAAAAAACAAAAACAAAAACAAAAAACAAAAAGCAAAGAGAGAGGTTTGTCAATCACAGTTTAAAAAATTAAGGCAACTGGGATAAGCAACTAATATTTCAGCCATTTGAGAATGACTCTATCTCTTCGTACACTTGCAAATAGAATTGTAATCACATGAGATTTCAACCAGATAAATTTGGTTACCCAGAAAAAAATGAGGTCATGACATAGATTTGAAGGCCAACAAAAATTACATAATCAGTGCTCCGTAAATTAGCTATTACGTAGGTGGATGCACATTTTGTTTCATGTCCATGAAGATTCGAAGCGTTAAGTTATTTTACTCATGATAACAATCTACTTCCTATCGAAATTTCATGGAGAGATAATAGATCAGTATTTATTCTATACTGAGTATAGACCATGAAGATTAAAAATAGCTCATGAATAAGGGAAAGGGAAACTCTATATGTGGGATTTTATGTAATTATGGTAACAATTCCTTGGAGATATTGTGGTCTGTTATGTAAATATGTGTAATTATGATAATTTCAAAAACCATGTTATTTACTCAGTAGTTTAACAGCTCCTTCACAAAGCAGTCACTTTCAGAACTCAGGAGGGGTATAGCAATACTTTCCATAAAAATGAGGTAAACTTAACATCTCATGTGAATTTAAAATATATTTTTATAAGAAAGACATCAGAATTTAAGGGTATATTTACCCCATTTTTACTTTCACACAATAAAGTACTGCTGTAGCACAGATCATTATTACCCAAGTTCAGGGATGACATACACAAAGATTATTATTGATAAATAATCAGAATGAATTGGTAGTATTTGCATAGATTTTTCTGGACCATAGTTGTTTTTACCTGTTGTTTGAGGGCCTATTATGGGGGGCATATTTAATATATGAGTGCTATAACTAGAAATTCAAACTGTCAGAGGGAAGGAAACCATCCATCTACCCATTCATTAAATGAATATTTATTCAAGGCCAAGATGTGCTAAATGTGGGACTGAATTTTGGGACCAAAATCTTAAATGATGCATATGTCCTACTATTACATGCTGTCTAACAGGCAGAGGTAATCAGGTAAATAAGTCAGTGAAATAACATCATTGGAGTCTTCACATTTCACTTTTCCGGGGGACACCATTCCCATTGTTGTGAAATGCAAAGACCCTGAGTGTTCTAGGTGTTATAATAGAAAGAAAAGTAGGGTACAAAAGGGGAACAATTTTATATGGTAGAGCTAAGGTCACTTAGGATGATCCAAGTTTTAATGTCTCCACTAGACAGCCAGAGTAATAGGTGAATGTGTGTGTGATTAAGAAAAATCATCCATTGCCACTCATTGATATGTAAGGGACAAGCAGAGGAGGGGAAGCACTATCAGAGGAGAATGAGAAGGAATAGTTAAGGCAGAAAAGAAAAAAAGTGAAAAGTACATTTTTTTCTGAATGTAAGATTCCAGAAGGCAGTCGGTAAAAGTTCCAAGAGATCCACGGAAGTCAAGTAAAATGAGAGGGAAGAGTCCATTGGATTTGAAAATTAAGTCATGAGCAACTTCACTTAGAGCATGTTCAGTAAAGACATACAAATAAATAAAAGTGACTTTGATGATAACTTTTGGTTGGCAACACCAACAAACCAATTTTGAATAATTCCTCCAAGAACCGTCATAGTGAAGGAAAACGGAGTGGTGTTCCTATTCTAGGAAAGGTTTTTGTTTGTTCTATTTTGGTTTTGTTCTTGGATTTTTTTTAGTTTTAGTTTCCTGTGGTATTAAAACATGTTTATATAAAGTAAAGGGGGCTGGGCACAGTGTCTCACCCCTGTAATCCCAGCACTTTTAGGAGGCGGAGACAGAAGGATTACTTGAGCCCGGGAGTTCAAGACAAGCCTGGGCGACAAAGTGAGACCCCATCTCTACAAAAAATTAGTTGACCGTGGTGGTGCATGCCTGTGATCCCAAGTACATGCGAGGCTGAGGTGGGAGGATCACTTGAGCCCGGAAGATTGAGGTTGCAGTGAGCCGTATTTGTGCCACTGCACTCCAGCATGAGTGACAGAACAAGACCCCGTCTCAAATAAATAAATAAATAAACAAAAATAAAAACAAAAAAATAAAAAAGGGAAGAATGGTTATATATGGTAAACCAGGACTCCTCAAGAAAGGGAGAAATTAGATTCAGACCAAAGAAGGAGTAAGTGGCTTTAATCTATGAACAAGATAAAGGGTTCATCCTTATCTGAAGCAGGAAAGAGGAAGGGAAAGAGAGAAGGATGGATTCTAATATAAATACATGCAGAAAGTTCTTAACCATATTTTTCACTTAGAATCACAAAAAAAAGACATATAAAACAAAGTCACTAAAGAACATAATAATGTGCTTATATTACACTGAAATGATACTCTACTTTCCTCTAATTATTATTCTTCCAAGCAAATACTTTTTTTTTTTTTTTTGACACAGTATCTCACTCTGTCATCCAGGCTGGAGGGCAGTGGCGTGATTTTGGCTCGCTGCAACCTCCCACTCCTGGGCTCAAGCAATCCTCCCACCTCAGCGTTTGTAGTGGCTGGGACTACAGGAGCCCATTACCACATCCAGCTATTTTTTTTAAATATTTTTTCTTTCTTTCTTTCTTTCTTTCTTTCTTTCTTTCTTTCTTTCTTTCTTTCTTTCTTTCTTTCTTTCTTTCTCTCTCTCTCTCTCTCTCTCTCTCTTTCTTTTCTTTTCTTTTCTTTTCTTTTCTTTTCTTTTCTTTCTTTTTTTTTGATGGAGTTTTGCTCTTGTTGCCCAGGCTGGAGTGCAGTGGTGCAATCTAGGCTCACTGCAACCTCTGCTTCCCGGGTTCAAGCGATTCTCCTGCCTCGGCCTCCTGAGTAGCTGGGATTACAGGCATGTGCCACCACACCTGGCTAATTTTTGCGTATTTTTAGTAGAGATGGGATTTCTCCATGTTGGTCAGGCTGGTCTTGAACTCCCGACCTCAGGTGATCCACCCGCCTCGGCCCCCCAAAGTGCTAGGATTATAGGCGTGAGCCACCGTGCCCAGACACACACCCAGCTAATTTTTGTATGTTTTGTAGAGATGGGGTTTTGCCATGTTGCCCTGGCTGGCCTCAAACTCCTGGGCTCAAGCGATCTGCCCACCTCAGCCTCCCAAAGTACTGGGATTACAGGCATGAGCCACCACGCCCAGCCTCAAATACTTTTTTGACCCGAATATCCTGCCTAATTGTGTAAGAGTTAATCTATATTGTCCAAAGTACCAGTAAGGTTTTTCTTCTTAGGCAAGGATGTTAGAAACATATTAGGTTTTTCTGATCAATATGGCTCACTTTTTAAGAGGAAATTGTTAATATTTTTGAGTCATTGACTGCCTTTGTGCTGTTTCAGAGAATGTACAAGAGTGCGGCAATAAAAAATGGCATACGTATTGAAAATATTATTGCTCTGGTTTTCAGTTATTTAGCTCAGGTTTTAGAAGTTTCATCTGCCTGGAAATATTTTCAAACATCCATCTATATTATTGCCATGTGAGTAGTGGATCTAGTGTGACATTGCCTCTTCTACTGGCAATGATATGGCATAACTCTAGTTTGAGGAGTCAAAATAGGAGGTAGCAGATCTATTGTGAATATCCAAAGTGCAGACTGCCTGTTCATAACAAATTCTCTTATGAAATTATACCTTTGTAAGAGCTTCCATAATATATATCTTATAGAGAAACTCCCAAATGGAATTTCTCTAACAGACTTTGCCAAACTTTGATTTCTTGGTTACCGGGCTATAGTTAATGTGTTCATAATAGCATATTGCTAACACAACCATTAACATGACCCTTGAAAAATAAAATTTGATTTCACAATGTCACAGCCGTACATGGAATTTTGAAACTAAGTCTTCTTATAAAATCATTTTGAGAGGTAGTTTATTTCTAAGTGAAGGTTACTTGTAAATAATGGTATAACCATTAGCTTTTGACTTTTACCACAATATTGTTGGCTAGTCATAATGTTCCCATTCATAAAGGATAACTGTGTAATCATTTGTTATTCAGATGTTGTGCCAAAAATCCAAAATAACATTTATTCTTATTTCTAAAAGTATCAGAACATTTACAATGAAGCTGCAGTTGTTTTTTGGTTTTTGAGTGAAATATACAACCAATAAACAGGATAGGATTACAGTATATTCTGATAAAAAGCTAATTTGGGGCAAATGAGCCATATTACAGTTGTTACCTATCACTTGATTGAAACCAAATCATTATCTAGCTTTGGATAACCATGCACCTTAAATTGAAAATTCTACAACCCATTCTATGGCATACTTCTGAAAGGCTCTGGAGTTTCTCTAGATGAAATCAAACACCCAAAGAACATGAAATTTTGGTCAGTTTTCTTTTACGTGCACATGAAATCATGTTCTGTCAAGTGTGAAGATTGCGGCAGGTGTTATGAGTCAGCACACAGCATAAGCAAAGCTGTATGATTGTCTACCTAATGTTCTCACGATGATGTTTCTGCATAGTTATGGAAATAAATGTCTGTCTGAATTTTTAGAGCTTCATCACCACTTATCTGAGGCTAAGGTAAATCCAAGGAGGATGTAACATCTTTTTCTTTACATTTTTGACTATATATATATATTTCTTTTAAAAGTTAGCAATTAAGCCATTTCTATGTGCCTAACACAGTGCTAAATCCTTGATAGCTGTGGAAAAATAGCTGTCATAAATCACTGTCCTTGTATTTGTGGATGCTGGTATATAATTTTCTGTAGAAAGGTTTCTGATTTGTATTTACTTTCATGGAAATCAGTGACAGGAAACTGGAAAGTATGTAGGGGGTGGAAAGATCATTTGAGAATGATGCAAATATTGTTTGAAAAACTTGTATTTATATTTGTATGCTCTGGAGATGCATATATCCAAATTTAACCTCATGAAAATTCCAGGAACTAAAACCTTGAAGACCAGAAGATGCATAATCTCCTTAACAAACAGGCTTGTTTCACATCAGCAAGCTATGATATTAAAAGGGTCAGCCTATCTCAATTTGATTGACCAAATTAGAAACCTATTTAGGATGCAATTATAATGCATAAGAGATCACTGTGCTCTAATAAATCCTGAAACACATTTCATGGCCAGCACCAAGGTAAGGGGCTGCCCAAGTTAAATATAGAAACATGTACTGTGAAGGGTCAGAAGTTTGCTTCTTGGCATGCTTTTATTCAGCACTCCATGATTATGCAGTAGTGGCCAGTGTGGTGTGGACTTTGAGGACTTGCCTTACCACCAACTAGCCAAGTGAGCTTGGAAAGACCCCTTGAACTGTTCTGTTACTGCAATGATCTATGAGACAATAGATTTGAACTAAATCATTCCTAATAGTCTTAATGAATAGCAGTTTCATTAGTTTAGTAATGGGATAATACTAAAGAAAATAAAAACCCCAACCTTTGTTAGGTACATAGAGTATAGTAAAGTGATTCAGATAAAGGTTATATACAGAGAACAAACTAAGAATTTTTTTTAAGAAGTAATTGACAAAAATTGTGTGAAGGCAAAGAGAGCTACCAGTATAAAAACCATTCCAGGTAGTGTTTGTGTCTTCAGAGAGAAAGAAAAGAGACCAGACAGGTCTGGTTAGGATATTGTTGGGGAATAGGTAGCCAAGCAACTGCATGAAAAGCCACCAAAGGGAGCCTTCTTCAAAGGGATGGGCGCATCACTGAGATAATCCCTGGCTTAGCCTTTGACAGGCTTGCATCTCAGCATTCACTTCTGTTTGAGCTATTATGTGCTGACTTCAGCATGGGAGCAATGAAATTGGGGCATGACTACACATTTCATTACCGACTCCCAAGCCCTGGGAAAATAATACTTTTTTAAAAACCCTGTACCTACCATCTAATAAGGTAATAGTCAAGTTGTCTTATTAGATTATTCATTAATGAAACAAATCTGTGATGAAACAGACTTCAGATGAATATAGCTGTAATTTTTTTATCAATGACATAAAACTGACCTGCTAAAACAGTATAGCAACTGGTAAAATAGTTTATTAAATTCTTTTAAAATATGACCAGTTACATTATATAGAAATAACTGGACTGTGGTCCCTAAAAAAAGAGAAATCTGCTTAGGAAAAATGTAATTAAAGGCGACAAAAGAATTGGACTGTCTTACTCAATGTAAAACTTTTAAATCAATCTTATTATTTTAGGAGATTCATACATGAGGACTGTTGCTTTTGTATTAGCTTAACAAGCACCCAGGGAGTCCTCCTAATAGTTAAGTTTATAGAATTAAAAGAAGTAGGGCTAATGTGGGCTTATTTTCCTAATGTGCAACATTATTTGGTATTCCAAAAAAAGTACGTGATCATTTATTCTTTTCTTTGACAGAGTTTCAGTCTTGTCGCCCAGGCTGGAGTGCAGTGGTGCCATCTTGGCTCACTGCAACCTCTGCCTCCCCGCTTCAAGCGATTCTCCTGCCTCAGCCTCCCGAGTAGCTGGGATTACAGGCACCTGCCACCATACCTGGCTAATTTTTTGTATTTTTAGTAGAGACGGGGTTTCGCCATGTTGGGCAGGCTGGTCCCGAACTCCTGACCTCAGGTGATCCACCTGCCTCGGCCTCCCAAAGTGCTGGGATTACAGGTGTGAGCCACTGCGCCCAGCCGCATTTATTCTTTTAATAAGCATATATTGAAATTCCACTCAAATTAAAGGGATACATATGTAAATAAGGACTCTGCACTGAGAAGGTTAACTTTAGTGGTGATCCAATAGAATTCTATTAGAATAGACTAATGGATTTATATAATGATAGTACATAATAATAAAACTAACAAATATATAATAAAGTATAATATTATATTCTAGAGAATTTGGAGGAATTTTATCTAGATAAGCCAGATATATTTTGGTCAGTTGTGAGAAAGAGTGAAATTAAAAGTAAACAGCTGGGAATAGTGCATATTAAAAAGCTGTAGCAACAGTAGTGGTGATAATGGTGATGACTGTGATCATGAGAAAAAGAAAAGAAGATAGAGGAGGAGGAAAAGGAGAGGAATGCTAGCTAACCCTGTAGATCTTACTGTGTGCTAGACATTTTTCTAAGAGGGTTTTTATATATGAACGAGTTAATCCTCACAGCAATCTTTTGAAGTATATGCTATTATTGGTCCCATTTTACAGTTAGGGAAACTCAGATACAGAGGATTTAGCTTGCCCAAGATCACATAGTAAGTGTATAATTGCTTTTAAAATCAGAGCATACCCATTAAATATAAAGGTAAATATTCCAGAGAAAGTCTGAAAATGTTGACAGTTTATATCACTCAAATATCTACCGTAGCCAAATAGAAATGTGTATAAAATAGGGCATAAGAAGGAGTGGTGGGCACGATAGCAAATTGGAGAGCATGGATGATAAACTGGAGAGCTACAGCCCAGCTAAACATGGCTAGTGAACTACAATTGTTGTGGCCCGCTAGAAATGCTGTCTCCGTGTTATCAGATCATCCAAGTTTGGAAAGGATCTGAAATCTGGATTCATAAGTGAAACCTCCAGGTTATTAAATATTTGGCATTTAATTAATTTTTAAGATAAAATGTTAGTGGGCTTGAGAAAACACATCAGTCACTGTGTTTGATATATCCTGAGAGCCACCAGTTCATCATTCCATCATTATACAGAGGCATTTATTGACTTTTCCCAAATGTCTAATAATCTGAACTCAGAACGAAATATGTAGTAGCTAAAAGTCACTTTCCCTCAATAATAAATATTGCTTATAGCTTAGTGGGTTGATTTCAGTGCTAAGATATTCATTTGAAGAATAAACACAGGAACATGTGAAAATCAAAGTCTAGCAACCTATTTTCAGTTTGTTGCTTTAGCTTTTCAGCTCCAACATTGTGAGCATCCCTACGTTTAGTCTGAATAACTTCTCATGGACTGTGGCTGTCTTATTTTATGTCTCTAATACCAGATTATGAAAATCACAGAAAAAAGGAAAAAATATTATTTCCAAAGAGTAAGTTATGAAGCCATGTTAGAAACCCATATGACAATATGAATTTCTTTTATCTGTCAATCTCAAGGTAGAATTCCTCATATTTCTGATAATGCCAAATACCATGAAATGTCTCAAAAAAGACTTGACTTTATATACCAGTTGTTTGTCTTGCTGCCTCACTTCTTCCTTTCTTTTCTTTCTCCCTTTTATCTGCACCCAAGTTATTTCTATTCTGTGTTTTATTGGTTCTTAATATATTATTATCCTTGATCTCTAGTCCTATCATAACTTCATTTTTTGTACCAAATGTTGCTTTGTAACATAGAGAACTTAAATGCCAATCACCTATTAACAAGCTAATAAATGTCCTGGCTAGAAGTGTCATAAATGGTGAAGGGTCTTGACACAATACCATGTGAGGATTACTTAAATAGATTAGGGAAATAAATAATATGTAGGGAAAATATAATAGCTATGCTGAAATATTTGGAAGATTGGCAATGAAGAAGCTATAGTGTTTGGCTAGTTTGAAAATTTATTCTGACTTGGAACGTGTGGAAGCTATGAGAGGTAGAGTTTAGTTTAACAAGTGAAAATATCTCTTCATAAAGAGATTAACCTAAAAAGTATAATGGATACCTCAAAAAATAGTATGTTATAGAGAAAGTTCCAGAATTGTCAGGCAGAAATAGTTAACCTCTGAATCTGTGCTCTGTCTCCAGAAATCTAGACAGAAGCTATTAAGTAATATTATCATTTAAGATGATTTTTATGACATGACAGAGGACATTATTTAAAAATTTTTTTTTTTTTTTTTTTTTTGAGACGGAGCCTTGCTCTGTCGCCAGGCTGGAGTGCAGTGGCACAATCTCGGCTCACTGCAACCTACGCCTCCTGGGTTCAAGCGATTTTCCTGCCTCAGCCTCCCAAGTAGCTTGGACCACAGGCGCATGCCACCATACCCAGCTAATTTTTGTATTTTTAGTAGAGACGGGGTTTCACCATGTTGGCCAGGCTGGTCTGGATCTCTTGACCTCGTGATCTGCCCGCCTCGGCCTCCCAAAGTGCTGTGATTACAGGCATGAGCCACCGTGCCTGGCCAGCCAGAGGACATTATTTTATCGACAGCAACTACAAACATTGAAAGAGACTACAACATAAACTGTTATTATTAGAGACCAAGGGTTTGTTGCTAGATAAGAATATGAATAAATACCATATTCTCTTGTATTGAGCTTGTTTTTCAATAAGTCACTGAACAACAATAATTAAGCAATGAAGCCAATACATCTAGAGAAAAAATTTAAGAAAACATCACAATGTTTCAATAACTATTTCCATCTATACATATTTCACACATTATAAAATAATCAGTTATATCACATGGTTTTATTTTTAAGTTCAAAAAGTCTTCATAGGCTGAGCTCAATGGCTCACACCTGTAATCCTAGAACTTGGGAGGCCAAGGCCAAGGCAGGTGTGCTTGAGCCCAGGAGTTGAGACCGGCCTGGGCAACATGGCAAAACCCCGTCTCTACAAAAAATACAAAAATTAAGGCATGGTAGCATGTGCCTGTAGCCCCAGCTATTCAGGAGGCTGAAGTGGAAGGGTCACTTGAGCCCCATGGATGTTGAGGCTGCAGTGAGCCATGATTGTGCCACTTCACACTAACCTGGGTGACAGAACGAGATCCTGTCTCAACAACAACAACAAATGTCTTCATAGCACTTTCTCCCTACTCGAGTCTTCCATAAAGCTGTTGAAACACATGCACATTATATCTGTTTTTTAGCACTCTATCTGGTAATAGTTTGTCAAATACGTGCTGGACTCACTATTTTAACCCATATTTAACCCAAGGTTGTGGCAATTATCAAAGAAAATCAAGCAACATTACTGAACAAAAAAATATTTTCTATGTTGAATTATGTAGTTAATGTTCCATCTTCTCTTTGCTTTCCTATCCAGGTCTAGCTTTAGGTACATTACAAAGTGAACTGGGAAGAAAATGCTGACATTTAAGTGGTTCTTGTTGCATGTTTACATTAAGAAATAATAAGGCCGGGCGTGGTGGCTCATGCCTGTAATCCCAGCACTTTGGGAGGCCAAGGAGGGCAAATCACCTGAGGTCAAGAGTTCAAGACCAGCCTGGCCAACATGGTGAAACCCTGTCTCTACTAAAAATACAAAAATTAGCCGGGCATGGTGGTATGTGCCTGTAATCCCAGCTACTTGGGAGGCTGAGCCAGGAGAATTGCTTGAACCCAGGAGGCGGAGGTTGCAGTGAGCCGACATGCGCCATTGTACTCCAGCATGGGCAAGAGTGACACTCCTTCTCAAAAAAAAAAAAAAAAAAAAAAAGAAAAGAAAAATGCACTACTGTAGAATATCTTAATAATTGTCTTCAGAATAAGTAGATTTTAAATAACTACGAACTAACACATAGTGCTTTGCAAGTGAAGTGGAAATAAATTCTTAAACAATTATATTTAATGCAAAAAAGAATTATAAAAAATCCCTATAAAGAAAATAATGTAGACTGCATTATAATCTTAGTCTGTGGCCCTGAAAATTTTAGTCACTACCATTAGTCTCTACAGACTTAACCATGTCATGCTTCAGTGTTCGCCAGTTGTCAAGAAAAAAATGTTTCCTGGAGAAAATGAGAACAGTCCTACCTTTAAGCAAATTGATTTTGATGCCTTTTGTCCTAGAAATGCACTTGTACTTTATTAATGTTCTTATGTGGATCATTTTGTTTTGCTGGTGATTTTTTCAGGTAATTCTGCATGAGGGAGACAGCAGTAAAGAGGGGAGTAGTAAAGAGGGAAGATGTAGAAAAAACACTGCTGGATTTAGGGTAGACATAGCTTGAATTACTCAAAAGCATATTCCCCTTCAGCTTTATTGAGATATGATTGATGAATAAAAAAGTATACATTTATGGTGCACTACATGATGATTTTATATGCATATACATTGCAAAATGGTTACTACCATCAAGCTAATTAACATACTCATCACCTTACATAGTTAACTTTTTTTTGGTGGAGAGGACATGTAAGATCTACTCTTTTTTTGTAGTCTACAGTTTATAATTATACAAAACAGTGTTAACTGTAGTCATCATGCTGTCCATCAGAATTCAAGAACTTATTTATCATATAACCGAAAGTTTGTACCCTTTGATATTTCACTGTCTTTTTTCAGCATGTTTTTAATATGTTTGTACCTTTTTTTTTATTTCATATTTTGTGATTCCTCTTCAATCTCTTTGCTTTTACTCTACAGGTTTGGCTTAGGGGAAGTGTGGAGATGTTGGTCAAAAGTGTATTTTGATTTAAGTTTGAAATCTTTCCCTCTATTTTCCTTATGGTCGTCGTTCGTTTTTCTACATGAAAGCAGAGAAATATGAATATATATATATATATATATATATATATATATATATATGTGCATACACAGACACACATGTATATGAATGACACTTTTTTGCATTCCCTGTTTTGCCCAAAGCTGATAGTGAACTGTTATGTTAGAATATGAGATGAAACATCTGATTCAGGTCAGCATGCTCAAAACAAATTGTAGGGCTTCATTTCCTGAAGTCTTTTTCTTATTCATTTCATCCCAGAGAAATAGAAGCCCTCTCATAGCTTAAATTTGAAGCCTAGGTGTCAACAGAACCGGTCACTATGAAAGTACAACTGTAATTAAGTGGTCTGCAGGTCATCTCAACATTACTGCATTGTATAATGTTCTGGGGTGCATATCTCAAGCTCTTTATTTCTGTTTCTTCCCTACACCTATGTCAGCTTTTTCACTGTGCAATAATAACTCCTATTTATCAGTAAAATAGATGTTTTAAAACATGATATTCTTAAAGCTAGTTTGACAACTTAAAAATAGGGAAATATGTTAAACAGATATGTTTTTAAATTTTCCGTACGTTTCCTTTTATTTGCCTACTCCCCACTATTGTAGATTATTTAAAACTGCCCTCTGTCCAAATTGTATCCTTTTGGAGAAAGCATTTTAAGTAGGAGAATCCATTAAACGCTTTTTTCTAAAGCTCAAACTGAGAGGAAAACTTTTACATTTAATTAATGAGAATTCAGCTCTTTAAAAGTTTGATGACTTTTCAAACTTATATAATCTGATTCCATCTCTGGGGAGGAAAAAAGACATTTTGGTTTTATTAAAGAAGAAATGACCAAAAACATTGACCACACGTTTGCTGTTAAAGATAACCGTACTTAATTCAACAGAAATGGGTTTTTCACCGAGTCTAAATGACCTGCAGCATTATAGAATTGGCTGCCATTCTCTCTCAGTCAGAAATCAGGCTGTGGAAAGCCAGAACTCTTCTCTACATCTAGTACAAAGATTGTGCTTAGGGTTTAAATAAAATGAAAAGAATAAGGTGGAAAATTAGAATATGTTGAAGGTTGAAAGATTTGATTCTGTGACTTTTACATAACTCAGGAAGGAAATAACCCAATTCCTCTCCACATTTAGTGAAAAAGCAACTCAAAACCATAGAGGCTGAGAACTTTCTCTGCATGGCTTTTCAAACGATTTATATAAAGATGTTGGAGAAATTCACAAAGACCTGGATAATGTTGGAAAATCTTGTGTTTTGAAGACAGGACAGAGCTGTATGATGCAACAATGCCATCTATTGGCTTCCAAGGAATGGCACTGACCACAGCTAGTTTGTAGTGTCTGGAAAAGGAAGAGATTATCAGTTTGGAACATGTGAATATAAACTTATTAATGAACTAGATGCTATCTTTCGTATTCTTTACTCCTGAATGTGGAACTATACATGATGCATATACCACACACATATAAACATAATGCATAGAGATATGCTCACCTGCATCTTCAACAATCCTCTCCTTGATGCTAGAAGATGAGCTTGCCTTATCATCATACTGATACAGTAGCTGGGTTTTGTCTTCCTGTGGACTAGTAGTTGTCATACAAGAGGATGTGTTTTTACCAGAACTCTTTATTCAGGGTGTTACTCATGTCTTAGTCTCCCCTGCTCTGCTAATCCCAACTGTTACTGTAATTTCTAAGCACACTCAGACAAAAACGTACAGGACTGGGGCTTCTCTCAGTTGAGCCAAATCAATTCTACTTCCAGATATTGCAATCCAGAGTTTGATAGAGAATTTTTGGCTGCTTTGAGGAAAGAATAAAACATTTGATTGTGACTGTCTTAGTTTCCTTGTTTGCCCTTTAAGTTCATTAAAAGATACGTCCTATAAGAGTCAGTTGTGAAACCTGTGCAATCATTTGAAATGAGAGTATAGATTTAAAAATAAATACATGCCTGATATTTACATGTGATTTAGAAAATATACAGGGAGTACACATATTATTTCAAATAATATTAATACTAAGAGGCTCAGAAGTGCCATAACCTAAAAACAATAAAGACATCAAAATTGTTTCCCTAAAATGGAACTAGAAGTTAATAAAGCAATAGTTCCAAAAACTTTTTGTTTTTAAATATTGAGAAAATACAAAACAATAAGGATTTTGTTGGGCAATAAATTGGGAGGCATTTTCCCCTGATTTTCTTAAAGATGGTCAAAAAAAGTAAAATAAAATAATAGGTTCCCAAAATTCTTCCATTGTATGTAGTTTTTAGGTTGATGGTTGCACATGTGTAGTATAGTTTTTGAACAACCATTGCAAATAAAAAATCTGTGCTAAAAATAACCTTTTTATTTAATAACTCCCTTCTCATTTTCATCAATTTGATCACTTGCTTTAATTCATGGGGGTTCTAGGTGGCACTTCAACTGACTGCTACTGATTAGTAATTTAACTAATTGATTGTCAAATTGTAATTATTGCTATGCAGCATAAGTGTTTACTTGAGGATAGTAAGGAGTAGCCAAGTCTTTCTTATTTAAAACACTTACACTAATAAGACTCTAGTCAAACAAACATATTTATTTGAATACTGTGGCTCATTTGAAAGCAGAATTAAGTTATAAAACAATAACCCATTGTATTGTTTCTGCTTTCTGAGTAAAAACAAAATAGCACACTGTTTCCCAAACTTAAGTGCTTCTAGGCCCACCTTGTCTATGTCTGCCATGTCTGATTACTAACTGTGGTTTATACACAATATATTTCCTTAAGTTGACTCTCATTTTTTACTGAAATATATTTTCAAAGGAAATTTTATATCACTTTCATAAATGAAAAAAACTAGAATATCTATAAATAGTAAACAACCATTTAAAAATTGATCATAATACTACTGTTTTAATTAATATAATAAACCATTATTACATCTAATTGATTTATCAAAAATGAAATAACTTCTTCAGGATTAAAAAAATATATGTCATCAGTCAGCAATAATGACATGTTTGGCTTAATTTAAGTTAAGGAAAGGTTCTTGGTTAACAGGAAGTTTCTATTTTTAGTTCTAATGATGACTAGCAGTGAGAATCACAATTTGCATATGTAAGTTTTGAAAAAAATAAACATCATTTAACTAGTTATTGTGATAGTGTTGGACACTGAAATCAATCCTGGCAACATGTTGTGAGTGACTTTGACTCAGCAAATCTTTGTGTCAAGAGGCCATTTGAAGCTTCTGCTCTTTAGAATGGGCTACGTTATTTAATAGAATCTATATTAACCAGTCATTACTGCCATGTTGCTTGGAAACTGCAAAGATGTTATATCAAGTTACTTAGCCATCTTTTCATAAATTTTCATTAAAATATGACTGCCAAACAAGATCAATCAGGTGACCTTGATATATTAGGCTTTTCTCATATTGCTATAAAGAAATACCTGAGACTGGGCAATTTATAAAGAAAAATGGTTCAATTGGCTCACAATTCCACAGGCTGTACAGGAAGCATAAGGCTGGCATCTGCTTGGCTTCTGGGGAAGCCTCAGGAAACTTACAATCATGGTGGAAGGTAAAGGGGTAGCAGGCAGTTCACATGGCCAGAGCAGGAGGAGGGGGGTGGGAGATACCAGTTACTTTTAAATGACCAGAATCTCAAGAGAGCTCACTCACCATCACTAGAACAGCATCAAAGGGGAAATCTGCCTCCATGATCCAGTCACCTCCCACCAGGCATTGGAGATTATAATTCGACATGAGATTTGGTGGGGACATAGATCCAAACCGTATCACTTTGTTATTGGTAGTTGTTTGTGGGTTGAAAGCATGAATGATAGAAAGACATGTTCTCAGGATGCAGGCTGGGATAAAGTAGAAGAACACGTTCTATAAAGGAACACTTATTATGTGTTAGGTACTATGCTAAATATGTTACATTAATTATCATCTCATTTAATCCTCACTACAACCTTCCTAGGTAGGCATTATTTCTACTCCTACTTTGCAGCTAGGGAACTGAGATCAGACAAGGTGAAGTGATTTGATTAGTCTCTTAAGTTAAACTTACTGCCTTGGTGAGCAATGGTAAGGTATTAGATGCTACAGGTCTGCTGCATACCCAAAATCCTGAACTTTGGCTCCAGGCCTGGTCTGTGGGTCCCAAGAAACCAAAGTGTAGGCGAGCCTAGCCCTGAGGGATCATTCCCAGGTTTCTCCTCAACCCTTCTTGCCCAGCCTTTCCCTGGAAACCCAATAGCAGAGAGCATAATCAAGAATGTATAAATGTGATTATAAGGAGCCAGAGCAAGAAATATTTCTTTTTTCTTCCTTACTGTCTACCTCACCTGGTTTAATATTCCCTACCACCTCATTCTCACAGTCTATGCACCTATACTTTAGTCTGGGTACCCCTAAAAAATTATTTCTTGTACCATGAGTGTGCATGCCCCCCTTTGGGATCACTGACGATTAAAACCAGTTCCAAATTTACAAGCCTCTTGGGATATGTTTGACTCCCATATAAATGTAGCTATTTTATATATTTTTGTGTATATATGCCCATTTTAATATATGATGAAAATGAGTTCTCTAAAAATGTTAAAATATGTAATGCATTTCTGAAATTTACAATGAGTGCCTTTCAATTCACTATGGCATTGTTATAAGGCGGATTTTTAGTTGTATCGTAGTTGATAACATATTGGTTTTCTTTTAAATTTCTAGATTTTTTGTTTTACTTAAAGAAACATCTATTGGCTGGGCATGGTGGCTCACGCCTGTAATCCCTGCACTTTGGGAGGCTGAGGTGGGTGGATCAACTGAGGTCAGGAGTTTGAGACCAGCCTGGCCAACATGATGAAACTCTATCTCTACTTAAAAAAAAAAAAAAAAAAAATCAGCCGGGCAGGGCATGGTGGCAGGTACCTGTAATCATAGCTACTCGGGAGGCTGAGGCAGGGGAATGGCTTGAACCCAGGAGGCGGAGGTTGCAGTGAGCTGAGATTGCACCACTGCACTCCAGCCTTGGTGACAAGAGTGAAACTCCATCTCAAAAAAAAAAAAAAAAAAAAAAAAAAAAAAGAAACATCTATTTAATAGAAAACACACCTAAAAACTAAAAAAAAAAAAAAAAAGAAAACAACTACTGATCTCACTGCCTGGTATTAACTACTTTTAAGATTTTTGTGTATATCTTTCTCCATTTACATTGATTTTTAATTTCAGTTAAGTGAGAATTCCATCTCTTTTTTATAGCTTTCACTTTAGGAGTAATTTACTTTAGTTGAGAATTTCACATTCATGTATCTTAAAGTCCTTTCTCTTTTTGGATTATATTATTATTTTATTTTTAGTATAGACAAAGTATTCTTGCTTCCCCAACAAGATATGGAAATTCATATATTTTGACAAAATATGATGCTATTTTCCATGTAAAGGACAGATATGTTTTCTTTGATTTCTTTTTCTCATAGACTTGTTTATCATTTCTCTTGCTCTAAATTTTAGAAAGGTGTTGTTTTTGCCTTCCTGTTAGGCTTCACCTGAACAGTTATAGTGATGGTGTGGAAGGCAATTCTTACTATATTAGTCATTTGATGGTAGTCTGCAACTTCAGGGGCTCTGTCTTAATAGTTTTACATTGCTATAATTCAGTGGCTTTGAGGTCTAGCTTAATACCCAAATTACTAATATATTTAGGATTGTTGAAACTGCAAATGTTCAAGCTTTACCTCAAACAGTCCACAAGATATTCCCTAGGCTTCAGGGTTTGAGAATCCTCTAAATGAACAAAGCCCATTAATCCATGCTGTATCATAGTGACTGACACATGGTAAACTCAATAAATTTATCTATTTTAAGTTAATAGAATTCTGGCAAGATTATCTGTTCATTGCATGTATAACATGGTGACCTTAATCTTTTGGGTAGAAATAAATCAGCTATCACTTATGATTTTCTCAAGGAATAATGGTACCTTTTCAAAAGGATAGGTTTTATATACTATGAGATGTCCTGATATAATTTGAATTCATGGCAATACTGCATTTGCCTTTTTTTTTTTTTTTACCATCTTTCAAGAGGGCTGCCTAGAGATAAGAATTTAAGGGCCATGTGTTGTATTTTTGCTAGTACCTTGAAAGAAGTTTTTGCTTTGTTTTTAATGGCAATACAAATAAAATCCAAAAATCCTGGACACATATGATAAGTTCAGTTGTTTATTTGAAAAGTAAATGCCTCACATGCCTTGCTCATACCACTTTAAAATGGGATTGATTGATAAACACAAACTCTAACTCTCTTACATTAAAGAGTATCAACACTCTGAATTTTTAATTATCTTTGATAATCCCCATGAACATTTTTAGGACTCACACGTAAAATAGTCAAGTCTATTTCAAGTTATGTCAGACAATGCTTTTTAATATACTGTTCAGTGCAGCACCCTACCAAAAACTAGTCCTGTGGTTGCTTTATCTAATTGTGCCTTGGTAAGGGATTTGTTAAGAGTGGGGAAAAAATACCCCCAGAAATGCTTTAATTAAACAGCTTCAAATACAGCCATTGTTCTTACAACAGAATTGTGTAAGTCTTCTCCCTGAAGAGAAATATTGCTGTAGCCAATATAGCTATACAATTAGTCTATGTATATTAATGTAAATATAATTTCATTATAAAAATGCTTACTCGTACAGAATCTAATTTTTATCTGATTATTTTTTCAAACACTGGCCAGTCCCATGAGTGAAAATACCTATAATGTAAGGTCAGTTGCCAATTATAAAAAACATTGTTTAGATGGAAACCCAGGGTATTCACCCAATGTGGTTATTACTTGTGCTTACATAATGAAATTTGATCAGCTTGTTTTAAAATAATCTATTTAGGTCCTAGTATTCACAATATCTCTTCCCAGAAATAAAGACTTCCTTGAAGAAAGTAAATGATTTGAACTGGAAAAACATGTAAGAAATTTAAAAAAATTAAATATATATTTATTTTAATATATGTATGAAGAAAGTTTTTCAAGATGTTATGATGAAATTGATTTTCTTTGAGGTCCAAAATGGCCTTTACATGAGGTATAGGACTAAGATTTTAGTAAAAAGCACGTACCTTGGTCATCACAGAATTGTTGGGAATCATTCAGAGACCATGTAGAAATGTTTCCCAGGGTGAGAAAGACTGAACCCTAGACTAATATTGGCTCTGCCAAAAATAAAATAAAATAATTTTTTAAAAATTAAAGAACTTATGGAGGGCACACCCTTTCATTCTGTGATTTCCACGTCAAGAGGTCTCAGTGGAGCATACATCTGAAACAAATCATTTAAGCTATAAATTTAGTCACTAAGATCATCTTTAGATCCAACATTGATATGTTAATTTATGAAATCAAAAAGTAATATACTTTATAGCTTCCTCCTAAATCTTAGAAGGTACTGGAACACCCATACTTTGACCATTCTTTTACGTTCACTAAATTTCCTAAGAGTGTCATGGAAACAGAAGAGGAATAGAAAATCTATCAGGTAACCCTGCCCTACCTGGCAAATTTTTGTGTTGTAGTTGCTTTTGTTTAACATTTCTTTTATCAGTTAATTATACGCTGATAGAGATTTTAGATGGACTCTTGGAACTCCAAGAAAAAAGAGGTTCTGATTCAGATGCTCTTGGAAATATAGACACATTTGAGTGTCTTAAAAGCATACACGAGACAAGGTCTATTTTCCAAAGGTGCAGAGCAAGTACTGAAGCTTCTCCACTTGAAAACAACAGTATAAAAACTACCATTAAGGCCATTTGTTCATTTGCCCAAAGTATCCAAGGAGTTGTTTAAGCTTTCAGCCCCTTATGCATTTCCATCAAATATGAATATGTGTTGCTCCTTCTAGTAGTTAAGACCAGTGACACCCATTTCTTCCTTGATGGTCTATATTTTATTGGGTATTTAATTACAGAGCAATCAACTACACTGAAAAAAAAATAACTTGATTCAGTTAAGTTCTTACCCCACAATGCTCACAGGCTTTACTGATTATACACCACCTCTTATGTGCAATTGTCTTTGGACTAATCAGATGTGATGGGCTTAATGTTGTTTTTAAACCCTAACAAATCTGGTCATAGGCAAAGCAAACCTGCTAAAGATGAAGGGACTAGATTTAAATGACCTTGCTGACTTCCAGACCCTTCTTTTGATCGTGGGCAGAATGGATATGCTCTTGTTGTGGAATATAACTATGTATGGATTTATAAAAGTTTGTCAAATGAAAGTTGAAAGTTCTATATTCACTTTACCCAATTTACTAGAAAGGGAACCAATTTTCTCGTTAATTACAGGCTGTTAGAAAGGCGTAATGAAATTTCACAACTGTCCAACTGGTGCTTGATGAGAAGATTACTATCTATGGATGAGGGTTATGTCTACAGTTCTTTAATCTTTCCTTTCTTTCTTTTTTTCCTCTATAGTGTCTCCTCTGTTTCTCCCAAACATCTGCTCTATTCCTTTTGATGTCCTGTTAGTCATCCCCATTCCATGCCACTACCACTGCTCTCCTTTTACACTTCCTTTCTTCTGTCTTGTGTCTTCTACTTACTCATTGCATCCCCTGAATTGTTGTTGTTGTTGTTATTGCTGTAGTTTAAACACATATTGACCTCCATGGTTACCCTGTTCACCTTTTGTGTCAATTCATCATTTTACAATTATTATAATGTATCATTTTATTTATTTGGAAATAATATTTATTTGGAAAAATGTATTTATTTGGAAATAAATGTTTCATTTCCAAGTTTCATATTAGAGCTTGGATACTCAACTTGTGGTCCTTGGACCAGCAGCTGCAACATCACCTAGGGACTTGTTAGAAATGCAAAACCTCAGCCTCTACCCTAGGCCTTGAGTCAGAATCTGAAATTCAAAAAGTTACTGAGGTCACTGGTGTGCACCTGAGAGTTTGAGAAGCACTGTGTTGGAATACATTCTCATTAACAGAAGAATTTACAAAATAGTGTTAGTTATTTGGTATTTAATGAGGAAAATGGTAAAAGATGTTTAGTCCTTTTTTTCTCATTACATTGGAAGCATATGAGGATGCAGACATCCTTCTTAACTATTTAATAATGTTTTAAAAACTTTAATGTATGGCCGGGTGCAGAGGCTCACGCCTGTAATCCCAGCACTTTGGGAGGCTGAGGCTGGTGGATCATCTGAGGTCAGGAGTTTGACACCAGCCTGGCCAACATGGTGAAACCCTGTCTCTACTAAAAATGCAAAAAATTAGCTGGGCATGGTGGTGGGCGCCTGTAATCCCAGCTACTCGGGAGGCTGAGACAGGAGAATCGTTTGAACCCGGGAGGCAGAGGTTGCAGTGACCCAAGATCACGCCATTGCACCCTAGCCTGGGTGACAAGAGTGAAACTGCGTCTCAAACAAAACAAAACAAAACAAAACAATCTTTAACGTATGATGGTATTAGCTGTCATTTAAAGAAGATTTTTAATCAGTAGGTCTTGCAAACGTTACGATTTATCACATGTATACAGTCAAAAGACACAGGTAAAAATAAACTTCAATTATTTCCTTTGAAGTCTGAAGGCCATAAATTATATTATATTGATGTTTGGTTGATAAATCAATTATGTTTGATTATTAATAATACTATTATAGGTAGTGTTTGTGGAAAATTTACTATTTGACAAACAGTGTACAAAACACTTTATAAAAGTTAACTTATTTGGTCCTTACAATAACATTACTAAATTTCAAAATTACAACTTTCATTTTCAGAATAGGAATCTGAAGGCAAGTTTCATAGCTTAAATAGTGGGCAGAACTGAGATTTAAACCCAAGTCTGTCTCATGCTACAACTGCAGTTTGTAAATCCCATGTGTTATTACCTCCGTTAGTCGATAATGTACAGTTTAGTTCATCAGCTATGCTAGTGATAGAAAACAATGATACCATAACAGCAGCAAATTATAGGCATTTGTAAACTTTTCAGAATGAAAGTTGGTAGTTCTTTTAATAATCTCACTGGAATAAATAATCTCCCTTCATTTTAGTCTTTTTATGTTAGACACGTTTTCTCCATAATTTCTAAGACCTTCAAAACATTGCAATTATATATTATTAATTATTAATAGCTTTTATTTGGTAACTTTGTAATTATATTTATATGAGTTTCTCTCCTCAGTATTATGTATTAGGCCGGGCGTGGTGGCTCATGCCTGTAATCCTAGCACTTAGGGAGGCCGAGGCGGGCAGATCATGAGGTCAGGAGATCAAGACCATCCTGGCCAACATGGTGAAACCCCGTCTCTATTAAAAATACAAAAATTAGCTGGGTGTGGTGGCATGCGCTTGTAATGCCAGCTACTTGGGAGGCTGAGGCAGGAGAATCACTTGAACCCGGGAGGTGGAGGTTGCAGTGAGCCAAGATCGTGCCACTGCCCTCCAGCCTGGCTACAGAGTGAGACTCCATCTCCAAAAAATAAATAAATAAAAACTTTAGACAAATTTAATATTCCAGGATTAATTGAGCAAATAATGATTTACAAATCAGACAGCCCTCAGAACCAACAGAGGTTCAGAAATCTCCACTTCACAATGTGGACAGGCAGCCTTTATGGACAGAAAACAGAAGAGCTGTAAAGAGACCACTTGATGAGTTACAGTCTGGAGCTTGCCTCCCTTGAACATGGTATGATCAGTTGGCTACCTGTGATTGACTGAAGTTCACCTACTAGCTACTTTGATTGGCTGAGACTCAGCTAGTTGTTATGAAAGTCTACTCCTGTGGTAGACTTTCAGTTAGTTTACATACTAAGTTATATTGTAGTTTGTTACATAAGGACTCAAGTACAGAGGCATGCTTAAGTCAAATTTAGTTTAACATGTGGTAGTTAGACCCTTAGTTTCAGAGTCCAACTCTTCGGGTTCTGATCTGGGCTTTAGCATTTATTAGATGGGTGACCTTAGACATATTAGCCTTCTCTACTTCAAATATCTATTAGCCTTCTGTACTTCAAATATCTCATTGTTAAAATGAGGATATAAAAAAGGCACTTATCTCACAGTTTTGTTGTCAGGTTTAAGTTAGATAACTTATGTAAATTGCTTAACACATTGCCTTACAAAAATTAAACACTCAATAAATAGTAACTATTACTATTATATTTTGAAATATTGACAATAGAGATTTTATCACATGCATCCTTTTATATGTGAATGTTGGTATACAATGGGTAGTTTTGGGAATGTGTATAACTGTAAGCATGGGCAACCTATCAGTAACTTAAACTGATAATGGCTTATTTTATCATATAAAAAGAAATCCAAACTGGGGTTTTTGAAGGAATAAATAAAATTAACAAACCTTTAGCCAGACTAACTAAGAAAAAGAGGGGAAACCCAAATAAATAAAATAAGAGATGAAAGAGGAGACATTACAACCGATACCGCAGAAATTCAAATGACCATTAGAGGCTACTATGAGCAACTATATGCCAATTACTTGGAAAATCTGGAAGAAATAGACAAATTCCTAGACACATACAACTTACCAAGATTAAGTCATGAAGAAATTCAAAACCTGAACAGACCAATAACAAGTAATGAGATCGAAGCTGTAATAACAATCTTCCAGCAAAGTGCAGCTTCGGACTCAGTGGCTTCACTGCTGAATTTTACCAAACATTTAAAGAAGAACTAATACTAATCCTAGTCAAACTCTTCCCCAAAATAGAGGATGAGGAAATACTTCCAAACTCACTCTACGAGGCCAGTATTACCCTGACACCGAAACCAGACAAAGACACATCAAAAAAAGAAAACTATAGGCCAATATCCCAGATAAACATTGGTGCAAAAATCCTCATCAAAATATGAGCAGACATAATTCAGCAACACATTAAAAAGATCATTCATCAGCTGGGCGCGGTGGCTCATGCCTGTAATCCCAGCACTTTGGGAGGCCGAGACGGGAGGATCACTTGAGGTCAGGAGTTCCAGACCAGCCTGGCCAACACGGTGAAACTCCGTCTCTGCTAAAAATACGAAAAATGAGCTGGGTATGGTGGCGGACACCTGTAATCCCAGCTACTCAGGAGGCTGAGGCAGGAGAATTGCTTGAACCCGGGAGGCGGAGGTTGCAGTGAGCTGAGATCGTGCCATTGCACTCCAGCCTGGGCAACAAGAACGAAACTCTCTCGAAAAAATAAATAATTAAAAAATATCATTTATCATGACCAAGTGGAATTTATCCCAGGGATGTGAGGATGGTTCAACATAGGCAAATCAATCAGTGTGGTAAATCATATCAACCGAATGAAGGAAAAAAACATAGGATCATTTCAATTGATGCTTAAAAAGCATTTGATAAAATTCAACATCCCTTCATGATTAAAAAAAAACACCCTTAAAAAAAACTGGGTATAGATGGAACGTACTTCAACACAATGAAAGCCATGGATGACAAACCCACAGCTAGTATCATAGTGAATAGAAAAAATTGAAAGCCTTTCCTCTAAGATCTGGAACATGACAAAGATGCCCACTTTCACCACTGCTATTCAGTGTAGTACTGGAAGTCCTAGCTAGAGGAGTCAGACAAGAGAAAGAAATAAAAAGTATCCAATTTGGAAAGAGAGAAGTTAAACTGGCCAGGCACGGTGGCTCACGCCTATAATCCCACCACTTTGGGAGGCTGAGGCGGGCGGATCACCTGAGGTCAGGAGTTTGAGACCAGCCTGACCAACATGGAGAAACCCTGTCTCTACTAAAAATACAGAATTAGCTGGGCATGGTGGCTCATGCCTGTGATCCCAGCTACTCAGGAGGCGGAGGCAGGAGAATCGCTTGAACCCAGGAGGCAGAGGTTGCAGTGAGCCAAGATCATGCCTTTGCACTCCAGCCTGGGCAACAAAAGCAAAACTCCATCTCAAAAAAAAAAAAAAAGTAAAATTATCCTTGTTTGTAGATGATATGATCTTATATTTGGAAAACACTAACGACTCCACAAAAAATATTAGAACTGATAAACAAATTCAGTAAAGTTGCAGGTTACAAAATCAACATACAAAAATCGGTAGCATTTCTATATGCCAACAATGAATAATCTGAAAAAAGAAATCAAGAAAGTAATCCCATTTACAATAGCTACAAATAAAATAAAATACCTAGGAATTAACCAAAGAAGAAAAAGGTCTCTACAATAAAAACTATAAAACGTTGAATAAAGACATTGATGAAGACACAAAAAATGGAAAGATATTCCATGTTCATGGATTGGAAGAATCAATATTGTTAAAATATCCACACTATCCAAAGCAATCTACAGATTCAATGCAATTCCTATCAAAATACCAACAACATTCTTCACAGAAATAGAAAAAGCAATCCAAGAATTTATATGGAACCAAAAAATACCCAGAATAGCCAAAGCTATCCTGAGTGAAAAGAATAAACCTGGAAGAAGCACATTACCGAGCCCACGTTATGCTACAGGCCACTGTAATCAAAACAGCATGGTACTGGCCTAGAAATAGAAACATAGACCAATGAAAGAGCATAGAGAACCCAGAAACAAATCTATACATCTACAGTGAACTTATCTTCCACAAAGGTGCCAAGAACATACATTGAGTAAAAAACCATCTCTTCAATAAGTGGTGGTGGGCAAACTGGATATCCATATGCAGAAGAATGAATCTAGACCTCTATCTCGACCATTTACAAAAGCAAAATCAAAATGGATTAAAGACTTAAGTCTAAGACCTGAAACTATGAAACTACCAGAAGAAAACACTGGGGAAACTCTCTAGGACATTGGACTGGGCAAAGATTTTTAGAGTAATACCCCACAAGCACAGGCAACCAAAGCAAAAATAGACAAGTGGGATCACATCAAGTTAAAAAGCTTCTGCACAACAAAGGATACATTCAGAAAAGAGAAGACACAGCCCCAAGAATGAAAGAAAATATTAGCCAACTATCCATGTGACAAGGCGTTAATAACCACAATATACAAGGAGCTCCAACAATTCTATGGGAAAAAATTAATAATCAAATTTTAAAATGGGCAAAAGATCTGAACAGACACTTCTCAAAAGAAGACAAGTAAATGGTAAATAGGTCTATGAAAAGGTACTCAACATCACTGATCATCAGAGAAATGCAAATCAAAACTACAATGAGATATCATCCCACCCCAGTTAAAATGGGTTTTATCCAAAAGACAGGCAATAACAAATGCTGGTTAGGATGTGGGGAAAAGGGAACCCTTGTACACTGTTGGTGGGAATGTAAATTAGTACAACCACTATGGAGAATAGTTTTGTGGTTCCTCGAAAAACTAAAAATAGAACTACCATATGATCTTGCCAGCCCCCTGCAAGGTATATACCCAAAAGAAAGGAAATCAGTGTATTGAAGTGATATCTGCACTCTCGTGTTTGATTACTGCACTACTCACAATGGCAAAGATTTGGAAGCAACCTGTGTTCATCAACAGATGACTGAATAAAGAAAATGTGGTACATATACACAATGGAGTACTATTCAGCCATAAAAAGAATGAGACCCTATCTTTTGCAACAACATAGATGTAACTGGAGGTAATTATGTTAAGTGAAATGAGCCAGGCACAGAAATAGAAACATTGCATGTTCTCACTTATTTGTGGGAGCTAAAAATTAAAACAATTGAACTCAGGGAGATAGAGAGTAGAATGATGGTTACCAGATATGAGAAAGGGTAAATTGGGAGGGGGAGTGGGAGTGGTTAATGGGTACAAAATTTAGTTAAATCAAATGAATAAGATCTAGTATTTGATAGCACAACAGGCTGACTACACTAAGCAATAATTTATTGTACATTTAAAAATAACTAAAAGAATATAATTGGATTGCTTCTAACACAAAGGATAAATGCTTGAGGTGATAGATATCTCATTTACTATGATGTGATTGTCAGGTATTACATGCCTGTATCAATACATCTCATGTACCCCATAAAAATATACACCTACTATGTACCCACAAAAAAAAATTTAAGAAAAAATCTAAAGGCAGGCATATGAGAACTGATGTGCCACTAAGCATTAAGGTTTCTTTCATTTTTCTGCCCCGCTATCTTTTAATTTGTAAGTTTCATCCTCATGTTCACAGAATGGCTGCAGTAAGCTGGATATTACATTCATATTTCAGGAAGATATGGGGGAGAAGAGCAAAAGGGGAAATACAAAAACCTGGGAATGATGGGGAATGCTATCTGAGTCTGTCCATGCTAAAAAATCCTTCCTGGTTTTCCTATGAAAAGATTTCTGCTTCCATCATCTTGGCAAAAACCTGGCTAGGTAGCTACCCCTGGCTGCGGGAAAGTCTAGGATGGTAAGTATTTTAGTTTTCTATTCTCTATATAAAGGAAGACATTGGAATTGAATGGCTTTGGGGTAATTGATTCATAATATCTACTATAGTACTCATTAATCAGTCAGCAGCCAGTCAATGAACCAAAGAAAAAAGTCAATATGAAACCCTTTAAATGAAGCATATCAAACCTTTTTAAACAAAATGAAATTCATGTATATTTAAATATGATGATCCCTCTTACCCAGTATTTTGCCACTAAAGTGTTAGAAGTAAGGAATGAAACTTTACACAGATAATTTATTTTGGCAGCATTGCTATGGTGCTAGGAAAAAAATTGTCCCTAGAACAGACCCTGAAAACAACTGCTCATAGCAAATACTCATAGGTGTTTCTGCTGCTACAGATAATCACAGAAGTTGCCAGAAATTAAAATGTGCAAAGGATAAATACAAATCTTTCTCCTTTGCAATGTTGGAGAGATCTTGCTTCTTTTTTAACCTCCATAATTTTGTTGCCCTGTTTTGCAGCATCTTTGCAATGTTTCTGGGACAGCTCAGTCATCACCATCTCAATCTCATTCACCACAGAACAAGTGCTTGTCAATTGTAAATGTGTAATCTCAGGAAATTCTTGCCTGCTCTCTTCATCTCTGGCCATTTGTCCTCCAACCCATCCATTCATAGTGCTGTTATAAGCTTCCCACCCCAGGGTTAGTAATCTTCCAGGGCTCTGTTTCATCCAGAAAGCCATCAATGGGCTGTACCTGCTGCAGGGGGATCTTTCACTTTCCACACCCTTACAGCCTCACATTTATGAAAGTCTTCTCCAAAAAATCTTCCTTATTCTATTTTGAAGGAAATACCTTCTACCTAGAATATGTTTCATTAATCCTCAAGGCAAGATATAATTCTTCCATCAACTTGACTTGAACTAAACTGACACCATGCTAATTTTTTCTTTCCATTCTTTCCTCATTGTCAATATGTTTTTACTGATTCCTTGCTTCATTCATTGATTCATCTGGCAAATACTTTTTGAGCATAGAATATGTGCGAGAACTTTTGTGAAAGATAGGATTTATAGAGATCAAGAAAATTTAGGGCATGTTCTCAAGGGGGTCACAAGCTTTTGAGGAGGAATGATTCTACGTTTATATTGGGATAGCCTCTGGTGTTTTGGAAGTCTTGAGCTGTAACCGACCAACCTTTCATTCTCCCTTTCCATCACCCCTTTGCCAAACACACATACCTTGCTATGAAAAATTCTTAAGGGCAACAGGGATTCATTCTTTCCTTTTCTTTTGGCTTTACATCCCGTTCTACAAGGACTCAGTGGGATTCTAAAAAAAAAATTATTTTTTCTAAAATATTCTGGAAAAATATTTGGAATAAAATTGAGATGGAGTGAGATAAGGATATTTTCTTGACTTGTGAGAAAAATAACACAACCAAACATCATACAATGTGATTCAATGAAGATTCATGAAAAAAATACAATTTCAAACTTCAGAAATTAAAAATAATAGACCTAATAATATTTCCCTTTGTATGTATGTGGCATGATGTTGTTATATTACTTGGTAGCAGAGTGGAAATTTGAGCATAATCTAGGTTGAGAGAAAAGGTCATTATTCTTAGTTCTGTGTTTTTCCAATATACTGTGTTCTTCAAAATATACCAAAAATTATAAATCAGTAATAATTGATACTTTGTACAGATTTTTTTATTTTATATTTTCTTGTTTCTCTTGCAATATCTTTTCTTTGATTTTTTGTTTGTTTGTTTGAAACACGTATTTGCCACTGTTCAACTCTTACACCTACATTCTCTTTTGCTTACTGAGGGGAAATGGGCCCCATAAAATAGGTGTAACTCAGTATCTCAGTTCATGTTCAAACATGTATAAAGATGACCTCTTTTTCTATTCTTGAGCAAAAACTAAATGCTCATGATATATTCTTTTATGTAAAATCTAGTTATTCAAGTTAAGTTCTAAATGAATTTTTCTTCATCTTATTTAAGAGTAAGTACTTTTTTTCTTCCATAGTACTAGGTAATCGTTTTCAGTGATCTGAAATACTTACGAAGAAGTTAGGATCTTTGCAACTGTTTGAATCTCAAATTATTATTTGTTCTCTGTTGGCTGTAAGAGCTCACTCATTGGAATTACAAAACCCTTTCTCTTTATAGCTGAAAGCGTTTAATGTATGCAAACTTACATTTGGCTTGAGAACATTTTTAAAAATAAACTTTTCAAATTGGAATGTTCTTACTGAATTCAGGCTTTTATGATGCTGTTTGATTTGGCATATGTTCCTCCTGATATCTGCATTGAAAACACTTTGCATTTGAGAGACTTTTCCTGCCTTATTGGGACATTTCAACTCAATTTATAGTTATCAGTAGGAAAAGAAAGAAAACATTTCCATCCAAAAGAGGTTTCAGTAGGATTTAGCAGTAAGTGCTTTAAAAAGAACAACAGCAGCAAGCTTGAACCTTTGCCCATTAAAAAAAATATATCAAAAACAAAGAAACATTACAAGATTCTCTTTCCCTTTTTAAAGGATCCACAGAAGGAAGGTTCTTCCTAGTCTATTTGAAAATATATCAGACTTACTCAAGAGACTTTTTTTGTCTATTTTACCTGATCCACTTACATTCAGAATCAGTCTGAATTTATTACACAATGTTACGTTTACTGCTAAAATGCTGGTCGTTGGTTCAATACTTGGATCCTTCAGAGAGAGCACATATCCATCAGGATGCATTTGGCTTTACGTAATAGTCAATTTTTGGAAGTTTAGACCATGAAGATGACTACTCTTTACTTAACAGAAGTCTGGGGTAGGTGTTGCTGTGGTTGGAAAGGTGCATGTATGATAGGTGGACAGCTCCCTGTTTCTTTATAAATGGCACATACCTGGAGAACTAGCACATAGGTAGCTCAATAAACAGAATGTTACCAGGACCCCCAGAAACTCCCTTTTTATTCTGTTTTGGTTCTCACTCTCCAAAGGCAATCAGCGTTCAGAGTTCTGACAATGTAAGTTATTTTTCCTATTTTTGTACCTTTTATAAATGCAATTATGCATGATATACTCCTTTGTGTCAGGCTTCTTTTCTTCAACATTATGCTTGTGAGATTTACTCACACTGTGGCTTGTAGTTGTAGATAGTTCATTCTCATTACTGTATAGTGTTACAGTGTCAGAAATATGCACCAATTTATATGTCTATTCTACTGCTTGAGGAGTTTCCAGTTTATGGCTATTACAAATAATGTTACAATGAGCATTTTGTTTTTGTTTGTTTGTTTGTTTTTTTGAGACGGAGTTTCACTCTTCTTGCCCGGGCTGGAATGCAATGGCATGATCTCGGCTCACTGCAACCTCCGCCTCCCAGGTTCAAGCGATTCTCCTGCCTTAGCCTCCTGAGTAGCTGGGATTACAGGCATGCGCCACCATGCCCGGCTAATTTTGTATTTTTAGTAGAGATGGGGTTTCTCCATGTTGGTCAGGCTGGTCTCGAACTCCAGACCTCAGGTGATCTGCCTGCCTCAGCCTCCCAAAGTGCTGGGATTACAGGAGTGAGCCACCACGCCCAGCCTATACAATGAGCATTTTTGTATATGAGCATTTAGTATACGTCTTTGAGTAAATACAAACATACAATTCGGCTTGATATATATCTAAGAAAGGAATTACTGAGTCATAGGGCATACATATGTTGAGCTTCAATGACGCTGAAGAGAAAATAACACAAGCAAACATTATGCAATGTGATTCAATGAAGATTCATGAAAAAAATGCATTTCAAACTTCAGAAATTAAAAATAATAGACCAGTTTTCCAGAGTAAGACATCTTTTTTTTTCATTCTTAGATCATATTTTGCGTTTTGTAAATGCGTTTCCCAATCAGCAGGGAAAAAAATATAATATGCAAACTAAAGCATGTATACAATGAATTGCATTTAGTTTAAAACAAAAGATTTGAAAAACGTAGGAGGAGAGAGTTATATTTGTATTAGTTCACAAAAGAACATATTCAAAAAAAAGCAAATAATTGTATTTTGAGTGTATCATAGAGTTAAAAAGGATGGAGTCAGGCTTTTTGAAAATTGACTTGTTTTCCTTCTCCCCTTTTAAAGAAGATAGGTTATTGAGGAAAAATAAATTTTTGTCATTTCAGAGAGTACCTGTTCTTTTTTTTTTTTTTTTGTAGAAAATAAAACCCACCTATAAAACATGAAGATTAAGCTTGGGGTAGCTCAAGGGAAATGACTCAAACCATCCAAACACTTGTTTTTTCTTTTTTCAGTTTTTCTAATGTAAAGTTAAATCATTAAATAAAATTTTGGTAGCTATATTTAAGTCTCCCTTATTTTATTTTTTAGTAATATTAAATTATTTTAGGACGCCTGATTTTGTGGTAAGAAACATCAAAGGTCTTGATATAATTTTTGACCGATGGGCTTTGAATCAACCAATTCTAGCCTGTGGGTAGAGGACAGAGCACTGCTGTCTCTTGCATATTAACCTTTATGGGGCTGCTGGAGTTGTGGACATTGAGTATATAGTGCTAGTTTGTACTCGGATTGATTTATTTTCAAATTTTCAAAAGAATATCTAAGTTCAATGATATTCTTTTAGTTTATCTCTCACTGTCAAAAAGTCTCCTCCAATGTCATTTTAAGTGAGAAAGTTAAATGATATTTTGAAACACTGGCTTGGGGAAAACTGCAGTTCAGTTTGCTTCAATGAGAAGGAAAAATAATTTCCAATATTAGATTACAGTGAAAAGAAATATAAAAGAGAGTTTTACTGGAAGGTCTGCCTTTTATCCTTTTAACGTTTCATGGAACTAGAATAAGAATATCCCATTTTGTCTAAGATGTACCTTTAAGCAACTTTTTAAGCCTCAAGGCACTTATCTTATACATTGTGCTCTTCAGCTGTATTACCAGAAGTCTTTTGTTTAAAAAAGCCTTTGGTAAAATTCTTCAAATATGAATTTAAGCCTGAACAACAACAACAAAAAGGTACTTAACATTGCTGCCTTTCTTTATGTAATGATCAAGTCCTCCCATGTTCTCCTTTATATCAGTAAGCCATTTTCTTGAATCCCTTTCTAAAATGAGGTTAAAGAAAAATGTGACATAAATCCTATATGTATGTTCTGATTTTTAAAGGGTCTTTATCTTTACTTTTACTGGTTCGAATATAGAAATTATCTCCTCCCGTTTCCTTCTCCTCAATTAGCTGCCAATGGTCTGGAATTTAACGATTTTACCTCATGTGATTCTATTTGTTTGTAATCCTATATTCAACATTGTACTGAAGTCTGTTAAACATTGATAAGCCGGTTTTTATGCAGCAGGTCCTCAGAGAGCATTGCACTAAAATGCTGCAAAGACTGGGATTAGGTTTACGTATTGTAAGGTGGTTTCGAGACGTTTTCCTAGTGTCTGTTCTTTCAAAGGTGCCAAATCAAGTTGGCCTTGATTTAATATTGCGAAAATTGTAATGCTGAGCTGACTTGGAGCTTCACGTACTTCAAAACGAGTTTTTCCGGGGGTGATTTAACAAACAGTTCTAATTTTTTGAGTGCTGCCGAATGTAACGCACATATGGGACATTATTGTGTAGTTTCTGTGAGACGCTGAACTCTTTGCCAAAAACTTAAGTTTCTTTCATTGCTATTCAAGTTATACCTTCTTCTGTTATCTCTTGCCAGGATTCCAACAGCCTCAGCTGATACTGGTTTCATTTAGTAAGGAGAGTGGCATTGGATTGTATTTCTTCTGATTTTTACAAAATAAAAATCCTCCTGCATCCCATAGATAACCACTATTAGCATTTGGGATTATATCTTTTTCATATGTTTCCTATAGGTAGATATAAATTTTGAAAAAAAAGGTATTTTGTTTGAAAGATTCTTTTGTAACTCACTTTAAAAATTTTTTATTATGTAATCATATATATAAAAGAATATATATGCATATATGATACAAAGAATAATAAAATGAACACCTGTGTAAACACCACCTACCTTACAGAATAGTACCAATGTTTTGAACCCCCATGTGTCTCTACCAAATGTTCATCTTTTCCCTATCTTGCAAAGATAACTGCGCTTCTGAATTTTGTATTTGTCATTCTCTTCCTTTAAAAAAACTGTTTCACTAAATACATACGTGTTCCTAAATAATATATTGTTAGTTTGGGTGTGTTTTTGAACTCGATATAAATGTGATAATGCATATAATCTTTTCTGACTCGTTTATAATTCCACATTTTCTCCGAGGTGCCTCCACACTGATGAGTACACTGGTAGTTCCATTGTTTTGACTGCTATTTAGTATTGTATGATATAAACATATGGTGCTTTTTACTTAAGTTCTTGTTGATGGTGGGTGGCTTGATCTCAACTTTTGCACTGACAAGCAATCGTCTTATGAAAATTCCTGTATACGTCTCCTGGTGCACATGAGCAAGAATTTCTTCAGGGCCAGTGACTAGGGATGAGACTGTTGGGTTATTAGATAAATGCAGTCAAACTTCAAGGCGATGCCATATTATTTTCCAAAATGATTCACAAATAACGCTAAGATGTCATTGTGTCAAAGTTTCTACACTTTCCTCGATCCTTAATATTGTTCTAAAGCCTTCATAAAATACTATCTCATTGAATTTACATTTCCCTGATAGTGATGTTGCACATCATTTTATAAGAGGTAACTATCTGTCCCTCCTGTTCTGTATTATAATTTTCATCAGCTTTTATATTGTTAAATATTTTCTCCCTGTTTGTAGGTTGTATTTTCACTTTTCTTTTTTTTTTTTTTTTTTTTTTGAGACGGCGTCTCACTCTGTCACCCAGGCTGGAGTACAGTGGCGCCATCTTGGCTTACTGCAACCTCCATCTCTCAGGTTCAAGCGATTCTCTCACCTCTGCCCCCCGAGTAGCTGGGACTACAGGCAGGCACCACCACGCCCGGCTAATTTTTGTATTTTTAGTAGAGATGGGGTTTCACCATGTTGGCCAGGCTGGTCTAGAACTCCTCAAAGTGATCCGCCTGCCTCGGCCTCCCAAAGTGATGGGATTATAGGTGTGAGCCATGGCACCTGGCCATATTTTCACTTTATTAATAGTATAATTTGAAGATTAGAAGTTCTTAATTTTAAATATTATCAAATTTATTGTTAATATTTGCCTTAACGGTTAGTGATTTGAGTCTCATTTAAAGGATTATTTCCTACCCTAAGATCATACAAATATTCTCCAATATTTTCTTCTGTAATGTTAATACATTTTCTGTTTATCTTTATAATCTACCAGGAATTGAGTCTTTGAATGGTGTGAGTGATTTGATTTCTTTTTTTTTTTTTTCAATAGGAACAGTCAGGTTTTCCATCACTGCATATTGAAGAGTCTATTCTTCCCCTACTGAACTGCAGTAACTACCCTGGTCCTGTATCACATGTATTAGAATAGAACCAGCTGCTATAATAAATATTCGCCAAATGTCAGTGACCCAATACAGTGTGACTGGTTTTAGTCAATGCTTTCCTCCACTTGCTTATTTAATGACCCAAGGTCCTTCTCTTTCATGTCTGACCATTCACTAGGACATTATAGTCTACTGCAGCCAGCTGGCAGATGGAAGAAGAAAGGGTAGAGAAGGCATGTCAACTTTGGTTTTTTTTTTTTTTTTTTTTTCCTGAGGTGGAGTCTTGCTCTGTTCCCCAGGCTGGAGGGCAGTGGCGAGATCTCAGCTCACTGCAACCTCCGCCCCCCAGGTTCAAGCAGTTCTCTGGGCCTCAGTCTCCTGAGTAGCTACGATTACAAGCGTGTGCCACCACGCTGCCACCATGCCCAGCTAGTTTTTTGTATTTTTAGTAGAGACGGGGTTTCACCATGTTGGCCAGGCTGGTCTCGAACTCCTGACCTCGTGAACCTCCCACCTCGGCCTCCCAAAGTGCTGGGATTACAGGCGTGAGCCACCGTGCCCAGTCAGCATGTCAACTTCTTAAACACCTTGTTTAGCAAGTGATTATATCACAACCGTTCATAATCCATTGGTGAAAACTAGTCATTTAGCCCTATGTAAATGAAAAGATTGCTGGGAAATGTTCCCTGATGGAAAGCAGCTTCTCAGAAGCATCTCTATCTACAGTGTGGGATAATATGAATTTGGGGTGTTTAGCTAGCTGTCTCAATTATATCAAGTTTTCGTATATGCACTGGTCTTTGTCTGGTAGGGCTAGTCCCTCCTCTTTATTGATCTTCTTCAAGTGTGTCTCAGCTATTCTTTGTCCCTTTTCAAGTATCACAAAGAAAAAAGTCACTGTTTGAATTGGGAAGCTCTGAATCTACAGGGCAGTCTGGAAATAATATATTTACATAATGAGGCTACTTACCCATTAGCAGTGTACCTCTCTGTTTACTTACATGGTCTGAAATGTCTTTCAGTATACTTTACAGTCTTATTCAAAAGGTCTTATATCACTTTTGTTGGATTTATTCCTAGAGATTCTGCTTTTTTGCTACTATTATAACCTGCCTTTTCTAAACTTCCCTTTCATGTCTGCCAATACATAGACATGAAATTGATTTTTGTATGTAAATTTTGTATCTTGACATCTTGGTTTGGTTTGTTATTAATTCCAGTAATTTGTGTTCAGAACTTTTGGAGGGGGCTTGTATGCAGATGATCATATTATATATGAATAATGATAAGTTTTTATTTCTCTTCTAATTTTTATCTTTTATTTGCTTGTCTAACTGAAAAGCAGTGATAGGCATCTTTGATTTGTTCCTTATTTTAGAGGGAATTATTTTGACATTTCATCATCATATATAGTTTGCTCTAGTTTTTTTGTAATGCATTATATCTTCTTTAATACATTGCGTGATTCTGTTTGCCAATATCTTCTTTAGAATTTTCCATTTATGTTCACAAGTATAATATTAGTTTATGATTTTCTGTTCTTATACTGTTCTGTGCTTAGTTTTGGTATCAAGATTATTCTAGCTTCATTTTGGAGTTGAAATTTTCCCATTTTCTGTTTCCTAAGAATTTCTTATGAGTTTGGAATCATCTGTTTTTCAAAAGTATAGTAGAACTCACCCATAAAACCATTTGAGGCTGCTGTTTTCTTTAAGAGGACATTTTAACGCTAATTTTGATTTTCTAATAGTTAAAGAGCTTTTCAGTTTTCTCAGCTCTTCTTAGATCAGTGTTGATAAATTCTGTGTTTCAAAAAATGTGTTTGATTTATTTTAGCTTTCAAGTTTATGGGCATACTTCCTTCATGGCTTTTAAATCTCTTGTGAGAATATATGCACACCTCTTCCCTTTATTGATGTCTTCTTTCCTTTTGTCCTGATCAATTTTTCAAGTAATTTAAAATTTTGTCTCTTCAAATATTGTCTCTTTAAATATTGGATATTTTGAAGTTCTATATTGATTTCTGCCCATTTATTTTTTTTTCTGCTGCTTTATTAGTATTTGTTTGGTTTTTCTTTTGTTGGTTTGTTTGTTTTTTTGAGACGGAGTTTCACTCTTGTTGGCCAGGCTGGAGTGCAGTGGTGTGATCTCTGGGCTCACTGCAACCTCTGCCTTCTGATTTCAAGCAATTCTCCTGCCTCAGCCGCCCGAGTAGCTGGGATTACAGGCATCTGCCACCACACCTGGCTAATTTTTGTATTTTTAGTAGAGATGGGGTTTCACCATGTTGGTCAGGCTGGTCTCAAACTCCTGACCTTGTGATTCGCCCGCCTCTACCTCCCAAAGTGCTGGGATTAGAAGCATGAGCCACTGAGTCCAGCCTATTTGTTTTTCCAATTAAGTGTTTATTATGTGTATTTATGTTAACTTTCTACTATAAATATTACGAATTTTTAAAATTATTCCTTAAAGGACCTCAAATATTTTGCTCATTTACTTCTACTATGTTTACATTTCCATTATGATTTCTTCTTTTACCCATGAATTATTTGGAACTGTATTTTTAAATTTTCAAATGTATTTTCAGGTTATCTGTGTTATTTCTGTCTAATTTGATTATATTGTATGGTATCAATTTTTTAAAATTCTGAGAATGTTTTATTGCACAGTGCATGACAGCTTTCTGCAACTGTTTCATATGTGCTTAAGAAGAATGTGTTGAGTACACATTTGGAAACGTGATTTTTGCAGGTTCATTAAATCAGGCTTGTTGATTGGGTTAATGGGATCTTCCACATGCATGTGTTGAAATGACCCACTAAGCTCCCAGATTTGATTAGTTACCTTGTAGTTCTGTCTGTCTAGTTTCCCCTATATATGCGGAGGCTGTTTTCTGAACTCATTTAAAGTTTGGAATAATTTTATTCACCAGGAGGATTGACCTTTTTATTGTTATGTAGTCTTTTGTCTGATATATTATTATATAATTTATATGTTAGCTTTCTTTTAGTTTGTATTTTCCTGGCATATCTTTAGCTCGTATCCTCAAGTTTTCTGTTCTCGGTGTTTATATGTCTCTCTCTCCCTTATAAAAAGTCTATTGCTGGATTTAAAAAATCTGTAACTCCACAGATATCCTGTCTGACCACTTTTGCCTTTCATATAGGGCTTTTAGTTCACTCATATTTTCATGTATATTTATTACAATTACTTTTATACTTGAACTTATTTATAGCATTATATTTTCTGATGTTGACTTTCTTTGTCTTTGCTCCTCTTTTTCCTTCTTTACTGCCTTCTTTTTGAGTGGTTGAGTTTTATATTCTTACTCTAATTTTCCTTCTTCCATTTTGGAATTTGTGCACTCTTTCTATTATTTTAGGTGTTACTCTTAAAATTTTACTATGGGTTATTTAGCAAATTAAAGAATAATCAATGGTTTAGTTTTTCTTTCCAGATAAATTAAGAACCTTTATGAATAATAACTTCTCTCTCATTGTACCCGTTCTCATTATCCAGTGTTTAGTTCTATTTTGTATACTTTAATCTTCAATATTACATATTATAGCTATAGTTTTATATAATTAATTTTATTTAAATGTATTCACATGTTTACCACACTCTTTGTATACCATTTCCAAAATGCTTGGGTAAGAATTGATACTTTGTCCAATAGCAAGGGGGGGATTATGGACATTTTTCATCTGAGGAAAGACATGATCAAAATGATACTTTAGGAAGATTAATCTGATGCAGTCAAAAAAGAATGGAGGGAGGAGGAGATGATAAGTAGAAACACAAATTAAAGGCTATGACCCGGGAACTTGGTACAATGATTTGAACTAGAGGGGTGGTAAAGGAGAAAAGGAGTAAGAACAGGAAGTAAAAGTCACTGTGAAAGAGGAATACACAGAAATTAACAAGTGGTTTGCTTGAAGTATTGAAGAAAACAAAAATAAGAATGAGATTTTTGAACCAAGGTTACTGAAATATTGGTGAAATATTAGCAAGTAGGAAGTCAGAGAAAAGAGCTGCTTTCAGGAGAAAGATAAAGAAATGCCCATGGCATATACCAATGATACACTCAGCACAGAGGTCTACATACAACAGAGTACTTGTAAATACAATAGGGTACTTGAGAGAAGTTAAGACTGGGGAAATAGGTGTTATAGTGGTAAGCATATATGGGTCATTAGTGGAGAAAAATATCGAAGAGAGTGAATGATGTCAAATAAAAGTGCTTTGTGTAATGTTGGACAGAGATATACCCCCAAAGAAAATGTTCAAATTTTGAAAGCCCAACAAGAGTCAGCACTGGAGATACAGAAGTCAAGTCAGGGAGAATCTGCTTTTGTGGAATATCATCTATATGTGGTACTGAGATAGATATTTCATATATATTACCTGATATAACTATCAAATGAGGAGGTGGTATGGTACCAGTGGAGGAGAATCATTCAAAAAGAACAAGGTGTTCAGCAGTGTCAAACGATGCAGAAGCACTAAGATGAGAATGAGAATTAAAGAAGATGTAATTGTGTGATTAGGATGTGATTGAAACGTTTGCAGATAATGAGTTCCCAGGGAAAGAGACAGAAACAAAACTGTAAGGACTTGATATGGAAATGAATCCTGTGCCAGTGAACACTGAAATGCAAACAAGACTTAATAATTCAGTGACAAGGGATTGTAGCAAGGCTCAGAGAAGATGCTTCTGATTTAAAATAGAATAGCTAAGTTATGTGACGACCATACTGTCTATACATAATAGACACTAAATTTATTTGTTGAATGAAAAGCTAAGTGTTCAGAGTTTGAAAAATAGGAACCAGAGGGAAGGACAAATAAGCAATTGAAAGTTACTGAATTGATAAGTTCTGTGATTTAAAAATTCCAGCAATATCTGTAAGAAACACAACTTCGTGGAATTCTACAGATAAAGCACAAGCTTTGGACTTTTTGTGATTTCTTTTCTGTACGTGTTTTTAAATGTACAGCAAGTGTAGGAAGATAAGCGTTGATAAAACATTACTTGAGAAATGTTAATTTGCTATTAATAACAATTGACATTTACCATTTTAAAGGCCAAAGAGAGGTGAATTTTGATAAAAGATAGGTTCTTACTTGGAAACGTGTATGCAAGTACACTGAAGAGGTCTTCTTAATATAGCATTTTATAACTCATCTCAAATGTTAGCAGCCCTGTTTTTCATTCGTTTCCAAAACTCATCAACCCCAGTCATAATACCAGCCACTTAATACAGATCCCATAAGTCTGTCATGTGTTGTTTACTTAAATGTGACTGTTTCTGATGACTTTTAAAGTCCCCAAAGCAGTTTTGTCCACGTTAATTTTGCTCTGTATCTCAGCATTCATTGCAGTACCTATTGAAAGTGATTTCACTAGCATAAGATAAAAATTTGATGACACATTTAATAGGCTTACTCTCAAACAACGGATTGACTCAAATATTATCAACAATGCAAGGTGGGCTCTTATGCCAAGATGTGTTCGGTTTTTCAAATTTTAATCTAACGCCTGAAATTTGTGTTGCATAAATGTTTGTCTTATTCTGTGTATAACATATTTGCATATGTATATTTGTGTTCTGTATAAGTACAGAATAGTTAAAATGTGTTCTCTCTATGCTTACATAAATGTAGCAGTGAGATATTGATAATAGCAATAATAGCTACATTTATTGATTGTTAAGTGCGAAGCTCTGATAAAAATGTTTTATAGGTATCATTGTACAAATCATTCAAATAAACTTCTGTGGAACATACAATGGTTATTCCTATTTTACAGAATGGGGTGAATAAAGGGACACAGAGAAGTTAAAATAATTTACTCGTGGTTACAGAGCCAGGAAGTTCTAGAGCTAGATTTCTAACCCATGCATGCTCACTCTATTGTGTACCCAGTAATCAACTGGATATACTGTGATTTTATATTAATCAAAATGCAAAGATGCAGAAGTTGTGAGAAAATTCCCTATCTCTAGCCATTTATTTTCCTGAATAAAAATACATCTATAAATTTCCCCTTATCTGATGACATCTTAAGGAAATGGTCATGTAAGCCAAGAATATATATTATAGTTTACTACTAAGTTGTTAGAACAAGCTAGGCACCAGTTTATATAGTCTAGAACAATATACTCAAGTACTGATGCTTATTATGCCCAGGTGGTAGTGGCATTATTTGAGAGGTTATGTTTTGTGTGAAATTTCTACTTTAAAAAAAATGAATTTGTTTTGACAAAAAATATAAAATGGGCAAGAGATTTTGAAACAAGTTTACCTAGATTTGCAACAATATATGTTAGAAACTGTTTGCTTTGATTATACACACATATATGATATCCTAACATGTATGAAGCAATTCTTTAGTTGATAGTGACTTATCTTAAAAATGTATAATCCAAGAATCATGGAGCATTGTATTTAGAATTTAAGAGTATACATTTTAACAAAACACATAAGAATATAATTTTTATACAAAACGACCAAAACTGAGTCTTTAGGATCATAGTTTAAAAAATGCAATATATGTTCTCATAAATATATGTAAATATGTATCATATATAGTAAATATATAGTTACATAAAATACATATATTTACATAGATGTAAGGATGTATAAAATGTACCCTTAAACATGTTTAAATAATAAAAGAACACATAAACATTATACCTACATTTATTTTATTCTATATTCTATAATTCTCCAAAAGTGGGAACCATTTTCTTACAATTACTTATGGACCCAAATTCCTCAAAATTAAAAGATCATTTCATTGGCACACTTACAAGAGACTTAGCTGACAGGGGTAGTTTTTAAAATCAAATTAAGTGGACTCCAGTTTCAGATTCATCAGTTAAGGAGCTTAGAAATTACCACTCAATTCTTAACAAGTAAAAAGCTGAACAAATTGAAAATCAACAACTTTTCTCAGATCTGTCAGACAACTGAGGTCACAGGGCAAAAAGCTGCCCCCAAAATTGCAGAAACAGATTGATGGATACAAAGAATCACAATTTTCTGAGCAGAAACCTCCAAGGGAACTAGTTCCAGGGTACAAAAACCTGTAATTGACGAATCTTTGGAGGCTAAGTGTGGACCAAGTCTGAGAGTTAAAAACTACAGGACAGCCCAGTCATAAATCATAGTAGGGGGCTGATGCTTTTGTGAGTTTTACCTTCAGGAGCCTTACCAAGTCCTAATAGTGAGCATCAGAGAAAAATCCCTGGTGCATCCATCAAGGAAAGGGGGAAAATACAGATTTTGAATTATACACAAGATAATTCTGTTGTTAGCAAAGTCTGCCCTTAGGAGAAACTATTTTTCCAGACCCTAGCCTTATGGGGTTTAATCAGAGCCTAACCTACCTGGAAGGAATTGAAATAATTCAACTTCAGCTCCTTCTAGTATTCTACAGGGGCATAGGGAAATAACAAATTCCACCCCGCTCTGGCCATCCTGCCCACCCAAAGAGGGAAAGAAAACAACTCAGACTCACTTGTGAAGCTAACAGTCTAATCACACAGACTTACCCAAGATAGTTTCTTTTGCTGTGCAGAAGCTCTTTAGTTTAGTTCGGTCCTACTTGTCAATTTTTGTTTTTGGTGTACTTGCTTTTCAGGACTTTGTCATAAATTCTTGCCCAAGGCAGATGTCTGCAATGGTGTTTCTTAGGTTTTCTGCTAGAATTATTATAGCTTAGAGACTTACATTTAAGTCTTTAATTCATCTCGAGTTATTTTTTATATATGGTGAAAGACAGGGGTTCAGTTTCATTCTTCTGCATATGACTAGCCAGTTATCCCAGCACCATTGATTAAATAAGGAGTCCTTTCCCCATTGCTTATTTTTGCTGATTTGGTCTAAGATCAGATGGCTGTAGATGTGTGACTTTATTTCTGGGTTCTGTATTCTGTTCCATTGGTTTATATGTTGGGTTTTGTACTGGTACCATGCTGTTTTGGTTACTGTAGCCTTGTAGTATAGTTTGAAGTTAGGTAATGTGATTCCTCTGATTTTGTTCTTTTCACTTCAGATGACTTTGGCTATTGAGGCTATTTTTTGGGTTCCGTATGAATTTTAGAGTAGTTTTTTTTTCTAAAATTGTTTCAAATCTCTACAATGTCTTCCAGAAGCTAGAACCAGAGGAACTAGTTCTTAACTCATTCTATGAGGCCAACATTACCTTAATTACAAAATTAGTCAAAGACATTACTTGACAAGAAAAATGCAATCCAATTTCTCTCAAGAACATAGACGCAAAAATCCTCAACTAAATATTACAAATGAATCCAATAATGTATAAATAGCATCATGCATCATGGCCAAGTGGGATTTATCCCAGTTATGCAAAACTGGCTCAACACTCAAAACTTAATTAATGTAATCTAAAATATCAATGGACTGAAGAAGAATAATCACTTTATCTTATCAATAGAGGCAGAAAAAGCATGTGACACATCCCAAAACCCTTTCATGATAAGAAGTCTCAGCAAGTAGGGATAAAAGAAAACTTCCTCAACTCGATAAAGAACATCTACAAAATACCTACAGCTAAGGTCATAGTTAATGGTGAGAAACACCAAGCTTTCCTGCTAAGATCAGGAACAAGACAAGGATGACTCCACTCACCACTGCTTTTCAACATCATACTGGAAGTCTTAGCTAATGCAATAAAACAACAAAAAAAGAAAATAAAAGGTACAGATGCTCCTTGATTTATGACAAGGTTACATCTGCAAAAACCCCTGATCAGTAGAAAATATTGTTAAGTCAAAAGTGCATTTTTCAACTTACCATATTTTTCACTTATTGATGTGCTTATCCAGATGTAACACTATCTTAAGTTGAGGAGTGTACTGAATGTGTATCCCTTTTGCAACATGATAAGGCTGAAAAATTGCAAGTCAAACCACTGTAAGTTGTAGACTATCTATATAGACAGGGAAAGAAGAAATAGAATTGTCTTTGTTTTCAGATAGTATCATTGACTATGCAGAAAACCCTAAAGAATTGACAAAACAGCAGCAGCAACAATAACAAAAAAACACCTGGAACATTTCCCTCTGATCCTAGACAGAAAAGGTTCTCCACCTTTAGGTCCTTAAGGACTCATGTGATTCAGTTGAGACCACTCAGATAATCCACAATAATCTCCTCATCTCAAATTCTTAACCTTAATCACGTCTGCAAAGTCCCTTTTACCATGTAAATTTGCATGTTCACAGGTTGCCAGGATTAGAACATGAACATTTTCGCAAAGGGCTTTGTTTTGCCTTCTATATCCAGTCAATTACTTCCAGTTAAAAAACTTATTTATGTTATATAACACTTGATATTTGCCAGGTGTTATGCTAGGTGATATTTAATATTTTAAAATATCTGTGAAATTAGTGATATCAGCCTTAGAAACATAGATGGAGGGGTTGGTCACCACTCATTATTTAATGTAAGTAACTTATCTTTGTGTTTTTATGTAATTATTCTCTGAAATACTCTTATTCAACAAGCAAGAGTATTCATCCAGCATTAGGAAAATATTTTATCTTTAAATTTAACTAGAACTATAACGTTTTAGAAGTAGGCCATCACTATTTAAACTCTTAAAAAGTCATAGTTAATTAACACCCTCATATGGGTCTTTGATTATCGCTATAATAAAATCTCCATTTATAGATAAGAGCAATGTGCATCACATGTAATGTAAACCTGTATTAATAGATTAGATGAAATATTATTTTCTAACTGTAAGAGTTAATTACTCTGAACAATTCCACAATAAATAGTCATAGAAATTGATTTGGGATATATACATCTCTCTCTCTCTTTCTCTCTCTCTCTCACACACACACACACACACACACACACACACACACACACTCGCCCCCCCCACCCCCACCCCACCCACACACACTTCTTTCTTTGCTTCTTGCCTGGCTGTAAATCGGCTATTTTTCCATATCCCATCATGAGCCTAAAGGGAAACATTTGTATATTTCAGGCTCCTAGGAAAGCATTTTGAAAATTCATTTAACAAAATTGGGCAATATCAATGACTTCAAAATTAGCAATGGCAGAAAAGAAGTAGTAATTAATAGCAGCGGAAGGATTAAAATGTGTTAAGATTAAGTTAAACATGTCGTTGAATCACTGTAAGAGACTGCTGATTGCAGAGCCTCTTAGTGTTTGATATTACTCTGACTTGATGCTGTGGAATTATATTTCTGAAATAAATAGTTCTTAGTTCTGAGGTTATGCTAAAGGACATGTTCAGGAAGAGCTTTCCTTTCTTACTGCCTAGTCATACCCTTAGGCAAAGAAGCAGTAATTTTGAAGGGACAATGTAAAATAGAAGAATAGGCAATCTTGGATATGTGTAGTTTCACATTTCATGTTTATAGATGTAAAAGTATTATGTTAATTATAGAATAGCACGTTTTATTTATTTATTTATTTATTTATTTATTTATTTATTTTTTGAGATGGAGTCTCATTCTGTTGCTCAGGCTGGAGTGCAGTGGCGCAACCTCAGCTCACTGCAATCTCTGCCTCCTGGTTTCAAGCAATTCTCCTGCCTCAGCCTCCCAAGTAGCTGGAACTACAAGTGCCTGCCCCCACACCCAGCTAATTTTTGTACTTTTAGTAGAGTCGGGGTTTCACCATGGTGGCCAGGCTGGTCTCGAACTCCTGACCTCAAGTGATCCACCCGCCTCAGCCTCCCAAAGTGTTGGGATTACACCCGGCCCAATAGCACATTTTAAAGTGAATTTATGTTCAGGTAACATGAATAGAAAGATTTCTTGAAGTTTCAACCAGCTTCTGAAACTTTGTAAACAGATTAAATAAAATTTGATGATTAAAATATATTCAGTTAATACATATGAAAAGATTCAACTGTAAAATATGACTAAGGCTTCCCGCTAATAAATGGCATTATGACGAAATCTGTAGTAAACTGTGGGCAATGTATATGGATATGATTTTAAAATCATGAGAAAGCTCATTACTGTTGGCTATGTCATTATAGCATGATTTTTTTCCTTATAATATGCCAATCAAGAGTAACTATGTTATGTTAAAAGGAGAAAATGTGGTGTTTTAAAAGTGATAAACCTGATGTATTTAAAAATTTTTTGAGATTTCCTCTGGAGCTGCACTGCCCAATATGGTAGCCACTGGCCCCATGTGGCTGTTGAGCACTTGAAGTGTGGCTAGTAGACTGAGACATGTTGTTAGTGTGAACACACACTACGTTTCAAAGACTTCATATCAAACAGTAAAATACTTTATTATTAATTTTAATATTGATTACATGTTGAAATGGTAATATTTTAGATAGATTGTGTTAAATATGCATATTATTAAAATTAAATTTAGGGTTTTTTTCACCTAGTTTAATGTGGCTACTAGAGCATCTTAAAATTATACATGGGGTTCACATTTGTGGTCTGCATCTTATTTGTGATGGACACTGTTGTTCTAAACTTTCCTAATTACTGAGACATTTCCCTTCATCACTTTTTGGGATGCAGTTTTCATTTATAAGTTAATGGTAAAACTGCACAAGTAACGGAAATATACTTAAAAGATCAAAATATGAAATTTAGCACTTTCAAAATTCCTCATTTAATGCTTGAGTCAATCCTTGGAAAATAATTGATCCAGAGGATATTTACAAATAGTCCATCATCAAAAATAAAGAGGGGCATAGAAGGTACTAGAGCTCTATGTATAAAATCCTGCCCTCTGGCCTATTCTATTATACTCAGAAGAGTCTGTGTCACTAATATATAGTAATTATCGTCGGAAATTATTTGCTATATTAGGATTCCCTATGGAAAAGTGAATTGATTGAAAAGATTTAGCAAAGAGTTAACTATCAACTTTGGTTTTTAAATAACATGTGAAAGCTAACTTACTCTAATCACTCTGTGGCCATAAAAAAGGCTCTGCCTCCAACCTCCAGAATCTACATCCAACAAGAAGTCTTGGTGAAAAGGATTGGCAAAAAGACTGCAGGTTCTGGCAAGGGTTTGTAAGTGGACCAACGAATTGGCATTTGAAATTGTTAGTCTTATAAAATGAATCATTGAGACTGGAAGGTCAATGTAATTGGCAAGCCATGTGTCACCTTTTTCTTGGGAGAAAAACACATCATTTCCATAAAAAAGTATAGAGCATATAAAAGAATAAGAAAGTAATGATAAAACAGAACTTACAGTGACATTAAACAGAAAGGTATTTATGGTAATGGATTTGGTACTGAATAATAATTAGGCTAATAGGATAAATTGCTCACAAATGGTACATTTGGGCAGGAATAGTGTATTGTTCACTAATGTATCTACAAAACTGAATCTAATGCCCAGCATTTTGTGGAAGGGAAAAATGAATTAACGACTAATGTCATATATACATAAACTAGCTATCAACAAGACAAGCTAGGGATTAGAGAAGACAGGGAAAGAGGAAGTAATGCTGATGCCTCTAAACATGACCAAGATTTATTCTTCACTCCTTTTAGTGTTTTCAACGTTAATTCCTGTAGTGTTCTCTTGCCTTCTCAAACCAGACTTATTTTTAAAGCAGCTTAGGCTGAGTAGCATATTTTTATAAAATGGTCCTCTGCGCCATTTCTAAGAATCATAGGTCAAATTAGTCAGGCTGCTGTTCTAACACTGATAATTATATCCACCTCCTACCAAAATCTGTAGTTAATTGGTAGAAATTCAAGCTTTGTAGATTTTAGTTGTTAAAAGCGTCACATGGAGAAAGTACAAAGGCTGTCCTAAGTAAATGACTTTAAGATTGATTTTTGAAGCCTTTTCTTTACTCAAAAAAAGTAATGGCCAGCTTAACAAATGCCTCCAGATGAATTGCTTGTTGTGTTCATCATTATTATATTACACATTCCCCTGGAAACTGCAGATGATAAGGGTGCATTTTATTCTGAATGTTGTGTAAGGCACACTGCATTTTGAAAGAGTTCAGTGATGTTAGGATAAATGTGTATGAGAAATACGTTTGAATAGATTCAGTAAGTCTATTCACTAGTCCCTTTTTCACCATTTGCTGTTTGGAATCAAGTTTGGGATGTTCCATGCATGGTCATCTTACTTTAGGGTATAGAACATCAGGAGTTTAAGAAACTGGGGTTTTTGTTTTGACTGCCATCATTTTGCTGTGTATTACTTGACAAGGAATAGAAGGGGAGGCAGGGATTAGATCAAGCAAAGAAGTACCCAGTAAGAAAGACCTTTCAACAATGTATAAAGAATTTATTTTAAATAAATTTCTGAAATGGTTAAAAAAAAAAGGCAGAGATGAGTTAGGTGAGGTGAGTCAAGCAAGGTGGCTGAGGGTTTAGATTTTGGAAAGTCACAACATAACCTTTTACAACTGAAATACATCATCTGTACCATGCGGATAATTGCATTTATGTCTTGGTGGTGTTGGAAGAATTAAAGGGTATAATATATTTAATTCACTTAATAGAGTGCCTGACATATATTAAATTTTCAAATTGTTGTTAGAGTGGCTGCTTCAAAGAATAGCTAATTTTACAGTATGGTATCATGGACACAGACTGTCAAAAGCCAACAGAATAATTTCAAATTCAACTTTTTTTCCACATATGGCTTTGTGAGTTGAGTGCATACTTTAGTCAAAAATATGTTTTCACAGAGTGATAATTTCTAGGGGTGATTAAAAGTTTGATTATAACCACTCTTGGGTTTCATAATCTAAAAACATTTTCAGAAAGTCTGTGATTAATTTTTCCCATTTAAAATTTTATTCTCAATAATGTGCAGTATTAAATAGAATTTCACAAGGCATCTTGGGAGTTACGCTCTCACATATTAAACTACACAGAAAAAGTTATATGTCATAGCTGGTCAAGAACTCAGAGCAAAATGAAAAGATAAGCAGATAGTGCAATGTGGTTCATGGTCCTTAAAAGACCTTTTAATGTGGTTGGTTATTTTCTAATGAATGCAAGTAACACATTGAATGCCCACCTATGAACAGAACCGAAATTAACAATTTAGAAATGTGAAAGTGACATAAACTTTTACTTTCACCATTTTTCACAGGGTCATTTGTTGGTAAAATTATCTCCTGTACTTGCTTCTTGTCTTACTACATCAGTCACCTGTGAATTTAAATTAGAGGCATTTTGAAAATATAATTAGTAAGTCATTGCTTGGATCTATTGAGTAGTAAATTTATATTTTTATAGTACCTCAGATATAGTGTGAAACTTTGAATAATTCATTTCTCACATGAAATAGGCACATTACAAATATCCAGCAAGTTGTAATTCTGGGTAAGAGTCCTTCAAAGAATGAAGAACAACAGTTAAGCTGTACCTTTGGTCATGCATGGCAATATGTAATTACTATCTGCAGGTCCTCAAGATCAACTTAATCTCTAGTATGTAAGTCAAATGCCTGTTGAACTGTACAGTATAATACATGGATAAACAATCCAAATGACTCATTTTATAAGTAGGTACCACTTTTTATAAACAGAGCGTTTTATAACAACCTGCTGTTGGTGGTGGTGGTGGTGGTTTTGTTCTCCTCCTGTTTCTTATTCTTTATTATTGTCATCATCTATACTTACTAGATACAGGAAAAATGCTTTTACAAAAATGACCCAATTCAGTGGTGCTGAAACTCTAGAGACATCAGAATCACCTGGATGGCATGTCAAAACACGATGCATGGTGCTTGCCTCAGAATTTTTGATTCAGCAGACATAATGTGGAACCTTAGGATCTGCATACATAGCAAGTACCCAGATGATGCTGATGCTGCTGGTCCAGGGACCACACTTTGAGAATCCCTGCTCTTGTAAATGCTTCTTTGTTTCCTGATCTAGCCCTTCTTCTATCATTTTAATGCTAATTATGCCCAAAAGTATAGTAGTACTGCTCTTTGCGTCTTTGCACACCAATCTCTGTGGACAATCTCATCCACACGTGTGGCTACTCACAAATATAAATCACCAGCCCTAATCTCCTTTTGAGTGTCAGACTAATATATCAACTGCCTACAGCACACCTCCACGTGGAAATCCCACAGGATCTTTAAATTTAATATGGCTGGCTGGGTGCCGTGGCTCACGCCTGTAATCCCAGCACTTTGGGAGTCCGAGGCGGGTGGATCATGAGGTCAGGAGTTCAAGACCAGCTTGGTTAAGATGGTGAAACCCCATCTCTACTGAAAGTACAAAAAAATAAAATTAGCCAGGCATGGTGGCGGGCGCCTGTAATCCCAGCTACTCAAGAGGTTGAGGCAGAGAATTGCTCGAACCCGGGAGGCAGAGGTTGCAGTGAGCTGAGATTGTGCCACTGCACTCCAGTCTGGGAGACAGAGTGAGACTCGATCTAAAAAAAAAAAAAAAATATTAACATGGCCAAATTGGATCTCTTAAGTCAACCCCCATGAAGATTGTTTCAATCAAGAATTGTCGCATTTTCATGAGGAGCATATTTTTATGGTCTTAAAGGATCCCCCCACAAATTACTTATTAGTTGCATAGGAAAAATAATAACTATACATTGAGGAAATTGAAGAACATCTTGGACAAGGTGATCAAAAATATCATCACCAAGGAGGGGCAAATGAGCATCATGTAATGCCCTAAGATACATTACCTCATTGCTCTTAAAGCATGACCCAATACATTACCTCATTGCTCTTTAAGCATGACCCAAACCCATGGCCTACCATGCAAGTCTCCTCCTTTCCCAGCCTCACTTCTCCTCAATTCACACCTCACAGTCAGCTTTACAGTTTTACCAATACACCTGAGTATTGAAGAACGTGCCATATTCTCTCTTGCTTTAGGGTCTTTATTCCTGCTATTTCCTTTGCTTGGCTCGCCTTGCCTCCTCCCCAAGCACCTTCTGTCTCTTTGACTAGTGAAAACCCATGGTCCTTCAAGACTAAAATTAATATTATCTTTTCAGAGAAAACTTCCATGCTGATTCCCCTTTCATGAGTGGTTTAACAGCTCTGTCCTGCTTGGGGCCTCCTAGCACTTACCACAGTTTATTATAATTTCTTACTTGCTTCTCTGTTTCCTGGCTTGCCTCTGAGTTCTGAAAGGTGGGAATTGTGTTATTCACCATTGTTTCCTCAGTTCTTAGAATACTGTTAATTAAGATACAGTTCCTTAATGAATGGATGGATGGATGGATGGATAGAAAAAATTGAAAATGTCATGCATTTTAATAAACACATTAAGTGTTTATTTTTATTTGGTAGAAAACTGATGGAGGAAATGAACAATAATGTTTAGTTTTATATTTGGTGCTGAGTCCTGGATAAAGACAATTGAATATGTTTGGTGTTCATCTAATTTGCAATTCAAAACCACCACGTGTAGGGACCTTTTCTGCCTTACTATTTAAAATAGTTTACAAAATTTTGAGAAAACGTAGTTTTAATTTTACCTAGAATCTTTTTTTTTTTTTTTTTTTTTGAGATGGAGTTTCACTCTTGTTGCCCAGGCTGGAGTGCAATGGCACCATCTAGGCTCACCGCGACCTCCGCCTCCTGGGTTGAAGAAATTCTCCTGCCTCAGCCTGCCAAGTAGCTGGGATTACAGGCATGTGCCACCACGCCTGGCTAATTTTGTATTTTTAGTAGAGACAGGGTTTCTCCATGTTGGTCAGGCTGGTCTCAAACTCCCGACCTCAGGTGATCCCCCTGCCTCGGCCTCCCAAAGTTCTGGGATTACAGGCATGAGCCACCACGCCAGCCTACATAGAATCATTTTACATCAGTGTTTTAGATATGAATATTTACTAATCTATTATATTTGATAGCAACCATAAATGCTTAAACTCACAATTTTTTGTTTTTATGTGTGGGAAAATTTAAAAAACAAAGACTAAAAGGATATGTATAACAAAATTTTATCTCTATATTGTGAGATTAATCTTCTCTTTGTATTTTTTAACTTTTCTAAATTAATGTGAATTAACTGTATATGCAGAAATAATGTAAATTTTTTTTTTTTTTTTTTTTTTTTGAGACGGAGTCTCGCTCTGTCACCCAGGCTGGAGTGCAGTGGCGCGATCTCGGCTCACTGCAAGCTCCACCTCCTGGGTTCACGCCATTCTGCTGCCTCAGCCTCCCAAGTAGCTGGGACTACAGGCACCTGCCACCACGTCCAGCTAATTTTTTGTATTTTTAGTAGAGACGGGGTTTTGCTGTGTTAGTCAGGATGGTCTCAATCTCCTGACCTCATGATCCGCCCGCCTCGGCCTCCCAAAGTGCTGGGATTACAGGCGTGAGCCACTGCGCCCGGCCAATAGTGTAAAATTTTTACATAGCCAATGTTTGCTATGAATGTGGTTTTCTAAAGAACCCTCATATTTTCTATATTTATTTGAAAGGGAAGATTTTGGGTTTTTCAATCGTTTTCTGACCAACTATCATTACATTTTTGGCTGTAAAGTGAATTGATACACAAAAGTCTTGGAAGCAATTTACTACCCACCCCTAGCTCTGGTATTCTTACGAGGGATGATACAAAGACACTACCTTTTCTACAAGCTCTTGTGTTTACAAGCATAAGAGAAAAACAATATGTTTAAGGTATTAATTACCCAGAATTCAGCAGTACATTCCTTTGATTTTTGTATACAAATGCTAACATATCACGAAGGGGAAAGTGTTCACTGTTTTGTATTGGCATTTAAAAACTTTTTATGTATCATTTATAATTGTGAGAGTAAATCTGTAGTTGGCTTCTTAAAAATTCTTGATTACATTGGTTCTTTATCCACTTATTTATGTTGATCCGATGACAAAGAGTTGTTAATAAGTCAAGACATTTTAACTTACTTATTGACAAGCTAACTAAGAAAATAGCCAAAATAGAGGTATTACAAATTTCTTATTCAACTCAGCATGTTCACTGTTCACTTAGCCAAACATTCTCCAACTGAAGAACTCCAAACTAGTTTACTCTTCATATGACTATATTGAGCATTACCTTACTTTAAATTGTGCCACTTAATAGTGAAGTTCGGTGACTATTTCAGCATTATGATGGATCCTCTTGGACTAAGATACAAAATTTACAGTTAAATTTGGTATTTGCCATCATAAATGGCCCAGATTAGCTGGTCCTTCCCCTATCACTGGAGAGGAGTAATAGTAGCTGGAACCCAGAAACCCAGTGGGTACTAGTTTCCTTTCTCTATCCCACTTTACTCCCCTTTATCTCCTTTGCTTACTTCAAGTTTTAAAAATTACTTACCTGGCTAACCATGTTTTAAAATACATTTTATTCTGAAAATGTGAAAGCATTCATAATACGGATTTTTTAGGTCAAACTTGCCACATTGGTGATAGTTGGGGATTGCGGCTGATTTGTCAGATGTATCTTACCATTGGAGTCTGTGATAATTAAGAGCAGTGTTGGACTGTGGTCATGTCAGACACTGCGGAGAAGAAAACCGTGTTTTACATGCATATTCAGCTGCTGCATGATGTGTTACTGCATTTCACATTACATATAGTAGCCCAGTGCCAACTCACTGCAGTAAATCTCAGTGCTAGGCTCTTGCCATTTGTCATAGTAACAGAAAAACATGTGCAGTTTTCCATTTTATTGAATGAATTTGAATTCATAGAGGACATCAGATTGTGCTCACTCTCTAGTTTATATGCCTGTGTGTGTGTGTATATATATATATATATGCTGGCAATACAAATAAGCTGACCATCCCAGGCAGACTAATCGAAGATCTTGTCTAATATTTTGGAATTGTGATTATTTCTATTTCTCTTTACCTTAACTTAGGGTACTTCATCTGATCACCACCCCTCTAAAGTATAGAGGGGGGTATTTTTGGCTCTTGTTCTCATTAATTTAAAAGTTCTCAATTTTTTTGCAGAGGAAAGGAAAACCTACCTGTTGGCTGTTTTGACCTATCCATTTAACCAGTAATGCACCACAGTTAGCACTTCTGGGACTAATCTGGCCCTCCAACCTTGAATAGGGTTTACATGGCATTGCCTTAAGGATATGTAGTCTTTCTATTCCTCTAAATCAGTGGCTCTCAAATTTGACAGGTGTCAGTCACCTAGGGAACTTGGTAAAAATACAAAACCCTGATTCTTACTCCAGTGAGTCTGGCCAATTCTGATATGCACTAAAGTTTGAGAACCACTGCTCTAGACACTAAAACAAATCAAAACAAAAAGACAGATGATCTGACCAAGGTAGAAATGCAGACAGCATTGAGTTGTCCAATTGGCCTGCTATCCCCGTGCCCCAGGCTACTTTTACTGAACTCTCTCCTGCTTTATGGCTTTACTTGAAGGCGACGTTATAAGAAACAGCCCTCCCAGTATCTGTGAACTGCAAATCACAGATCTCTCAAAATGGAATGCTTTCTGTAAGTCTGATGTCAAAATTCATTTGGGGGTAAATTTAAGAAAATATATTATTCCTTGTAGTGTAAATATTTATGTGTTTAAGTGCAGAAATGTTAATACGCTTAACTCTAGGGTGCTGCCCTAAAGCCTGCTAGGGTTTTTTCAAAATATTTGAAATGCATACTGAATTAGCTTCCAAAATCCAAAAAAAGTCCACTTTAATAAACATCTTAGTCCCAAAGATTTCAGATTATAATTATAAACAATGTGCTTATTAATACAGTCATATGCCACATAATGACATTTTGGTCAATGATGGACCACATATTTGACTGTGGTCTCATAAGATTATAACAGAGCTGAAAAATGCCTATTGCCTAATGACATCATATTTTCTATAATGTCATAGTGTAACACATTACCTTTTCTATGTTTAGATACACAAATAATTACCATTGTGTTACAGTTGCCTATAGTATTCAGTACAGTCAGATGCAGTACTGGTTTGTAGCCTAGAAACAAATAGGCTGTACCATATAGCCTAGGTGTGTAGTAGGCTCTACCATCTAGGTTTGTGTAAGTAGGCTCTGTGATGTTTGTACAACAGTGAAGTTGCCTAAGGACGCATTTCTCAGAATGTATCCCTGTCATTAAGTGATGCACGATTGTGGTGTGCTTCTGGAGAAATGGCTTATTTTTATCTTGTGGACATTGAAAATGACTTGGCAGACCATACTGTAAAGCTCTAAGCCAGGCTTTTGTCTTCCCTTGATCAGGAGCTCTGTGACGTTATTCTACCTTTATCTTTTTTTCTTGGTATCTTCCTACCTTTTTATTGGTATTATTATTATCCATTATAATGATTTTGCTGAGTGCATTTACTCGTTGGCTTTTTAGATTTTTTTGAATGTGTATAAACTAATTGCTTCTTCATTTAGTTGGATATATAGGGTGATAAAAATAGATAAATATATTACTTGTTCTGGGGCATTGTCTGGGGGAGATTTAGCATAGTTGTCCTCAGTTGTCTCTTTCTTTCATGCCATAATAAAATAACCTCTATTGTGAGGATAATTTTTCAAAAGGACTTAGTGTAATGAGCATACATTTTTGGCTAGGTCAGATTTCTAATAGTTGGCAGCCCAGGTATTAGCAACCTCATATTCTACTTCCCTGAATAAGAAGTCTCTAGGAGTATCTATCTACCAAAACCACTCAAATCCCTACAATCCAAAGAATTCCAGGCTTTTAAGTTATGTTTCTGATTCTAATCATTATTTATTCAGTAAATGGTTGTATAAAAGTGACACACCCTCAACTGCAATTTCAGTTTCCCTGGGGGAAACAAGGACCCTGAAGGGAAAACTTGTACATAGTGTTGCTTTCTTGCTCCAGATCACTGGCTCAGAGCATGAAAGAAGTGAAATAACAAACCACTGAGTTTCCCCTCAGGTCTTAAACTATCAGCCTGGATAGCAAACAATTTTTATTGCAAATTTGAGTAGTTACTATGCTTTAGGTTTTTTTTTGGATTAATGCAGTTTATTTTAGAGCTGTTCTGAGTTTATACAAAAATTGCACCAAAAGTACAGAGAGTTCCTATACACACCTTCATTCTCCATCCCACAGTTTTCCCTATTAATAGCATCTTGCATTTGTGTGGTAAATTTGTTACAATTGATGGACAGTTGTAATACAATATATTGACATATTATTGTTAACTAAATCCATAGTTTATGCTGGGGTTCACTTTTTGTGTTGTACAATTCTATGCATTTTGACAAGTACATGATGTCATGTGTCACCATTACAGTATCATACAGAATAGTTTTATTGCCTTAAAAATTTCCTGTACTCCACTTGTTTATCCCTCCTTCTCCCAACCCCTAACCCTTGGCAACCAGTGATCTTTTTACTGTCTCCATAGTTTTGCCTCTCAAGAATGTCATATAGTTAGAATCATAAAGTATGTAGCCTTTTCAGATTGGCTTATTTCACTTAGTGATATGCATTTCAATTTCCTTCATGTATTTTTGTGACTTAATAGCTCATTTCTTTTTGCTACTGAATAATATTCCATGGTAAGGACTTACCACAGTTTATTTATTCATTAACCTGTTGAAAAATGGCTTAAACTTTTGGTCGTTTCCACCTTTTGGAAAATATAAATAAAGCTGCTATAAATATTTGTGTGCAGGTTTTTTTGTGGCTGTGTTTTCAACTCATTTAAATAAATACTTTGGAGTGTGACAGCTGGATCTTATGGGAAGAATATATTTAGTTTTGTTAGAAACTATAAAACTCTCTTCCGAAGTGACTGTACCATATTTGTTTCACACCAGCAATGAATAAGGGTCCCTGTTGGTCTATATCCTGTCTGCCAGCATTTGGAGTTGTCAGTGTTCAGGATTTTACCCAATCTAATGTGTGCCATGCTTTATTTTTAACATTTAACAAATAGAAAATTTGTGCTCATGGCATTTGTTTCTTCCAATTACTAATGAATAGCATCATGGTTAAATGGGATCATTACCCTGCTTCTTTTTCCACCCACCTTAGCTTCCTCCAGAGTTCACTGTTATCTCTTCTCTCAGCAGGTCTGTGGTTGGCTATTCTTGTCTTACCAGTTTGCTGTTATTCCTGCACTCAGTTTCTGTTCTTGTATGTGCCTCTCTAGTGTCTAGCATAAATCCCTCAGGACTCAAAAAGTGGTATTAATATGTCAGTGAGTCCTATTCTGATTCCATTTTTCCCAAATGAGCCTCCTCTTTCAGGCTCCTTTGGTAAAGTTCTTCTAATTCCTTGGGTCTATTACCTACTTTTTATATTGTTATAGAGAATGTCAAACATATTCAAATACATAAAGAATGATATACTGGACTAACGTATACCTATCACACAGTCCCAGCCACCAACAACCCATGGCCAATAGTGCTCCATCCTCTCCCATTTACTTTTTCTAAATGTTGTATTATTTTGAAACAAATATCAGATATCATATTATTTTACATATTCATGTGACCAAAGATATAGAGCAATGACTTCTTTTTCTAACAAACACATAGCATTATTATCACACCTAAAATAACAGCAATCATTTATTATCATCAAATATCTAAATAATGATCTCATTAAAGTTAAGATCCAATAATGTCCATGTGCTTTGACTGGTTGATGCATATTTTAAGTCTCTTTTAATCTATGGGCTCTCCCTCTATTGTTTGCCCTGCCAACCCCCACAATTTATTTATTGAATAATCAAAATTATCCTGTAAAGTTTATCTTATAATCTGATATTTTTACTGATTGTATTTCCGAGATGTAGTTTAACATAATCTCTGTATTCTGTATTGCCTGTAAATAAGTAGAACCTCCATACAGGTTTGACTTATTTTGATGTGACTACTATAACTTAATTTTTTGTTTTGTATTAATGCCAGTTCATTACTGGTTCTCTCCTAAGCTAATCTTAGAGGGCATACCAGTGTATCAATTCATGCTTATTCTGAAATCTTTAATAAAGTTGTAAATGAATTATACAATAAATTTCACAGTGTCAGGAATCTAATTAATGAAATAGCTAGATTAGAACCCTGGACCCCAGACTTTTACATACAATTTCCTTTCCCTGTAAGCACTATGTTAGCCTCATGATAGTAGCATGCCTCTTTGTAACTTTTAAATATCCTGCAGCAGCAAATTGAGAAACACATTTGCAGAACATTCCCTTTACTGTGTAATGTGGTTCTTAGTAGAGAATTTATTTATTTATTTATTTTGAGACAGGGTTTCACTCCCGTCACCCAGGCTGGAGTGCAGTGGTGTGCTCTTGGCTCACTACAACTTCCATCTCCCATGCTCAAGCGATCCTCCTGCCTCAGCCTCCCAAGTAACTGGGACTACAGGCACACACGCCACCACGCCTGGCTAATTTTTGTATTTTTAGTAGAGATGGGGTTTCGCCATGTTGGCCAGGCTGGTCTCAAACTCCTGACCTCAAGTGATCTGCCTGCCTTGGCCTTCCAAAGTGCTGGCATTACAGGCATGAGCCACTGTGCTCAGCCATTAAGTCTTACATTTGTATACAACTTTAAATTATCTACGTAATGTCACTGCATAGTCATATAGCTTGGTAGTTAAGCATTTGAACTCTTTTTTTTTTTTTTTTTTTTGAGACAGAGTTTTGCTCTTGTTGCCTAGGCTGGAGTACAATGGCACAATCTTGGCTCACCACAACCTCCGCCTCCCAGGTTCAAGTGATTCTCCTGCCTCAGCCTCCCCAGTAGCTGGGATTATAGGCATGCACCACCATGCCTGGCTAATTTTGTATTTTTAGTAGAGACGGGGTTTCTTCATGTTGGTCAGGCTGGTCTTGATCTCCTGACCTCAGGTGATCAGCCTGCCTCAGCCTCCCAAAGGGCTGGGATTACAGGCGTGAGCTAACACTCCCGGCTGCATTTGAACTCTTTATTCTAATGTCTAAATAGGACTCACTATTTAGGGTACTCACTGTGTGATCTTTTTTATTATTATTACTTCATAGAGACAAGGTCTTGCTCTGTTGCCCATTCTGGAGTGTAGTAGTGTGATTGTAACTCATTGCAACTTTCAACTCCTGGCCTCAAGCGATCCTCCCACCTTAGCCTCCCAAAGTGTTGAGATAACAGGTGTGACGCACTGCACCCAGCCTCACTGTGTGATCTTGAATAAGTTACTGAGCCTAGTTTCTCTGCCTGCCAGATGAGACTTTTACTAGTAACAACCTTATGAATTTGCTTTGATTATTCAGTATGGATAATGTATGGATGATGCTTAGTACAATGCCTGGGATATAATAGCAAATGTTCAATATAGTTTGGAACTATAGGCAGAGAGAAGTGTTATTATGAGAAAACTGAGGCAGTGATAGGGTTGGGGCATTGGCCTAATATTACATAGCTGACATGTACTTTCACATAAGAGCCTGTCTTTTGTGTGAGAACTGACTCTGTAAGTGTCTCTACTGTTATGAAGGCAGGAACCTACTTAGGTACTAGGCTATGTGAAAGAAGCTGGTGATTAGTTGAATCTAAAGTTGGTGATGCACTCACATTGCCAACTACACACAGTCATAAAATCCATTAGCCTATTTTAGACGGCTTACTGCTTACCTTGGCCTCAGCTACCTTACTGCTTACCTTGGCCTCAGCTACCTTGGCCTCAGCTACTGCTTACCTTGGCCTCAGGATATTTAAAGACTAAGATTGTTTCAGTTTGTTTAAAAAATTACACACACACACTTGCGCTCACACACACACACACACACACACACACACAGTGGGAGAGTATTTTTGCCAAAACGTATGAAATAATTTTCTCCTCTTCACAGATATTGAAATGGTGATTTGTTTTATACATATTCCACACAAGGTATATATATGTAAGGGATAATTTTTTTGTGGTGAAATTTAAGTAACGGAAATAACATCCACTATTATTTGGGTAAAAATTACAAAAGCACTTCATAGAGACTTTTTTCCTTAGTGTATGAACCACATTTATCAGGTGGTACAATAGCTGAATTAAGTTGAAATTGTTCTAAAATATGCTTGAGATTTTCGTCTTTCTTCAAGTTGTCCTGAATAGGTAGACAGATACCTGAAAATAGGAATAAAACCTAAACCTCTACTTTAAAATGAGGATATTTTACCTTTAAATGTCTATTTCACTTGATGAATATTTAACCTTTTTGTTAGTTGACCTATCTAAAATCTTAAGTTACTTGAAAAATATATTTTCTTGTCTGTGGCTTCTTAAATGGTGCACATGTGGTTAGCAAGCAACAGCTATTGGCTTGCCAAAGCTAAAAGTTAAAATATAAGATGATAAAGTTGATGTAATATGTGACCTTTTATAAGTCACTTTCCCATTTGAAATTAAATGTGCCAGATTTGACAAACTTAATATATTGAATAGGTTACCCTAATATTTTTGTTGACTTTTAGCAAGAACACTATAAAGCAACTATAAAGTGTTATTTATTTTAGCTTTTCTAAATAAAAATCACTGAAGCAATTTTAATTTGTACATATAACTCTTCCTTAAAATTTAAATACCTGTTTTACTTCATGTGCTTCCATGCCTTATTTCATTAAATTTTCAAACACGTATAGAAAGCCACATCTACAAGCTATCAGATTTCCCTGAGATTACTATATTAAAACATACACTGAATCAGACTCCATTTCTTCCAACGCTGATTCAGCACTTTAAAAATAATCTTTGATTTTATATTAAAATAACTTATCACCCTTTACTGCATGATATCAGAATGACACTAGTTATTTCACTACAAAAAAATGTCAGTGATCAAATCTTGCTGGTCCACAAATAACTCTCCACTTGCTAATTTGCATTTTAGCATCAACTGTAAATATGTAGATAAAAGAACTGACAGTTGACAGCTAGGTATAACTTATATATATTTCATACAGTAACTCAATAATACCAGATTAATATTTAAAAACATTAGTAGGCCGGGCATGGTGGCTCATGCCGGTAATCCCGGCACTTTGGGAGGCCGAGGTGGGTGGATTACTTGAGGTCAGGAGTTCGAGACCAGCCTGGCCAACATGGTGAAACCCCATCTCTACTAAAAATTAAAAAAAAAAAAAAATTAGCAGGACTTGGTAATGCGTGCCTGTAATCCCAATTACTCGGGAGGCTGTGGCAGGAGAATCGCTTGAACCCGGGAGGCGGAGCTTGCAGTGAGCTGAGATCCCGCCACTGCACTCCAGGCTGGGTGACAGAGCGAGACTCCATCTAAAAAAAAAAAAAAAAAAGAAAGAAAACAAACAATGAAAGACATTAACAGGAGTATGGCAGAATAAAGAAATGTCAAAATATCATCCTTTAATCTTTAATGTTATAATTTGTGTTTGAATTATGAAGGATATATTGAATAATAACAAATAGAAGTATTTCAGGAAGCATAGAGGTGCTGTTTAAACACAATATGAAAGTAATGAGAATCATTTTCCAACACGGCATTGGATCCAGTCTCATGACAGTGTAAAGAAACTGTGGGAAAAGTGCTCTGTATTTTCCAGGTGAACCTGGTTGCCCATCTCTTGCAACCAGCTACAGAAGGTCAGCCAGTAGCACTGGATTTCCATGGTCACTCATTTCTCCATTCTACTTGTAGTCTGTGTAGTGAGAGGAAAACAAATGTGTCCCAAAAACTTGGTTTCACATGAGAAGTTCTTCAAATAATTTTCACCTTTAGAAAAAAAATTTATGGAGCATGATGATAGTCAGGAGGGAAGAATGGCAGTTTGGAAGGTAAGGCAAGAAGAATAATCTTGAGAGTTTCTAATGAGAAAAATAATGGAAAAGGGTAAAAAAAAAATAGAGCAGCTATGTTAAAGTATAATATTATAATTATTGAATAGAACTCAATAATATATAATTCTGAGCACTCTTTTTTTCTTCTGACTTTATCATACAATTTTATCTTTAGCCTACCTTTACCTTAATTTGTATATTCTTAGCCTTAGGTTATTGAATAGATTTTTATAAACCATTTGTTTTAGTCAGCTTTTGCTTAGTAAAAATACAATAATATACAATCCCCAAATATCAGTGCCTTTTAACAGCATTGATTTACTTCTCTCTCATTTTACATGTGGCAGCTCTCTATGGTTCTGTGTATCTTCTTCATTCTTGAGTCCAGAATAAATAAATAACTTCTCTCTGGGGCAAGGCATAGGGAAAAGAGCAATGGCAGAAACATGCAATAGATTTTTAAAATTGTATTTGAGTATAATTTGAAAAAATAATATAATTTACCCTACCAACAAAATCCATTCTGGAATAAGATGTCATATAGTAACATAAAATTTATATTAATGTATGTAAAAGAATAATATTAAGGTTGAAACTTAAAGAACCATTTAGTGTCTTAGTCAATTTTGTGTTGCTATAAAGGAATCCCTGAGAGTGGATAATTTATAAAGAAAAGAGGTTTATTTCGCTCATGGTTCTGCAGGTTGTACAAGAAGCATGGAGCCAGCATCTGCTCCTGGTTAGGGCCTCAGGAAGCATCCACTCATGGTAGAAGGTGCAAGGGAGCAAACATAATATGGTGAGAGAGAAGGAAAGAGAGATGGGAGGGAGGTGCCAGACTTTTTTAAACAACCAGATCTCACAGGAACTAGGACTAGAATTCACTCCATCCTGGGAGCATTCTCCAAGCCATTTATGAGGAATCCACTCCCATGACCCAAACACCTCTCACTAGGCCACACCTCTAATATTGGAGATCAATTTTCAAGATGAGATTTGACGGGGACAAATACCCAAACTATATGAAATGGTTAGCATCATTTTCACTTATTAAAATTTTATCAAACATCTACGATACAGATGATACCAGGAAGAAGCAAAGATGAATAAATACCTGTACTCTACATTTAAAATTCTCTGGATTCAGTGAGGAATATAGCAAAATATATAAAACCAATATAGATGCATCCACTGATGAGTGCTTTCTTGAGGATTAAAAGAGGTGCTAATAAGCAGAAACTGTGAATGAAACTGTCAACCACTGATACCTAGAAACCTTAGGATAGTTTCTGTGTAAGAATCTGTTAAATTATCTCAGTCCATTCAGACTATTATAGCAAAATACTCTAAATTGGATAGCTTATGAAGAAAGGCAATTTATTGCTCACAGTCCTGGAGGCTGAGAAGTCCAAGATCAAGTCACCATCAGATTCAGTGTGTGGTGAGGGCTCGTTCTCTGCTTCACAGAGGGCACCATCTTGCTGAGTCCTCACATGGTGGAAGGGCTTCATCAGCCTCTTTTATAAGGGCACTAATTCCATCGATGAAGGTGTAGCCTTTATGACCTAATTACCTGCTAAACACCCCATCTCTTAATACTGTTACATTGGTGATTAGGTTTCAACATATGAGTTTTGAGAGGACACAGTCAGACCATAGCAGATGAGGATAATAATAAAGATATTAATAGTAATAATAACTATCTGTCTTATGCATTTACTATATATCAAGTACTTTAGAAACCTCATTGTACTCTCACAATGAATTTTTGACATAAATTCAATTATTATTCTCATTGTACAGATGAGAATATAAAGGCACAGACACATATTGAAAGACTATTTATAAAGCTTGTAGTACCTGAGTGGATTAATGGTGTTTATATTCAGTTTGTAAAACAAAACTATTATGAGATTATATATATATATATATGAATGAAAAGTTTCCATGCCTGTTTTCTTGCAATATTGATTGTGAATGTTACCGCAGCCTAAGCTCATAAAGCATTTTCTTAACAGAAGCAATCACAGGCTATTTGCAAAGCCATCTCAATAAAACTTACAAACATGAGTCCTAAGGGTAGAATCAATTGGTGAGATGCTACATTTCTTTGTTTGAATTATTGGGGAAAATAAAACAGTATGAACCATTGATGGTGTTTTGAAAAATATTTTTACACTCTATTACTTTTATTCTTACCCTTAATATGTAGTTCTATCATTATTTTCCATAGAATTAATCTCCACTCTTACATATATTCTTTATGTAAATGAGAAATAAAATTTCAAAGGGGAAAAATGTAAGTAGCCAAAAATTTCTACATAATGCTTTATTAATGAGCAAAATTGGGGCATTTTATCTTCTGGGTGAGAAATGTAATATTCAGGAAAAGTGTGGTATAATTAATCATAGTTTATGTATTTATTACTCTAGGGTTCTTTTTGTAAATGTTCCATAGTTCTTTAGCAGTGAACTCTTCTCTAAGTTGCAAACAGTACACCTCTATTGTCAAAAAAGGACCAATTTCTTTGTTTGCAGCATATTGTCAATATCAAATATGCATGCTGAAAGACAGCAGACTATCAATAGCTAGTAAATTCACAAAACCATTGGGTGATATGCTAATATTTCACAAGACAAACAGTGAAGGGAGAATATTGTAGTAATATTTGCAAACAATATTTTCTTTAGTTTTGTATTTAAAATATGTCATTTTTTTCTTACTCTTGTGTGACTTCTTTTTCAGTCAGAACAGAAACCTTAAAATAGATAACCTTTGATTTTTATATTTATTCCATTTTTCTCTGACAGAGTATGGATGAATAGCATGAAACTAGTCAAAATTGCTAAGGGAATTAATTTATCTACAAACCTTGTTCAATCTTATTATTTAAAAATAACTTTTATTAAGATAAAAATTACTAAAAATAGATTAGACTCTTATGATGCACTTAGAAGGACAGAAGATCATTTCTCTGATAGTCTTGCCTCAAGTTACAACCTGATTCTAATAAGGAGAATGCATTAGACAAACCCAAATTGAGTTACATGCTACAAAATGGCTGACCAGTACTCTGAAAAGTTTCTAGGTCAGGAAAGAGAAAGACTGTAGAACTGTCACAGTTTGGAGGAGACTAAGAAGACATGGCAACTAATGCAATGTGGGAACAACTGGACCTTGAATCAGAAAAGAACCCTAGTGGACAAACTGGTTTTGAAATTTGAATACGTACTATAGATCAGTTCATCATATTGTATCGACGTTAATTTCCTCATTTTAATAATTGTTCTAGGGTTTGGAAAATGTTAACATTATGGCAACCTACCTGAAGGATGTGCAGTAATTATTTTCTATTCTTGCATGTTTTCTGTAAATCTAAAATTATTTCAAGATGTTAGAGAATTTTTTTTTTTTTGGAGACACAGTCTTGCTCTTGCTCTGTTGCCCAGGCTGGAGTGCAGTGGCACTATCTTGGCTCACTGCAACCTCCACCTCCCGGGTTCAAGCAATTCTTGTGCCTCAGCCTCCCAAGTAGCTGGGATTACAGATGTGTGCCACCACACCTGACTAATTTTTGTATTTTTAGTAGAGACAGGGTTTCACCATGTTGGCCAGGCTGGTCTCCTGACCTCAAGTGATCTGCCTGCCTCGACCTCCCAAAGTGCTGGGATTACAGGTGAGCCACCGCGCCTGGCCAAAATGTCAAAGAAATATTTTTAACTTCGGGAGCAAAGAAGAACTCCAATCTCTGGAATCAGAAAAAATAAAATATTATTTTTATTTGAGGTTATTTAAACCTCCCATGGAGTATATTAATATCTGCAAACTGAGTGCCTGCTACGCAAGGCTACAAGGTGCTGTATGAGACGGAAACATGGAGACAATTTATTTTTTTTATTATTTTATGATGACATTTATTAAGCTTCTAAAATTATGTAACAAAATGAAAGACATGGACAATCACACTTTTTGATATGATAAGAAAAGAGATTATTTGAATCTGGGACACAGTGTTCCAGAATTTAGAAGATCCATACAAAGTGTTGAGGAGAATCTGATTCTAATTTAGGGTTTAGGGGGAACAAAGATACAGTAGTTCCCCCTTAACCATAGTTTTGCTTTCTATGGTTTCAGTTACCTGTGGTCAGCCACAGTTCAAAAACATTAAACAGAAAATTCCAGAACCAAACGGTGCACGATTCTGAGTAGTGTGATGAAATCTCGTGCAGTCTCCCTCTGTCCTGTCCAGGACATGAATCATCCCTTTGTCCAGCAGATCCATGTTGTATATGCTACCCACCCATTTAGTCACTTAGTAGCAGGCTAGGTTATCAGATCAACTGTCATGGTATCGCATGACAGTAATCCTTATTTTACTTAGTAATTGTTCCACAGCACAAGAGTAGTGATGATGGCATATTGTTATAATTGTTCTATTTTATTATTCGTTGTTAATATCTTACTGTGCCTAATTTACAAATTAAGCCTTATCACAGGTATGTATGTATAGGAGAAAATGTATTATAGATCAGGTTTGGTGCTAACCACAGGTTCAGGCATTCACTGGGGATCTTGGAATGTATTCCCGTCAGATAAGAGGGAACTACGATATGTCGATACAACAGTGGTTGAACTATTGAGTCATGCTTGGAGCTCTTGAGTATGAATATCAGGAAATAAGCCTGGAATTAATCCAATTGTGGCCAATTTTTAATGCCATATTAGGGCACTTAACCTTCATTGTGTAGTCAGTCTTAAGTGATCAAATAAACCACACAATTGGTTCTATGGTTCACAAAGTTAATGGCGATATCAAGTGAAAATTGGAGTGAGGCAAGATGGGTTTCCAGGAGACCAGAGAGGCAACAAGGGCTATATACCTTAAGAGCAATTTACAAAAGATTAAAGGAGGGCAGTGGCAATGGGGATGAGAACAAATAAAAAATAGCAAAAAATAATATATTGAACTTATTGTAATTATGTCAAGCTACTGTTATCTTTAAAGGTAGGAAAATAAAGATCTTGGCTGGGTGCGGTGGCTCACACTTGTAATCCCAGCACTTTGGGAGGCCGAGGCAGGTGGATCACCTGAGGTCAGGAGTTCGAGACCAACCTGGCCGACATGGTGAAACCCCAACTCTACTAAAAATACAGTAATTAGCTGGGTGTGATGGTGGGTGCCTGTAATCCCAGCTACTTGGGAGGCTGAGGCAGGAGAATCGCTTGAACCTGAGAGACAGAGATTGCAGTGAGCCGAGATCACACCATTGCATTCCAGCCTGGGCGACAAGAATGAAACTCAGTCTCAAAAAAAAAAAAAAAAAAAAAAGGAAAGATCTGAATAAATAATCTCCTTTCCTTAATATAAATTTTAATGATTACAATTACAACTAATTGATGAGACTGGCCAGAGGAGTAAGGCATGTTGATCTTCTTTTTTTTTTTTTTGAGATGGAGTCTTGCTCTGTTGCCCAGGCTGGAGTGCAGTGGTTCAATCTCAGCTCACTTCAACCTCCGCCTCCCGGGTTCAAGGAATTCTCCTGCCTCAGCCTCCTGAGGAGCTGGGATTACAGGCGCGCACCACCATGCCTGGCTTATTTTTTTGTATTTTTAGTAGAGACAGGGTTTCACTATGTTCACCAGGCTAGTCTTGAACTCCTGACTTCAAGTGATCTGCCCGCCTTGACCTCCTAAAGTGCTGGGATTACAGGCATGAGCCACCATGCCCGGCCTGATCTTATTTTTAAAGAGTGTAAATGTAATCTAATTATAAATTTAAACTTTAGAGAGAATGTTGAGAGATACGGACATAATAATAAAAAAAACCTGAGCCGGATAATTGTGCTTGTCTGAAATGAGCTAATGAAATAATTTTGTTCATATCCTTTGGGGGTATTTCTGAAAATCAGTAAAGACTATGCACAGCCATTTTATGTTTTTACAATAGTGCCATTAATGATGCCTTATGAGTGAAGAAAGTTGGATGATTGGGTGTAAAAGATGTAAGGTTAATGGGAAAACTTCCCTAGTCCACAAATCATCTTATTATCCAGTCTGTAATTCTTTGTTCCATGCCAAAAATCTATATTTCGTCAAGTAATAATAGATGCTTTCAGGCAAACAGCCTTATATGTTGAAATGCAAATGATTACTTTTACCCCGTCTCCTATGCTTCTCCTTAAACACTGAAGTGAGTCAGAAGAAAGAACTCTTACCCTTTCTATTTACACTCACTGCTTTGGTGGTATCACTGAATCTCATGGCTTTAAATACCATTTGTCTTCTGATGATTACCAAATACTAATCTCCAGCTCAGACCTTTCTCTCCAACACGAGACAGGCCACTGGACTTTCAATAGGTAGCTCAACCTCATCCTCACGTGGTGGAAAGCTCTGGATTGTCCCCCAAAACTATTTATCTCATCATTCTTTTCCCATCTCAGTTAATTGCATCGTCATTCTTCTAGTTACTCGGCACAAAAACTTTAATGTAATTCTTGACTCATATCTCTCTCACCCATCATTTGATTCATCAGAAAATCCTATTGTCTGTACCTTCAAATCATTTCCAAAATCTGACCACTTCTCACCAGCTCCAACGCTAGCATCCTGGTCAGAGCCACATTTCACTTTGCTTATTGCAAGAGCACCCTAACTGACTTCCAACTTCTGCCTTGCTTCCCATCAATTCACTCTTAACTCTGCTGCTGGAGTAATTCTGTTAAAACAGAGATTAGTATGTGTCACTTATTTGCTCAAAAACCTCCAAAGACCTCTACTTTCACTGTGAGAAAAGGCCAGAATACAAAATTACAAGGGTCCGTAAGGCCCCAGAAAGACTTGACCTGGCCTGACCTCATCTACCGCTACCTTTCCCTCTTGCTCACTCTTGCTTATTTTCAGCAACACAAGGCTTCTTCCCTTTTCACAATCACTGCAGGAACACTCCTGCCTCTGAGACTCAGACCTTGCTCTTTCCTCTAGCTGAACTGCTCTTCCAAATGCCTTTTTTGTTCACTCCTTCACCTTCTTCAGGTCTTGACTTGAAACACCCTATAAATAGGGCATTTCCAGGCCACTCTAAAATTGCAAACTTACCTCCATTCCTTGCACCCTTTCCCTCCTTACAGCTGTTATCACCATGTAATTTACTATAGTTTTTGCTTACTTGTTTTTTATCTCTTACGCAACCATCCCATTAGAAAGTAAACTCTATTAAGGCAAGAATTTTTGTTTTTTCAGGACTCTACACTAAATCTCATAATTATAAGACAATATTTGGTGACTAATTTTAATAGGAAATATTGCCTAGAGTAAGTCCAGATTTTCTTCTTAATTTAATCATTAGGCAAAATATTTTGAGCACCTTTTATGTACTTGATTAGAACATAAGGGCATAATGCATTTTAGGATGTCTGAGATTATTGGGGAGTAGGCATGAAAACAAGTATTAATGGTCCATTGTTACAAGAAAAAGAGTGAAATCTGGGCTGATGCTCTCTAGTTTGAGCAGGAAAATATCTCATAGCCTCTAACCTTACTTAAATTCTGCCAGCTCTGGCCTGTAGAAGCAGTGAGGCAAAATGACCCACTGGAAGAAGCTACTTCTTTTGCAGAAGCAACCTAACTCTGAGAAGAAAAAAATTAAGCCTATCATCTTCAGTTCTACTTGAGATCTTAATTATAAAATAAACTCAGATTTCTATTTCCAGTTCAGATGGTTTGGTATAAGATGGGCCATAATCCCTGAAAAGTGGCAATTCCAAGGAAGTTTGGCACAAGTCTTAATATGCTTATTCAGGCTGAAGTTCCAGCAGTTCCTTCCCATAAGCAGACCTGCTAGAGTGTGGAAGACACATAATGTAAATACGTTAGGAGCAATTGTTGTTTCTTTCATTTTCTTCTGAATCAGTCCACAGCCCAAGGATTCTGTGAAGTAACAAAATTGGCTGTTACAGATTATAGCCACATTCCCATCTTAATAGCAGCAGTTGAAATTTCTTGGGCATTTCAAGGTAGAGATTTATGTTTTATTTGCAGTTCATGATTATTCTGATTCAAATATCTGTAAATATAAAGGGAGGGGGAGAATGCTAACACAAAAAATATTGTACCCAGTTAAACTTTATGTCTGTATTAATAAAGCAGTCTTTGATTTAGAATTCTTAGTCCCTTTCTTTTAGAGGATTGAGGTTAGGGTATGTGGGTTTGTGTATGTTTTGTCACCAAGGTTGGGGTGATATTACCACAGTGACCAGAACTATAACCAAATTCCCATTTATACTAGTGATGGTTGTATCCTGTCTACCAGAGAGGGGAAAAATGCTTTGACAAATTCATCATTGTTATGTTTTCTTGCCACAGTTTATTCTCTTCTGCATTCTGTGGAAGTTCTTTTGGCCCTGTGGCTTCCTCAATCATAAGCTACCACATACAAAGACTATTTTTTCAAAGAAGCCAATTAGTTTTTTACTAATCATACGAACTTAGAAAAATAGATATTAAATATTACTGATAAATAACACAGCCTTGTCAGAAATCTCTCAAAGTGTGTGATCATTGTCTATAGAGTAGAACTTTTTAGGGGCAATACAGTACTGTTTTTATATTCAATGAAGATAAGTTAGATTAAAAATGTAAGATATCTTTTTGTGAATTGCCACATGGTAGAATTTTGTAAGAGGTTTTTATAATGCTATTCAATTACTTCTCCATGGAAGAATTTTGCTCACAGAGAAAGAGAGACAGTGTGTGTGTATACACAAACATATATAAATGTACATATATCTGCATGCATTATATATGCATATATTGTATGTGTATGTAAAGTATGTATAGACATACAAATACAGTCATATATACATACATATATAGTCTATACATAATAGCTATATGTGATATACTCTCTAGATGTTATAAAAGCTTTTCAAATTTCAACTTATTGGATTTGTTTTGGTGAGTGTTCAGGTTTATTGGTGGAAGAATTATGAGTTTATAAATCACTGATTAGTCCTCTATTCTCACAAGAGTAAAAGAATATTTTAATGATACATAGTCACCAAGGGATTGCACATTTTCAAATGAACTCACTGTTACTGCCCCTGTTGTCAAGATGGTATCTCCCTCTTTCTCCTCGGCAAAAACACCATGAATCAATTTATTTAGAGTGAAAACAAACGTCAATCATTAGGTGAAGATGCTTTTTCTCAATATCTAAATGGTTTAAAATTGAATTTCTCACGTAACTGCCCATTTAAAGACTCAAACATGGTTCTTTGTTTTTGAGGAATATTCTTTATAAAGTCTCTGAAAACACTTTTACTCTCTTAGCAAGATACCTTCTTTACTTGGCAACAAAAACCACATTGAAACAATCGTATTCCCTTTTGTCAGCCTGAGCCAGCTGAAATCTTTGGAGTTATCAACCTCTGCCAACAACTTGAAGTAGCGGTTGCACAATGGATAACTGAGATGTAGTTTATTCCAAGCTAATGATTTTCTGAAGCTTTCGGGATGGTTATATTTATACTGACAGATACAGACCTAACTTTCCCATAAAAAGAACAGACTGTGTTCAACGTACCCAGATAATACCAGCCTCTTTTTTGTATAATCCTTTAATTTCAGATGCTTATAGCTGCTTCAGTCCTGTCAATACCAGCACTCTGAAGTCTTGCCCTGCTTGATAATCATTTGTCTCTGTAATTTCTTTATCATTGCTTTACTTAGGGACAACACAAATAATCTATTTAGACCAGAAGAGACCAACTTTCTTTCTTCTTTATGATCAAAATATTTTGTAGACTCCCTACAAAATAATTATGATAATTGTAGTAGCCATTGGGTAAGAAATGCATAATGACAAAAATCTAGTTTTAATTCAGTCGTGCTAAGCATATACTCTGCTTTATTACATCAGCTACATATGTTTAAAAATACTAATATATATTATTTATCTAGTCTGCATTTGGACTTGCCTAATCCTTTCAACTAGAATGCCCTCTCAAAGATCCGTATCTTGAAGCACGAGAACCAATAGTTTGAAACAACTGATATAAAGTGGATAACATCAGGTGTCCAATGACCTACCACATTTGACACTGAAAATATTTTCCAAAGAAATACAGAGTATGAAAATAAGAAAGAACTACTCTATCACTCATTGTCCCATCGTCTGATGGCCCTGTTGACTCATTGTACACCAAGGGCCTTTTGAAGTAGGGAAATACATGTGACCAATAGAGATAGAACAATAAGACAATTTCAGATTTGAAAGAAACCTGAGCAACCACGGAGCCCAACCCTCTCTTTTTCTCCAGTAATCCAAAGAGGTCAAGTAGCTTGTTAAGGGCACCCAAGAAGTTGATGGCAAAGCCAGGCCTAAACCTGGATTATACAAACTTGAAACTATCTTGAAATGTAGTAAGCACTATCGCAGTGTTGGGTAATACCCTTACACTCAATCCCAGAAGATTGAGTTCAGAAGATGAAGATGTGGAGGCTGAAATTATAACCCTGGGGATTCGTTGATTGTGATGTACTTTATGCAGGTTTAGAGGCAAAAACACATGGCTTGGCATCAGAAGTGGAAAGGAAAGTAGAGTGTTGTAGAATGAGTGCTGGATTTGAGGTCAGAAGACCTCTTTTAATTCCCGGTACTGTCACCGATTAGATGTGACCTATGGCATAACCCTTAAATATCCTTGACCTCCTCTGTTTCCTTTTATGTTAAAATGGGAATAATAATGCATGCTTTGACCATCATTTAGAAAGGTTGAGAGAATCAAAATCAGTATCAGAAAATGCTTTTTTAATCTGTGCAGAGCTTGAGGTAACAAAGCAGTATACCTCAATAAATATCGTTGCATTCCTCTATGCCAGGCTTCGTGCAAGGCACTGGGAATAGAGCACTGAATAAAATAGAAATGATCATAGTTTAAGGAATTTTCATTCTAGAAAATAATTACTTAAATGTGGCTCTATGTAACTTACCAGGAGCTTTCTTATCCGTTGTTCCTCTTGAGCTTTGCAACAGTACTAGGCAGACAGGATAGATAAGTAATGATAATAACAAAACAACAATAATAGCAGCAGCAGCAGCAGCTAACATTTCTATTATTTCAATGTAAAAAAAGAATTTCAGATTGTTTAAATACAGAAATGTGGTGGAGTAGAAAGAAGGCCAAGATGGGGACAAGGGGAACCATGACCCCAAAAGCAAATAAAGCATCTGAGCATTCCTTTCTGTTTGGTTATGAACATCTGAGGGTACATAATCATAATGAGCTCCTTTCAGTAAATACAAGATGGGTGTTTCCATCTTGATATTATAAATTAAGAAACAAGGCTGGGCGCGGTGGCTCACTCCTGTAATCCCAGCACTTTGGGAGGCTGAGGAGGGCAGATCACGAGGTCAGGAGTTTGAGACCAGCCTGACCAACATGGTGAAACCCCGTCTCTACTAAAAATACAAAACTTAGCTGGGCGTGTTGGTGCATGCCTGTAATCCCAGCTACTCAGGAGGCCGAGGCAGGAGAATCGCTTGAAACCGGGAGGCGGAGGTTGCAGTGAGCTGAGATCGTGCCACTGCACTCTAGCCTGGGTGACAGAGCAAGACTCCATCTCAAAAAAAAAAAAAAAGAAAAAAAAAGAAACAAAAGCACAATATGATCGTGTGACCTGCCCTAGATGCTAAACCTAATGAGCAGAGAAGCAAGCAAAGATTGATTCCAGGATTTCCTGGCTCCAAAGCCTAGGTTATCTCCATTGTATCAGGCTCCTTCCACCACATCTGGATGTTGACTACATCCAGAACATGAAACAAAAGCTTCAGTGCTAAAAACAAACAAACAAACAAGCAAACCAAACTATCACATTAAGAAGCAAGTCACCAACTGATCATTTTCTGATTTTGCTGTTTCCATGGATGGTTCCAAAATCCTACCTAACTCATCAAGCTTAAATCAAAGTTGACTCATCCTTACTTGTCATCCCATGTAAAATAAGTTGCCAATTCCTATCTGTTTCACTTTCAAAATGTTTTTAATCCTGCTGCTTCTGTGTAGTTTTGAACTGGATAGTTCTAATAATTGTTGCCAAAGTTCCATACTAGCATCTCTGGCTTGGACTCCTTACATGCTGAATCCAACTCTCTTAGTTTGCATCCCCTCACTGGCAGATCCTGAGACAAGGCTTTAAGTGCTGGTAGTTTATTTGGAGCATGACCCCCCAAACACAACAGTCTGGGAATGAAGTGAGATGGGAAAAGGAAGCTGACCAATAAAAGGTGTGTTATCAAGAAAGTTACAACTGTACATAGCTGGAACTTAGTCCTAACAGAGAACCCTAGGAAACAGGATAGAGCATCTGACTTGGAGTTATTCTAACTGAGGATCAAAAGAGCATCATTTATAGACTGGTTCCCATTGGTTATTGGTTTAGGCTACCCCCAAGAACTTTTTGGTGTTGAACTCTTCCTGCGTGTAGTGCAAGTGAGAAGAGAATGCTTCTGCAGCCAGGGAAATCCCTCAGATGAAAGGACTTAGATATGAAAGTTGGAAGTCAGAGTTCAGAGAAAAGATACTGGCCAGGGGAGTTTATCTGGGTCACTGTATTTGCTCTGCCAGCCTATATATTATTTCTAAATTAATCTTCTTAGTGTACATCTGTATTAGTCCATTTTCATGCTGCTATGAAGAAATACCCAAGATTGGTTAATTTATAAAGAAAAAGAGGTTTGATGGACTCACAGTTCCACATGGCTGGGGAGGCCTCACAATCATGGCGGAAGGCAAAAGAGGAGCAAAGTCACGTCTTACATGGTGGCAGGCAGGAGAGCATGTGCAGGGGAACTGCCCTTTATAAAGCCACCAGATCTCATGAGACTTATTCACTATCATGAGACCAACATGGGATTAAACCCATCCCCATGATTCAACTACCTCCCACCAGGCCCCTCCCATGCATAACATGGGATTATGGAAACTACAATTAAAGATGAGATTTGAGTGGGGACACAGCCAAACCATATCAACATCTTTGCTGGAGAAAGCTACTCTAGCTATTAGGCTACTCAGAGTATGCCTTGTGACTTTCATCCTTCATGCCTTTCTCATATTGTCTCCTTTTCTTGATTATTGTTTTCAGTCTTACCCTACTCCCCGTCCCACATAGTCAAATGTTACCTATTTATGAAGACTCACACTGTGGGCATTTGTGATTACATATTATTTTTAATTACATTATAACTTGATGTAATCCACTAGCACAGTGTTCTAAATATAATAGAGGCCTAATGGATGTTTTTGGACTCATTGTCTGACAACATAACAACTTGTGATTGTCTGAAAATGTAACAACTTGTGATTGTCTGAAAATGTAACAGCCTGTGAACTCTTCGTTGTTCAAAGAAAACAGAAAAATTCCAAATATGTAACTCTTTGAAATTATGTCAATGTAGATTTGTTTCAAATGTTAATATATAGTAACCAGGGAATAATAGCAATGAATTTGTTCAGTTACGATATTTGGTACTTCCAAATAGCTTCCCATGATGAGGATAAGATAACTAATAATTCTTACAGTAAAATATTCTTTGATTGGGTTGTTTCCTATTGCTGCTATAATAAATTAACATAAACTTAGTGGCTTAAACAACCCAAATTTATTATCTTACAGTTCTGGAAGTCAGAATTCCAAAATGGATTTTACTAAGCTAAAGTTAAGGTGTCATCATGGCTGCATTCTTTTCTGGAGACTCTGGGAGAGAATCTGTTTTCTTGCCTTCTTTGGCTTCTAGAGACTGTCTACATTTCTTATCTCTTGGCCCTCTTCCATCGTCAAAGCTAGCAGTAGCCAGTTGAATCTCACAGAGCATCCCTTTGACATTAACTCTTCTGCCTCCTTTTCTCATATTTAATACCCTTGCGATTACACTGGGCTCATCTGGATAACCCTGGCTTATCTCTGTATCATAAAGTCAGCTAACTAGTAGTCCTAATTATATCTGCTACGTTAACTCCCCTTTGCCTTATAAGGTAATATATTCGCAGGTTCAGGAGATTAGGACACAGATGTCTTTGGGAGGCCATTATTCTGCCTACCACAATTGATATGTCCCACTCTTCCCTCCTAATTTAATAAGACAATCCTATACTGGTTTACCCTTATCTCGTAAAATATTCAAGATGTAGTACAGATGTTCTTGATGCTAGATGTTGAATTATGATTTTAACAAATGGAGGCTTGTGTCTCATAATGTATATTTCGTTTTGAAATAGAAAAGTTGACTTAGAAAATTAGACTTCCATGTGTACACATAATAGTTCTGCTACTTGAGATCCAGCGATTAGCCTACTTCTAGCATTTTCAAAATAAACTTGTCATTTGTGTCATTATCATAGCTGATTAGAAAGTAAATTATTTGTATTGACCACATTGAGAAAATTACCATTTAGCTTATGGAACTCTTTGTCATAGAGTGTGGATATTATATTTGTACTTGATTCTAATAGTGGTTAGGGACATTAGAAGGATATGGAGCTCATCATTCAACTAAGTCCTTACAAAATAATTCAATCTCTGTTTTAGAAGTTTATCATAATATTAGTACATAAACTGAACACAAGAAGGAATTTATACCATAGAAAAATTAGAGAGAAAACTTAGAAACCATCTCCTACGAGCTCTTTGCTTTTCTTGCGAAGTGGCTGCTATCAACAGAAAGAGCCGTTGTTAGGCTTTGCATGTTCTGGAGTGACATCTATTAGAGAAGGTTTATCATCTTTGACCACTTTGCACTTCCTCTCCCAACAAAGCCTTACAAGCATGTGTTTCCTAGAGTGGCCACTTGGATCTTCATCTTCCAGTAATGTTCATGATTTGGGTATTCCTAGTTCTCTCTATCCAAAATGGCCAGTTGGTATCTTCTTAACCCAGTTGTGCATTTTAAAATATTTTGTGGGCCAGGTGCGGTGGTTCACTCCTGTAATCCCAGCACTTTGGGAGGCCGAGGCGGGTGGATCACCTGAGATCAGGAGTTCGAGACCAGCCTGGCCAACATGGTGAAACCTGGTCTCTACTAACAATAAAAAAATTAGCTGGGCATGGTGGCGCATGCCTGTAATCCCAGTTACTCAGGAGGCTGAGGCAAGAGAATCACCTGAACCCAGGAGGCGGAGGTTGCAGTGAGCCAAGATCATGCCATTGCACTCCAGCCTGAGTGACAGAGTGAGACTGTCTCAAAAAAAAAAAAATTGTGGAGTCCAAACTGTTACTAGTTAATCTGGAAAATTAATCTATAAAAAGTTCCTAATAATTTATACTATTTTTTCTTCCTGTCACAATATAAAAAATAAACATTACCTGTTGTAATCTGAATATGTGATTGTAAAATGATTAAGCCCGATTTTTCAACCAAAGAGATTATGACTTAAAGTGTTTATTATGAAGTTCGTGGTAAATGAAGAACCAGAATGTATAAAGGTGATTCAGCTATAAATAAAATTTAATTTTGTGTTAATAAAAGTAAAATTAGGGAATTATGAAAAGATATTTTCAAATACAAAGATGCATTTAATATTCACACAATATTGATACTTAGTACCCCCATTTAACTAATTAAGAAATTAAGACTAGTAATGATTAAGTAACTTTCCCACAATTACTTAGCTGGCTAGAGTCTAACATGGTATCTTTTTCTTTCTTTCTGTCTTTTTTTTTTTTTTCTTGAGACAGAGTTTCGCTCTTGTTGCCCAGGCTGGATTGCAATGGCATGATCTTGGCTCACTGCAACCTCCGCCTCCTGGGCTCAAGTGATTCTCCTGCCTCAGCCTCCCAAGTAGCTGGGATTACAGGCACACGCCACCACATGCCACCACGCCTGGCTAATTTTTTTAGTGGAGACGGGGTTTCATCATATTGGTCAGGCTGGTCTCAAACTCATGACCTCAGGTAATCCACCCGCCTCAGCCTCCCAAAGTGCTGGGATTACGGGCATGAGCCACCATGCCTGGTGAAACAAACGTGGTATCTTTTTCATAAGAGGAACTCAAACATTCTATTGAGTTGAAATACATTGAATGAGGCATCCTTTGTTTTTTGCACTGAATAAGCTCTGGTGAGAGCTCTATTGTTGTCTTTAAATAAGTCTATTCTTCTAGGACTGGCTAAAAGCCCACTTAAATGGGAGCCCTCAGGTACACTCATTGTCTTCATTAACTTCCTTTGTTAGAAACACCATTCATTCAACAATATATCCACCAAAAATATTCAGAAGTGGATGACCTTTCTTATGCTGATTTTTGAATTGTAGAAAATTGCGGAGATTCTTACTAAGTTTTGGGATAGAACTCTCTCTCACTGGTCTTTCCTTTAAATATAAAATAGAACCTTGAATATGGTAATTTCAAATATGCATGCTTTTAAGTGAATTGTAAGTTTCTTGCAAACAGGGATTTTGTTACAGTCTACCTTTATTCTAACAAGATAATAGTAGCTACCATTTCAGGGCGTGTATGTCATTAACTGCTTCATAACACATGATTTGACTTTTGCTTTTATATTTCTAACATTTATAAGCAGTACAATGTAATAGTCACACATAAATACTTTATAATATTTATCAATAATTAAAAATAAATTAATACAGGAATCTAATAATTTATAGTATATGAATTTAGAATTCATTATTTATATTATAATAAATATACATTTGTAATTCATTATTACATTATTTATTTATTGCATCTACCCTCTTGACACTATTTCAAAGTGTGCATAAGTATTGCACTTTGGCTTTGAGAAATCTAAACTAAGAAAAGATAAGCAAATTTTCCAAGGGCTCTTAGCTAGCATTTGACAAAGGAAAAATTCTAACCCTGGTCTGTCTGACTCCAAAGATGGATTTTATTCCTTTTTAGTGTGCTACATTGCTTGCAATTTTCCATGAGCCTAGCAAAGTGTATCCTGTTGGATTGAAGCATATTTTCGAGTGGAGATACTGTGGTAAATGAGATGGAAGGAGAAGATGGTAACTGGGACACCTACTGAGGTGTGTTCTTAGAACCAAAGACTTCGACTTAAACTCTATCATAGATCACAGTTGGTATTAGATTCACTTAGAAGAATATAAAACACAAATGAACATTATGTGTCCTTCCTCCTTGAGAATAGTCATCACACAAATCTATGTAGCAGTTCCCACAGCCATCTGGGTAGTTATCTTTAGCGATTCCTTTCCCCCATGTCTCACATCATGGAATACGAATCACATTGTGTAGGTGTAGAAATCACCTGGGCGTAAAAACCTCATTCCCCAGTAGCCAGTATCTCTTATATCAAATCTGTAGTCACAGCCCCTGAAAACATGCTCAGTTGCAAGTCATCACACTCAGGGAAGTGCAAAGATATGACATCCAGATCAGGCATCTATACTTCATTTATAGTTTCTTCTAGTTCATGTGAAACTTACCAATCAGGACTCATTTTTATCATAGCCAGTATGACCTTGTAACACATTTGACATACCACGTTTATCTGTCTTCAGGGGATCAGAACTAAAAAGTTACCAAAGATCCAATTTTAACACAGGTCGAAGGGTTTTGATAGCCTTTTACCCAAAATAATTACAGAATGGATTTCTTGAAAAGTAGTTTTGAGGATTTTGTTCTATTTTTAAGGATGGGAGGATTTGGATATGACCTCAACAGTTGGTGGCTGAGAAAGAGTGGAGAAAAAGATCCTTGGAGTTAAAGAGATAAGAGAACAGAGAGGCTAGAATGTTAGACAGAGCCCCTTTGTATATGTTGAAATAAGCAAAATGTGGACATGTGGGTAGGTGAATGGGACAGTGATCCAGGCTCTAAAACTCTTACTAAATGAGAGAAAATGACAGGGAGATCTGTAGATAACTATAGCTTTGAGGGAAGATGGGTGATGGTGGCTGATGGCACAACCTCAAATGAGTTCCTTTTATTGAAAGAAGACAATTCATTTGGAAGAAGTAATTGGGAGCAAGGGAAACACCTACTCTATCTCTAGGCCCTAATTTTTCTCATGATAATTCATTGAAGTGCTGTAAAATATCCAAACAAAGTAATTCAGTAATAAGGGAAAAAACTTAAAAATATACACACAAATTTATAAATGTCATGTGTATATATTTGTCCTCAATACAATTTCTCCTGATCAGTTGTGTGTAACTAGGATGTGTAATAAATGAACACAAGGACAAACACACTGCAGATATTTACCCTAAATATCTCAGTGTATTTTAATACATGGAATATTATTGTGCTGCTTTGTTAGTGGGGTATAATTTAGGGGGGATCTTTCTTGATAGCATAGCAGAAATTGATCTGAATCCTAAATACTCCATTTATTAGCTGTATGACTTTGGGCAAATTAGTTTACTCAGCCTCAGATTCATTTCTCAAGAAATTAGCCCACCAGTATGACTTACCTCTTAGGATTATAGTTAAGATTATATGAGATAAAGCACATGAAGATTTTAGCTCAGTGACTAGTGTAGTAAATGCTTAATAAAGCTATTATTGTCATTGTAATTACATTAAATCACATTAAAAAATTTAGTTCCCCTATTAAATCATATGAAGAGTTTAAAGAAAGTCAACGGGGTAATGTGTTCAGTTTCTTTTTTAAATAAAAAGTATGCAATATTATAATGATTAGAGTCCCATGTAGTAGAAGGAAGAGAATAAAGGACTGAAATTATAAGACTATTTGTGCCCTTGATTTTAATTTCTTACCTTGAGTCCTTTTGTTATTTAGAATGACCCCAAGGGAATCATTCCTTATTTGATTAGCAGTGCTACACTTTAAAGAGCATTACTTCCCCCTTATCTCACTCCCATTCCAAAGACCACTAGGGTATAACCGTTGCAAACATTTGTACTTTGTCTAACTACAGGAAAACATAGGAAAGGGTACCTTGCATTCCAAACTCAATTTTAAATCACTGGTAATGGTTTTGACTGGCTAATGCAATGGGAACACCTCCAATATATGTTGGCCAGTATTAATCTTAGCATAGAAAATATTCACTTTTAATTTGATGGTCATTTTTTTTCTTTTTTTGGAGGCAGAGTCTCGCTCTATCCCCCAGGCTGGAGTGCAGTGGCACGATCTCCCTCACTGCAACCTCTGCCTACCGGGTTCAAGTGATACTCAAGTCTTAGCCTCCCCTGAGTAGCTGAGATTGCAGGCACCTGCCACCATGCCTGGCTAAATTTTTATATTTTTAGTAGAGATGAGATTTTGCCATGTTGAACAGGCTGGTCTCGAACTCCTGACCTCAGGTTATCTGCCCGACTCGGCCTCCCAAAGTGCTGGGATTACAGGCGTGAGCCACCACTGCACCTGGGCTGGTGCTGATATTTAGCAATACTGCCATCTGTGGTGTTCATAGAAACAAAAAAAATCCTCCAAATACTGCTTAAAGGAGTCTCATCACACTTGACACACATCTTTTAAAAATTTGTGTTTTTCTATTGCTCTTTCATCTCAAAGAGGCCTATAGCAGAGAATGAGTAGCACGTTGCGCTGTCTTTGGGGTCCTGGATAAACAACCTCTTTCTTTTCTTTTTTCTTTTCTTTTCTCTCTCTCTCTCTCTCTCTCCCCCCCCCTCCCTCCCTCTCCCTCTCTCTCTCTCTCTCTCTTTCCTTTCTTTCTTTGTTTCTTTCCTTCCTCTTCTTTTTTTTTGAGATGGAGTTTCCCTCTTGTTGCCCAGGCTGGAGTGCAATGGCGTGATCTCGGCTCACTGCAACCTCTGCCTCTTCATTTCTTCATCTGTAACAAGAGAATAAAAATGACTTCTTCACAGATTTATATAAATAATATTTTAACTAAGTAATTCATTTTGAAATGTTTATAGAATGCCATTTACAGATAAGGTAGAAATAGAGTCCTTCCTAAAAGTCTGTTTTAGATAATTAATCACTAAAATTATAATTGGAGTTGTCATAATCAATTATGTAGCATTGTTTCAATGATGTTAACATTGCTCTTTTTCACTGGATAAATTGTTATGTGGCATGTCATCATTCTAATATTCAGTTTACATGACACTTCTTCTTTAACTCTCCTCTGCAGATATTCAATCTAGAGTTTGTGGCACAGTATACATAATTTTTGGCAGATGATAGCTAAGTGCATTGTATAAAAGATACATTATTTACCAGATCAAAGGTCAATGTGTTCATAATTTAATATGCCGAGGGTCATACAGTCCAGAAATGTCTGTGAATTTCTGAAGTGACACACATTTTTGATAGAAAACTGCCATTTTGTAATGGATAGCACATCAATTGGATAGCCCAGCATTCTTTTCAGATTTACATGTCAAGTTCATCAGTGAGGCCCTACATAAATCTACTCTAGGATTAATTTCCAGATTTCATCTTTAACTGTATCACAATTCTTTTTTTTTGAGACAAAGTTTCGCTCTTGTTGCCCAGGCTGGAGTGCAATGGCGCGATCCTCTGCCTCCCAGGTTCAAGTGATTCTCCTGCCTTAGCCTCCCGAGTAGCTGGGATTACAGGCAAGAGCCACCACATCTGGATAATTTTGTATTTTTAGGAGAGATGGGGTTTCTCCATGTTGGTCAGGCTGGTCTTGAACTCCCGACCTCAGGTGATCTGCCTACCTCAGCCTCCCAAAATGCTGGGATTATAGGTGTGAGCCACAGCACCCAGCCTCTTTTCTTCTTAAATAAGTCTTTCTCAAGGAAATTTTCACAATATTGCTCTTGGGACTCAATGTCCTTATGTGGTAGGACACTACGTTTTCTGAAAAATTGCTTATTAATCTGGTATATGTGAACTATGCAAATTATGTTTTCTATTTTAGTCTTTAGATGCAGTAGTTTTACTATTTTAGTTTTCTCAGATATATTCACAGCAAAAGTACTATCATTGTAGAGTAGTTTCACTTAGCAGTGAAAGTAACTCTGCTATGATGTGGACACTGCTTCTCATTTTTCTTAATAAATATTATGTTTGTTATTTTTATAAAATTTGTTCATTAGATATGGAGTTTTATTCCAATTTAATGATGATAGATGGGTTTTATTTTTATTTAATTTTACTGTTGTGTTCTATGAAAGTATCTTCTTTAAAATATTGTGTAAAGATGTCTTAATTTTACTAAAACGATAGTAATAATAATATAGATGATACTACTACTAATAAAACTACTATTTTCTGAATATGTACAATTGCCAAGCATGATTTATGATTTACATAGGATGCCAAATTTCCATTATATATCTTCAAATTTATATGTTCATTGGTTTGTTCATCTATGCCACAAATGTTAATGGAGTACCTACTAAGTGCCAACAACTATGCCATCAACCATGAATCAGTCACTTAACAAGATAGATATAATCCCTTCCTTCAGAAAGCTTGTAGTCTGGGAGAAAATTTAACAGTTAAACAAGACATTGAAAAAAGTGTGGGCCGGGTTGGGTGGCTCATGCCTGTCATCCCAGCACTTTGGGAGGCCAAGGCGGGTAGATCGCCTGAGGTCAGGAGTTCGAGACCAGCCTGGCCAACATGGTGAAACCCTGTCTCTACTAAAAATACAGAAATTAGCCAGGCAGGCGTGGTGGTGCATGCCTGTAATCCCAGGTACTTGGGAGGCTGAGGCAGGAGAATCGCTTGAGCCCGGGAGGCGGAGGTTGCAGTGAGCAGAGAAGATTGTACCACTGCCCTCCAGCCTGGGTGCAAAGCGAGACTCTGTCTCAAAAAAAAAAAAAAGTGTGATAACTGTTTTGATACAGCAAGTGGATGGATGGAAGAAGCTCTATGAGTATACAGCAGGGATACATGGCCTGGGAGGAAAAAGGGCTGACCATCCATTGAAAGGTTTAATTAGGTCAGTGAAGTTGCTCAAGTACAGCTATAAAATGAGGCAATCAATTACTGGTGATGCAGGAGAGAAAGTGATGTATGGAGAACTTTCTGAACTATAGTAAGAAATGTAATCTGTATTCTAAGGGCATACTTAATTACTGAAATAGTGTATTCAAAATAGGTATCATAATCAAGGAAACAATCTTAAATCATCATGTTCCAATTGCTTGATGATTATTGAAGCTAACGTATTAGGAATAGATGTATTAGCTAATGTATTAGGAATAGATGTTTCCTACTGCTGAGTTGAAATAACGAACCCACTTGAACTTTCGCAGACACCTCTAGGTTTACCTTTTATTTAATAAGTAAATAAAAATGTTCATGTTTTCTATAATACTTTGCATCAGCTTTCCCTTAATCTTGGAAACATTTATTTGACTGAAGAAATTAAGCACTCTCACCTGCATAAAATATTCTTCTGTATGCTATAGTGGAGCCAGTTGTAAAGATTTAGTTCAGTTAATAAATATCTGTTGAGATGCTGGCAAGGCTGTGGAGAAATAACAACGCTTTTACACTGTTGGTGGGAGTGTAAATTAGTTCAACCATTGTGGAAGACAGTGTGGCGATTCCTTAAGGATCTAGAACCAGAAATACCATTTGACACAGCAATCCCATTACTGGGTATATACCCAAAGGATTATAAATCATTCTACTATAAAGACACATGCACATGTATGTGTATTGCAGCACTATTCACAATAGCAAAGACTTGGAACTAACCCAAATATGCATCAATGATAGACTGGATAAAGAAAATGTGGCACATATACACTATGGAATACTATGCAGCCATAAAAAAGAATGAGTTCATGTCCTTTGCAGGGAAATGGATGAAGCTGGAAGCCATCATCCTTAGCAAACTAACACAGGAGCAGAAAACCAAACACCACATGTTCTCACTCATAAGTGGGAGTTGAACAATGAGAACACATGGACACAGGGAGGGGAACATCACACACGGGGGCCTGTCTGGGGTTAGGAGACAAGGGGAGGGAGAGCATTAGGACAAATAGCTAATGCATGTGGGCTTAAAACCTAGATGATGGGTTGATAGGTGCAGCATACCACCATGTCACATGTATACCTATGTAACAAACCTGCACGTTCTGCACATGTATCCCAGAACTTCAAGTAAAATAATAAATAAATAAATAAATAAATATCTGTTTAATTTCTGCAGAAGACCATAAATATACTTGGTGTGTCAGGCAGTGATCTGTAAGTATTTTTGTTCATGCAATCACACCAATCAAAATTTTGAGCAAATACCCCAATATGTGTATATTTTTCTAATAACAAATAATACATATATTACTATATTAATATATAGTATACATTAATACCTAAATAAAATAGAGAATTGAAATAATGGAATACAAATAAATTTTTAAACAGCTGTAAATATTTTTCTCATGGCTCAATCGAGGAAATCTTAAATATCGCCCAGGGAGTAGGAGCTTATTTTGCATACCATCACAATGGGGAAAAGAAAAATGAATACACTGTTATGTCTACCTTCAAGGAGGCAGCAATATGGTAATAGAAAAGTTCACAGGGGCCAGGCATGGTGGCTCACGCCTGTAATCCCAGCACTTTGGGAGGCCAGGGCAGGTGGATCATGAGGTCAGGATTTCGAGACCAGCCTGACCAACATGGTAAAACCCCATATCTACTAAAAATACAAAAAATTAGCCAGGCATGGTGGTGGGCGCCTGTAATCCCAGCTACTCGGGAGGCTGAGGCAGGAGAATCACTTGAACCTGGGAGGCGGAGGTTGCAGTGAGCCGAGATCACGCCACTGTACTGCAGCCTGGGCGACAGAGCAAGACTCCGTCTCAAAAAAAAAAAAAAGAAAGAAAGAAGAAAAGTTCACTAAAGCTAAATGCTGTGCCCTGTGGTATTAGAAGTTAGAGCTGTTGTGGTTCAAAGTCAGGAAGATATTTTCAGGGCAAATTTACTTGTAAGTTGGGGCCAAAGAAAGGAAGGTAATAGGGAACAAAGGCTGGAAATACAGCATGATGGTTCTTTAGAGCAATGCTTCTCCCAGTGTAATGTGTCTTTGAATCAGCTAGAAATCTGAGCTGCGGCCTGGGAGTCTGCATTTCTAACAAGCTCCTAGGTGCTGCTAATGTTGCTGGTATACAGACCACACTTTCAGTGTCAAGGCTTTAAAGGACTTTCTCATCTAAAATGAGGAGTTTGTGCTTAAATTGATAGGCAGTAGGCAATTTGGAAAGGTGTTCCAGCTCAGAGCAACATGATCAAGTTGAACTCTAGGCAAAGTAATTTAGCAGTAATTTATAGATTGGAGGCCAAGACTGGAGGCAGAGAGATAAGTCTAGAGGCAATTACAGGTGAGAGGTAATAAGACCTCTGAAGTAGGACATGGCAGTAGACACAGAAAAGGGACATGGTAGAAGCAGAATCAACCTGAGAAGAGAGATAACAAAGGAACACAGGTATAATATATAGAACAAATTAAAACGAAGACTAGAGAAACTAATGAGAAATGTGTCCTTTACTGTTCATCTAGTAATTTGGAAATTTGAATTTTCATATATTTAAATACATATGCATAAATGATATTTTCAGCTAACCACCAGAAAATTTCTGGTAGAAAATATCACAAAATAAAACTGGCTTTGAATATGTTTGTCTTTTTCCTTGATCCTTATTTCCAGAAAGAAATACATGTCCTGGAAGTATATGTCCATAGAGGTCCAATAAATCTCAATGATTGTAAATAGAGCTTTATTCATATTGAGCAAATGTTTCCTGTTCACTTGCCTCTAGGTGAAAAACATAAATGTCTTTATACAAATCTCTGAAATGTTTGAAGCATAAGGAAGGTGAAAGTGGCAAGGAGACATGTATTTTCATTATAGGCTCTGAATATCCATAGCTGTTTTCTGCTATTTAGCCACTTCTTCCTTTGTGACCTGACTTTGGACGGCACACATTATCAATCAGGAAGACCATTATGTTCCTTTTACTTGTACTTGTCAATGTCTGGCTGCTCCTACTGCAAGATAAGCTCCTTGAGAGCCAAGACTGTGTACTATTCATTTTGTATCCCCAGATCCCAGTGCAGATGCTGAATAATTGACTTATAAATAAATGTGTAAATGATCCCAGAACCAAGCACAGATATGAACACAAAAAAAATTCCTTTGGAGTGAACGAATGAATTAATAAGTAGGCAAGTGAAAGAATGAATGTTGACTTAGCCCTTAGAATGGCCATTGACAGGTTCTGTTTTTTTATTACTAGATAAGCACCAACCTTATTCTACTCAAAGTATGTGATCAATATTTCACTCATTCATGTCCACATACTATAAGAAGCCTTCACATTATATAGTGACTTTGAAATCAAAGTCTAAGTCTAAATTTTATTATAGGAGAAAAATGTGTGTGTTGTGCATTGTGGTTTAGTATAAATATAAGTCAGATTCCTTGACATCAAATCAGTTCACCATTTTTTCACTCACAGACTTTTTCGTCATCCTTTTAAGCCTCCCATTTTTTCTTTTTTTAAAAAATGATTTCATTATACTCCATTATTGTGTATGTGTGTGTGTGTATGTGTATCTGTGTATGTGTGTCTAAGTCAAAAACTAACCTCTTCTATGGGTATTTTGTTACTATCCTCTGTAATATAATGTGGGAATCTTTGTCCGTGAGCATAAACAGGGTGAGTGCAGGAATCTAGCCATCAGTTCTTTCTGTACTATGCATGCACAGCGTCTAACTTGTGCTTGTAATTTGTGATTACGTCTTCAGGATACATAGTTTTAAACTAGGCCGAGTGCGGTGGCTCACGCTTGTAATCCCAGCACTTTAGGGGGCCGAGGCGGGTGGATCACCTGAGGTCAGGAGTTTGAGAACAGCCTGGCCAATGAGGTGAAACCTCATCTCTACTAAAAATACAAAAATTAGCTGGGCGTGGTGGTGGGCACCTGTAATTCCAGCTACTTGGGAGGCTGAGGCAGGAGAATCGCTTGAACCTAGGAGGTAGAGGTTGCAGTCAGCGGAGATCGCGCCATTACACTCCAACCTGGGCAGCAAGAGCAAAACTTCATCTCAAAACAGAATAAAGTAAAATAAATGAAAAAAATAAAATTAAACTAACAGCTAACTCACAGTCTTCTGCTAAAAAAGTGTCATACATTCAGATTGTTTACTCTATCAGGTTAGTTACTCATGCTGCTATACTGTTTCCAAACTCTTAGGATTCTAGCACATTGTTTTAGTTTAATTTTCACTGTTCCTTTAAATGTTTATTTAATTCATTTTCTAAAATCACAGATATGAGCAGAGCCTTGGAGACCATCTAGTAGAATCCTTCCGTGGAATAGATATTAAAATAAAAACTCATATTGGTTAAGTTACTTTACAAAGGACATATAGCTGGTTATTGAAAAAAGTGGAGTAAAAATGAAAATCTCCCAAATCCCTAGGACAGTGATTTCTCTTACGCTGTGCTATATCACTAAAAGATTTTATAGTTTCCCTTTGGCCATCAGAGAAGCTATGTTTAATGTCAAGCCTGATTCATAGTTAACATCATATCTTTTGGGAGCCTAGATATGATAAAAGCAAAAGAGCTACAGGCATTTTGAAGAAGCACTTCCTACACACTACTATATACCTTGAATTTGTACTGGAATTGTTTGATACCCTCTCAGTTTATTGATACTCCAAAAGACCGAATTTCTAGGTTTGTTTTCTAAGCTTTGTCAATAAGGGTAGTATTTAGTCATGCAACACTTTAGCTCAAAATATTATCATTACACATTGTCTATATGTAAAAATAACTTTGCATATGCATATAGATTTTCCAGTTCCATTCAGCATGAGGCATCAACTCTTTGTAGTCTTTTTTATATAAACACACAAAAATTAGTTTATGACTTGTGCTATCATGTGTTCATGCTGGAAGACGGTCAGATGTATGTAGAATATAGCTTCTGTTAGTGCTCATAGTCTGGTGGTTCACAGGAAAATGAAGAATAACACAAGGAAGTGCATGTAATTATTTTAATAACTTCATTCTTGCAAATAACAGAATGAATGAAACAATGTTTTGCACAACCTATTTTATTTGATTTTCAAAGGAAGTCATCATGCAATAGTCCATTGACTTTAATTCTACCTGCTTACTGTCATAAAGTAATCTTCATGGCTTGAACAATCCAGAGCCTGTGAAATCTCCCTTGAATCTCTGCATCTCTCCATTTCCAACACCATCAGCCTACTCGAAGTGACAATCTTCTGAACAATTGAAACTGCATTCACTCTTGCCTGGTTTGTTTACTCATCATTCAGGCCTATTTTTTAATGTGTAAAATTTTAAATTTTTTGTTTAAAAATGCAAGTATGATCAAGCTGCTCTCTGACTTAAAACCATTTGGTAACTTCCTGTTGGTCTTAATAACTTCCCATTGCTCCCAAATCCTTAATGAGACCAACATATTTTGCTTACTTTTTTCTCTTTCTCCTCCTATCTTCACCCCATTCCTCTCATCTTACTCTCTCAGCTTCTCTCACCATGAAAGTGCATGCCTTGACTTTTTCATCCCAGGGCCTTTGCACATGCTGCTTACTCCATTTGCAAAGTATTGTCTGTCAAATGACTTGCACCACTTCAGCCAATTATCTCCTTTTCATGCGTGAATTTCCAGATTCAATGTCACTTCCTTAGGAAAGCTTTTTCTTCAAAGACTGGGTTAGAATTCCCTGTCACATACCTTCTAACACCTAACACCGTGCAGTCCTGCTTCACAGCAATAATCATAGATATAATGTGGAATTTATTGATTTTGTTGAATTTATTGTTAAATTTTATGCTAAATAAGGCCGTATGTTCTTTGTTCACTTCCTCCATGAGAACCTTGCATCTTGTTTTGAACACGGTGAATTCTCAGTAAGTATTTCCTATCATTTCAAATTTTTTGTGCCTATTTTATTTTTTACATAATATATTGGTAGAATATTACAGGTATATAATTTATATAGTGATAAATGTAGAGAGAGAATATGTACTCCCTTCCCATTCCGCTTCCCCTTCCCCTTCCCTTCCCTTCTTCCTTTCCTTCCCTCCCTCCTTTCCTCACTTCCTCCTTTCCTTCTTATTTTTTTCTGTAACCTAATAATATTGTATAATCAAAAAGTCTGGAGACTTCTGCTTGTTTTTTACTTAATACGTATTTTCCTTCTATTTAATAAAAGGAGACTGGCCTGTCTTTTAAATTGCATTTTATGGCCTAAATTTCTACTATATGATTCAAAAATTGCTCTGCCATAGTTTGTGAGAAGACACTATGTTATTTTACTTCCTAAAGAAAGGGTAGTGAACAAAATAATAAAAGCTTTATATTAAAGACAATAAAGTTGATAGTGTTGTGAAATCATGTTACTCTTATTTTCGGTCTGTTTTCTTTCCAGATCTCTTTCCTGATCTATGGTATATATGCCAGAAGCCATAAATACTTAATACAGGGTGAATAAAAGACATTTTAAATTAAGCATGCCCCCCCACCAACATTATCAAGAGTAAAATGAAATAGACCAATAAATCGGCTTACTTACTGGCCAACACCTAAATTGATTATTAGATGTAATGGTACAAATTTGTATAAATATCACACTTCCCTCTAATCTTTTTAAATGAAATATGCAGGAAGGATTGTCAAATGGAAGTACTATACTAAAAAGCGATTATCACCATGGTAATGTTGGCTTGCTTTTCTGTTCCTTTTAATTTGGTTACCCTCTTTATTGTTAAATTTTTTAAAAAGTTTTCTACTTTTACATTTTTTATTTATACTTAACACATAATAATTTAAATATTGGGGTACAATATGATGTTTCAGTGCATGTATACATAGTATGAGGATAAAATCAGGGTAATTATATACACCAATTTAGACATTTATCATTTCTTTTTGGTGACAGCATTCAAAATCTTCACTTCTATCTGTCTTGAAATATATATTACATTGTTATTTGCTATAGTCACCCTAGTGTGTAATAGAATAGCAAAACTTATTCTTTCCTGTCTAACTAATTTTGTACCAATTGACTAATAACCTTTCCCAAGAACCCCCTCCCACATACCCTCACCAATGTTTGCTAACTACTATTCTACTCTCTACTTATATAAAATCAACTTTTTTAGGTTCCACATAGGAGTGAGATCATGCAGTGTTTTTCTTTCTGAACCTGGCTTATTTCATTTAACATAATATCCTCCAGGTTCATCCATGTTGTTGAAATAACAAGATTTCATTCTGTTTTATGGCTGAATAGTATTCAATTGTATATATATATATATACACACACAATTGTATATATATATTCATATATACAATTGTATATTTATATTCATATATATACATCTATTGTATATGTATTGTATATGTATTGTATATATATTGTATATATATTCATATGTACAATTGTATATATATATTCATATGTACAATTGTATATATATATTCATATGTACAATTGTATATATATATTCATATGTACAATTGTATATATATATTCATATGTACAATTGTATATATATATTCATATGTACAATTGTATATGTATATTCATATGTACAATTGTATATGTATATTCATATGTACAATTGTATATATATATTCATATGTACAATTGTATATATATTCATATGTACAATTGTATATATATATTCATATGTACAATTGTATATATATTCATATGTACAATTGTATATATATTTTCATATATATGAATATATATGATAAATGTGATATATTAATAAATGTGATATATATCACATTTTCTTCATTTGTAAATGGGCATTTATGTTGATTCTATATCTTGGCTACTGTGAATAGTGCTGCAATAAACATGGGTGTGCATATGTCTCTTTGACATACTGATTTCATTTCCTTTGGATATATATCTAGTAATGGGATTGCTGGATCATATGGAAGTTCTATTTTTATTTTTTTGAGGAAACTCCATACTGTTTTCCATAATGGCTATTCTAATTTACATTCCCACCAACAATATATAAGGTAAATTCTTTAGGCATTGCCTTAACCTATACAGTCACTGCCTCACTATAGAAGTTATTTTACTCTGATTTTGTGGCATCATTGTGTTTTAAACAAAAAGTGTCATCTATTATGATAATATTATGGCAGCTGTATTTATTTTCCTGCTTTCTGTAAATTAGGGTCTCAAGACTTCCTTAAGTACAATTATAGCCAAAATCTCATATGAAAAAAATGACAGAAACATGCATCAGATAAAAAAATATAAAAATCTTCAGTGACTCCAAAAATATATGGTCATTTAGTTTTAAAAGCAATTTCAAACTACCTGGTAGGATCTAATTTAATGATTCTTACCATGATTTCTTAAAGAGTATTCATCGTTGCCTCCCCTTAACTTTTAATGAAAATAACTACCAAATCTCTTTGTTATTTGGAAACTAAATAAATAAACTGGATCATTAACCTGAAAATGTTATCAGTGGTCCCAAAGTTTCACTAATGGAATTTTACATATTTAAATTAAGCAATAAAGGATAAGAAAATATGTAATAAAATAATTAGATTTAATATCTATATGTGGTTCATGGAAAAATCAAATGTTACTTTGAAACTTTGTCCCTATAATAATATTTAATTATAAAATACACAATAGAAATTACTCTTGAGAATAATTTTTATGTACCTGATTGCATTTCAATCCACATTTCCCATGGAACCTGAAGCAAATACCTTACAAAAAAGTAAAAATTCTATAAGGAATGTACTAAATTTGTACCCCAGCATTAGTGATAGAATAGATGTCTACACAGATTACAAATAAGTCAACAAGTTATTTGATAATGCCAATTCTTAGATGAAACTAAAACCTTTTACATTATCTATATTGTTCCCTTTTATATCAACAATGATCTTTTTCCTTTACCTAGTCAAGTTGCTAGAGAATTCCCCTTTCAATTCATGTAGAAATCACTTTCTTTATAAATCTGTGCCCATCTGAAAACAGCCAATACTTCTTGGATTTTTCTTTATTCATTCTTCACATGACTTTCTTTATCTGAAGGAAAAATAGTAGATATAACCTATGAATCTTATTATTCATCAAAAAGACAGAGAATGAACATGTCTTTAGGGATTACTATGAAAATTTGACAAAAACTATATATGAAGATGAAGGCGAGTATTTGAGATGACTTGCAACCTGTTTTTCTGTTTCTCTTTCTTAGTTTAGAAATTCAATATAACTATGATTTCAGATAATACAAACCTTGTCAGTTTTGTTTTATGAATAGGTTGGATGTCTCCTTTACTAGAAAAATGGGAAATATGTTTAGTGAATATTCAACGTATATGTAGAAGTGATTAGTATATTATTTATTGCAATTTGAGAAACCAAATTGAAAAGTCACCATAAATTATGAAGAAAAATGCATAACATTCCAACCCCTCGATAAAATTTCTTTGAAGTTAATATGACCATATAATAACTTTTGGTGTTAGAAATATATATTTTATTTTTACTTGAACTCCGATAACTTCAGCAAAATGCTGTTAAAAGTATTCTGTGCCTCCCTCCATTATTGTATTAGATGTTTTAAGAACATAACAATGTGGTGATTATTAAGAGTGAATAATTATATTTAATGAACTATGACCATGATTTGAATTTTATATGGATGGTGGTTTACTTTCTGTTACTGAATGTTGCACCCAGTGTTGTGGGATTTTGTTTTGTTTTGTTTTTGAGATGGAGTCTCACTCTGTCGCCCAAGCTGGAGTACAGTGGCACGATCTCGGCTCACTGCAACCTCCACCTCCCAGGTTCAAGCAATTCTCCTGCCTCAGCCTCCCGAGTAGCTGGGATTACAGATGCCCACCACCATGCCCGGCTAATTTTTGTATCTTTAGTAGAGACAGGGTTTCACCATATTGGTCAGGCTGGCCTTGAACTCCTGACCTCAGGTGATTCAGCCTCCCAAAGTGCTGGGATTACAGGCGTGAGCCACTGTGCCCGGTCATACCAATTGTTTTTAAGTCATAGGGTAAAATTGAAAGGGCACAGACACCAGAATTAAAATGCAGGTCTGTGTGAATGACCTGAACTACTCTGGTCCTCAATTTTTTTCACCCATAAAATCGGTGTTAGATTTCCTACTTTCCCAGGAAGTGGTGAGGATGGTGTTGTCATTATTGAATAAATTCAAACATGAGTCATGTACCACAGCATCTAACTAATATAAAACGCTTAGTTGATATTAATTCTATTGTCTCTATGTGAGTATGATTAAATGTAAAAAAGTAACACTTTATAAGGCAAAAGATATTTCTCAAAACAGGCTGAAGATAAAGATTATAGCTATAGAATTATCAAGAATTATGAAATATATAAATAGAAGTAAAGTTAGTTAACATTTGGGAGATACAGTGTTCAATCAGTAATTTATTAGGCATGCAAAATTAAGGCTGTAGACATAGAAAAATAATTATCTGAGAGCAAAACTAAATATCATGTCTATGTTTCTAAATGTCAGTACAAATAGCAAATGGAGGGAAAGAAAAAAAAAAGGGACATTTTGCTTTCAGCATAACACTCCATGCATTTGAATGTTTATTGTGGTTTTTTAATGGGTAAAATAGGGCTTCTTAACTGAGAGAATGAATTTGTGTTCAAATAGTGGTTTTCAATTTGTTCTAAGCTTCTTACCAAATTGAAAATAATGACCCATTTTGCCAATAATAACCTCAAGATGTCTTTAATAACCCAAGGTATTTTGAACCATTAAACTGGCTTGACCAAATTCTGCTTAGTAGCACACATGCAGTTTCTTTCAGCATCAAGAAAATTACTACATTTTTCTTTTCAAAAGGTTAAGTTAGCTGTGAACTGAAGTTTTTCTAATTTAAAGGTTTTTTAATACTCTATAGGTATAGCTAAATCTCAGTAATTGAATTTGTTCGTGAAAGCAATTGTATGATCCTAGAATACATATGTGGTTTTCAGTTCATTGCTTATGGCATTGGTTCTCAACGTGTGGTTCCTTGAACACTAGTAGCATCACCCAGGAACCTAGAGATGCAAATTTCTGGTCCCTGTTCAAGACATAGTGAATCAGAAACTCAGGAGTTGGAGCCCAGCAACCTATTTTTTTAAATCAATTTTATTGTATATATTTGAGGCTTACAACGTAATGTTTTGGGTTACATATAGACAGTTACTCTAGTGAAGCAAATTAGGAAAGCTATTGTCTTGGTGTAGCTTGTTTATATGTGACAAGAACCACAAAAATCTACTTACTTAACAAAAATTGCTAATACAATACAATTAACATGCCCTCCAGGTGATTCTAATGCATTCTGAAAATCTATCAAGTCCATATCTGGCATTTAATACCATACATTAGTGTTTGCAGCAGGGAAGCAAAAGTTTTGAGGAGAGAGCCCTCATCAGATAGGTCTAATGAAGTTTAATGAGTCTTGTGTGATTAAACATTGACAAGCCGGAAGACTTTGGGGAATCATAATAAGAATCATTCGAGTCATGAGAGTCTCATTGGATAACTTTCTTCAGCAATTCATTAAACATTGGAGAATCAGGATGGGAAGAGGAGGCACTGAAAGAAAAACTGGTGAATTTGGCATGGGATCATTTATCTGACCACAAGCTGAGCAGGGAGACTGTTGTCTTTTCATGGATGTCATGTCTCTTACAGAACAGAGAGGTCTTGGACTTGCTGCTAAACCCACCCAAGGCAACCAAATTATGGTTGTTTTTATTCCAGTAAAGTGGTGGTTCTCAGATCCCAGTGTACTTGATAATCCCCTGCGTAATTATTTTGAATACGTATGCCTGAGTCACTTCCTGAGAGATTGTGATTTAGGAGGTCCAAGGAACATACTTACAAAACAGTGCTAATGGATTGTAGGTAGGCGGATGATTTTATTCAGATGCCTTGTACAAAATCAGTATTATTTTTGGATTGAAAAACAGCTAATAAAAAAATAAACACTTAAATAAAGTATTATCAAGAAAGCTGTTTTAGGAATCTCCACATATGGGAAATACTTTTTGGTGCAATTTCTAGTATCACTGATTTAATAAACTAAAAATAATATCAGATAATTGTTTATATTGTTAATGACAATGAATAGATAGCTACTCTATGGTTTACTAGTGTTCTGCATTATGAAAGGAACAGAAAATTCATACCTTTGTGGTCCAGCAGCTACTCTAAGTAAAGTCTCATTTTGACTGTTCTGTAAGTACTTTCCTTATCATTGCTAATGGTGATTACAGGGCCACTCTATTATTGTAAGTTAGCTCAAGCAACCTGGAAGCTGAGGCTACTTCAATGATCATTTACAAGTTATAAGAGGAAATTGGTTGTGAAGAGATATCCCGCAAATTCAGAATTAGCATGGCATATGCTACTTCCATAGAGTAAGAGGAAACCTAAAAGGTAAAATGTAGAAGACGCAGATAGGGAAAAGCAAAAATAAAGCATAAAAGAATATGAAACTGTCTGGATGATATGTGTGAAACTTTGCCAAAAGATGACTCAAAAATCTTCAATATAAGCCGCATAATGCTTCCATATATGTATTAAAAGGTCAACATAAGCATATGGATTTATAAAAATGAACAATCAACAAGATGCTTTTTTTTTTTTGAGACGGAGTTTCACTCTTGTTGCCCAGGCTAGAGTGCAATGGAACGATCTCGGCTCACTACACCCTCCACCTCCTGGGTTCAAGGGATTCTCCTGCCTCAGCCTCCCGAGTAGCTGGGATTACAGGCATGAGCCAGCCACCATGCCCTGCGAATTTTGTATTTCTGGTAGAGACGGGGTTTCTCCATGTTGGTCAGGCTGGTCTCGAACTCCCAACCTCAGGTGATCAGCCTGCCTCAGCCTCCCAAAGTGCTGGGATTACAGGTGTGAGCCACCACGCCCGCCACAGTCAACAAGTTTAAAGTAGTTGACAGTGTATTGATATGAGATGATTTGCATGGAAGTAGGAAGATGAATGTGCAGAAAAATTGCTGATTTTCAAGAGACATAATTTCAGACAAAGATTTACTAAATTGTTCTGGCTTGGCTGATGGTAACCCATCACTTGTGCCGTGACTCGGAGCCATAAAGGAAAATATATCAAATAGAAAAATGAAATATATTAAGGTGTTATTGCAAAATGCATGTGATGTTTAGGTTACATTGTCTTGCTTATGAAGACACAGCTAAGTAATAGTACATATCAAATGTAAACTTCATGGAGAGATGACCAGTGGTTAATAGTTTTATGTAATATTTGTTATCGCATAAAACACAGAAAATTCAGAAGTAGATTTATAGTAAAAACCAATGGGGTTTAATGATATAGGAATTGCTATTCCAGTAAAGTACAGAAAAAAAACTCTCATTAAAAAGCATAAAGGTTGATTTATTTAAATTGCGGTGGGTTTGTTTACTAACTTCAGTGGATAAAGTTCTATAGTAAGAAAAAGGAGGCACAAAAAGATCCAGGAGACCTGGCGTGCTGGCTCACGCCTGCAATCCCAGCAACTTTGGGAGGCCAAGGTGGGTGGATCACGAGGTCAGGGGATCGACACCATACTGGCTAACACAGTGAAACCCCGTCTCTACTAAAAATACAAAAAATTAGCCGGGCGTGGTGGCGGGCACCTGTAGTCCCAGCTACTTGGGAGGCTGAGGCAGGGGAATGGCGTGAACCCGGGAGGCGGAGCTTGCAGTGAGCTGAGATTGCGGCACTGCACTCCAGCCTGGGCAACAGTGTGAGACTCCGTCTCAAAAAAAAAAAAAAAAAAAAAGAGAAAAATAGAAAAAAAGAAAGGATCCAGGAGTCTTAACTTTGTATACCAAGTAAAAACCTCACGCTCAAAATGGATATTGGTTGTCATAATGTGTTTAAAATACTCTAGCATAATCTTTAAAGAAAAATGATGGTCATCCTTTTGTTATAGTGACAAGTCACTACTTATTTATGTTTTGAATTGAGATTTGTTTATTTTTTTCCACTGCCTTATTGCAAAGCACTTGTCACATAAAATATATGCTCAAGGGCCTTGGAAAGCCAATGAAGTGAGTTATACATGGGCTGAGATTAATCAGTTTATTATTTCTTAAGCTTAGTAGCTATAAGTAAAAGTAAAATGCAATTCAGTATTTGAAAATGCCACATACTGCCCTCTGGAGTTTTCCATGCAGAAGAAGAAATAGAAAAATGAGAATTGCGAGGATTTAGAAACGACATGGAGTAGCTTTTAAAAATAAGATTCCAAGCTGGGTGTGGTGGCTCACACTTGTAATCTCAGCACTTTGGGAGGCCGAGGCGGGAGGATCATGAGGTCAGGAATTTGAGACCAGCCTGGCCAACATGACAAAACCCCTTCTCTACCAAAAATATAAAAAATTAGCCGAGTGTGGTGGCACTCACCTGTAATCCCAGCTACTCGTGAGGCTGAGGCAGGAGAATTGCTTGAACCCAGGAGGTAGAGGTTGCATTGAGCCAAGATCATGCCACTGCACTCCAGCCTGGGCAACAGAGTGAGACTCTGTCTCAAAAAAAAAAAAAAAAAAAAAAAAAGATTCCAGTGTATATTCCATGTAGAAATGGGAAAATTTACATTTTTCTTGAAATAGTATACTGCCCAATATGATGCTTTTATTTACTCTAGCTTAGTAGTGCTAAAACTTTAGCCTGCATCAGAATTAGCTAGGGAGCTGGTTATACACAACTTGTTAGGCCTCAGCCCTGGAGTTTCTGATACCGTAGGTCTGGGGTAGAGTTTGGTAATTTGCTTTTTTTTTTTTTTTTTTTTCTTTTTGATACGGAGTCTTGCTCTGCCGCCCAGGCTGAAGTGCAGTGGTGCGATCTCGGCTCACTACAAGCTCCACCTCCCGGGTTCACGCCATTCTCCTGCCTCAGCCGCCTGAGTAGCTGGGACCACAGGCGCCCACCACCACGCCTGGCTAATTTTTTTTTTTTTTTGTATTTTTTTAGTAGAGACGGGGTTTCACCGTGTTAGCCAGGATGGTCTCAATCTCCTGACCTCATGATCCATCCACCCATGTAGGCCTCCCAAAGTGGGTACTTCGCTTTTTTGACAGGTTTCTAGGTGATGTTGATGCTGCTGGTCTAGGAACCACACTTTGAGAACCCTTGTCCGAGTTTCTCATAAGCAAATTTGAAACAAACAAAAAAAGCAACTTCAAAGGAATTCCTCAACTGTTTTATAAATGCACTTACTATGGATGGTTACCTTTAGAAAATTTACAAGGAAAAATCTTGAAATTTTATGGGGATTGTTGAAAGAGGAACATTTGTTTCATTCGATTTTTTTCCTCTCTAGCAACTTAAGGGATCCATACTTACGTCTGATGGTCATTTCTGGACTTACAAAGACAATACGATACAATTCTGTTTGTGGTGAATAGACTTTCTGTATGATGAATGGGTATTAGTTTGAAAATGTGTCCCCTTTCTGCTGTATTGTGCCCCCTTCCCCACTAAAATCCTCAATGCCATTTACCAATCTTTTCCTGAAGATTTCTTGTTATTGACAAGCAGAGGGAGATTGGACCGTGATTCAAATGAGGTTGACAAAAACCAGAAAGCATTTGATTTCAAGACTCTAAATTTACCCAACGTTTTGTTCTGGGGATTTGGATATTTTGGTTATAATGGTCGTGATACTTCCTGACTCATCAGTCTTCTCAGCATTCTCATTTCCCTTACAACTCAATTGAAGGCTGGCCCCAGAGGAACTGGGGATCTGTCAAGTAGTGTTCATCTCCCTTCTCCTATAAAGGGAGATGACTGTATAGTCAACTGAGCTGAATTCTGCTTCAGTGGAGAAGAAACAAATAAGGGAGAAGCAGTTCTGCCCATTAGAGGACATACCATAATACATTGTTGATGATGGAGCAGGGGGGATGCCTTTCTTTTTCTCTGAGAAAGAACAGACCAGTTTTGCTTTAATCACTTGTTTTATTGGCTCATTTTGAAGATGTATTGAATCATCTGATCATTACATTCACAATTATACTCTTAATGAACTATTTTTTCTCACTGTAGTTACACTGAACTTCTCCCAAAAATTCGATTGCTGTCTCCAGCTGAATAGACCTATTTTATTTTATGAAAAATTGGCACAAAATGCTTCTGTTCTTTTCTAGGGCAGAGTGGTTAATTTCATTTGAAATATACTTGGTTTTCTTATAAGAATCACTGTGTATACATATAAGTACATTTGCATAAAATACAACATTTACAATAAAAGTATTGTTTAAGGTACTGTATTGTTTAAATTAATTTTCTATTATTATACTTTAAGTTCTAGGGTACATGTGCACAACGTGCAGGTTTGTTACATAGGTATACATGTGCCATGTTGGTTTGCTGCACCCATCAACTCATCACTTACATTAGGTATTTCTCCTAATGCTATCCCTCCCCCAGCCCCCGACCCCATGACAGGCCCGGTGTGTGATGTTCCCCTCCCTGTATCCAAGTGTTCTCATTGTTCAGTTCCCACTTATGAGTGAGAATATGTCGTGTTTGGTTTTCTGTCCTTGTGATAGTTTGCTCAGAATGATGGTTTCCAGCTTCATCTATGTCCCTGCAAAGGACATGAATTCATCCTTTTTTATGGCTGCATAGTATTCCATGGTGTATATGTGCCACATTTTCTTAATCCAGTCTATCATTGATGGACATTTGAGTTGGTTCCAAGTCTTTGCTATTGTGAATAGTGTTGTAATAAACGTACGTGTGCATGTGTCTTTATAGTAGCATGATTTATAATCCTTTGGGTATATACTCAGTAATGGGATGGCTGGGTCAAATGGTATTTCTAGTTCTAGATCCCTGAGGAATCGCCACACTGTCTTTCACAATGGTTGAACTAATTTACACACCCACCAACAGTGTAAAAGCATTCCTTTTTCTCCACATCCTCTCCAGCATCTGTTGTTTTCTGACTTTTGAATGATCACCATTCTAACTGGTGTGAAATGGTATCTCATTGTGGTTTTGATTTGCATTTCTGTGATGACCAGTGATGATGAGCATTTTGTCATGTGTCTATTGGCTGCATAAATGTCTTCTTTTGAGAAGTGTCTGTTCATATCCTTCGCCCACTTTTGGATGGGGTTGTTTGATTTTTTTCTTGAAAATTTGTTCAAGTTCTTTATAGATTCTAGATATTAGCCCTTTGTCAGATAGGTAGATTACAAAAGTTTTCTCCCATTCTGTATGTTGCCTGTTCACTCTGATGGTAGTTTGTTTTGCTGTGCAGAAGCTCTTTAGTTTAATTAGATCCCATTTGTCAATTTTGCCTTTTGTTGCCATTGCTTTTGGTGTTTCAGTCATGAAGTCCTTGCCCATGCCTATGTCCTGAATGGTATTGCCTAGGTTTTCTTCTAGGGTTTTTATGGTTTTAGGTCTAACATTTATGTCTTTAATCCATCTTGAATTAATTTTTGTAAAAGGTGTAAGGAAGGGATCCAGTTTCAGCTTTCTACATATGGCTAGCCAGTTTTCCCAGCACCATTTATTAAATAGGGAATCCTTTCCCCATTGCTTGTTTTTGTCAGGTTTGTCAAAGATCAGATGGTTGTAGATGTGTGGAATTATTTCTGAGGGCTCTGTTCTGTTCCATTGGTCTATATCTCTGTTTTGATACCAGTACCATCCTGTTTTGGTTACTGTAGCCTTGTAGTATAGTTTGAAGTCAGGTAGTGTGATGCCTCCAGCTTTGTTCTTTTGGCTTAGGATTGTCTTGGCAATGCTGGCTCTTTTTTGGTTCCATATGAACTTTAAAGTAGTTTTTTCCAATTCTGTGAAGGAAGTCATTGGTAGCTTGATGGGAATGGCATTGAATCTATAAATTACCTTGGGCAGTATGGCCATTTTCACGATATTGATTCTTCCTACCCATGAGCATGGAATGTTCTTCCATTTGTTTGTGTCCCCTTTTATTTCATTGAGCAGTGGTTTGTAGTTCTCCTTGAAGAGGTCCTTCACATCCCTTGTAAGTTGGATTCCTAGGTATTTTATTCTCTTTGTAGCAATTGTGAATGGGAGTTCACTCATGATTTGGCAATAAAAAATCCTTCTCAACCAGTTCAAGTTTTATATTTGTGTATTCTAGGATAGCTAGTGTGGTAGTTAGAATAATGACTCCCCAGAGATGTTCATGTGTTTATAGCTGGAGCTATGTTACCTAGTATGGCAAAAAAAGAAAAGACTGTAGATGTGATTAAATTAAATGTTAGGGGATGGGATATGATCCTGGATTATCTGGGTGGGCCTGGTGCAGTCACAATGGTTCTTATAAAGTCTGACTCAGAAAAGGAACTCTAAGTAAAGCTTTGGTAATCAACATTATTACTGAACGCATGCTGAGTTTGAATAGGCTCTGCTGTGACTTTTAATTTTTTTGTACAACCCCAAAACATAAGTGATATTCTCTTATTGGTTTTGAGTATTGAGTCCTTATAAGAGTACATGAAAGGACAGTTCCTACCTCACTGCTGACTAGAACAGTGGTTCTCAAATTTTAGTTTGCACTGGAATTACCTGGAGGGCTTGCTAAAAGACAAAAGTATCCGATTCAGAAAGTTGGGTGGGGCACAGAAATTTGCATTTCTAAGTTTTCCAGGTGTGGGTTTGTGAATGAGTGGAATGGGTAATCTACTCGTGAGCACTACTGGCCCAGAAGAAGGTTTCATAATCTTTGAAGGAAATGAAAAAAAAATCTACTTTAGGCTTATTGATCAAATTAACAACAAATCAATCTCTCTCTCTCTCTCAAGATTTCACTAATCCTTGTATTTCAGGCCCTTTGTTGATCATCTCATTGAATAAGCCATGTTACATTGGATAGCATCACATATAAGGATGGTTGTCAGTGCAATGAGAACTACTGTCAAAAAAAAAAATTGAGGAACAATGTTTTATATAAAGCACCTCTGAAAACCTGCAGATATAACGAATATTTATTATTAAATATTTTTAATCCTTTTTCATCCTTTTGAGATTAGTAAGACTCAAGTACTTCTCTATTTTCAAGAAGAAACTCATTATTATTATTATTATTATTTTTTGAGATGGAGTTTTGCTGTCGTTGCCCAGGCTGGAGTGCAATGGTGCTGTCTTGGCTAACTGCAACCTCCACCTCCCGGGTTCAAGCAATTCTCCTGCCTCAACCTCCCAAGTAGCTGGGATTACAGGCACCCACCACCACACCTGGCTGATTTTTGTATTTTTAGTAGAGACGGGGTTTCACCGTGTTGGCCAGGCTGGTCTCAAACTCCTGACCTCAGGTGATCTGCCCACCTTGGCCTCCCGAAATGGTGGGATTACAGATGTGAGCCACCACATCTGGCCAGAAACTCAATTATTTTTGTTTTTTGAAAAAATAGTGGAACCTCCATTAGGCTATTCCCTTAATTCCAAATCTTGTGCTCTATCAGTTGATCCTCATGACCTAATCCAAACATAATTCCTTTTTCATACTTTGCTACATTGCTAAGAATGTAAACATTACAGTGACGTTTTAGATTCCTGTATCTTTATCTGTATGTACATGTGTGTGCAATACATGCTCAAGTATGTCTGTGTATATATCAAATTGTTTCTGTGAAACAAAGAAACGGAGGGGTGGTGAGAGTTGAATTGATTCTTGGAAAATGCATCCATGCTTTTGTGTTTCCTTCTTTTGATAAATATAATTACTTTAAAATAAAACCTTCTATATTGTCTTTCCACTGTGTGAACTATTTAAAATTCCCAAAGAAAGAGTTTAAGGAACATGTGATCTGACTGAGTTGCTAACATGTGACCTGGAGGAGTTTACCTGGCCTCTTTTAGTCTCAATTTTCTCATCTGTAGTGAAAACAATAATAGTCTCATCCTAGGTTTCTGATGAGGATTATATAATATAGTACTTGGAAGGTTTTTAGCACACCATGTGTTCATTAATAATTACTTATTAGTATTCTCAGCTATTTAATACTATATTCTCACTACTCCTATTTGCAAAATAGCACTGTTAGGTCTCCATGGAGCTCTGAATAAATCTTTTGACCATAAGAACATTATGATTCAGCATCTAAACCTATAATTTTTTACATGCTAATAGTCTAGGTATTACTGTTTGAAATACATTATGTTAAGCATCTGACCTCTTCCTTGTACTTTGAATACCTTGATCATTTCAGCTAAAGTTCACTGATGGGGCAAACTTTAGAAAGAATTAGGTAGAAGCATTCACTGACTAATTCAGTCAAGGAACAATTCTAGAATTCCTACTATGTACCACATACTCTTTTTTAGAGATACAGCAGTGAACCAAACATACCAAAAATTATGCCCCTGTGGTATTTATATTCTAGTGGAGTGATTGCTCTCAAAATTGCATAAAATAAAGGATGGCAATTATATTTATATAACTGCTAATTCAACTTTATCCATGTTTCAGATTTTCAAGAAATGCTCCTTTTTAAATTATCATAATAAAGCAGATGCAACTGAAGACCATTTACGTTCATTTTTACAATTCATCTAGACTCATAAGCACTAATAATAAATAATCTCTAAGTCATTGAAATATTGTCATTTATAGTAAGTATGTATTTGGTCTTTTTCTCCATTTCTTGGCAAACAACTGCTAAAGCCCATGGAATCTCCAAAATAGTGTCTTTGTGTGTAATAATGAGATGACTGATGGCTCTGGCCTCTTAGATAGCTTTAAGATGGAGGGCGGTTGCCAGGGGAACCAACCATGTTATTAGAGAGTTGGAACTTTTAGCCTTGCCCCCCCCCACCCCATGCCTTCCCTGACCTCTGGTAGAGGAGAAGGGCTGAAGGTTGACTTGATCACTGATAGCCAGTGATTTAATCAATCATGCCTATGTAATGAAGCCTTCATAAAACCCCACAATTCTTATGGAAACAGAAAAACTGAATCTGGCACTCTGCTTTACTAGACTAACTCCTGGGCTTTTCCATTCTGTAGCATCCAAAGGAAAAAATAAGTTTTGTGTTGGTTGATTTGCAGACAGGTGTGTAGCACTAATGACTGCATTCCAGAAGTGGCAGAGCTAAGGTGATTTGATTTTCTAAAATGGTAAAAAAGCCTTTGTAAAATTGCAAAGAAAACAAACCAAAATCTTCCTTTGGATTGCACATAGTTGAATTGCTAGAGAAATCAATTACATTAAACTTTGAAAAAAGATTTTACATGTTTATATTACGTGGAGTTAAATTACACGCTCATGTACTTAGTTTTTTTTTTTTTTCACCTTTGTCAATGTCTAAAGAGGCATCCCAAAGTCACAAAAATTGTGAAACATTGTTTTGTCATTTGGTAACGGCCAGCATATGACAAAACTTGTAACATATGTGCCCTGTGGTAGGCACAATAATGGCCTTCCCAAAGACATTCATATCCTGATTTTTGGAACCTGTGAATATGTTAGCATACATGGCAAAAGGAACTTTGCAGATATGATTAAATAAAGATCTTGAGATGGGGAGATTGCCCTAGATTATCCAGGTGGACTCAGTGTATTCACAGGGTCTTTATAAGAGGGAGGCAGGAGAGTTAGAGTCAGAGAGGATGAGATAGAAGCAGAATTTGAAGTGATGCGGGACCATGAGACAAGGAATATAGGCAGCCTTTAGAAGCTGAAAAAGGCAAACAGAAGGGATTCTTCCTTAGAGCCTCCAGAAGGAAAGCATTCCTGCTTACCCATTTTAGACTTCTCACTTCCAGAAATATAATAAATTTTTGTAGTTTTAAGGCACTAAGTTTTGGTTACTTGTTTACAGCAGCAATAGGAGATTAATTCATGTCCCAAGTACTTAAGGCCAGTATTGTCTTCCAATGAATGTGACGTCAAAAAAAGAAACCAAATATTTCTATACTGTTTCCTGTGGAGATGTACTACTCTGATTTTTTCCCTCTTCTCCATCCCTGCAGATGCTGACTGAGTTCGCTCTGATCATCTCCCATCTGAATCAATATAGCTTTCTAGAATTTTCCCATTCTTCAAACTTGCATCCCTCCAATCCAGCCCCCCACCATTTGATTGTTCAAACATTTTTTGTCAAACCTAAATCCTGTTATTTCTCTGCCTAAGCATCCTTATGGTCTCCTATGTTTCTGTGGAATAAAGTGCAAGCAGGTGACTTTGACTGACAAACCCCTCCATGATCTACATCTTGATTGCCTTTTCAGTCATCTCCCTCATCACATACTCATCTCTATACCCTGTGGTACAAACTGTCATCCCCAGTACAGATGAGATTATTTTCTTGCCTCTGGCTCTTTGTTCAAACTTTTCCTACTGAATGAGATGCCCTCCTCTCTCCTCTTCACTCCCATTCCCTATTTTATTTTATTTTATTTACTTATTTTGAAACAGAATTTTGCTCATGTTGCCCAGGCCAGAGTGCAATGGCACGATCTCAGCTCACTGCAACTTCTGCCTCCCGGGTTCAAGCGATTCTCCTGCCTCAGCCTCCCAAGTAGCTGGGATTACAGGCATGTGCCACCAGGCCCAGCTGATTTTTGTATTTTTAGTAGAAATGGGTTTTCACCATGTTGGTCAGGCCGGTCTCGAACTCCTGACCTCAGATGATCTGCCCTTCTCGGCCTTCCAAATTGGTGGGATTACAGGAGTGGGCCACCGTGTCCAGCCCCCCTTTTTTTAAAAACAAAACAAAACTTTTTCTTGTTTTTAGGACGTTTGCTCAAAGAAGCTTTGTGTTATTCCTCTAGTTAGAACTGACCATGTTCTTCTTTAGGAACCCATTTCAACGTGTATATACTTCTATTATAAAATATACACATATTTCTATTATAAAATATACACCGTCATCCTGACTTGTTTGCGTTTCCATTTCTCATTTCTAGCCCATGAGTGCCTAGGTGGCAGGAATGATGTTTTATTAGTCTCTGTGTTCCCAGCAACGAATATAGTATTTCAGAGAGTAGTAGGGTGCCTAATAAAGGCTTGATGAGTGAATTAAATTAACCAGTGCTCACCTGAGGACATATGACATTTGATGAAAATTATACATTGATTTCAGCTGTAAGAAATGATATTTAAATTATTATCCAGCCAAGGTTTGTTTTCTTCAACGCATCACTTAACATGCCCCTGTAGAATGCCATTGAGCCACTTAAATTATGTATTTTTGTATGTTTGTTTGTTTTCTTTTTTGAGACAGAGACTATCTCTGTCGCCCAGGCTGGAGCACAGAGGCTTGATCTGGGCTCACTGCAACCTCTGCCTCCCGGATTCAAGTGATTCTCCTGCCTCGGACTCCTGAGTAGCTGGGCCTACAGGCTCATGCCACCACACATGGCTACTTTTTGTATTTTTAGTAGAGATGGGGTTTCACCATGTTGGCCAGGCTGGTCTCGAACTCCTGACCTCAAGTCATCTGCCTGCCTCGGCTTCCCAAAGTGCTAGGATTGCAAGCATGAGCCACCGCACCCACCCACATTATGTATTCTTCATTGAGACTGTGTTCCTATTCTTTTTTCCCCGGATTTCTTGATGAGCATTTTGTGAAAGCACAAGTAAAATAATGTTCTCAAGTCAAAACAAATTAAATAAATCAATTCCTATTAGTACACTGGACTTGTCATAGAAGACAATTTTGTGAGTCTATATGAGATGTACTGTGTTGTTCCTAAAGCCATGATGATTTCTGTTATTCCATAGAAGTCTAATAAAGCATTCACAGAGTAAATTGTACAGTGTTAAAAACCTGCCATCTTTATCACTTTCAGTAACACCTTCTAAATGATCGTGAGTAATTTGTGATTTTAAAAATTATATTTTTAGGTATCAAAGCAATAATGAAAGCTTTTTGTCAAGTGAATCACTAAGTAAAAGTTTGCATTTATCATTCATGTAATTACAGAATATTCAATTGACTGGAAACATTCCTTAACACTTTCTTCTTAAATAAGCATGGTGGTAAATTTCCAATGATGTCTATATTCTTACGTTTTGTTTTTTCACAGAGGATCTTAATGGCATGTATTCCTAACCTGACTTTATATTGCTATATGACTTTGGGGAAATTACTTACCCATGCTAGGCCTCTGCTTCTCTAACTCTAAAATGAGAATAATAATGTTGATAATTTCAGGAGGTTGTTGTGAATATCAAATGAAAATGCCAGTAAAGCACTTACCGCAATGCCTGGCTCAAAGTAAACGCTTGATCAAGATTAGCTATAAATATCATTACTAGTTGTGGATACCTGTGCTTTATTTGTTTATGACATAATGCTCTTCATTTAGGAGGCACTCTATGAGTGCTGTTGACTCCATGATACTCCAAGTCATAAAACATAATTAAACTACAAACCTGGATGTCAAGGTGATTTACAATGTAACAGAGATATGATAAATCTACAACTAATTATAAGGAAGTATATGATTAATTGCTTGAGAAGGTCAAATGTGTAATAGGTTTATAAAGAAAGCAGAAATGACATTTTTAGCTGGGCTCAGGTATCATGGTGTCACAGCAGCAAAAAAAAAAGGCTCCATTTAAGCATTTAAGAATGGGTCTAATTTTGACAAAGGAAATAAAGAGGTATTCTAGGCAAGGGGCAGCAAATGACTAAGAAGAAGGAGGAGAGTGGAAATACTTAAATAAAGCAAATAGTTTTAGTTTTACTTCAGTCACCCTACTATTAGTTTGAGAATTTTTATTACCTTTATCTCTAAATAAAACTCACTGTTAATAGGTGTTTACATAACAGCCTGTAATAAGCTTTTAATATTTGTTTTCATGTTGATGTGTGAAGGTTTTTTTATTCATAAAAATTATGACACATACAAAATATAGTGTTGCTATAAAAATGAATGATGATCATACCAATTTTTTAAACAGCTAGATACATGCAGCAGAGTTGAAAGCAAATAACAAAAATTCTGGTATGAAAAATGATGTAATTGGCCTCATAAGTCTTCTTTGTGACCAACTTGGACAGTTGCTCTGGCTGATACAATTCGTTTTGCTATAATCAACTATTAGGATGCCAGAAATGAGTTTGACACCTTGAGTACAATCCTTTAGTCCAGTTTTGAAAAAGGCTAGGAACTCTGCAATAGTAAAAATATTAAAAAGTCAGTTTAGGTTGAGAAACCCTTGATTTAAAAGACTTTTATTTGCAACAATGGCCTAGTAGAAAGGAAAGAAAGATAGAATATAAGAAAAAGGAGGAGGAAAGACAAGTATATTTGTAATCTTGTTCCCATAGTTGTGGCATTAAGTTACCACGGTTGCAGGAAAAAGAAAATTCATCTCTAAACTGATCTAAGGTAGGACTGGAGTGTCATATCTTTAATACATATTTCTGTTATTACTAATAATTATAATGATAATAATAGGTATTTACTTATTGACTAGTATATGACAGATATTCTATGTGGTGTTTGTGTACATAATTTATAATGCAAGAGAAATTTTTAAAAAGGTATGTACATTTCATAGGTAAGGAAGTCAAGGTTTAATGAATAAGTGACAAAATCAGCATTTGAAATTTTTTCTGCAGAAAAGTAAATACCACATATTCTCACTTATAAGTGGGAGCTGAATTATGAGAACACATGAACACATGGAGGGGAACACCACACACTCGAGCCTGTTGGAGTTGGGGGGGAGGGAGAGCATCAGGAAGAATAGCTAATAGATGTTGGTCTTAATACCTAGGTGATGGGATGATCTGTGCAGCAAACCACCATCTACCTATGTAACAAACCTGCACATCCTGCATATGTATCCCTGAACTTAAAAGTTGGAAATCCAAAATAAAAATAAAGAAACTTGTTCTGTATAACAACAAAGTATTTAGCCATTCCTCTGTTCTAGACTTGGTCTAGAAGGGTCTTGCATGATGTTTGGCTTATAAATTGAGGAGCAAATGAATATTTTATGAAAACATTTACTAATCCTCAGAATCTTCTGCCAAGAATTATGACATGTGTAAGACTTGACTCTACTTGAAAGCTAACAAGGTAGCTTGCCACAGGTTCATGAATACTGGCACAAAAGACACAGAGTATTGGGACAGAGGCAAATGGCCTTATTACTCATGGCAATAAAAACTCCCCAAACCCCAATTCTGAGGGTGTGGCATGAAAAAGGTCAGATGACGCCTGTTTGTACTGTGAGTTGCATTATAGGATAGGAACCCTGAGTATAGGGAAGGTAAATCTTTATACTGGACAGTAAGCATGCATGCCCATTGCTCTGAAAGGAGACACTGTCTTCATCTTCCAAGGCCGTTCACAATGCAAACATCTTTTAAAACATCATCTGCACCAAAGTACCTCTACTTGCAAGACTTAAAAAAATGTGAGCAATTCAAGAAGAATTTTCTCCTAACACCTTTCATTTACACAAATGTATTCTTAGGCACATGGAACCAATCTATCCCGTTTTCACCCCTTACTCCCCTATCCTCATACTCTTCTGCTTTAACTGTTATTTAGATTCCACCATGCTGCCATAGGAGAGACTCTAGCTGTAATACATTCAAACTGACATTGACCAGCCTGAAACTGGAAGGAAACCATATACTTATTTGGCACAAGGGAACTTGGCTAACTCTGAAAAGCTGGTCTAAACTGCCCTCTAGAGCTCTACTCTACCAATTAGTGCCAAATCTAACCAATTACATGCAGTTCCCATGCATATTCCTCTCTTTGTAAATGAAAAGTAAGAGCTAAGTAAGCAGTGGGTCACCCAGCTTCTGGCTAAACTAGAATAGCTTGCTTCCCCAGGAGCCTGCAATACTTACAGCCTCAACCATGTGGTTAAAATCATTCTCCTTCCACAGACTACTCCTCTGTGTCTTTACAATGAACTTCCATCCCTTTAAGCAATCTCTGCATGTCTCTTCCTTTGTGACTCTGAGAAATTTGACTGGCAGGATAGGACTATATTTATCTTCCTAATTTTAAAAGCATTTAATTACCAATAATTACCACCAATGTGATTTTTTCCCCTAGTGCACATTAAAAATTTTGAATCCCATTTTCTGTAATAATTTAAGTTGATCTGGAGGGACAGAGAGTAATTAATTATCTATAATTTCTCAAACTGTAAATGCCGAATTTATTGAAGTGAAACAAATCCAGGGTAGAATAAGGCTGAAATAAATAGGATTGCATGAGAAAGAAGGATGCAGCAAAATTAAATATTTTTTCAAAATTGAAAGAGCTTAAAGCTCTTAAGTACTGTAGTTGGGTTAAAACATACACTTTTTTTTTTTTTTTTTTTGAGATGGAGTCTTGCTCTGTTGCCCAGACTAGAGTGCAGTGGCACAATCTGGGCTCACTGCAACCTCCGCCTCCTGGGTTCAAGCGATTCTCCTGCCTCGGCCTCCCAAGTAGCTAGGATTGCAGGTGCCCGCCACCATGCCTGGCTAATTTTTTTATTTTTAGTAGAGATAGGGTTTCACTGTCTTGGCCAGGCTGGTCTCGAACTCCTAACCTCGTGATCTACCAGCTTCGGCCTCAATGTGCTGGGATTACAGGTGTGAGCCACCACGCCCGCCCACTATTTTAATCAGTATGTCAGGTCATGTCTCCTAAAGCCCTTTTTAAACAAAAATTGAGTGTTTATTGCTTGCAAAATGTTTTTACTGTAATGAGTTTAATATACAACTGTGAGCCATAAGAAGGGAACAATTGAGAATTGTGTTGTTTTTGTTTTTTGTTTTTCCACTGTGGTTCTTTAATAATTGGTATAGTTTAGATAGTACGTGTTTTTTATTTGCCAAATATGTAAACGTTCTTATGAGCTTCTTTACAGAACGTCTTCAGTGTGAATAAGAATAAAGCAGAATATAAGATGTGTCTGTGCATTTTGCAACGTATTGCCATTTAAAGGGCATGGATTTTGGACTCAATCACACTTAAGTGTTATAAGCTCTGAATGTATTAATGATATGATTTTGGACAAGATATTTAACCTCTCTGATACTATTTTCATTATCTCTAAGCTGGTGATAATATTTATGTTGCAAATCTCTTGTGAGGGCATTATGGAATAAATTATAAAGATATCTAAATCAGTGTCTAGAACTCTTTAAATGTTATCTTCATTTCCCCCTCTTTTTCCTAGTTTTTCTTGTTCCCTTATGTTCCCTAATTATCTTAATATCTAATTCTTCCTGTTATATAAGTTCTCAGAAGAATTATATATTCATATAAAGTAAGTGTTCACCTGTTTTCAGTAATTTCATTATCTCCCATTTGAGAAATTAGAATTATTTCATTACTGCTGGTAAATATGAAAAGAACAAGAAGAAGAGGGAAAATATTATATATTTTCCTACCCAACTTTTTCCTAAAGCTTAGCACTAAAAGCTCAATTTTTATATATACGTTCATAAATTACTTGAATCATTCAAAAGTTGTCTGGGATAATGTGTGATTCATATTTTATATCTCTACTCTGGCACTATCAGATCTGTATATCAGGAAATGTACTTTGAAAACTCTAGATCTTTATACCACAAACACAAGGCATTACTATTGATAATAATATAATCCAGTTATGGGCCACACATTGTATGAGGCATTAGAAGAAGTATGACGTGAATGGCATGTTGGGTCATGGTTTAAGAGATAAGTGGTTTAGAGCATGGACCTTGAAGTTAGGCAGATCTTGTTTCAATCCTGACTATCACTCACTGTTTGAACTTAGACATATCATCTAAACTCTCCAAGCCTCAGTTTCCTCATCTCTAAGATGTGACTAATACTTACTACCTTACAGTATCATTGTAGGATACGATAATGTATGCAAAGTGTGATGTATACTGACTAGTACTTAATGCAAATTTAATAAATGGTAATTATTAGTACTATTGCTAATAAGACAAGACATCTGTCCTTATGGACTGTCAGTGTAGTTGAGAATAGAGGATCATACGCTATTTGGTATCATATGAAGCCAGATGTCCTATTTCCAATAATAGAGGTTTTTTAAAAAGTACTAAATGGGTATAAGAAAGATTAAGTTTCATTGGTTGACTCTCCAAATCGATTTCAGTAGCAACCATATTCCTTGCACGGACTATCAAACTGTGGTACCTGCTGCAGAGGGATTCTACTGATATTAACTTATGTTGGTGTTAAGGATTAGTCAAAGTTGTTGTGAACATGACAAAATACTAAAAGCACTTAGCACAGTTGATGGGATACACCAGTAATTTTATAGATGTTGCCCATTTGTATATTCTTGTCAAGAACCAATTTTGTAAGGCAGAGCTTACAAAAGACTGTTCCTTGCTGAGAAGGCTGACAGATTCCTGGTAATTGATGCCGATGTGTGTTGAACCATAATTATGAACTATAATTAGTACTATCCTCCATAGATTAGAATGGTCTTTATGGAAATCCTTTTTTCAATTAAGTACTGTTTATGGCTTATGCCAATACATTCAGTATTAAGTCAGAACTCTTCCCTGATGAAAGCATGATGAATCTTGCAATGACCTTTATAAACTTAATAAAATAACATTAATTTTAAAATCTTGTATCCAACTCAATTATATACTGGTGTATTGAGGATCTGTTCTCTATAACTGAGGTGAATAATACGAGAAAATCAAATAATATTGACCAGTTGACATGAAAAAATACTTATTTTGGAATTGGCTGTATTGATATTATATTCTCTGAAATGCGCATATATTTCACCATGTCTCAAATAATAGATTGTATATAGTTAAGAAACATTTGTCATTCAAGCAAAAAATGAGTTTCATGTATTTGCAATCTAATATATATAGGTATATGTATATATTTGTGTTTGCACTGATCAAACAAGGTTAAATGTGGCTTTCTTGCCTATTTATATAACTAATTGTGATGTACATTAATTGAGGTAATGATTTAATAATTATAAAAATTAAATAAATAAGCACTACGTATATAATGTAATAAACAGAAATCAACCTTATCACTTACTTTTCTTTTAAGTGTATTGGGCTATTGTTCCTCATGTTCCATGAAACCTAGTCCGCATTTTATAACCCTCGGAGTCACTTTCAGGAGAAAAAAGAAAAGCCCTCCTCTCAGTGATTAATGTGGCCTGTAATAATCAAAACTCTGTACTTATTTTAAAGCAGTGGTTTCCTTCTTCATTTCCCCCCACCTCCCCATCAGTCTGGCCCAGCAGCAAGCTAAAAGCCCAGTCAGAAAAGGAGATATTATTTGATTTCTTCTTTCTTTCCCTGCCATGTACTTTGACACCTTTTGCTGTATCTTTCAAACCAGGTTTTGGATTCCTTATGATTAGAGTGTGGGGAGGGAAAAGAAATAAAGGGGGCAGCAGAGTGTTAACTTAACTGGCATTGTGGTAATAGTCCACAGGGCGCTTCAGAGGTAGCACCGACCTCCCCCATGGAGAAACCTTCTGCCTGTGGTTTCTTTCACTGGATAAAAGTACCTCCATTTCAGCTTACTACAGTCTCCGCCCTCATCCCCAGGCATTTAGAAGCTCTTTTCACATCCTTCTGCTGAGGCATGTGGCCCTTACAGAGATTTATCTTGGTCAGGGTCTAAGATGCGACTACCCCAGCTCCTTGTCGCACGTGGCCCACCTCTGTTCCATTCATGCTCCAACAAAATTTGAGACCAACTCCAATGCAAGAGCAAACTCTCCTTTGCTATGGAACTCCCCAGCTAGCCAGTCTACTCAGCTATGTATCAGGCAGCAGTCTATTCTTTCGTTCTCCACAAACCGAAGGGTGAAGGTTTTCTCTTGACTCAGAGTGAAGGGGAAAGTATTCCCCACCCCTCCAAAGGGGACACGACTCGCAGGCATATGGACAGTTGACTCCAAAAGCTGTTTCAACTTCTTACCCCTTTATGCCCTTGTGTGTGGGTAGTCAAGAGCCATGGCAGATAGAAGGTGTCTTGTTCTTCAACTGAAACTTAAATTTTAAATTGCATTACATAATTTTTCAGTATTTCTCTATTATCTTTACAAAAGAACATATACTTACTGAAAACAAGGTATCTGGCATCCCTAGTGTGCATTTTGGTGGCCCCAAAATTTCTTTGCAGTGAACACATTTAATAGATGGAGTGATTATTTAACAGGGAAGCATTTATTTGAACTCTTAACTGTTTAATATAACCAACTAGTTTATTTCTTTTACATTGTAATGCACTAAAAGTAACTATAAACTAGAAAACCAAATCTATATCATTGAGGAACAATTCTATTCTCAACATTGAATGCCATTTTAAGATTAATGGTTTTGGCTTATAATAAGAACTAAATATAATTTTAAAAAGCTATTTTCCTATTTATCCATTTATGATATCTTCCAAATAAAATGTGATTCCACTAAAATTATTGATGATATTACCATAAATTCCTAATATAAAACAGACAAAAAATATATGTAGCAATCTATTTTCTTTGACTGTTGTCATAAAAACTATTGGATATGTGGCGTGTGTGAATATATTATGGTTATGTTCAGAACTTATTATCTAACTTTTTCTCATGAGGAAAAATGATTAGGAAGTATGTTAGTACTAACCATTAACTAGAACAGTTAATATGTTAAATGTTCATAATATTAACAATAGCGTTTTAAGCACATACCTTAAAGAACAGTTTAGATATTAGCCAAAGAATAGTATTATTATTATTATTGGTTGAGTGTTCTATATTTACATTATAGGATTTTTATTAGATAGCATGCTTATAAACATTCTTCATATAAAATATAGCTAAAAGTTGAGTGATTGAAGATAACTTTATTGTTTTTTAGTTTATAATTTACTTTGCTATAATAATCTTTCCCATATGAATATCATATTGATTATCAGATTTTCCACTTTGAATTTTGTATTTGTTTTTTCAAATTGTCAGTGTTGTTAATATTGACAAGTAGAAATAGGTAAATTGAACAACCAAGCTACATTAGTATTTCCTACTAATTTTTTAAATTGCTAGTGATTAAATTAAATGTCTTATATAACACAAATTCTCAGAATTCCCATATTACCATCTTCTAAAATAAAGTTTTCTGTTTTTTAATTTATAATATTCATCAATAGAAACTGCATCAGAAAATAGCCCATATATTAACTCTTGCATTTAAGATTTTGGCAGAATAAAAGATAAATAGCCTTTTAGGAAAAAATGTACCCTATTTCTCCCCCAATACATCGTAGATCTAGGGTAAAACTACTCTTTTATAGAAAGGCAAATCAATTGAAATATAGAATTATTCTATAGATATAGTGTAGTAAAAGATTAGGGCAGGTTGGAGGCGGGTGTCATGATAAAAATGTAGAACAAGGGAGTAATTTTATGATGATGAAATGAAACAGCCTATATCTTGGTTGTCATAGTGGTTCCACAAAATGATACATATAATAAAATTGTAAAGAATTAATACACACATAGGCAAATAAATTCCAATAAAAACTGGCAAAATCTAAAATACTATATGTAGATTGTACCAATGTCAATTTCCTAGTTTTGATATTGTACTAGGGTTACATGTTACTTATGGAGTAAACTGGATAAAGAGGACAGGAGACTTCTCTGTATTATTTTTGCAACTTCTTGATCTATATTTATTTCAAGTTAAACGTTGAGGAAAGATAACCTCTTGAATGTTTTAGAGTTTCTTCCATTTAACCAAAGTTGTGAATTGTTTTTCCTCAAGAGACCTGTTTTTCACAGTAAGGTTGCTTAAAATTAGAGAATGGCCTAGGAAATTAGGTATATCATTAATATCAAATATACTTAAGTAAATTAAAAGAGCATTTAAAAATCATTGGACTGAAATACTTTGAATCAAATTCTGAAAGAGAAACATTACCATATATAAATTAGGCAAAGATTATTATGATTATTTAACAAATAAATTTAGCCATGTAAATGCTTTGTTTTTTTCTCATGAACATCATTTATATTCATGGCATTGTTAGTAAAAGCTAGTACCTCTGTTTTTATAGATTTTCATTTTTTTAAAACATTAACACAAAAATGATTTATACAGTGTATTAAAAGATCAGTCCTCTATTGCACTGTTAGCAAGGGCTATCTAAAGCAAATAGGACCTTGAGATCTAAATGTATTGCTGCATTCATGTGTAGATATCTAATGTGTACCCACCATGTGCTAGACACTATTACAGAAGCTGTGGTGTAGCATTTGGGGAGAAAAAGAAAACAAACCCCTTTTCCTCAAAGACTTTTCTTTCTGTTCTGGGGAGATGGAAAAACAAATACATGTGTTTCAGGTAAAAATATTTAAAACGAGATTTGGTCTATAAAAAGTTGTTTAAAAGACACTGGTATTTAATAAAGACGAAGGAATTACTTGGGTATGAAATGGTAATTATATTTATTAATAGAGCCCACAAATGTAGTATTAGCATCATACTCAGCATTTAGAGAATTCTCAGGAGTGGAGTCGATGCATATCTTTTTTCTCACATGCCCCACAGTTCCTTTACCAGAGGAAATGTTCCCTATATATAATTTGAATGCATTGTCATTACTTTTTTTTTTTAACACTGCTCCCCTTGAAGTGGGTCTTCCAGTATTGGAGATCAAGTTCCACAGTCACCTCAGTTTATAGGTGAGAAAACCTATTTGAAGTTAACTCGCCCCAACCCATTTAATCAGCAAATGGCAAAGATGAATTTCAGTTCTGGTCCTCTGACTCCAAGTCCAGAACACTTTCAGGGTAGGAAGAATTATCTCAGAATATCTTTTCAAATAGATCTAGCACAACACTCTCAACTTCATTTTCCCAGAGTCTTATATATTGATATGCTTTTCACAGATATTTACTGAGTACTCTGTATGTACATGGTTTCTAGGTGCTGGGGGTGAGAAGAGATATAGTGAAGAATGAGACCTAGGTTCTGACGTCAGTCCTAAACTGTGAAGTAGAAATTCTGTGTGTGCACAAATGATTACAGTATTAATACAAGGGAGAAAGTGGATCATGCCATGAGGGAGGCATAGATAAAGTGCTATGGAAGACCACAGAAAGATCAACTGCTTCTATTTCCAGACACCCAGGAAGGTTTCCCAAAGGAAGTGGCTTTTGTTTTAGGCTTTGAATTGGGAGGATTGTGGCAATGGAACTGAGGCTGTACTTGGGATAAGTACTTTTATCTCTCCAATATAGTAAATTCACCAATATCGTCCAAAAGTTTGTTCATTTATCTAACTAATTACTTTTTTTTTTTTTTTTTTTGGAGACAGAGTCTCACTCTGTCACCCAGGCTGGAGTGCAGTGGCGCCATCTGGGCTCACTGCAACCTCCGCCTCCCGGGTTCAAGCGATTCTCCTCCCTCAGCCTCCCAAGTAGCTGGGATTACAGACATGCGCTACCACGACTGGCTAATTTTTGTATTTTTCTGTAGAGACGGGGTTTTGCCATGTTGGCCAGGCTGGTCTCGAGCTCCTGACCTCAGGTGATCCACCCGCCTCGGCCTTCCAAAGTGCTGGGATTACAGGCATGAGCCACTGCACCCGGCCTATCTAACTTCTTAACCTAAATCCCTGAACCTTCCAATTTCTGTAGAAATTTACACTCTGAAGCAGTTAGGTGGATTCCTAAATTTCCTAGATAGTAATATGTCTAAACAAATTTTCTTCGGTAATACTTGACAATACTACCCCATTATCAAAATAACTTGAAGTTAGCTGCCAAAAAGTCCAGATTTATGCCAGGCTGTCACCATGATGATTTTAAATTTCTGCATTAGTAGATATTAAACATTTCCAAAAGTGCTTAAATTTCCATCCACTAATTTTTTTGTCATAAAATAGAGATTGCAGATGTATTTTGTACTTTGAAGAATATTAAGGGCTGAATAAGGTGGAAGCACTTACAACTAATGAGCCTGCACATCTTGAGTGAGCTACCTAGAGAATGTTTCTCCTTAGCAATAAAGAACGACAACTGCTTTGTTCTAGCTCAGTAATAACAATAATATCGTAGTATGTCCTTTGGGAAACTAACTGAAATATAAGTTCAGATAAGTTCACATCCTTGTAAAGCAATGATATTTTGCTATGTTGCTTTCCTACTTAAAGCTGCCATGGATAATGCACAATTAAGTCAACACATCTAGGCTTACCAAAAATAAATTCCTAGATTGTATTTGGTCTTATCCATACAAATGCTTTTGGTTTATGGGCCTGACAATGGAGGAGATTGGAGGTCAGAATAATCTCATAACAGTTACTGGTTGAAGGCCTCTTGTTAACCCATCATTATTGCTTTGTTCCTATGACCTGGCATCAGACTTACCCTTCTAATCAGCAGTGCAGACCTCCCCCACCACCCCTCCTCCCATTTTAACTAGAACTCTGCAGGGAACCTCACACTTGCTTGACTGAGCCATAACTCATTGTTTAGGTCTGGCCAGTTTTTTCTCTTGGGGGCAGTAAGTTCCTATATCTTAACTGCCAACTCCTGTAAAGGGTAATTCTCCATGATGCTGCATGGTATTACACTATACTATATAATATAATACTATACTATTATATTAATATAATGGGAAGCAATAATATTGCATCCTGCCTTACCTTCTATCTAGTGTATATTTTCCTAATCATAGGAGCTGGCTTTTGGATAGCGATGCCAGTCCTGCTCAAACCCAACTTCATCTTTTTCTTTTAGATACGATTTTAGGATTCTTAGAGGTTAGAGCCACATACTTTCCTTATTCTGTGTCCCTTCAGTCTTGTTGGCCCTTTAGGTTACATCTATAAAGCCTAAATATATGCGTTTTAAGTTTTAATTATTCACTGTGAGTTTTTGTTTAACTGAATTATTTAATTTACTTATATACAAGTTGAACAAAAAATTAAGTAGAATCTGAAAGTTATCATTCTTGCTTTCTACTTAGAAATATAGAAATCATTTCCAAAGAAACAACTGCTTTATTGTAACCAAGGCTTGATTTAGAAAAAAACAATCCATGATTTTTAAATGTCTGATGTCTGTTTGGAGAATTATCTCAGGCTCTCTGGGGGGAAAAAAGAATTAGTGTATTTGATTCATACTGCCCATCTCTAAACCCAATTGACAGCCCCACTTTAATGAAAATGCAGCCTGACTTTCCTGAGTGAATCACTATCTGATTATACAAATGGCCCACAAATTTCTCTGCATTCTCTATGCCTATACTTCCTTCATTCTTGGCAGTAAATTTTAGAAAGGTTGCTGATTTTTTATATACATCCTATATTATAGGGCATGTGAGTGACATTCTAATTTTTTAAAGTAGGCAATTTAGACTGTTATTTAAATTATAAGTTTACTGGGTATCAGCATTATATTTTCTTAGTTCTTTAAGGAGGTATTTCAGTGAGAATTTTTTTTTTTTTTTTTTGAGATGGAGTTTTGCTCATGTTGCCTAGGCTGGAGTGCAGTGGTGCAATCTCGCCTCACCGCAACCTCCGCCTCCCTGGTTCAAGCGATTCTCCTGCCTCAGCCTCCCGAGTAGCTGGGAATACAGGCATGCACCACCACACCAAGCTAATTTTTGTATTTTTAGTAGAGACAGGGTTTCTCTGTGTTGGTTAGGCTGGTCTTGAACTCCTGACCTCAGGTGATCCACCGGTCTCGGCCTCCCAAAGTGCTGAGATTACAGGCGTGAGCCACCGTGCCCGGCCTCTTCTACCCATTTTATTTTGGCCATCATTGTACAATATTTTGATCCTTGAGTTGGATAAAAATAGAAGACATGCTTTTCAAATATATGGATTATGCAAATTAAAGTAACAGAATAGAGATTTATGAACCACTCTCAGGCTAGAAGGAAGTGACAATTTAATAAGAGAACATTTAATAAGGATACACACAGAATCCTGTTCTTGGTCACAGTAGTGCACTGCAGAAATAAAGAACAAGGAAGATGCCGCTAGATTTGGCAAAAAAGATTTTAGGTTTTTTTTTTCTTTTTTTCTTTTTCTTTTTTTGAGATGGAGTCTTACTCTGTCACCCAGACTGGAATGCAGTGGCATGATCTCGGCTCACTGCAGTCACCGCCTCCCAGGTTCAAGCAATTCTCTGCCTCAGGCTCCCGAGTAGCTGGGATTACAGGTGTCCGCCACGACACCCACCTAATGTTTGTATTTTTAGTAGACACGGAGTTTCACCATGTTGGCCAGGCTGGTCTCGAACTCCTGACCTCATGATCCACCCACCTCTGCCTCCCAAAGTGCTGGGATTACAGATGTAAGCCACTGCGCCCAGCCAGATTTTAGAGTTTTCATGCATTGGTAAGCTCAGCATAAGTTGACAGTTTGATGTGACTATTAAGCAGGCAATGGCAATTGTTGGCCACTTTAATATAAATATATTCCCTGGGTCAGTATTTCTCAGAGTGGCTTATTGCATCAAAATTACCTGGAGAAATTGTAAAGTATAGAATGCAAGACCCAACAAGTTATCCACTGAAACGAAATCTCTTGGTGTGGGATCTGTATTTTTAAAAAAACTTTCAGGCAGTTTTTATGCAAATTAAACTTTAATAACCATTAAAATGGACTAAGGGCAATTTTGATGCTATTCTGTTTTATCCTGTTTTATCACTGCAGGATAGTTGCGTTTTACTCTCTTGCTTATACTTTAAGAAGGGTGTGAAATTTTGGCTGCATTCGGGAAAAAAGCAACTTTACAAAAATGGGGAACTAATTCATGTCCATGAGTAATGCATGGAGAAAATGGAACTTTTACATATTTAGGATATAATTGAACAATTAAATAAATTATGGTGGTTAATTTGACTGTTATTCATGAATATCTGATAAATATCCACTACCATAAAGAGATTGTTGTGAATATCAGATAGTAACATGAGAAAATGTTTGTATAAATAACGTTACACAAATATTTTGATTACAAGTGTCTAAAAAGAAGATGCACATTAAATAACACCAGAAAAAATACACCCAAATGATAAGTGGTTTTCTTTGAATGATACTATAATCACTTTTTTTTTTGCAAAATAGTCTCTGTTTATGAATATGCTCTTATATACTTAAATTAATTTTCAAAGTTAATAAAAACTATGATATTGTTAATTACCTCAAATAATAAAGTATACTGTAGATGAGCAGTTCCCAGTCTTTTTGGCACCGGGGACTGGTTTCATGGAAGACAGTTTTTGCGCAGATTAGGGGGCGGTGCAGCTGATTTCGGGGTGAAACTGTTCCACCTCAGATCATCAGGCATTACTAAGATTCTCATAAGGAGCACATAACCTAGATCCCTCGCATGCGCAGTTCACAATAGGTTTGCTCTCCTATGAGAATCTAATGCTGCTGCTGATGTGACAGGAGGCGGAGCTCAGGTGGTAATTCTTGCTAGCCTCCTGCTGTGCGGCCTGGTTACTAACAGGCCACGGACTGGCCCTGGTCTGCGGCCTTGGGGTTGGGGACCTCTGTTCTAGATGATAAAACATTATTTTTTTCTAATACAGGCAAATATAAAGAATAATGGTATGAAACGAATGGAAGTAAATTCTGACTGGATTTAGGAAAAAATTTTTTCTGGGTCTCAATAGGATGTGATAAAATTCACTTATTTAATCATATGTACCAAGTTCTACTTTTTAAATTTTGTTGAAGCAAATGCAATTTATACTTTTTTTACACCATATTCATTAAGTACCTACTGTTTGTTCAGGATATACCCATGGCTGTTTTGCTATACTGATGGAAGTTTATAAGGCTATGTATTAAATAAATAATGTTCTGGTTTTTAAGTTGTGTATTTAGAACATAGGCCTGAAAGCAAATGCTTGTGTAAAAAGAAAAAAAAAATCCAACAGTCAAAAAGTCAGGTCTATGTTATAAGAAATACAGCATTCCTGGAAAATTGCAGTGCTTTACATTGCCCAGATGTTATCATCGCTGTTGGGTTCCTTGGCAGAGTCATTCAGAGGCTCTGCATAGCTAATACTATCATGGTTCTCTGTGGCACAGCCCCCCCTTGATTGCATTTAGTATCTTCTTCCTCCAGCTTGGGGCTTAGCAGTTTCTACTCAAAAAAGTGACACAGCAATAAAATTTGAAACCATAGAATGATCACTCATCCTAGTGATGTGTTATTTGGCATCTTTGAATATATGACTATTGCAAATAGTTCATTTCAAATTTTAGCAGATTGTTTTTTCTCAATTCAAAATCACATTGAAAGGGGGAGAGAAAACTGCCACAGTGGAACGTTTGCAGGTACTCCATTTTTTCCCAATAAAATAATGTTTTATCATAAATTCAGCATGTGTTAAGATTGACATATTTATAGCATATCTGGGCAGGATATAGCAACTAGAGCTGTAATGATTGCTTTCTCTACTATAAAAACTATGACGCTCATATTAATACTTAAGACATATTTATATTATTAAGCTCACATTAATATTACCATAAAATATGACAGTTTACAGGCCATGTATTACTACACGGGATTTTTCTTTTCTTTTTTTTCTTAACTTTTATTTTAAGTTCAGGGGTATATGTACAGGTTTGTTACATGGGTAAACTTGTGTCATGGGGGTGTGTTGTACAGATTATTTCATTACCCAGGTATTAAGCCCAGTACCCAGTAGTTATTTTTCCTGATCCTCTCTCTCCTGCCACCCTCCACCCTCTGATAGGCTCCAGTGTGTGTTGTTCCCCTCCATGTGTTACATGGGAATTTTTCATTCACTCTTTTACTCACTTCATGATTTTTGGTATTTGATTAGGAGCAAGAAAAACAAGGAAAAATAGATACAGTGTCTCTTTCCATCTGACATTTTCCAATGCCTAGAGTCTATAATTCTATCTTTCATCCTATTAGATATCATAATCCAGAATATTATTTACCAATTTTATGTCTTATTAACTACAAGTATATTTAGCCAAATATTTGCATAGTTATTTCAAGTACATTTATATTTATTATTTTATATTTTTCATTGCCTATTTTGAAATTATATTTTTTAAATTTCTAAAATAAAATTAATTTTGATAACTGTAATTTTTACATTGGTAACTTTTGTGCATTTTGTCAGTTTTTATAGTCATTGTAACACATTTAAAAAAAAATATGACGTTGTCTCTGTTTTTTAACTAAAGGCAATTTACATTACCATTAACAAGGATTTGTATATTTTTAAGTCATAATATAAAGAGTCCCTTCCAGAGAGTCCTCCATTCCAGTAACATACTTAGGAAATAAATAATGCATATGCAAAAGACATAGAACCATTGTCAAGATAGCACTTTCCGTTTTCTTTCTTTATTGGGCAGACCTATACACAGTTCAATTTGCATTAAACTATTTTGACTTTAGTATAATCATTATTGATTTTTTTTTTTTTTTGAGATGGAGTTTCACTCTTGTTGCCTGGGCTAGAGTGCAATGGCACGCTCTCGGCTCGCGGCAACCTCCGCCTCGCAGGTTCAAGCGATTCTCCTGCCTCAGCCTCCCGAGTAGCTGGGATTAACAGGCATGCGCCACCACGCCTGGCTAATTTTTTTGTATTTTTAGTAGAGACGGGATTTCTCCATGTTGGTCAGGCTGGTTGCGAACTCCTGACCTCAGGTGATCCACCAGCCTCGGCCTCCCAAAGTGCTGGGATTACAGGCGTGAGCCACCAAGCCCGACCTATTGATTTCTTTTTAATGAAGTTTCTAGGTTTAAATATGATTAAGTTTCCCTACCACTGTAAAAGAAAAGTTTTGCATCAGACACTTGATACAATTGGCAAGACATATGCAAACTATGCAACCGACAAAGGTCTAATATCCAGCATCTATAGGGAACTAAAACAAGTTTACAAGAATTGAACAATCCTATAAAAAAGTGGGCAAAGGACATGAACAGAAACTTTTCAATAGAAGACAGACATACAGCCAACAATCATGAAAAAAAGCTCAACATCACTGATCATTAGGGGAATGCAAATCAAAATCACAATGAGATACCATCTCACATCAGTCAGAATGGCTATTATCAAAAATTTAAAAATAACAGATTCTGGCAAGGTTATGGAGGAAAGGGAATGCTTATCCACTGCTACTGGGAATGTAAATTACTTAAGCCATTCTGGAAAGTAGTTTGGCTGTTTCTCAAAGAACTCAAAGCAGAATTATCATTTACCTAGCAGTCCCATTACTGAGTATATACCCAGAGGAATATAAATCATTCTATCATAAAGAAACACACATGCGTATGTTCACCACAGCATTATTCATAATAGCAAAGTCATGGAATCAACCTACATGCCCATCAATGGTAGACTGGATAAAGAAACTGTGGTACATATACACCATGGAATATTATGCTGCCATAAAAAAGAATGAAATCATGTCCTTTCCAGCAACATGGATGGAGCTGGAGGCCATTATCCTAAGTGAACTAACACAGGAACAGAAAACCAAATACTATGTGTTCTGACCTATAAGTGGGAACCAAACATTCAGTACATGTGGAAAGAAAGAAGGGGACAACGGATGCCAAGGCCTACTTGAAGGTGGAGGGTGGGAGTAGGATGAAGGTTGAAAAACTACCTTATTGGGTATTGTGCCTATCTGGGTGGTGAAATAATCTGTACATCAAACCCCCATGACATGCAATTTACCTATATAACAAACCTGCACATCCACCCCTGAAGCTAGAATAAAAGATAAAACAAAAAATTGTCAAGACAGACTACTACAACAGGGGAGAAAGATTTTAGTACAGAACTGAGATCTGTACTAGGTGAGAGGATTTTTAAATGCTGAAGTATAGTAACAGAAAAGTACCGAATGGCACTGGGGAAGGAGGGAAATTTGTCCAATGTGATTGGACCATCTATATGTGGTCATTGCCCCATTTCAAAGTTAGGCTACTACCATCTCACAGAGACTGGAAGATAGGGCCCCTATCTTTATTTGTTTTTATTGATACACAATAGTTGTACACATATGTGGGGTACATGTGATATTTTGATACATGTTTACAATGTGTAATAACCAAATCAGGGCAGTTGGGATAACCATCACCTCAAATGTTTATCTTTTTTTTGTGTTGTGAACACTTCAATTCTTTCAAGCTGTTTTGAAATATACAAAAAAATTATTTTTGGCAGGGCCCAGTGCCTCATGCCTGAGGCCAAGGCTGGTGGATCACCTGATGTTGGGAGTTCGAGACCAGCCTGACCAACATGGAGAAACCCCGTCTCTACTAAAAATACAAATTAGTTGGGCGTAGTGGCGCATGCCTGTAATACCAGCTACTCAGGAGGCTGAGGCAGGAGAATCGCTTGAACCCGGGAGGCAGAGGTTGCAGTGAGCTGAGATCGTACCATTGCACTCCGGCCTGGGCAACAAGAGCAAAACTCCGTCTCAAAATATATATATATATATATATATATATATATATATATATAGTTAACTATAGTCAGTCCACTGTACTGTCAAACACTGGAATTTATTTTTTAACTGTATTTTTGTACCCATTAGTCAACTTCATTTCCTCCCCCTCTCTCTACCACCCTCCCAAGTCTCTGGCAGCAAACATTCTACTCTACCTCCATGAGATCCAAATTTAAGCTCCCACATATGAGTAAGAACATGTGAAATTGTTTGTCATTTTGCATCTTCCTGTTTCATTTAACATAATGACCTCCAAATATCCATGTTGATGCAAATGACAATATTTTATGACTTTTATGACTGAATAGCATTCCATTGTGTATATACACCACATTTTCTTCACCCATTCACACATCATTTAGTCAACTGCCCGTTGATAGACACTTAGGTAGATTCCATATCTTGGCTATTGGGAATAGTGCTGCAAGAAACAGGAGTGAGAATATCTCTTCAATATACTAATCGCCTTTCTTTTGGATACATTCTCAGCAGTGGAATTGCTGGATCATATGGTAGTTCTATTTTTAGTTTTTCTGAATAAATTTCTTACAGTTCTCCACAGTGGCTGTACTACTTTACATTCCCACCAACAGTGTACAAGAGTTCCCCTTTCCGCACATCCTTGCCACCATCCACTGTTTTTGTCTTTTTGATGATAGCCATTTTAACTGGGCTGAGATGACATCTCATGTGCTTTTGATTTGCATTTCCCTGATAATTAGTGATGCTGAGCATTTTTTCCATATACCTGTTGGCCATTTGTATGTCTTCTTTTAAGAAATGTCTATTCATCTATTCAGGTCTTTTGCTTATTTTTAATAGGATTATGTGTTCCTATACGCTCTTTGTCAAGTGATGTTATGTATTCATTTAATACTCAACTATAATGATTAATAATAGTTGTAGTAATTATATTTTTCCTATAAGTAAAATAAAATTAGACGGATATATTGTATTCCTATACATAATCCTGTTATGAGTTCCCTATACATTGTGCTTATTAATCCCTTTGTCTTTTGCAAATATTTACTCCCATTTTGCAGCCTTTCTCTTCACTTTGTTGATTGTTTCCTTCTTGATGATTACACTTCAAAGGGATGGTTCCTAGGCCCTTGAGAAATTCATTCTTGGGTTGTAGAAGATTCATCTCAAACAGTCAGAGGATTTATAATTGCAAGGTTCCTAAACTAAATGCTCTAAGAAACGGAGGTTTGGGTTGGAACAAAGATTAAAATTTTTTGGTAGCATTGAACTTTTTCAGGAAGAAATTTAAGGGAACTGGTGTCAGCATCCTAGGGACTTGGCCCTGAGTTGTTAGAAACTATGCTATTATTTGTTCAAGTCTCTTATTATGGGGGGTAGACAAAATTGTTTGTACTGAAAATTGCAGTTCCCATAGACCAAGGTTGAGGCCTAGCCGAGGAGAGAGTTCAGAGGAGACTGACAAAAGTTGGTCAAGGAAAGAGTCTTTTTCACTGACCCTTCACCTTAGGAAAATTGCCTGCAAGTAATGGCTTATATTAGTGAATGTAAATTTTGTAAATATTTTACTTTTCTATACTTATAGTTGCAATTCAAACATTCGAATTAAAGAAACAAGTTGTGAATTTAGGCCATAATATTTGATTTTATACATTCTGTGAGATTCTCCCAAAACGCATGCCATCCCAGTGTAAGCCTGGTCATATATATATTGATGTTATATAGCATGTTATCAGCTACATTTTGCATAATCAGTGTGGTAGATTCTGGATTCAGAGTTCATGACCTCAAAAATTGACTCCACCTCTTATCAACTGTATAACATTATCAAATTGATTAAACTGTCCAAGCTTCAGTTTCCTCATCTGCAAAATGGGCATTATAGTAATAGGTATTGCATAAAGTAACTGTGAGGATTAAATGATCCAAGTGCTTTGCAGAATTCCTGGCCAGCAGTAATGACTCAATAGATATTAGTTTCTTTTTATTTTATTTTATTTTTTTTATTATTATTATTTTTTTTGAGATGGAGTCTCACTCTGTCGCCCAGGCTGGAGTGCAGTGGTGTGACGTCGGCTCACTGCAACCTCTGCCACCCGGGTTCAAGCGATTCTCCTGCCTCAGCCTCCTGAGTAGCTGGGACTACAGGAGCATGCCACAACACCCAGCTAATTTTTTTTTTTGTATTTTTAGTAGAGACAGAGTTTCACCATCTTGGCCAGGCTGGTCTTGAATTCCTGACCTCGTGATCTACCCACCTCAGCCTCCCAAAATGCATGCTGGGATTATAGGCGTGAGCCACTGCGCCTGGCCGATATTAGTTTCTATAATTTGTATTAGATATTATTAGTACTGAATAAGTACTAGTGGAGAAAGTAATTACCTGATCTATATCATTAACTTATTTGAAAACTCTTGAAAATAAGAGATTTCAGTTTTTATTTGAATTTTCTTCTGTCATTTGCTCTGTATACTTGCTGTTCTTAGCCCATTTTCCTTTATTTATTTTGTGTATGTATAGGATAATTAATTTAAAATGTGTCATATTTAAAAGAAAATAATTTTATCAGTTAAATGTTAATTCTGTTTTTTTTCAAGAACAAAGACATCTTTTCTTCTGATTCATAACTCGCCTGAGAGGGAGTAGACCTTTGAGTATGTATAACCTATATATAGTCTGGCTTATTTATTAATAGAGGTTTATTTTAAATTATAATTGAACACAGAGTTTAGGAAGACAATTACATTTGAGATTGCTAATCTTGGGGTCAGAGAAACTTGATTGCATACAATTCCAAACTCTTTGTCAAGTGATGTTACGTATTCATTTAATACTCAACTATAATGATTAATAATAGTTGTAGTAATTATACTTTTCCTATAAGTAAAATAAAATTAGACGGATGTTTACATGGATTATCTCATTGCATTTTTACATAAATTACATAAAACACATTTTCCCCCTGAAGGAAACAGTAATATATACATATGTATACAAGTATTTGTACCATTTTAATACCAAATAGATCTAGTTTTTAAAAGATATATGTACTGAAAAGATAAAAAAATGTAAAAATTGGAAGGGATAATTATTGAAAAATAAGGTGAAGATAGTGGTAAGTTAATACACAAAATACATGCCATACAGTTCTGGAAACTTTGCTGTAGTTGGCCTATAAGTGTTTAACCTAATAGTCACATACATTTTATTGATGGATCAGAGACTATTTTATTTAAAACGCTTTCCCAAATTCAGATGTCATGAATTCACATGCCTTCCAGTCCTCACCCCAAGGGCTAGAAATGTGCTTTTATGAAGTCTTTCTTGCCTTTTTTTGTGGAGTGGGGGCAGGGGGGAGGATTGAAAGAGGGAATGGTACTGCACGGCTAAATTTCAAAATTTTGTTCTGTAAGTGGAATTTTAATGTATTCTTCATTTTCTAAAATCCAAGAAACAAGAGAGGCCATAAACTATTTCCTCAAATAAACTTAGAAACACAGAGACAGTTTTGAAGTCATCAAAGATAAAGTAAAATAACATAAATGATTGAGGTTGAATTATCTGCGAAAAGAACAAACATACTTTACATTTTGCCATATCCTGGGTCATGAAGTCAAAATGAAATAGTCATTCAAGATCTAAACTCTTTGAAAACTCTGTCAGCCAAAATTTCGAATTTTGACCATGTTTGCTAAGCATATTGCCTTCTAACTCAAAAAGCAGAAAGAGCAATGCTTATTTTTAATTTTCTTGCACTATGTAGTATTTCATTACATTTGGCCAGTGTTGTGTTGAGAATGCTCCTGAACAGTTCAATGGATAACTATATCACCTTAATTTCTTTCTTACGAGTTTTAGTGTGGTTTCTCAAGAGAACCATTATACCCATGCTGACCTAGCATGGGATATACTAGAGGAGTATGTGTGCTTGGTTATCTGAGACAGTATTCTTTTATCATATTTGCCTGTATTTCACTGCTTTGACTTCATTATAGATATCTTATATAGACTGAAAAATCATGGACTTATGAAGGCAACAATTCATACCAAAAATAAAGAGTGAACTACTAAATTATGTTACAAATGAAGGAAGACGTTAATATCAAAGCAAAACTTCCTGTCAACACGTGAGCAGTATAATTCTAATAAGCAGTTAAAATAGCTTAAGAACGTAAAACTTGGGTTTTATAAATACATATATATTTGTAAATATTGATCTGGATAGTTATTTTAAGCTGCTTTGAAATCACATTTGTTCCCTTTGGAAATATGCAAGAGAGACAATTACTTGCCTCTCAGTGGACTATTAAGGTTTGCCTTTGCTTATACCTGGTACAAAATAACTATATATCTGATGTAAGCAACAGAGATATGTTATGCAAGAGTAGATACGGTATGAGCAGAATCATGCAAATAAGATTCATATTAGAAATCTTGTGTCCCAACTCTGGTTTGTCAGTGGTGAAAACAGAGTTAACAGGTAATGCATAGGTTCCCAAATTCCTGATGAAGTAACATCTCTCTAAACTACAGATCAAACCTCCAACAGACTCAGTCAACAAAAGCCATAAGTCTAAAAACCCAAAATGAATTTGGCAATGAGAAATAGAGCAGCGAGAAACAGTACTGGGCCTAAAGAGCCAGAATCCATTGACTTAGAATCATTTTTAGTTGGTTGGATTTAAAAGTCTTAGGTAGGGGCCGGGCACGGTGGCTCACGCCTGTAATCCCAGCACTTTGGGAGGCCGAGGTGGGCGGATCACGAGGTCAGGAGATCGAGACCATCCTGGCTAACACGGTGAAACTCCATCTCTACTAAAACTACAAAAAATTAGCCGGGCGTGGTGGTGGGCGCCTGTAGTCCCAGCTACTCTGGAGGCTGAGCCAGGAGAATGGCGTGAACCCAGGAGGTGGAGATTGCAGTGATCCGAGATCCCACCACTGCACTCCAGCCTGGGTGACAGAGCAAGATTCCAAAAATAATAATAATAATAATAATAATAATAAATAAATAAATAAATAAAAGTCTTAGCTAATCTTTCTTCATTAGTACTTCTCAGAGTATAGGAAGAATACATTAAAAACTCCAAGCAAGGGGTGGGAGGTCTAAGATGGAGAGTAAAGTGTTGGCAGTAGACATCACACAGTATACAGCCAAGCATTTTTGGCCAACTTCCTGCTTTAGGATAAAGAAGGCATCATTTTTCCCATTTGACAATTGAGAATGTTGAGACCCAGAAATGATAGATAACTTACAAAGGTTATACAGCAAGAAAGAAATGAAAATAGTAGTAGAGCCTGATTCTCTTACCTTCTATTTAGCACTCTTTCCCAGATGCCATGTTGATAGCACTGCCTAAAATGTGTCTAGTTTCGTACTTTTGTCATTGTTTTGATATAAGGTGCAGTGGGTCAAGAGAACCATGATATTCAATTCGTGACATTTAATCTATTTTTATTTTGTTTCTATGTGTGACTGCATGTGTATGTTCTTTTTTCTGCATACTGCATTTCATTTCCACTCTCCTCCCCAGTACAAACATTGTGTTTTAAGTATAAATTTTTTTATTTGAATGGTGTCCTTTCAAAGTATGAATTGCTTTCTGTTTGTGAATTATAATTTATGTAAAATACATTCTGTTAGATATTTCATTTTTCATCTTGTTTTCTCACTAAGGTTTATTATTTGTTAGGATCCTTCCACATTGCTATACACCTACTCTATGACTTCTCACTTCATGGTGTGTATATATTGAATCTCCATGAAAATTGGGAATAGCGAATTCCAAGCTATTTATTTCCTTGCCAGGCAGCCCCTTGGCTAGGTGCGCTTATACAGGCACAAGCTATGCATCTGTACATATCTGCAATGAAGCCCATGGTTGTGTATCCAGCAAATTTTGCCTCTTTGGCCTTGATGGAAACTCAGGTTACTTCTAGCTCTCACCATTACCAATAGCACTGTAATGAATAGCCTTGTATATGTGTCTTATGGACCTGCGTGAAAATTTTCCTGGGATAAATGCCAATTGTAGAATTGCTATGTCAAAGGGTATGTATATACTTAATTTGACTAAGTAGTAACAGATGGATAGGCAGATTGCTGCTGCTGTCTACCCTACCACCAGTAGAGCACCAAGGCTCCTATGTCACCATATACATGTGGTTGGTTCCTTTTGTATTTCATATATTCTTGCCTTGTTTCTCTAGCTGCAGTGAAGGAAGGGACCATTTTAAATGGCTCAGATTATAAATCCTAGGAATTATTAAACTACCAGTGAATATACTTGGCAGGTGAAAGTCAACCAACTTTCAAAGTGGTTCAAATTAATCATGTGTTTTGTGAGGTATAACTGTTGTTTAATTTGTGTTTTTAGAGCTAAACAATGTTCTCAATCAGACCCAACTTAGAGTTGTTTTGCTTTTATCTCTGATTTGTTTCTTTCTTTCACCCAATTAAATATGATTTAATTTTACCCATTATTTGCTTTTTAAACTAAGACAGAATGAAAATGTCAAAAATAATATGACGCTTCTAAACCTGTCAAGTATGAATGTCATGGATCACGAGGATTTACTGTTATATTTTGGGAAGTTGGCATAATATAAATCGTGACGCTCTTCTGATAGAATGTGTCATCACTTTAAACCCAGATGTCTGAATTTTACAGCAAAGGACTCTGAATAAGGAAATTCTTCCCATTGATCTGATAATGTTCAAATATATCTTAAGGAAGGGATAGTCAAATGTGCATCATTTAAATGTGATCTTAGATATTTTAATCTATTCATTTAATTTATTCTTTACTCATTTGCTTCTCTAATAAAATGAATGACAATAATCTAACTTCAGCCAGCTTCAGAAATGTATTCAGTCATATTATCATGAAATATGTAATTCTCATGAGTGACACTGCCTGGCCCACTCACTGTGTCATTGGGATTGCCCTTTCTCTAAGCTCGCATGATAAAATGTCATTCCAGGTGCAACTTAAGAGTCACGCTCCCCTTGTCCTTTACAATAATGCTAGGTAAATAGCAGGAACTCAGTAAATATGCACCAACTAACTGATAGGTAACTTTTAAAATATGAAATCTTCTATTCTTTGACTCTGTAGAGAAAGTGTTTTTCTTCAGCTCTATATGAATACCAGATATTTACTGAATGTTTTGCCACGTCTCAGTCTTGCATTTGCACGTCCGCACACTACTTTTATGCCATCTGTTGTCTTTCGTCATTCAACTGCTTATATAGGTGAAGAATAAAAACGGAGAGTGACAGATTAGCTGTATTCTATCTTCTAACAGTTTATTATAACAGTTTAGTTAGCTTTCATCCCTTCTTAAACACACACACACAGAGTGAGAGAGAGAGAGGGAAAGAGAAAGGGAGAGAGAGAGAGAGAGAGAGAACCGAAACAAAGTATTCTCTCACTTTCTTCTCTTTTAAATATAATTAATTTTAGTAACCATTGTGGGATAGAGGTGGGGCCGGTCTGAGATGAAAACAAAAATTGAGCAAAACAGCCATAAATTGTTTGTATAGAGTGAGCATCTCATTCCCAATTATTTGTTCAATGCTATTGACATAAAGTTTCCTGTGTTCTAAAGAATTAATGGCATCACATCCTCTTGACTGTGCTGTTGCTTACTTGGCCATGGGTGTCCTGAAGTAGGTGACCATAAAATGTATTATTGAAATTGGGGCAGGCTTTTAGCTTTGTTAATAATTCTGTTGACAACAGGGGTGAAACAAGACATATGCTTATCCTGCCCTCAGGAAGCATCAGAATGAGTAGCTTTTAAATTCGCTGCCACCATGATGACTTGAAGGATCAGAAAGCCTCTTATACTTGACGCAGAAACATTGTAGAACACCTGTAAAGTGGCCAAGGTAGTGGAAAAAACATTCAATTGGGAGTAGTTAAACCTGTATGATACTGAACCAAGGAGCAAAATGATGAGTCTAAGGCAAGGAGAAGTCAGACGTAGAATTCCTAATCCGTACGAGACTGTACCTCGTCAAGCAAAACTTGGGAGTTTTAAAATGAAATTTTGGAAGAAATGAATTATTACAATAGCAATAACCATTTTTGTTACCATCCTGGTTTTCCTGATCTCTACATATTGGCATGCCCTGGATTCAGTCCTTGGTGTCTTGGATCTTCCCTTTCTATACTTACAGTCTTATAGTCTCAGAAAATCACCTTATATATCAATGCCCTCAAATTTACATCTGTGGCTCAAAGCCTTCTACTCATATCCAAACTTGGATATACAACTTGCTACTCAACATCTCTAACAGTAAGTCAGTGGACATCTTCACATGTCCTAACCTGAACTCCTGTCCCCCCGCAAAGCCTGTGACTTTCAATTTTTAATTGATAACAACTTCATCTGTGTTTGCTCAGGCTAAATGGTTTGGTGTTGCCCCGACTTCTCTCCTCATTTCACATCCCATCCCTAATAAATCAGCTTTAACACTAAAATACAGCTGACCCTCGAATAACATGGAGGTTCAGGGGTCTGGCAGCTCCCCACGACCATGCAGTTGAAAATTCATGTAAAACTTAGGAGTCCCCCCAATTTTTTTTTCAAAATGGAGTCTCACCCTGTCACCCAAGCTGGAGTGCAGTGGCACGATCTCAGCTCACTGCAACCTCTGCCTCCCAGGTTCAAGCAATTCTCGTGCCTCAGCCTCCTGAGTAGCCAGAATTACAGGCGCCCACCACCATGCCCAGCTAATTTTTGTATTTTAAGTAGAGACGGGGTTTCTGCATGTTGGCAAGGCTGGTCTCAAACTCCTGACCTCAGGTGATCCACCCACCTCGGCCTCCCAAAGTGCTGGGATTACAGGCGTGAGCCACCACGCCCAGCCTGAGTCCCCCAGAATTTAACTACTAATAGCCTACTCTTGACCAGAAGCCTTACTGATAACATAAACAGTCTATTAACACATATTTTGTGTATTATATGTATCGCATACTGTATTCTTGCAATAAAGTATGTTAGAGAAAAAAATGTTAAGAAAATCATAAGGAAGTACAAATATATTTACTGTTCATTAACTGAAAGAGGATCATGATATAAGTCTTCATTATCTTCATTGTCATCTTCAAGTTGAGTAGGCTGAGGAGAAGGAACAGGAGGAGTTGGCCTTACTGTTTCACAGATGGCAGAGGCAGAAGAAAATTCATGTGTAAATGGACCCGTGCAGTTCAAACCTGTGTTGTCCGAGAGTCAACTGTATATTCAGAATTAGACAACTTTTTTTTTTCTTTTTTTGACATGGAGTTTTGCTGTTGTCTTCCAGGCTGGAGTGCGATGGCACAATCTCGGCTCACCGCAACCTCTGCCTCCCAGGTTCAAATGATTCTCCTGCCTCAGCCTCCCGAGTAGCTGGGATTACAGGCATCCACCACCACGCCTGGCTAATTTTGTATTTTTAGTAGAGACGGAGTTTCTCCATGTTGGTCAGGCTAGTCTCAAACTTCCGACCTCAGGTGATCTGCCCGCCTCAGCCTCCCAAAGTGCTGGGATTACAGGCGTGAGCCACCGCGCCTGGCCAGAATTAGACAACTTCTAATCTCTATTCCCGATCTTCATCACTGTTATGATCTCTTGTCTCAATTACTGCTAGAGTTTCTCAAGTGGTCTGAAAATCAGCACTTTCTACCCATGCCTCAAACTGCCTAGTCTTTGTATAGTAACCGGAATGTTCCTCTTTAAGCAAAGAGCAGAATGTGTAATTGCTCTGTGCCCACTCTTGCAATTGCTTCCATTGCATTCCAAAGAAAAGCTAGAGTTTTTACAAGAGCTAGTAAGGCTTTTTATAATGTGGCCTCCTGTGTCCTCTCTAACCTTATTCATTATTCTCATCTGCAGTCAATTCACTTGAGCCACAGATGCTTCCCACATACATGTCTGTGCATGCCTTGGGGCATGGACACTGCTTGTTCTTTCTCCTTTCTTCTGGAGGCTGTCCTTCCAGATATGCCAGAATTAACTTTTTCATCTTAGTCTTTACTTCGATATATTCTTCTCAATGAGGCCAATTTAAAATTCAAGCGTAACTTCCCCCACCTCCAGCACCTACCTATTTCCCCTACAATTTTCTTTGATCCATAACATTTATCATCCTCAAATATACTCTGTACTTGATTTATTTTTAATGTTTATATTACGTTCCTCCAACAGGAATAGAAGCTCCATAAGGGCAGAGATCTTTGTCAATTTTGCTCATAGATAATTCCCAAGTACCTAGGACAGTATCTACTAGATGCTTATAAATATTTGCAGAATGAATAGATAAAGTAAGAAGCCCAGTGATGTCAAGAAAATGAATTACCCTCTGTGCACCTCAAGTTGTGCAAACTAAAAAGATTAAATAAAATGGTTTCTATATGTCAACCAAGCGCACATGTGTACATTTTGTGTCTTGTGGGGATCCTGATTCAGAAATCAAATGCAAAAAAAAAGAAAAAAGAGAGTGAGATACTAAGAGGTATTTGACCATGGCTTGTTATTCCATTATTTTAAAAAATTATTCTTATGTCAATACATGTGATAATCATAAGCCCTTTGGTTAAGGGCTTATGTGTTTGGGATGCAAAATGAAGTATTTAGAAATAAACTGATATGAAATTGAGGATGTGGTTTTAAATATTCCAGGAAAAAAAATAAGTGAAAGGAATAAATCAAACAAAATTGGCAAATACTGCTAATTGTTGATGAGGGGTGATAGGTGCATAGGAGTATATTGTAGTGTTCTCATTACTTTTGTGCATGTTTGAAATATCCCATAATAAAAGAATTAAAATTGGTAACCTCTGAAGTCCCTCACTACTCAAAAAATCTTTTATTAGAGCCATCATTTTATAAGTAGATCATTTGTATCAGATATTAAGAGGATCATTGGGATCCCCGAGATAATTCCACAGTATAACGAAAACATAAAGGAAGATAAAGAGAGAAAATCCAATAGAATGTCATTTATAAACTAAACCTTCAACTGTAAATGATAGTTGTTCTAAACTGTGGCTCTGTCTAAAGAATTTTACCCAAATTTCCATTCATTGTGAATAACTAATGCAAGTAAATGGGTAAATTATGTCTGTATATTTAATCATTGTACAAATTATATCCCATAATTCCATTAGCAGAATGGAGTACAAACTTTTTTCTAAATAAGTCCTTACTAAATAGATTTAACAGCAATAACTATGCAATTTGACTAAGCAACAAACTGCCATTTAAACTATATATTACTATATAATATAATATGTCATTAAAATATAAATACTAAAGGCTGTCAAGATTTTTTTTTAAAGGATTGGGCCAGGTGCGGTGGCTCATGCCTGTAATCCCAGCACTTCGGGAGGCCGAGGTGGGTGGATCACCTGAGGTCAGGAGTTTGAGACCAGCCTGGCCAACATGGCGAAACCCCGTCTCTACTAAAAATACAAAAAAAATTAGCTGGGTGTGGTGGTGTAATCCCAGCTACTTGGGAGGCTGAGGCAGGAGAATTGCTTGAACCTGGGAGGCGGAGGTTGCAGTGAGCCGAGATGGCACCGTTGCATTCCAGCCTGGGCCACAGAGCAAGACTCTGTCTCAAAAAAAAAAAAAAAGATTGTTTATCTTCTATGTGTATGCATATTCATAGATTGGTATAGATATAAATTGTGTAATGTGGATATACAAGTAATGAGACACTGTTACATGAATAAGTTCTGAATCGTGAGTCATTTTGATGATAAAACATAGAGGAGAAACAGATGAGATCATGGATATAACTTGTTTGAAAATGGTCTCATCCCATAAAGTATAGAGAGGCAGAACATTATAAATAGGACAGTTAGGTGAAGAAAAAAATATATATGGGATTTGACACAAGGGCAAAATATTCTTATTAATTGTTGAAAATCTAGGAAAAATAATAATGAAAAACTTTAATAATTGAGTAATTTAACCATGATTTCTTGAGGCTATGTCTTTTTTTATGACAAAACATGCTGATATAGAGGATCAAAATTAGATCATAGAAATCATAGAGACAGCAAACAGCATTTTTGTTTTCTTTGCTGTCATTTTGTTATCTTGGCTTCAGACTTTTTTATCATTGTTTTGTTTATTACTTATATGTTATAAACTGTCTCCCCTGGCCCCCAATCTCCTGAAAGTTTTAGAAGCTTGATCTGGTCCATTCTCTGCTTGAACCACAGTAACAAGTATCTCCTGGCCCCTCCTTCCATCCGCAAAGTTGGATTAAATCCTACATTCTCAATTGAACTCAAATGAAAATGATCACTTCTTCCTTAAACATTAACTCTCTCAACAAATAGCTTCAGATTTATGGTCTTAATGAGCCTTTCAAGCATGTTTTGTTAGTCAACGAAATTGGACTTTAGGCTTATTTGTTTCTTTGTTTTTTTGTTGTTATTGTTGTTGTTGTTTTGTTTTTTGTTTTTTGTTTTTGTTGAGACAGGGTCTCACTCTGTCTCCCAGGCTGGAGTGCAGTGGTGCGATCACAATTCGCTGTAGCCTCAACCTACCAGGCTCAAGTGATCCTCCCACCTCAGCCTCCTTAGTAGCTGGGACTACAGGCACGTGCCACCACGCCTGGCTAATTTTTTTAATTTTTGTTTTGTAGACATGGAGTTTTGCCATGTTGCCTAGGCTGGTCTCAAATTCCTGGACTCGAGCGATCCATTTGCCTTGGCCTCCAAAAGTGCTGGAATTACAGGCATGAGACACTCTGCCTGGCCTGTTTCTTGTATTTTCTACAGCAGTGATTTTCAAACTTTTTTGATGTATTGACACATATACAATACTGTAACACTCGTGACACCTCCTGGAGTTTTGCAGCACTTTGCCTACAAACACCTGCAACTCAAACAAAAGTTCGCTGAGCTAACACTTATTTTCACTATATTCTCAGGTAAGAATCCAACCTTATGGAGGGTGGCAAAGGTTAAGATTTCAAAGGAGATGGCTAAGCAAGCAAAATGTTGGCCTGTCACAACTCCATAGGTGCTCAAAGTAGACAATGAGATTCAATGGGTTAGAGCATGAGTCTTTAATATTCACAATATAGCAAATAGCAGGAACAGTAGCATGGTAGTACCAGTTCCTCTGCCTCAAGTATTACGAGGTGACACAAGAGGCCAAAACGGTGACTATGCACACAGTGGGTTGTGCTGCAGCTGGGGAATACAGGGCCAAGGTCTCACCATGTAGTAAACAACTAACAAGACAGTCTCCTTTCCCTGGAGAGAAAAGCCTTATGGTAGTCATGCTGTGGTCACTTTTACCTAATTAATTGCCTACGTGACTAGCTACAGAAACTGCTCAGTACCATGGTATCAAGGGATGATAAAGCCTTAGAATTTGTCACACTTAAAAAGGACAGGCAGGGTTGTTTATCGCCCATGATGGACTGCCCTTTTCAACAAACCTGTGATACATGATTGAATTGTTTATTTTACTCCACTTTGATAAAATGCTAGTCTAGACCAAATCAATTGACTTCATGACCCAATAATAGATACAACTCACAGTTTGAAAATCACTGCCTTAGATTCCTAGTAAATGCCTTGCAGATTCTAATTCAAAAAGCCATTGTTAAACACCAAATATTTGCCAGGTAGTGTGTTCCATGCTCAGAAGACAATGTTATAGCTGTTACAGCAGAAGAATCATGGTCTTTGTAACAACTGTAGTTTAACTTCCCATTTTGCTATTTATTTAGTCATTGTTTAGTATTTTGGTCTTTATTATCTTATTTTGTTCTTGCGAAGTTAAAACATGATAATCTTGGTGAGGCACCTTGTGCATTGCCAGGTAGCTGCCAGGTATTTATCTTAAATAATCTGCCTTCCATGGATTTCTTTGCAGTGAAATATTACACATAAGTTAAAGAAAAAATATTGAAGTGGCACTTTAAGAAACTGCATGAAAATTGAAATTACTGATTGAACTCTTGAACTTAGAAAACACAAATCATCTATATTAAAATTTATACATTTTTTCTCTCTCTCTCTCTCTCTCTCACACACACACACACACACACACACACACACACACACACACTTACTTGTATTATACAAAAGCCAGTTAATGAGATGTAAAATAAACTTGAAGCCCGATGTGGCAAAGACCAAAGGAAACAGAAGAAAGAAAAATCTGAGATTAAAAAAATAAATTTGTTTTTCCTTATATCCTATAGGTAGCTTTGAAACTTTGTGTAATTGATATTACTTACTATTCATTAATTTTCTGGTTATAATTCTTTAAAGACAAAGTCAATCAAAATGTTATGTTTGCTGTTTTTTGTACAGAAAAAAATCTCATTTGTTTCCTCTACCAATAAAATGCCATGACAATGTAGAATAAATATATAATTTACTTCATAGTGCAGGATTATGCTGAAGTATACATGAAACTATTGTCCAATGAAACTGCTTTGGTATGATAAGTTTTTATATAAATATCAACCTGGACACATCCGGTATAATTTTTATTTTGTAATGTTTGGCTTAACCAGTGCACTCTCTTTGTTACCATTTACAAATGACCATGCTAGCTATTTCTTCAGTCTATGGAGAAACATGGAAGCCTAAAATATTTTTTTAAATAGCTATTTCCTCATATCTCCTAGGTAAGACATATCCAAAGCACGACAAAAGAAAGCTACCCTGTCTTTATATTAAATCTTGTTGAGGAATATTTATAGCATCCCAGAGTTATAACTATTTTAGGGTGACAATGCAACTGATGTTGAGCAATTATGTTCTGCTGCTATATCCTATGTCTATGGTCTTAATTATTAAAAACCAAGAAATATAAACCTAAAATTGTTGACTGCTACCTAAAGATAAAGATCATTATTAAAATACTGATGACAAGAAGTTTCATTATTAAAACAATAATGTACAACTATGGATTCACTTTAAAAACTTGGTTTATTCATCTGTATTCAAGAAACAGAGTTAATATCAAAGAAGGCAAAGAATATTGAAGCATATTAAGGAATGCTGTGATTTAGCATTTGTAGTCATGTTAATGGCATCAGACTATAAAATTATAATATTCCCTCAATTTAGCCACGTAAAAATAAATCACTTAATGACAAAAGTACATATTTTAGCAATCTGGGATTTCATGTGGAAGAAATATTGATTTGCCACTGCATCTGCATGTCAACTCACATACTTGAGTAAAAACTAGTATTTCTGAGAAGACACGAAATCACTTTGAACCTATTAAAATGGACAAAAGTGACAATCAGTTGATGATATGAAATGCGGTCTTTTGAGCCAAACTTTGACAATTTATAATTTTCTGTTGTGTGATAAATTTTAAATGGAAACAGTTGCATAACTCACTAGAGTCAGAACATACATTATAAATAATTTAGTCCATACCCTTTGATTAATCGATAATTGGGAAATAAGTGAAATGTCAGAAGTCTGCCAAGTAGTTATTGGGTGAGCCAAGACTCAAATCTAGATAAAGTATTTATTCTACTATACAAATTAATGTCATTAAAATTATTGCTTTATTTATGTATTCACGTGAATATTCTCTAAGTGTTTTTAAACACTTACAATGTACCAGGCCCTGTGCTAGGACCTGGGGATAAAAATGGAAAAGATATGGGTCTGTCATCTAGAGATACTGTGGTTTAGCAAGGGAGTGAGCTACTAATATGAAGAAGGAGAAGGAGAAGGATAAATTATTATAGTACAGTATGATAATTGTGCTAAAAGTCATCACAGAGTTCTAGGATTGTGCCCAGTACCCTTTGACTAGTAGAGAGGGGAGAGGTCTCACTTGAATTACATCCCTTCTTATCTGGACTGTTGCATCTTGAAAGATCTCGCCACTTCCAGTTTGACCTTCCTCCAAATATTTCCTCCAAATTGCTGCTGGGGTGGTCTTTCTAAAATCTGAAATTTAATCAGAGCACTCACCTGTATAAGAACCATCAGAGTTTCTCCATTTCTTCAAAATGAAGTTCAAATTCATTATCTTATCATGAGACCTTTCATGATCTGGCTTTAGTCAATCACTCCAGCCTTACTTCCTGCTACTCTTTCAGAAACATTCTCCAATTCAAAAGCATAGATCTACTTATAGTCACCTCTAGGTCTGGGTCAAAGAGCTTGAGAGCATTGTAGCTCGAAGGCCACCATTAACTCAATGAAATCAGCAGTAATCTTTAAAGAAAAAAAAAAAAGAAAAATTGGCAATAGGAGTCCTGTGGGAGAAGTTAAAGTTTGTAATAGTGACTAAGATGATAGGGAGAGAGGAATTCTGGGCCGTTAATAAATCAATGATAAGGTACAGTTAGGGCTAAGCGTGCTTTTGTTTCCCTAATAATTTATGTGTAATTTAACAACTAAATTAATTGAAAACCATGTTTGAATCTCACCTTACCAACTGCCCACCTGGTTGAAAATTAAATACTATTGAATCTTAAAGACAGGTATTTTTTAGACCAATTTATATATTTTGCTGTTCATGTTATAGATTTCAATTTGACATAATAATTCACCACAATTAAAAATGTTCTTGAAGTAAAAGATATTTACATGTCTAACATATCTAAATAGCTTGAAAAATTACATGAAACATTAGTACATTTTTGGAGACTCTTATCTTGCCCTTATTTTCCAAAGGATAAGTTCTTGAAATTGAGTAAACGACAGAAATAGCATAGCTAGATTATAATTTTGAATAATGCTGAATACTTTCTGATCTGGAACCTGTAAAACGTGGCTGTAGTGAGGGAGCTACTCTTGGTTGCACAAGGGAATTGGGAACTGATTGTGGTTACGTGAAAATCGTAAATGTCGGATCTCAGTTTAATTGTGGTAGAAATATGTGGTAGATGATTCTGAGTATTAAACAGCTGTGTAAATATTGGAAGAGCAGAAAATCTAACATAATACAACAAATACATAGATCTTCTGATGTTCTTCTTTTTAAAAAGCTGTAAATTAAAATCCTGTGTAGGAAAAATAAAGGTAAGATGCAGTGTACAAATCAGGGTTTCTCAACTCTGGCTACACATTGCAGTCACTCAGGGAGATTTCAAAATAAACTCATATCTGGGTCCCACTGCTAGACATTCTGCATCAGTTGGTCTGAGGTAATGGCTAGGCATTAGTATTGCTTTTCTTTTCCTTTTTTCTTTTTAAGATGTAGTCTCACTTTGTCACCCAGGCTAGAGTGCAGTGGTGCAATCTTGGCTCCCTGGCTCAATGCAACCTCCACCTACCGGGTTCAAGCGATTCTACTGCCTCGGCCTCCTGAGTAGCTGGGACTACAGGCACCCGCCACCACGCCCAGCTAATATTTGTATTTTTAGTAGAGATGGGGCCACCACACCCGGCCTTAGTGTATATCTGTTTCTGCTGTGCAACCTGAGTTGAGAACTACTGGTTAACATAGATGAAAATAAGGTTCATATATTTCAGTTATAAAAAATAAGGCAGAAAACTTATCCAATGTTATTAGAATTTTTCCTTGCATAGCTATCATGCAATGATGTAGTTAACAAAAATTAAATTGCTTACCTGCAATTTTATGATGAAACTGACCAAACACACCTTCCAAAGATCAATGGAATGAAGGCAAAATCAGATAGAAGTGTATTTCACTGTCTTTTGTGATTTCACCTCTACCTGACTAAAACTACTAATGCTCAGGAGAACGAATCAACTGACAGTGCATTTTTATATACCCCGTGAAGGTCTCATAAATAAGACATGGCTGAAATTAGGTAGGAGGAACATTTATCTTGAAAATCCAAAATTCCTAAAGCAAGGGATCATATACTGCATATGTTACCGTCATTATGCCAAAGGAGCAATGTATACACACACATACACACACACACACACACACACACACACACACACACACACACACACACACACATATGACAGACTTCTCCAGCTCTCTGAACTACAAGATGCTTTATAAAACCTTCACATGGGCCAGGCGCAGTGGCTCACGCCCGTAATGCCAGCACTTTGGGAGGCCGAGGCGGGCGGATCACGAGGTCAGGAGTTTGAAACCAACCTGACCAACATGGTGAAATCCCATCTCTACTAAAAGTACAAAAATAAGCCAGGCGTGGTGGCATGCGCCTGTAATCCCAGCTACTCAGGAGGCTGAGGCAGGAGAATCGCTTGACCCAGGAGGCGGAGGTTGCAGTGAGCCAAGATCTTGCCATTGCACTCCAACCTGGGCGACAGAGTGAGAGAGCGAGATTCCGTCAAAAAAAAAAAAAAAAAAACCTGCACATGTATATATTTCACCAAACAAATATAAGCACAAACAAAGGAATGCAGCTGTCTTAAATAGTCCCCATCTATTTGGTGTAGATGTATTGCACCATTTTTCCCCGGTGCAAGAAGACTAGACATGTTTCCAATAGAGGATTCACCTCAAAGCGTTCAGCTTTGCCACCATCAAGAATATTTGAAAGAATGTGCCACACAAACACAAAAATTAACACTTATTGTGAGGCCACAAACGTTAGCTGAAACCTCATTTCTGCCTAACTTCTATAAATATTGGCAATTTCATTGATAAAATTTTGATACTTTTCCAGCTTCCTAGGATTCTTGTTAGGATTAAAAACTAAGCTCCCTGAAGGGAGAGGGTTTTGATTATTTTATTACCTGCTCCCAAGCCTCTGGAACAATGTTTAGAACTTAATGCTAGGTCAATATTTGTTCAATGAATTATTGGAACATAAGGACATATGACTGACTACCTTGCACTTAGGAGTTGTTCAGAAAATTGTAGTTAGTATTATTTCTCTTTTATTTTATTCATTTCAAGAGATGCTTGCCTAACTTGAGTTGCCAAAAAAATGAGATGGGATACTAAGACAGCGGAAATGGGTCCTTCAAAAAGATTGTCTGTTTCTATATTGCAATGATATCTGAAATCTGATGCTGTGATAAGAACCAAAAACTTATCAGGGGTGGAAGGATTTTGCCCTGAATGAGAGGAGGCCCCGGTGAAGATGGTGTCTTATAATATTTGGTCATCATATGCAGGGCTGGCATCTTTTAAAGTGTAGCAGTTTTAGACCTAGACTGAAAATCCATTATATGTGTCGTATTCCAACCTCTTCCCAAACAAGACTCGGATTGTCTCCTATGGTTTCTGGTCACAAAACAGATAAAATAAAACCATCCCTCCTGTTACCCTATTCAGAAACTCTGATAGCATTCTTCATATCTCTCATTCTCAATATAAATCACTCTCCACCAAAATTTGTTTATTCTCCTTGTCTCTACTCAGACACCTGCCCAACCCTACTCAATGTAATATTTTCTATATGTTATAGCCAGAATGATCTTTCATAAAGGTAAAGTTGATAAGTATCCTGAAGTTTTAAAAAAAAATGGTACATTCTCTTTGCCCTTGAGGTAATGTCAGCATACTTTAAAAGACTTACAAGGTTTTTCATCATTTTGCCCCTTTGGACTCTATAGGAAAAATACGTGTATGCACACACATACACATATGTGTGTCTATTTTCATTTATGTCTAACTGAAATTTAGTATTTGCTTCATTTGGAAATACTAGCCACACTAATTAGTGGCTATTGAAAGAAACTGTTACTTTATCACTTGAAGTTACAAATATTTTCTTATTATATTATGGTTTTTGTAGGTTTCTCAGATATTATTTGCATTCATTGTCACTCCAAAATTAGGCCTGCCACTATCTCCTGTCATGTAAGTGTCAATAAAGAATTACATGTTACTATATTGCAAATTCATTTTATTACTTTTTTTTTTTTTTTGAGATGGAGTCTCACTCTGTCACCCAGGCTGGAGTGCAATGGTGCGATCTCGGCTCACTGCAACTTCCGCCTCCCCGGTTCAAGAGATTTTCCTGCCTTAGCCTCCTGAGTAGGTGGGGTTACAGGTGCATGCCACCGCACCCGGCTAATTTTTGTATTTTTAGTAGAGATGGGGTTTCATCATGTTGGTCAGGCTGGTCTCGATCTCCTGACCTCATGATCCACCCGCCTCGTCCTCCCAAAGCGCTGGGATTACAAGTGTGAGCCACTGCACCCAGCCTATTATGTTTTGATTATTGCCTTTCAATATAACTGGTTTTCATCATAATTCAATGAAGTTTTATTTTGTGCATATATAAACATTCCAGAAAGGCATCCATAATCACCAAATGCCAAAGGAGTCCATCTCTCTCTCCTGTACGCACACACAATGTTAAGATCCTCAGGACTATATTGTAATACCTTGCATATTATTGTTCACTTGTTTTCCATGTAAAATGTTTACACCATTAGAACAGGTTTTGTTTCAGAATGATAACCTCCCAGACTGATTCAGTAGGGACTAAATTAATATGCATCTAATTAAATTGAAATGAAACAAAGCCCCGAGATACGGACAGAATTTCAGATGGTAATTTTGAGAACACCTTTAGCATTTAGTAAGGTGGTACTCTTTAAACTCATGCTATGTTGTCAGTATTAACATTTCCAAAGTCACTAGGTTTAAATTTTAGAGACTTACTTTCTGACTACCGGCTCCAAGCATTTATTTTAGCCTATGTGTACAAACATTCAGACTGGCTATGTGATGGAAAAGTAAAAAAAAAAAGATGACTTTTGTCCTGGCCCTCAAAATCTTATAGCTTAAGATCTAATTCTCCAAAAGTAGACAAAAGTTGCTTGAGTATTGGGTTGCACTTGTTTGTATAGTTTTTATTCAGATAAGAATAATGAAGACTCTTGTTCTCTCTTTCTATCTATTCCTTTATAATAATAGTAATCATCATCATCATCTCAGGCAACAGCATCCTCAATGCGGTAAATTTTGCCTATCATATAAAAAATACATTTGAATATATAGTTGTATCATGTTTACTTTCACTTTTTTGTAACATTTCAAAAAGTATTATTCTGCTATGACATTTTTTGGGCTTAGTCATAGAACAAATGTGAGCTGTTAGGGAACTTTAAATGTCTTAGTTTTATTGTTTATTTATAACTAAAGAGCATTTTTAGTCTACTGTAAAGGCAAGTTATCATATGCTAAACAACATAAAAATGACTGAATATTAAAGTTAAAACTTTTTTATGAGAAAATGAGAGACCCCTATGTGATTTATTTTAAAATAATCATTGCATATGCCCTCACACAGAAAATCAGAATGGTGTGATTGTTGCCTGCATGACCAAAATCGATTCTGCCTCCTTTGTGGTTAGCCAACACAGTGACTTCAGCACCTAGTAGACACAGGTTGTGTAGTTGTAGTGGTGCATCCTTAGTGTTATGCTCTCCATTGCTGGCAGGACAGATTCTTTCATGCTTGTCTTCTTTAAAGCATTGACTTAATTTTTCAACTGAAAACAGTAAGTGACAAATGGAGCACAGAGTATTTTAGAACATACCCAGAAAGAGCACTTAAAGACAATAAGAAATACTCAAATAATTGAAATAGGAATATTTTTATTATTATGTCATTAAACTAGCTGGTGCTTATCTGACATTTCCATGTTAGACATCCGTGCTTATCTAACATTGTAATGTTCCACGTTCCAAGTCTGTTTTATCTTGACCTGTGCACTATTAAGTACCAGCAGAGAGTGATCAATATTATTGTCCAAAGCAGTGCATCACAACCTTTACTGGGCACTGGAAACACCTGAGGATCTTGTTAAACTGCAAATTCGGATTCAGACATGAGGCTGAGAGTCTTGTAAAAGAAAAATTGAACAGATCGGTTAAACAGGTAAAGTAGACTTTATTGAGGACTGTTGTAATAGGAGAGAGTTTCATCTCAACTCTTCCACTGAAGCAAAAGGTGAAAGGATTTTTAAATGCTGGGGTGAGCTAATGGAAAAGTACTGGAGGACATAGGCAGGATGGAGAATGTGATTGGGCTGGTTAATATGATTAGGCCACCTGTGTTTGCTAATGGTACCTTATCAAAGTTAGGCTCCTACACTCCTATAGAGACTGGGAAGTAGGGCCCTATCTTTCTTGATGATTACATTTCAAAGGATTGGCGCCCAGGTCCTTGAGAAAGAATTTCCTAGGTTGTAGAAGGTTTACATCTGAAAGGGGCAGAGAAGGAATTTACAATTGCAAATTTTCCAAAGTAATCGCTCTACAAAAAAGGAGGTAATAGGCCTATCTATAGTCAGAAAGAAGCTTGTCTAAAGTTGGGAGGGGGGGACCATTAAGGCCATTGTGGTCAGTCAGTATTTCTACAAACTCCCAGGTGGTGTCAATGCCATTGGTCTGCAAACCACAGGTCTGCACTGTTACACTGATAGGAAAGATTCCATATTGATGATTCATGTTAACGCATTTTCTAGCTTATACAGTGTACTGTATATAGAAGTGTGTATTTGAAATGGTCAATACCATTGTCTGTCTAGATGGATAATAAAAGTTGTTGTGTACAATATTTATAGAATGATATCTTTTCATACTTCTAGAGGCCTACTCAGAACATCTGAGTCTCTCCTGATGAGATGAAATTTGGAATAAGTTATGTCCCAGAATTCAGGACACATTTGATGTTTAACTTATTTCACTATGAGAAAAGTAGTGTTATAATGATGTTCCACAGTTGTATTTTGTTTTAATTATTCTCATTAAGCCCCTAGCAAACAGGTTGCTTCATCATTTTTTTCTTTCTTTCTTTTTTTTTTTTTTTTTGAAATGGTGTTTTGCTCTTGGAATGCAGTGGCACAATCTCGGCTCACTGCAACCTCCGCCTCCTGGGTTCAAGCAATTTTCCTTCCTTAGCCTCCCGAGTAGCTGGGATTACAGTGCCCGCCACCACATCTGGCTAATTTTTTTTGTATTTTTAGTAGAGACGGGGTTTCATCACGTTGGCCAGGCTGGTCTTGAACTCCTGACCTCAGACGATCCACATGCCTCGGCCTCCCAAAGTGCAGGGATTACAGGCGTGAGCCACTGTACTGGCTGATTCGTCCATTTTTAACAGATGAAAAAAAAACTGTAATCAATTTTGGTCAGTGACAGTGCAAAAAATGCAATTTAATACTACAAATACTTATTACCTGATAAAGTTCTCAAATAATGAGCTAAAATAGAATGGATATGCCAAAACTGTAGCAAATCATTAAAGACAAAATAATAACATTCCAGGGACTTAAAACAAATTGAATTCTCCAAAGAACATTATTATAAACTAATATTCCTAATTGCATAGGAATGGAAGATTTTTTTTTTTTTAATGTTAGTCATAGGAGTTTCAAGACATTTGAATCACCTGCGTGGACACTGGCTTTTATCCTATTAAATTTAATGTGGTAATTTAGAGTGTTTTTATTAGAATAATCAACATTCTAAAATGCAATCATTAGCATATTTGGCATAGAAAATAGATCTGAAATGAACCCAAAAAATGAGCTTTAAAAATTGCTAAAACTAGCAGTGTATAATGGTAACACAATCCAAAGGTCAAAAAACACAATGATTAATTAAAACTAAAGAATAATAATTAATTAGTAGTATTAAGAAAGCTTTGCCTCCTTTTCAAAAAAAAAAAGCTAAAAAGGAAAGTTGTTGAATGTTATTGTTTTTAAAGACCAGCTTTTCATGAATGAAGTTTTTAATCCTTTCAAAGCCTAATCTAAATTTAAGAATTCAAACAAAAAATCCCTAATATTTTAATTTGCAATCAGGAGAGGTTCAATCAGACTAAGACTTTTTAATTTGACAGTCTCCTTTTTAACACATAGAGCTACTTCTTTGATCTGCCTTGGTTAATGAAATGGATGAGTTCCAATAAATTTGGATGCAAAGTAATAATCAACAGAATTCCATTTCCCATTGATTTTCATTGTAAACTTGTATCACTTTTTTGACATAAAATAAGCACTCTCTGGAATGAATAATTTAATTTGAAATATGAATAAAAAATAAATTATGGTGCAGAATATTGCTAAGTCCTTCATACATTTGCAGCACTTTGCATCTACCACTGCTTACTTCCTAGACAGAGAACCATTTCCTATAATAATAGCTAAAACCCATGAAGGATTTCCTATCTGGAAATAGTTTCTATAACCTTTACATCTATTCATCTTCATGATTACATTGTTTAATGGGTACTATAGAGATCGTCAGCATCCCCATTTTACATAAATTGTAAGTGCCAGAGTTTTGGTTTAAACCAGGTTGTCTGACTCCAAACTCTTCACTTAAAAAATATATTTTATTTTTATAGATAATAATACAAATACTGAAAATATTTACAAAACAAATTTACAGGTAATGAACACTCTTATTACTAATGAAGGCAAATGCCTTTATTACTATCCTTGATGTCAGAAGCTAGAACCTTGCGAGCCATTCCAGAAACTTTCCACGTGCCTTCTTATAACCATCTCCGGACACACGCGTGCACACACACACACACACACACACACACACACACACACACACACACAACTGTGACCATTATGATGATTTTATTTTTTGGAATGGCATCCTTACTTTTCTTCATAGTTTTGTCACTCAAATATGCATCCCTAAACACTGTAGTTTAGTTTTGCCTAGTGTGTGTGTGTGTGTGTGTGTGTGTGTGTGTGTGTGTGTGAGACAGAGTCTCACCCTGTTACCCAGGCTGGAGTGCAGTGATGCGATCTCTGCTCACTGCAACCTCCGCCTTCTGGGTTCAAACGATTCTCCTCCCTCAGCCTCCCGAGTAGCTGGGATTACAGATGCGTGCCACCACACCTGGCTAATTTTTGTATTTTTAGTAGAGATGCGGTTTCACCATGTTAGCCAGGCTGGTCTCAAACTCCTGACCTCCTGATCCACCCGCCTCGTCCTCCCAAAGTGCTGGGATTACAGGCGTGAGCCACCGCACCTGGCCAGTTTTGCCTAATTTTTAAAATCTATTAAGTTTCTTTTAATCTATAGGTTTCTTCCTTTATCTTTTTCTTTTATTTAAACAGTATATGTGTTGAGGAAGCTAAATAGTTTGTTCTGTAGTCTTCCGTGGACTGGCTTTTGCTGCCTGTGTTTTTGTGATGCAATTTGTTTTGTTTCACTATCATCCGTATTCCCTATCTGCCTTGTTGCCTTGCCTGAAGATCACCAAATTTCAAGGACTTCTTTCCTGCTCTGCTCCAAGGCACTTCTCAGCCCACTCTGGATGTGCGTGGGTGGTGGCCAGTAGAGGTGGGCTGCAATTACTGGCTTCTTTAGTAAGAGCTGTGAGGTTACATATATTCAACTCTGGGTTTCTAAAGGCCCATCCAAGGACAAGTTCCAGGGAAGATAGGGCATGCATGAGTTTGAGGCAGAATGAGAAAAATAAGCAACATACAATACATTTTTTCATAAAATTAAATTTCTCCTTTTAAAGAAGTGTTCTTTATTATATTTCAGTTAGCCTACTGTTTCATTGGCATCGTTTCCCTTTCATTGTTTGTATTTTTGTTTTGGTGAAACAAAAAATTAGAAACCCAATGTCAGTCTTTGTTCTCTTCTTATGATGCTAATTTCCAAAATTGAAAAGTGTTGGAAACTCTGCTTTAGCCTTAAATTTTCTGCAGAAAATTACATTTTGAATTTTCATAAAAGAAATTATTGGTCTTAACCCATTCTGTATGATAATTTTTAAAAAAAAAAAACTCTCTAAAGTGTACCTTGAAAAATAGTACCTGTGATTTGTCTAAGCTTTTGAATAATTCATTCTATCTCAAATGTATTTCTACCACTAAAGTTGCTATACCACTTTATGGAAAGAAGAAAAGCAACTTTCCTTTTTTGTACAGGAAACTTGAAAGTTCATCTCATGGAAGGTGTGGAGAGAAAGGTGGCTATGTAATTCTCCTTTGGATATTTCTGGATCTGTTTCTCAATCAGATTGGTTCCGTTCACACTGCCTGCTGTCATGAAAGTTTATGCCTCGCATGCAATGCCAGCATAAATTTCTCAGCACAAAACAGCTCTGCTTGTTAAGGAAGATGTTCTGAATTATCAAATATATATTTTTTAATTAGCCACCCTTTCTTATGCTTTCAGAATATATATTAAAGTGATCTGGGGTATTTCATGTTAATGTAAGAAAAACAATCCAAACTCCCTTTGTTTCTTGACTTAGCTTATTATATCTTCAGTACTTGCAAACTGTGTGATACATGATCAGTCACAGCACACTGCTATTTACTGAGCATCCATGGCCACTGGCTGACGTGGCATTGAATATAACATTGTATTGTTGCTCTAAGCCTTTTAGCCTTCGTGCTAAATGACTCAACCCATCACAAGAAATTTATAATGGACATATAACTCACCTAGTTAGTCTGCATGAGATTGATTTGTTGTGAAGTTATTGGCTATAATGTCTTTGAGAGGATAGGCCTTCATTTCAAATAAAGACAGCCTCATTTATGGATTTCAAAGCATGTCTATACACTGTAAGTCTGTATTAAAGAAATGGGATGAAGCCAGCTGTTAAAAACAAGAAAATATGTGCAAAAGGATTTGGAGTTGACTGTATTATATAGAAGTATTAAATTAGGAGCTTTAGGGCATACTGAAGCTTCATATTGTTTGAAAGTTTATTTTGAATTCTGTAGAAAAATGAGTACTGTTAATTAGGTGATGTGGTTTCAGCATTCTCAGGCGTCTGCTCCCCACAGTATCAAAACCTTTGCCCAAGTCCACTCACTTTATTGTGACCCCTGTAGATGCTCTATCATTATGGTCCCTTTACCAAAAAAAAAAAAAAAAAAAAAAAAAAAAAAACCTTGTTGTCTCTCAGGCAACCAGCGCTTTTTGTCAGCCTATTTCATCTCCCCATCCCTTCCTACAATCGTTTATACTACTGAAAACTTGAAAGCCCACATCCCATTCTCTCCTGGATCTCTAGGCCTACCAAAGTTTCTTTCTAAAACCATGAAATGACCACAAGTTAATTTGATGAAGTGATTCATAATAAATTGTTAATAAGAAGTGACCTACAACTAGGTCAGGTCATTCTTCAACCACCTATTTTATTAGTGATCCCCCACAGGCAATACATGTGACTGAAGCTGGAATTTGAACTTTCTGTGATGAGGGCCCTGTAGCGTATATGTGAGACCTCTGGTAGCAGGAGTCTCTGAGAGCCTCTAACTCATGGTAGTCTGAAATAGACATAGGCAAAGCCCCAGGGACATTTTTAAGAGAGCTGTTGTAAGTAATCCAGTATTATAAGTTAAGTCTGTCCTGTATTCATCAGAAAAAAACAGAATCTGCTGCTACAAGATATTAGGATTTCTGGTCTTAAGCAACAGACTTGAATTTCACTACCTGGATTCTTCTCTTTGGCTTCATGTTTGCAGATAGGATGGTTGAGGAGGATGGAGCTATTGAGAGGGTGGCTGCTCTGTGCAGTTGCTTTTGTTTATATTCTTACTGACCTGGCACAGTGTAGGTGGAGGTGATGCATGTTTTCTGACATTGGGCCAGTGATGTATGGCCTGACCTTCAAAATGAGAAACATCATCTCTGTGGGTGAGACTATAGCCGTGCAAATGCTTTTATCCCATATTGCTCAGCAGTTTGCAACCGGTTCTGATAAAAAGCACCCACCCCGCTGAGTTCGCTGAAGCTTGTATATTGGTTTTAGGTTGAACATTTTGGCAAATTAACGACTGAGTGAAACCATAAAATTGGTTTTATTTACAACAAAGCCTTGTGGTGTCTGTTGGTTGTTCTTACATCTCTTTCCTTTAATCTTTGAGGTTGTTTCTGTAGGTGGCTTATCTAACTTTACATTGAAATTTGCATTCATTTCAGGATAATACTTCCCCTGGGTTTCTTCTTAATTGACATTGGACATGGTCTGCATTCTCAAACTTTGTGCATAAAGTTGGTAACTATACAGAGTCCTAGTTTACGCCTACCCCAGGTGATTCTGATTCGGGAGATGTGAGATGGAAACCCAAACTACACATTGTTAGTCAGTAGGTGACTCCCCCAGTGTGAATCTACTGATCTCATGTTTAGAAATACTGCTGTATACCATGCAAAGCTGTCATTTTCTAACTCTGCTAAACAATAAAGGTTCACAAGCCATACTTCTGATTTGCCATAAAGTTCGAGTTTTTCTCCATTTGGTTCAATGGTGTTGCTATGGATGGCATTCATAGCAAATGATAAGATTGGGCATAGTATACTTTGAGTGAATTCTTAGTTTTCCTTAGAACAACAAGATAATGAGTTAGAATTATAAGAGAGCCATCTAGTGGATAAGGATATAGGCCTGTTGCATCTTGTCTTAATGTCGGCTTTATGGTTTTATCAGATTACAGATTTAAATATAAATGAAATTAAGTGTAGATATATACTCTGAATATATTACATTAAATATATATTAAATGTTAGTGAATTTTGTTTTTGTTCTTTTTGTTTTAAAAAAATAATTTCTTATTTTATAAATGAGTCTGTACTTTTAAGTAGTTCTACTCCTTTAAATGAAACATGGATACAGAGATGATAAGACATGATTTTACCGTAAAATAAAACACACATTATATTTTTAGGGACATAAATATAGGCTAGTAACTAAAACATATTTTTTAATGCCTACTATATGTTCCTTGGATTTGAATGTAAAAGAGATTTCAGGACTTAAATAGTAGTTTATGCAATTAGAGAATGCAGAAATAGCGTGAAAGAATTATAGTCTAGATACATTACTATTTTTTATATACTCTGGAAGTTTTTAACAGTTCGTAACAAATGCCTTGGGCAGATTAGGGCATTGCCAAAAATCAACATCATGCTACTTACATTTACAATCATCTGACAGTCATCTCTCAGACGAGCATCCTCCTGATTGCCTAACATGTTTCTTTTATAATGTAATAAAGGTGAGTTACACATTTGAGCAACAGTGTTTGTCTGTTATACCTAGAGAGAAGAAAAAAGATTGTAGGAGAGCAAGATACCCAAGATACTAACTTTTCCAGGCCCACATTTTAAGTGTATTGTCAAAAGAAGCATTTTATTTTTATTTTTTTTTACTTTTTTATTTTTTTTGAGGCAAGTGTCTTGCTCTGTCGCCCAGGCTGGAATGCAGTGGCCCAATCTTGGCTCACTGCAACCTCCACCTCCTGGGTTCAAGTGATTCTCCTGTCTCGGCCTCCCTTGGAGCTGGGGTTACAGGCACCCGCCACCGCACCCAGCTAATTTTTATATTTTTAACAGAGACAGGGTTTCACCATGTTGGCCAGGCTGGTCTTGAACTCCTGACCTCAAGTGATCCACTGGCCTTGGCCTCCCAAAGTGCTGAAATTACAGGTGTGAGCCACCGTGCCTGGCCGAAAGAAGCATTTTAAAAGTTTGATATTTTAAATTAAATTGAAGATACTCTATCACAACTTAACATTCTTATGCTGGGTCATCCCTCCTTCCCCTGTACTCAAGCTCCTAGAAATCTCATCTATTTATACCTGACTCTGCTATTCAAGTAACTTCCAGGTTTTCTTCCCCCAGCGCTACATCTTTTCTTCTCTTCTCCAGGATCCTGCTGGACATCACTTCCTGATATTCTTCTGGCACCTCAACATGGCCCAAATCAAATTAGTTATCTTTGCACTGTTTTTGTATTGTGTATTTCAGTTAAAGGGGCTTACCTTTAATTTTCTTAAGAATAAAAGATTATAGTCTTATTTAATCTTTCTTTTTTTCTTATCTCCTTCCCCCAGTTTCCTGTTGGTTCTACCTCTAAAACCTATCTGGCATCATTCATCAGGATACTTTGCAAAATGAGGATTATGAGGTCAGGTCCTGTGGTAAGCAGGGAGCCAAAAATAAGACCCTCAGAGTTTCTTGCCTCCCTGTTGTACACACCCAGTAAAATCCCCTTCCCTTGAGTGTGTATGAGACTATGAATAGGATGGATACCACACCCCCGACTAGGTTACGTTATACAGCAAAATGGAAGATAATTTTGTGTATATAATTTAGGCTGCAAATCAGTTGATTTTGAGCTAATCAAAGGAAGATTATTCTGGGTGGGCCTGACTTTATCAGGTGAAAGCCCCTAAACTAGGAACTGGGCTCTTCCTGAAGAGATAAATTCTCCTGCTAGGAATGAAGTACTCCTTGACAAAGTAAGCAGCCATGTTGTAAGCGGGCCCATGAGAGGGCCATGTGGCCATGAATTTCAAGTGGCCTCTAGGAGCAAAGAGTGGCTCTTGTCTGACAACTAGCAGGAACAGAGATCTATAACCACAAGGAAATGAATGCTGCCAACAACCACATGAGCTTGGAAGAGCACCCAAGCTCCATAAATAAATGCAGCGTGGCTGGCACCTCAATACTGCTTCGTGAGACTCGGAGCAGGGGACCCAGTTAAACCGCACTTGGACTCCTGACCCACAAAAACTGTGAAATAATAAATTCAGGTTGTTTTAAGCACTATTTTTTAATTTTTAATTTTTATGGATATATAATGGTTGCACATATTTATAAAGTAAGCCACTAAATTTGTGGTTATTTGTTATGCAGCAATAAATAACAATAAATGTCCTCATTATCTTTTGCTTTGGATCAGTGCAGTAACCTTCAAATGAAGCTCTCTTAGCTCATCCGTCTCCATGAAATCCTACATAACACAGCCAAAGTCATCTTCCTTATCCTACATAAGACAGCCAAAGTAATCTCCCTTATAAACAGACTATAATGTAACCTCCATGAGATAGGGTTATAGATAGAGTTTTGTTCAAAGCTGTATCTCTAGAAGAACGCTAACATTTATGCATGCTATAAATATTGACTGATGGACTCAATGAATAAATATCATCTGTCCTCCTACACATACATCAAAACCTTTGCTGGTCCCTTGCCTACAGAGACATCCTCCAGATACAAGAAGAGGGAAGGTATATAATAAAATGCTTCAGCATACAGGTTCTAGAGTAAAACCTTGGGTTTAGATTTCAGCTCTAATATTTCCTAGCTTTGTGATCTCTTGGAAGATGTATGACTTTACTAAGCTTCGGTTTTCCAATTTATAAAACATGAATAACTTTTACCACTCAAGACTGTATTGAATATTAAATAAGACAATGCATTTAACATATTTTCACAGTGCCTGGCCTATGCAATAGATCAACAAGTATTATTTATGATTATAACATTTAAGGCCCTTTACTATATACCTTTCCTTCCTGTCCTCCAGCCTTATGAAGCTGGCACCCTTGTGTTTCCTGCCTTTGCAGCATGATGGAGAGTGAGATGCATGGATACTTTTAAAGTGTCCACTTCTACGCATCCCCTGCTAAATGACCTTGAGCAAGTTTCTTCCCGGTCTCAGTTTGGTTATCTGAGTAATGGGGCTAATTTGAATACATAGTTCTCGAGTTTGTATTGAGTCGATCCCTGCATTAGTCAGTCACATTGAACAATAACCAAATATTGGCCACTGAGGTCACTTACTGCAGGAACAATATAATGGACGTCTTTCATAACATTATGAAGACCCATGGAAAACTTTTCTTAATATTAGAAATAGTTGTGTTGGTACTGAACAATCAACGGTTGTTATTGTTTTTATCTGACCAGGCTTTTCTCTTTGAATTAGCTTCTAGTTGAGACAATCTGTACTGACTCTAGTTCAGACCTTGTTCCCTGTCTCTGTGTATTTCCTTTTTTCTCGTTACAAATTTCTAATTTATGTTTTCCTGCTATATTTAGGTAAGTTACCTTAAATTCATTCTTTAAAAAAAAGGTAGAAGTAAGTATATAAAAACCTTCCATGGTTGTTACATATGTAACAAGCACTATTCCTGTGTCATTTGTGTGAGGGTATGTGTGTGTTTTAATGGTGAGAGTTAACAAATTATGTAAGAAACACTGACATTGGAAAACTGATTTTAAAAAAACAACTTGCAAAATTTCATCAAATGAGTCTTGTTTCTTGCATTGAACAGATCATAAAAGCAATTCATAAAAAGGCAAATATAGTGATTCTTACATCACCCATTTAGTTAAAGTATCCCAAATGCTATAGCATAAGGAAGTACATGTGCTAGGCAGCCTTTGAGTTAATGAACTGATGTTGATGTTAAAACTGGTGCACTCTTTTCTCCCGGAGGTATGGCTGAATCTGTGCCACAGCCAGCCACTTTTTCATCAGATTCCATTTGAAAGTCAATTGATGAATCAGCCCTGATGCCTCATTGAACATAATGTCGAGAAGCAAGATTTCTGTACTCTATTGATGTGTTTAAGCAGCATCAAACAAGCACACACATCAATGGAAATATCGGTCAAATCATTTGTCAACAATTTTATAGAGAATACAGTTGACTTCCTAATTTCTCCACTGTTTGGGTTGCTATAGTCTAATAAATCATGCTTCTGCATGGAGACATACTAATACTTCGTGGAAAAGTAATCAGAAGTCTTAATTGAAATAAAATTATATTTGTCCCTGTTTAAAGATATTCAAACACTACTTCAGTTCACAGACTTAAAAGTGAATAACTTCTTTATGACCTTATTGAATGAGGATGTGATTAATGTTACTAAAGTCACACTTACGTTGGATTGGGGGACTGACCGACCATGCTGTGAGATCTTTAGCGAGAAAATTGAGCTCTCTTCTGGTTAGCGTTGACTGGCTATACTTTGTGCTAGCCATCACTGACTTCCACCTAAAAAGATAAACTGTAGGTGTAAGCAGCAAATATCAAGCCGTCTTAGGCTGTATTCTTCTATTCCTTCTCTTTTTTTTTTTTTCCTTTCTTTTTCTTTTTTTTTCTTTTTTTTTTTTTTTTTTTTTTTTTGAGATGGAGTCTTGCTCTGTCACCCAGGCTGGAGTACAGTGGTGCGATCTCTGCTCACTGCAAGCTCCGCCTCCTGGGTTCACACCATTCTCCTGCATTCTCCTGCCTCAGCCTCCCCAGTAGCTGGGACTACAGGCGCCCACCACGCCTGGCTAATTTTTTTTTTTTTTTGTATTTTTAGTAGAGACGGGGGTTTCACCGTGTTAGCCAGGATGGTCTCGATCTCCTGACCTCATGATCTGCCCACCTTGGCCTCCCAAAGTGCTGGGATTACAGGCATGAGCCACCGCACCTGGCCCCATTCCTTCTTCTTCTTAATATTTTTCCATTTCAAGGTCACAACTGCAATACCTTATATATCCCATATTAGTAATGAGGACATCTGTGTTGCACTGGTATTGTTAAATTGGCCTTCAGTAAAATCAAACCATTCCTTGCAGTAATGGGTGAGAACTTGCCTTTCACCTAGAGCCAAGTTCATTACAAATTCATGCTCACAGCCCAGAGAAAAACAGGGTTTTTATGAGGTTTCAACAAGTAATATATCTGCATGATGGGTTGTTCCAAGAAACTAAGCAAATGGAAATGTCAGTTTGCAGAAACTGTCAAAACGAACATAACCTAATTAGAATTGCTGCTTATTTAATAAGCCATCAGTAGCCCTACCAGATAGAGTCCTGCCAATCTTGCAAGTACTCATTCATCTTGCATTTAAGTTTGTAGATACTCTAGGCTCTGCTAATGGGAAAACAACGTTAATTAGATACCGCACCCAATCATTAAACAGCTGCAAGCATAGTTAGTGCCCTTAGCTATGAAATGCTGTAAGCCTTCATGTGAATATACCTTGATATGTCAACATGGGACCCCAGTGTGTATTGCAGTTATAAAACAGTGTGCATCACTGTATGCTTTGCACATGGCAGATCCTCGCAATGTACACATCGATAAGTAGTTTTTATTAATGTATATTCCATGTGTTTGAATTGCATGTCACCCACTTAAGGTAGGTTCTTATTTGATGCCCGTAGTGTTTGCATATTAAGGGCCCTGAATACTACTACTTTGCTTAGTAACGTGTCTTTACAGACATTACCTCTGACTTCATGTTTTATGGTTGTTAGTAATTGTGAAACAAATGTGTCTGACTGCCACTGGGCAATGCTGCTTCAATAGAGTACACACATTAAGTGTATGACATTCAAAACTAGCAGAGGAGGAACTCTGAAGGAGGTAGGGCAGGGGATGACAAGAGTGTGGGAGGAGGAGAGGTGTAAGGAGAGGTATTATGAAAGAAAAAATAATCATGCTTTTTTAATTGCATAAAATAATTTGATTGCAAGTTTCAAAGACAAACTAAAAAAGAATGTAATCAATTATCTGCGTGTTGGCACAATAGAAATTTATGGGGAGACTGTGGAGGAAACGAAATGAGAACAGCTGAATGAAGTCAATCGCTGTGATGTGGCGCCTTCCCTATTGTTGAGAATGGAAAAGAGTGCAAATGCACAGTGCACCGGATTTGTCAGCAAGCTGTGTTTTCTCGGTATGGTAGATCTCTATTGCTCATGACTATTGAGAAAGACCTACACACCTGCTTCTGTTATTCTCAAGCTGAATGATGAGGACAGAGTTTATAAATAGCCTTTCTTTCCTCTCTGTTAAGTGTTTCCTCATATGTGGGAGAAGGTAGATTATCTGGCTATCTAAATATCACCTGGAATTGTTACACCATGCAGTGAATGTTTAAGAAATGAGAGTGGACGATTTTGGTTGATGGTTTTAGTTAGCTACAATGTTTTCAACATCTTTAATCATATTATCCAGACTTCTTATTTGTTCTTCCTGTATTACCTATTGATTATTATAATTCTGGCTCCATATACCTGTTACCTAGAGTCACATTGATACATTTTTGTCATCATGTGACATTGCTTTCCCTCAATCTCATATGCCATTTCTAATCTCATTCTTGCTTTACTGTTTACTCGATTACATCTGAATCTGGGAATCACTCTCTCATCCAACATAACAGCAGCCCCTCACATGGCTCCTTTGCTTCTAACTTGCCTCAATTTCTTTCTAGCCAGTAGAGATCACCAAGACCCAATTTGGTCATCCATTATGTTTGGGAGGACAGAAATATTATTTTAGTTATATATTCAGTGACTTACAATTGTTTATCACAAACCTAAAGTTACCTGTAGTAAGCACTGGATCTGTTTCAGGTACACTGTCAATTGTAGAAGGTAGTTGTGGACATGAATAAAATGTTAGAGATGTCAGAGGCCGATGTGGCTGTCTTTAGAGGTAGAGTTTTATTGGAATATGGCCTAGAACTTTATTTTCAAAACAAAACAAAGAAATGGATAATCACCTCTTTTCCTTATCAATGATCTCTTAATCTCTACTGAATTAGTTTTGCAAATTATCACTGAAAGAGGATTTCAAGAAATATGATTTTAAATTATCTTTTTCATATTTCTCTAGATTTTAAAAAGCTTTCTTTAAAAAGATGACAACCTTTAAAAATAACTTTTAGATACCATATATGCCTTCCAATCTAAAAAAAATGAAAATATTGATAATAAAACATTTTTCTCCATGGTCTGTGTTAAAATTTATAGTCTGACTCACTCAATACTAATCTATGTGGAATTTATCTTGGGTAGTCTAATCTTTGTTGCAAAAAGTGCAATACATGTCTTCCTTGCTTTAAGTACTGCTTTCTTATGTGATAGAAAACTGTTACAACTAAATTACATTATTTTTAAAAATATGATATTTTTTAAATGGAGATCTTTTTGAATATCATACCACATTCAATTTCCAGTTAATCAAATGGCAAGTTAAAAATAAGTAGTGTGCATTAGATTTTTATTGCTGCAGTTGTAAATTACCAAAGGCTTAGTGGCTTAAAACAACATAATGTTATTATCATACTGACACAGGTCATACTGATCAAGGTCTCAGCAGGACTGTATTTCATTCTGGAGGCTCTAGGAGAGAATCAGTTTCCTTTGCCTTTTCCAACTTCTAGAGCAAGTTTGTCCAACACGTGGCCTGCGGGCTGCATGCAGCCCAGGATGGCTTTGAATGAGGCTCAACACAAATTTGTAAACTTTCTTAAAACATTGTGAGATTTTTTTTTTTTTGCAATTTTTTTTAGCTCATCAGCTATCATTAGTGTTAGTGTATTTTATGTGTGGCCCAAGACAATTCTTCTTCTTCTAATGTGGCCAGGGGAAGCCAAAAGATTGGACACCCATGTTCTAGAGGCTTACCACATTCCCATGACTTATGGCACCTTTCTTCAATCTTTAAAGTCAGTAACATTGCATTTTTCTCATCCTTCTTCAGTAGCCATATCTACCTCTCTGACTCTTCTGCTTCCTTCTTCCACTTAAGGATGGTTATTATTAAATTGGATCCACCTGGATAATCTAGGCTAGTCTTCCTTTAAGGTCAGTTGATTAACAACAGTAATTCCATCTGCAAGCTTATTGCCCCCTTTACTATGTAGCCTAAAATATTCACAGGTTCTGGGGATTAGGACATGGATCTTTTTGTTGGGGGAGGCATTCTTCTGCCTACCACATAGTAGTATATAGGTACACACACACACATATATATATATATATATATATATATATATTTTTTTTTTTTTTTTTTTTTTTTTTTTGAGGCAGAGTCTCACTCAGTCGTCCAGGCTGGAGTGCAGCGGCATGATCTCCGCTCACTGCAACCTCTGTCTCCCAGGTTCAAGCGATTTTCCTGCCTCAGCCTCCCTAGTAGCTGGGATTATAGGCGCACGCCACCTCACCCGGCTAATTTTTGTATTTTTAGTAGAGACGGGGTTTCATCATGTTGGCCAGGCTGGTCTTGAACTCCTGGCCTCAGGTGATCCGCCCTTCTCGGCCTCCCAAAGTGCTGGGATTACAGGCGTGAGCCACCTCGCCCGGCCTTATAAATATATTTATACCTAGGTTTGCACATGGAAGCAAGCATCACTATTTTAGATTATGGACATCTTAATTTTCAACTTTGGCAGTAGGTTTTTACCTGTAAAATGAAAGGAAATCAACCTGATTATATACTGTGTACTTTGAATCCATTTGAGGCCTACAAATTGTTTGTAAAAACAATTGTTTTTGTCCAACTGCTTTTTTTCCAACTGCATATATGATTTATGGAATTTGATGATAAGATCATGGAATTTTTCTCAACCAAAAGTAATGGTTTGTGACACTAATACATGAAGCACATTCCAGAATGATACTCCAGATTTTAAAAAGAGTAAAGGCAAAAAATTGCTAACGTCTCCAAACATTTTCCTGTGAGCCACTAACCATTGCTAATGTTTCCTTGACAAGTGAAGAAAACAATTATTTTTTAAATATTCTGTCAAATGGTACTATTTTCTTCAGGTCAATTCTAAATTCCAAAATTTCAGGGATTATGAGCAAGCTCTCGATCGCTCTCATCCAGAATTTATAGTGTCCGTGAAACTTTATGTGCAGTACAGGAACATTTTACATTTTGGGGTTAAGAGTTGCAATAGTTTGGATGATTCCTCTGCAAACTGAAACTAATAGAGTCATACAATACAGGACCATGTTCTTAAGGCAAATATACTATATAGTGAATGAAAGAAATGGATTTTGGTAACTCCCTTTCGGGCTGAACTGAGTAAGCAGTTCTTCACACAAAGGCACCATGATACAGTGATAAAAATGGTGAGTTGGGATACCAGAAACTTGGTTTCTGGTCCTGGCTCTGTCTCTAATTATTGCATCCTTTTAAACAAGTTAAAGGATAGCTTTTTGCCTCATTTCTCTCATTTAAAAATGAGTTTAAGAGGAATTATCGCTGAAGTCCTGGATCATGCACAGCTTCTGTGATGTTATAATCCCAGTTTTACATGGCCACCACATGCCTAACATCATCTGTGGTGGCTCCTGGAAAAAAGAGGGGATGTGAGCAAAAAAAAGGAAATACAGCAGGGAGATGTGATATGACAAAAATCTTGCTACCACAATTGTTGGAAACAGAAAGCTTACTCAATCGCTGAGAGCTAAAAAGGGCTTTTATGCACATCTCCTTGCTACTTTACTGTTTTCTGAGTTCAATTCCAATGGAAATGGTAAATATGAAGGGGCCTTAAAAAGAAATAGCATCAGGATGTTTTACTATAGTTCTGCCTTATTGTATATGGAATAGACTTGATACTAGAAAATTGACAGCAAAGTGTAGTTCTCTATATAACATTTTTTTTCCCCAACTGCTTTTGTAGAACTGAAACTGCACTCCCAGGGGAAGATAAACGATCCCACAAGGTGCAGTAAAAGTCAGAGAATGCTATTGCAGTAGGGACAAGATGGCCCAGAGACACAGTCTACCCAACACCCACATTTAACTGATGCAGACCTGCAAACAGAGAGTCTTCATGATTCACTCAAGGTCAAGAAGCCGGTTAGTTACAGAGTCAGAGCTGAGGCTGTATTTACTCTTTCCCACAAGCAAGGTTCAACTGTTCCTACTTGAATTGCATATGATTACATACAGTATGAAAAAGGATTTTTTTCTGTTAACTGTTGACAATATTAACATCAGTCACTAATTTTAATAATAGTACTTAATTGATGCTTTGTATGTGCTAAACAGTCTTGTAGGTGTTTTACTCAATATAGTTTTATTAACTCATCTAATCATCCCAAGAATTCTGTGAAATAATTCTACGTACACTCCTACTTTACAGGAGGGGCGCCCATGCCCCATTTAAAGATGACATTTGAACTTAGACACTTTGGCTGTAAATCCAGTGTTCCCAATTGTGCTATAATGCCTCTGAACTTAAATGCTACAAGAAAAATCAAACTACCAGGTTGGACCTCAATTATGATTACAGTCATATGAGATGAGCCACTTAATTGTATGGATCTTTAGATATATAACATTTTATAACTTGAGGCTCATTCATTCAACATGTAGTGATTAAGCATCTATTATATGTACAGGGATTTACCAGGTGTTATAAAGGCTACCAAGGATAATGTAATTGATAATGCTAGTATGCGTGATAAAATGGTATAATTCAAAGTATAACGAATAGCATTAATAACAACAGTTCTTAGATAGTACGTATTTAATATGGGCCAGCCTTTTTGCTAGGCACCTTGCATATATTATCTCATAATTTTCACCCCAGTCATTAAGCCAAGTCATATTTTTCCATTTTAGAAATGATGAAACAGACGTGAATAGGTAAGCAACTTACCCATACTTACAAAGGAAGTGACAGAGTTGGTATTCAAATCTAGGTCTGTGTGAATAACAACCTCATTTTATTTCAACTACTCTGCTTTAAATTAGAAAACCCAATCCTATCAAAAGAACACGTGAGGCCCCTCTCCAGGCCCAGCTGGGAGGCTTATTGCTGAATGCATGGCCAGAATCCATTGTGGCTTCTTTTTGCACAGATCTTACATGTTCCCCGGGGGGTTTATTATCTCCCCATATATGGTAAAGAGGAGAAATCCTGGAGTTCATCTCCAGTCTTTCTGTTTAGGCTTTGCCCACCAGTGAAATTTAAGAGCAGAGTATTGCAAAGCGTATTTGGAATATGTTAAGAACCCTTCATTTTGCGTTCATGCTTTGATGCTTCAACATCCTTCTCATTGTCCTAATTTTGAGTCCACATTCAAAACCAGCTGAAACCCCTTGAAAATAAACCCAACCGCTGGCATCTGGCTCCGCAGCCACCCACCTTGCTTGGTTTGCTTTCAAATTGCCCGGTGAAATTCACTGGCACCAATCACAAGTCCTCATGCTCTCTCTGCTCATCACCTATTAGGTCAAGCACTCATGGGTTGTGCCGTGTTGTGGCCCTGCATGGCATACTGTCACCCTCTCTCTGGGACCTGTGAGAATAAGAAATGTCATCCTCTCAAATCACTTTCTCTTGTTCTCCTGTGGCGGGACCAACTTTCCCATACCTTAACCAACACCTACATTCTTAGAACAGATGGAATGAATGGAAACGAAGCTACACAACTTTCTAAACTTGTGATTCTAACTTCAAAAGTAATGATTACTTTTTCTCTTTCCTGCTGCTTTTCTATTTTATCTCTCATTTTTCTAACATCTTTTCTCTCATCTACCTCTGAAGATCCACTCTACCTAGGATCTGGAGCCTTCCTTAATTCAGTCACTCATTTAGGGACTGTACTGAGTTTCACCAGGGGTTTCACCAAATAATGATATAATTTCAGCTCTTTATGCCTTTTGAGTGACACTCATAGGAAGAGAAGGATTGCATCTCTACCTCTAAAGGGTCTTGAATTGTGAAAGAGTTTCCCTCCCCTCTTCTCTTGTGCTCTACTTCCTCTGCTTTCCTCCCCTCCTTTTCCCTCTCCCCCACACATGTAAACATTGTGTAATTCCATGTGTGTCCCTGTTATCTATTTGTTTCTAGTGTTAAGGTGACTTACAGCTTAGGGGTACAACTGTATATGTATTATATTCAGATGCAGACTTGTCAAGACAAATACAGTCTTCCTGACACTGATGCATGCAGTCAACACTGGAACAGAAAGTTGATAGCTGCATTAAAATTTTTGCAATGGCTGCCATAGAAACCCACGCAAGAGTGACTTTGCGCTGAAATATGACATCTCAGGGATCTGTCTGGTGAATCTTTGACACAGAAAGAGAAATAAATTAGAAAACAGTTTTCCACAGAGCCTTTTAGATCCTTAAAACTTGAGTCTCAAAGCACTTGAACAAAGTAACTATTTGGAAAAAGAAAAGGTATTCGTTCTTGGCATTTTTAAATTCATTGAATAGATTCTCCTTAAATGTTAATAGCATTTTGATGGGAGAATTACTCTATTCAGAGCATTCGGCTCACCTCAGAAATGATTTAAAAATTTTATGTTATGCCTTTTAAATATTAAGCTTCTCATTTTCCATCCCATATCAAAACTGGCATAACATTTCAGAAGTCAAGGTTTAACAGTCAGCAAATAAACATATTTGCAAAACTGTTAAATGATGATTATTTTTGCATTTGATACGCAATTGTATCTACAATATATGTCTTGAGGAATATGTGTTTTATTCACTGCATGTATGCAAGCAATAAAATTTCACTAAGCAGACTCCATGGCAAATTAGTTACCTGAGTATTCCAATTACTGAGGTTCCTCAAACCACTAGAACTTTCATCTTTTTTTTCAGTCCTTTTTTTTTAATCATACTCTAAGTCTGGGATACATGTGCAGAACGTGCAGGTTTGCTGCACCCATCCACCCGTCATCTATGTTAGGTATTTCTCTTAATGCTATCTCTCCCCTAGCCCCCCACCCCCCGACAGGCCCTGGTGTGTGATGTTCCCCTCCCTGTGTCCATGTGTTCTTATACTTCACCTCCCACTTATGAGTGAGAACATGCGGTGTTTGGTTTTCTGTTCCTGTGTTAGTTTGCTGAAAATGATGGTTTCCAGTTTCATCCATGTCCCTGCGAAGGACATGATCTCATCCTTTCTTATGGCTGCATAGTATTCCATGGTGTATGTGTGCCACATTTTCTTTATCTGGTCTATCATTGATGGGCATTTGGGCTGGTTCCAAGTCTTTGCTATTGTGTACAGTGCTGCAATAAACATACATGTGCATGTGTCTTTATAGTAGAATGATTTATAATCCTCTGGGTATATACCCAGTAATGGGATTACTGGGTCAAATGATATTTCTGGTTCTAGATCCTTGAGGAATCACCACACTGTCTTCCACAATGGTTGAACTAATTTACACTCCCACCAACAGTGTAAAAGCATTCCTATTTCTCCACATCCTCTCCAGCATCTGTTGTTTCCTGACTTTTTAATGATCACCATTCTAACTGGCATGAGATGGTATCTCATTGTGGTTTTGATTTGCATTTGTCTAATGACCAGTGATGATGAGCTTTTTTTCATATGTTTGTTGGCTACATAAATGTCTTCTTTTGAGAAGTATCTGTTCATATCCTTTGCCCACTTTTTGATGGGGTTGTTTGTTTTTCTCTTGTAAATTTGTTTAAGTTCTTTGTAGATTGTGGATATTAGCCATTTGTCAGATGGATAGATTGCAAAAATTTTCTCCCATTCTGTAGGTTGCCTTTCACTTCGATGATTGTTTCTTTTGCTGTGCAGAAGCTTTTTAGTTTAATTAGCTCCCGTTTGCCACTTTTGGCTTTTGTTGCCATCGCTTTTGGTGTTTTAATCATGAAGTCTTTGCCCATGCCTATGTCCTGAATGGTATTGCCTAGGTTAGGGAACTTTCATCTTTACTAGATGAATCAAACCTGGCAATCCTCAGATACCAAAACAAAAACACCTTCATATACATGTTAGCCCTCATAGAATTCTTCAAAGGCATACTTTCTGTCTTAAAGTATAAAATAATTCAAATATAAATTTTCTTTTCTCTTGATGATTCTGCACCGTAGTACTTTTGGGTGTTAGTGTAATCTACTGGTGCTTTTGTGTAGATACAAGATGCAAGTCAAGAATCAGATTTGTTGTCATCTCTCATCGCTCTTTTTTTTTTTTTTTTTTTTTTTTTACAAATGTAACCTTGTGCAAGATGCCTTTAGCAATCAATGCCTCAAGAAAAAAAGAGATGATTGCCAAGTGGTTAATTAGCCTTCTGCCAGGTCTTCCCCACCTCAGCAACCTATTTACCAACATGCAAACTTGATGCCCACTAACAGTGGAAAAGTCTTAGGCCTTTAGGGGTCACAGTGATGAGGTACAGGTGACTCTTTACCCACCCCACCCCTGATAGCTGATCTACCTCTCATCATCCTTCTAGTCATGACTTCAAATTACCACCATGCTGCCTGGACAGCTGATGAGGGGATTTTCATAACAGCCAGTATGGCTGCTTTGAATGATTGCCATGGAATTTTTTCCCTCTTCTTTCGGTTTCCCTCCCTTTTACTTTCTTCTATCTCCTGTTGCTACTACAAATTTTCTGTGAAAAGCTGGTTTATATATAGATTACCAACCCATCAGAGAATACTTTTGCTTTCAAGTAGGAAATCAAATAATCATAGCATACTGGGTACTATTTTTTATGGGTTCTCTCTTCTATGTTGTTTATTACTTGGATTCATGGGGATGCTTCATTCTTCCCAATGAGGTAAGGTTTCCAGCCCTCTTTTTGTAACCATAATTGTTTTGAAGTCTAGAGCTGTTCCCAAAGATTGAGAGTTCTGAAAGTTTGGCCTCAGGAGTGGGTGGGGTGGGGGAGAGTAGTAGGTAAGCTGTTGTGTGTATATTTATGCTTATTGTTTGCTCAGCAAGCAGTAGACATATACTTGAATTAATCTGGCAAAGTGTTTAGTTTTAATGTAAGGTGAAACACAGGAAAATACTCCTATCCCAAAGATGTGAAAAAATAGTTTGTTAGGGGAAACAGGAAAGAGCAGCTCTACAACCAATGATATATTCATATCTAAGTTGAAGTCATATATTCTGTTTTATGTGGAGCACACAAATTAGCTTTGCAAGTTGGTCGGCTATGCCTAGATATTTACTGTAACATATATTTTTCTAAAAGCATATATGGGTGCCTTAAAATTAAAATCTGTACCACAAGGAATATTGGATATTAGAAATTATGAAACAATAGGGCTTATACAAAAGAGGTATGTTTATTCATTTACTTACTGTTTTTTATTGGATACATGTGATTAAAAGAAAAATTTTTATATAATCCTATTGTCTCAAGGACAAATGATTCTGTGCTCATCTGGGCATGGGACATGTCACACAGATATTAAAGACACTACAGAGCCATACTGAAATAACACGGACAGAGAAATAAAAAAAAAAAATTAAAAACAGGGTCAATAGTGGCAAAAAGTGAGCTTGTTAAAAAACAGAATTGGCCAGGTGCGGTGGCTCATGCTTGTAATCCCAGCACTTTGGGAGGCTGAAGCAGGCAGATCATGAGGTCAGGAGTTCAAGACCAGCCTGGCCAACAGTGAAACCCTGTCTCTACTAAAATTACAAAAATTAGCTGGGTGTGGTGGCGGGCGCCTATAATCCCAGCTACTCAGGAGGCTGAGGCAGGAGAATCGCTTGAACCCAGAAGGCAGAGGTTGCAGTGAGCCAAGATCATGCCACTGCAATCCAGCCTGGTTGACAGAGCTAGACTCTGTCTCAAAAATAAATAATTAATAAATTAATTAAAGTGAAGGCATGCAAAATATCCTCTTTGGAGTCTAATTTAGACATCATGGAAGGATAATTATTTGGTGGTGGGGATGACATGGAGATTAAAAACAGGAGAAGGAAAGCCCTGTGTGTTTTGGCATTTTAGACATTTAGTGGAACACACTAGGGTTCTTGACACTTTCTCTGTAACTTGGAGAGGATACTTTTATATTGTAGATAACCTTGTGGAGAGGTAGAAGAACTATGGTGGAGTCTGAAGAAGTAATACAGTTCAAGGTGTTTCCAATTTGCTCTAAGTTAGCAAAAGAAAAAGACAAACACAAACAAATAGAAAGTATTGGCTGGGCATGGTGGCTCACACTAGTAATCCCAGCACTTTGGGAGGCTGAAGCAGACGGGTCGCTTGAGGTCAGTAGTTTGAGACCAGCCTGGCCAACATAGCGAAACCCCCTCCCTACTAAAAATATAAAAAATTAGCTGAGTGTGGTGGCACACGCCTGTAGTCCCAGCTACTTGGGAGGCTGAGGCACGAGAATTGCTTGAACGTGGGAGGCGGAGGCAGAGGCTGCAGTGAACCGAGATCATGCCACTGCACTACAGCCTGGGCGACAGAGCGAGACACCATTTCAAAAACAAGAAAAAAGAAAGTGTTATACAAGTTATATCACGAACAAGATAATATAAAAAGCTATTGCACATCAATAAGAAAAGTTCAACTCAATGCAAAAATGCACATATGATATGAATAGACAACTCATAGGAAAGGAAATTCAATTGACTTTGAAATATATGAAAATATATTCAACCTCATTTGTAATAAAATAAACATAAATTAACATTAAACATTTTACCCATCGGATTAACAAAGTTAAAAAATGGTATAGAGAATTAGGTGTTCGTACACTGCTGATGGGAGTTTAATTGTTACAGCCTAAATTCAGGCAAGTCAGCAATACCTATCAAGAACAAAATGATGCATATTCTTTAGGCAATTCTCAAATGTATCTTGCAAATATGGTCATTCATGCCATCTCATGCTCATTCATACACATTCATGCCGTTGTGTGTCTGTGTGTTTGCAGCCATTGTGTGTTGAATTGCATAAGATTGGAAATTACTGACATATACATCAATGGAGGACTAGTCAAGAAAGTTATAGGTCATTCACAAAAAGAGACTATTCTATATCTATTAGTATGGAAAGAAGTTGAAAAGGTATCATTAAATGAAAAAGTAGGGGATTCGAAACAACGGTTATAGTACGGTATTTCTTGGGGGAAAGAATACACATATTGTGATAATGGAATATCTCTGGCCTGTTTATACTTGGGTTTGGCTAAGGGATTGTCTCTAGGGAGGGGAACTCGGCTGGGGAGATTGGAGTGGGACAAAAATTTACTTTTCAATTTACACAGTTTTATAGCTTTTACATTTTATATCTTATTGTATGGTCAACTCAGAAAGAATAGTTAAAACTAAAGGGATTAGAGGAAATTATGAATTCTAAGAACTTACTTTGTCTGGGAATTTAACTGTGCATTGAGCTAGAATTATTTTTGTTGTATTAGGAATCTGGTAATAGTGAACATGAAACAGGAGAGAAAAATTTTTCACAGATATTTTGACATCAAACTGAGATCATTTGATAGTTTTTGCCTGATTAATATTCTTAAATGATTATGGAGAAGGTGTTGTGACCCAGAAATGCAATAACCCATTATAGTATCTTGTTTACACCCCATTAACACTGATAGCACTCTATGTTACTTTATTTTCAATTTTTTTCCTTCAGAGTCTCAGTTATTTAACCATTTTCCAATTACTAAGCGATATATGAATCTGACTCACATTCTATATTCAGAACAATGAAGATCAAAATATGTATTTCTTATAGCAGTTATAGATTACAATAGTGGAAAATGGGCTTCAGAGTATGAAAAAGTGGAGAGCAAGTCAAAATCTTATATGAATATGAGAGAACATTTTAGTTATAATTACAAAGCCCCAATGGCCTAATTTTCCTCATTAATGCTGAGTGATATTTTTGAAAAGTATGTAGAATTTAAGGTACCAATTGCCAAAACAGTGAAATAAAGGAAAGGCGTGAGAAAGAAAGATAAATGAAATTCCCAGGTATTACACAATTTACATCAAAGTATTTTCTAATTGGTAATGTAAAATGTTATATAGGAAATTTTACACATCATTTTATATATCTCTTTACTTGAAGTGTTAAAGTGATTTCCCATATAATAATTCAGAAAATTATGTATAAGCTAACAAAACTTAGACCTGTAGACTCTAGTTGTATGTAGAAACTGCCAATAGCTGCTAATTCAATTCTCTCTTCAATGTACCCCAACTGATATCTTGTTTACTGGGAATATCACATTCTTCTCTCTCATTGGACTTTATTTCACTGGAAAAATAAGTCCTAAAGGGAATAACAAAGAAAACTACAATTGAGAAATAGAAACAACAACAACAAAAAGTTTAGCTAAATAATTAAAGATATTTGATGAGCATCCTGGGGATATCCAAGTTAATGAACTTGAGTGAGTAGGATGGGCATTCATCTCTGATTCCCACCTTTCAGAAGAGTGAAGAAAGCATTAAACCATGAAACTATGGCTTGTGAAGATTTCCGAGGGCCAGTTTACTGAGTGCTGAGAATGCCAGTTTTTTAAGGCTTCTCATTACCTTTTAGCATTTGGAACCCAAAGTGGAGAATGATTGCTTCTGAAATAACAAGAGGTCATTTCCTCTTCCTTCAGGTCTCTTCCTAAATGTTCTCTTGTTCCTTATGCTGCATGATATGTAAGATAAAATTTATTTTTTTCATTGTATCATTAAAAATAAGAATCTTTCTGCAAGGAAAAAGAAGGGTATTTAGATAAAACCAGGAGTTTACTTTGATACTTCCATGTAAACTCCTGTTTGTATCAGCAGTGGTACCTTGGCTGTTGTCCAGCGGTTTAATTGGCTCTTGTTTGCCTAATCTCCTGTAACAGATAATGTTATTACAGAATCGTAGGACTCCAAAATTTCCCATCAGACAAAACAAGCCTTTTAATGAGAATCACTTTGTTTTACCTGGCATTTGGCTTGGTTTGAGCCACCTCAATCCCATCTCACTTGTGAGAAATGCATTATTTTTCCTAACAACCATGCTAATTCTAAGCCAGGAAACATTTTTTTGGATCACTTCTTTTCTGGAATGATTCAAAGTTCAGGAAAGTAAAAGTGGGAAGGAATTTAAATTAAGCTGAGATGGGAAGGAGACATAATTAAATTGGACTTTATTACCCCTGTTTTGCAACTAGGTTGATGTTAATTGGTATCTCAAAAGACATAGCACTATAACATTTGCTGTTTTTGAATTTACATTAATTTCTTCTATAATAGTACGTCAGTGTATATAATTTGTCTAAATTCTGTATCTTTTATTTATCCATTTAGTAATTCTTACATTCAACCAATATTTGGTGAGTGTATTTCGTGTTTAAGGCACTGTTCTAGGGACCACTAATAGAGTAAAGCAAAACAAACCGACAAACACAAAATAAAGTCCTAACTGTAATGGAGCTTTTTGTTCAGGTAGTGAAAATTGTTTTAAGAAAAATAATATATGGGGATAACAGTAGACCGTGTATGCAGGAGTAGGACAGTTATATTTATACATCTATACACACACACAAATACATGTATGTATTCACATCCATATACATCTGTCTACATAGATATAGATTATAATGTTATATTATAGGATGTCAAAAAGAATCTCTTTTTGATAGGCTGGCTTTTGAGAGAATTAAAAGGAAGTGAAGGGGCAAGACATGTAGCCATATGGACAAAAGGAAATTACAGACAGGACACAGAAAGTTGCAAAAACCTGAAGTAAAAGAATGTTTTGTGTTTAAGGGGCAACAAACAGTGATGTGAGTTGGGGGAATATGCTAGAAGAGGAGATGAGAGAGACAAGGTGGGAATGGAAAAAGTCCAGTAGGACTTCCGTGACAAATATTTAGGAATGGATTTTGTTAAACAACATGTATACGATATTGTGGTTAAAGTAGAAAATCAATGATAGACTGGATTAAGAAAATGTGGCACATATACACCATGGAATACTATGCAGCCATAAAAACTGATGAGTTCATGTCCTTTGTAGGGACATGGATGAAATTGGAAATCATCATTCTCAGTAAACTATCGCAAGAACAAAAAACCAAACACCGCGTGTTCTCACTCATAAGTGGGAATTGAACAATGAGAACACGTGGACACAGGAAGGGGAACATCACACTCTGGGGACTGTTGTGGGGTAAGGGGAGGGGGGAGGGATAGCTTTAGGAGATATACCTAATGCTAGATGACGAGTTAGTGGGTGCAGCACACCAGCATGGCACATGTATACATATGTAACTAACCTGCACATTGTGCACATGTACCCTAAAACTTAAAGTACAATAATAGTAAAAGAAAAAAGAAAAAAAAAAAGAAAATCAGGGCCATAGAGAAAAGATGGAAGCAAATATAGTGTAGAGAAAGCTAATATGTTTCTGTAGTTGATCACTAGATTTCTCTATCAGTTTCCTAGTGGCCAGGGCATACAGGGAAATAAAAATGTTGTATGTCTGGTTAAATACATTTTTTTAAAGCAAGCAAGTATACCAATTATTTAGGGAAATTGAAACAAAATTACAAAACAATTGTTGCTCTTGTTTGTCTTCTTTGTTAGCCAAAAAATGCCTCCCCTTTATTTTTATTTGTTGTTGTTTTGGTTCTTCAGTTTCTATTAAATAAATTTCCACACTTGAGACGCTGTGTAATTTCATCTAGTTTTGTACAAGGTTGTGGGTGATACAATCTTATGTCATTTTTAAATTGTCCACTACCATACTGAAATTTTCATGACTTGCCTTCATATATGAGTATGTTTTTATTTCAATCCCAAGATTCAAGTATACAAACGCAGTGCTTTTTTAATAGGAAGAACATATTAAAAGTCTTCATATACCAAGAGAAAACTTACTTCTCTTAGAATACTGATTGTCTCTTTATAACCACTCTTTTATAAGTAATTGTATAAACTCTTACATTGGGATTATGGTAGTTTCTTATTGATCTGGTAAATGTTTTCTCGTGTCTATAACAATTCAAGGTAAAATACACTACAATCACCAGAAATAAACTATGTTTTCTGGTACTAAAATCATTATTTTAGTAATTTTTAAAAATAATGTTCATTATTATCCATTATCTGAGAGATACCTCTCATTACCTCTCTCAAAAATGACAAGAAAGTGAAATAACATGTCTAAGATTATTGTTACCTAATGTTTATAAAAATAGATAAACCCAAGAAAAATATCGAAAAGTATTAATTGTATGAAAAGATGGAGAAGAGGAAAATATCCCTTATAATGAAAATCAGTCATGCTAGATGATAAAGTGGTGAGATTTAAACAATTTTCTGGGCATTGTATTCTCAAATGGATAGTGAGTTGAGCAAATAGATTAAAAATAGTGTAAAGTAATGCAATAGTAAAATAAACATGCTGAGTAGGAAGAGTTAAGTCTTAGATAACAAAAGGCAGAAGACAAATTAAATCAAAATAATGTAGAGGCATGACAATGAAAGCTAAGTAGTCTATGGAAAACTGTTAAGAGACCTGAATTAATTAATGATGATAATGGTCGTAACTAACATATATATGTAGTGACAGGAATCAATCCAAGTATTTTACACAAACTCCTCATTTAATTGGCCCCACAACTCCTTTAGGTTGGTATTATTATCATTTCCATTTACACATGACGAAACTGAGAGCACCTAGAGGATTAACTGGATCCTAACACTCAAAGGCTTTGTGATATGAAGTGTTCAGTGATTAATGTGTTTGATAAGGTTGAAGATTTGGGGTGCATCATTTCATATCAACTATAGTAGGTGGACCCTGTCAGGAGACCAGGGAAGAGATGATTAGAAAACCCAGATGAAAGAAACTAGGACCTTTATCAGGAACTAAAGGTGAAACTATACATTTAGATGGTGTAAATGCCTTAGGGGACCTGAAAAATGGCAAGCATTTAAGGTGAAAGGTAAATAGGTGAGTAGCCCCAATTGAATGTATAATATTAATGAAAGTCACATTTAAAGATGTTTAGACATAAAGCAAATGGTCTTGTTATTTAGCGGGACTTAAAAGGTAAATCAGTAAGTGGAGAAAATCTCATCTACAATGGGAAAATATAATTGAGCTTAGACTGGATATAAAAGGGCAGAAGTGGAGAGCTAGATCTATGTGTATTTATCCAGGGTTTGTTATGAGCCCAGAGAAAATGTAGGAAAAGAAATTCAACAACTGAAAAAGCAAAAAATTAAATGAATCTGAACAAAGAAAGCTGCTTATATTAGATATATTTTCTGGAAAAAGATATAGGTGTCCTGTCTTAGCAAAATAGGAACTAGAACAAATGCCACCATCTTTCAAAATTTAATATTTTCTTGCTACAATTTATGTTTATGATTTATACTTATGGATATGATACTCTATTAAGAGGCATCTTGTGTGAAACAATTATCATATACATTGCAAAATAGAATATGTATAAATGTTTCCGTGTATATGTGTAGATGGGTTTGTGTGTATGTGAGAGAGAGCAAAGAGGGGGAGGGAGAGAGAGGGAGGAGAGGAGAAGGGAGAGAGAGAGGCAGCAATTTCTAAGTATTTCTAAACATAGGAGGGTTATAAGATTATATTCATGGAAAAAAGACATGTTCCAGTTCAAGCTGTATGCATTTATACAGTGGACTACTAGTATGATGAAGCTGGAGAACAAGTCAAAACACTGGAGTGGAAGCAGAATAATCACACACAAGACAGGTGAAATATTCCAGAGTCACCTTGAAATAAATATAAAATTGATGTTGGCAGCCTGACAGTGACAGGAGTCAAGAAATGATGCTGCTGTGAAATCACAAAAGATGCAATTGATATTTTAATCTCAAATACCACGTCTGAGGAGAAAGCCTGAAACTAGGAATTGTTTGTAAAAGTGTATCTGTTGATAGATTTCTGATTTTGCTGCTTTTCATTTTTATCCTCTTATGGAGAATAATAATAAAAGTAGTCACATTTTTAGTTTATATTGCTCTTTAATTTTTTTCTTAAAATGAATTTGAATTTTTTTAAGACAAGAACATAATATGCTCTGAAATCGTGTCATTAGATTTAAAAAACATTATTGGAGATATTTTTCTTGTTAGACCACTGCTTTTCTTAAGTGAAGTTGACCTTTTGAGTTTTTAGTAACTAAGGTATTTGTGTGTGTGTGTGTGTGCGTGTGTGTGTGTGTGTGTGTGTGAAATTCATTATATTTGTTCTTCTAAAACTATTTTCTTCAGTTCTAGGTTTCCTAGTTTGGAGCAGAATTCTATATTTTTCTTGTTTTATGCCCTAGGAAGGGCATAAAATTATTTTGAATATTTTTTTCCCTCTTCTTCCTGACCCATGTAATCGCCTAGCTGAATCAGGCCTCCCCAGAAACTGATTCATGGTCGTTGAAGTATCTCATATGACCCCCATCCCACCTAGTCCGATATTAACCCTATAAAATGTCTCAAATAAACTCTTATTTTCGTGGCCTCTAATCTCCTTAATTTTTTAATTTTAGATTCAGGGTGTACATGTACAGGTTTGTTACATGGGCATATTGCATGATACTGAAGTTTGGGCTTCTAATGATCCTGTTGCCGAAGTCCTGAACATAGTACACAAATAGGCAGTTTTCTAACTTTTGCTTCACTCCTGTCTTTCCCCCTTTTGGAATCCCCAGTGCTTATTGTTCCCCTCTTTGTATTCATGCGTACCCAGTGCTTAGCTCCCACTTTTAAGTGAGAACATGTGGTAATTGGTTTTCTATTCCTGCATTAATTCGCTTAGGTGATGGCCCCCAGCTGCATCCGTGTTGCTGCAAAGGACATGATTTTGTTATTTTTTTATGGCAATGTAGTATTCCATGGTGTATATGTACCACAGTTTCTTTATCCAGTCCACTGTTGATGGGCACCTGGGTTGATTCCATATCTGCTATCACGAACAGTGCTGCAATAAACATATGAGTGCAGGTGTATTTTTGCTAGAAGAATTTATTTTCCTTTGGGTATATACCCAGTAATGAGATTGCTGGGTTGAATAGTAGTTTTGTTTTTGGTTAACTGAGAAATCTCCAAAATGTTTTCACATCAGCTAAACTAATTTCCATTCCCACCAACAGCGTATAAGCATTCCCTTTTCTCTGAAACCTCGCCAACATTTGTTATTTTTTGACTTTTTAATAATAGACATTCTGACTGGTGTGAGATGGTATCTTGTTGTGGTTTTGATTTGCATCTGTCTGATTATCTAATCTCCTTTAAAAGCTTCCTACATCTTCCTGAAAATATATATTGCTTGATTAATTAATTTATTTATTTTTCCCTTCCCTTTTTCACAAAGGATTGCTGGCTGCTTATACTAAAACCACATATTATTAAATAAACAACAACAATGTAAAGGACACAAATGATGCAAATTAATCATATAAAAGGGACAACAATTTTGCTGTGACTATTTTTCTTACTGTCATTTGAGCTTCCTAGCAGGGAATATAAAAGGCAAGACACAGTCTCCAATGCAGGACTCAACATAAGATAGGAAGATATGTTAATTGCTGATTTCATTAAATTTTATCCAGCCGGTTCATTCTAATGCCTCTGTTTTTTCAACTGTGCAATGAAGATCATGCCTACCTTGTAGAGCTACTATAAGTAGTCTGATAGTTCAGTGACACATATTTCAGTGTGCTCATCACATTTATCCAAGGGTAGCTTCCGAGATCACCGTCAGTTTCACAGGACCTTATCTATATAAATGATGATGATGATGGTGGTGATGATAATTATGGTGATTACAGTTAGCACTTATTGGTAACTTGTAACTGGGAAGTATGGTAAGTATTTTCTTGGCTTACCTCATTTAATCCTGAAAACAGCTCTATACAGTGGGTACTTTTAAAATGTGCATTTTGCATTGAGGAGACCTTAGGCTGAGTGACTTGATGTCCACACATATAATATGAATCTGCTATATGTTTATATATATAGCATTTGAATTTGTGTATTTGAATTTGTAATGATAAATATGGGAGAATTACCCTGTTTTCTTACCTCCTCTCACTACTGCAACTTATTAATTGGACGAAATATGAAAGTAATAAATTCAGAAGAGACAGAGAGCATTTTTCAATGTTCATTATTTCAGTAAAATATAAACAGCTCACAGAGATATTTGAAAAATAGTGAGCCAAACACATTCATTTCATTTTTCCTTGTTCTTCTTTTAGAATAACAAGCCTAGTATGTCTCTGAAACTTTTTGCAATCTATCCGGTTATAATGTTAGCACCAATGTAGCCATAAGTAATTTTTTTTTGCCAAGTTTGCCCTAATGCATTATATCATTTGAGTGCATGGGAAGATATTAGCGCCATTAAAAATATTAGTAAAACTGATTTCAGTTCAACAACCTGTACATTGAAGTTGTTGCATTTATCTATTTACATCTCTCTGTTCTGTACAAAAGCAGCAACTTAAACGATGTAGATAAATAATAGTGACATTTTATCTCCCTTTCTAAAGTTGAATTCCAGAAGGTAGGAAAGATCCTTTCATGCTTACATTACCATGACAAACTGAAAGAGATAAATCCCTAACGGATGGGATGAGATGTGGGAGTTAGAGGATTAATGCTTAGATGCTTCCTCCAATTTATTTCTCCTATTATATGTGTTAAAAATATATACCATATGTCATGCAGCATGTTTTAATCCCATCAAAATGTCTCACACAATTCCTTAGGGGATATGCTTTTTGCTGCCAAGTTTTCACCGCTGGAATGCTGACTTACTATTCCTTTGCAGAGAGCTTCATGGTTTATTTTATGATAACATGTTGTTATAACTTCTCTGGCTGTAATTTTTATAAGGAGAATTAGTCCCGGGGGAATTTATTTTGAGAGTCATATGCTTAATGGTGACAGAAAAGGAGAGAAATATTTCCAAAAAGCAATGTATCCTTCAGTTGTTTTAATAGAACAGAAATTCCTTTGACAACATTTGTGAAAGCCTTTATTATACCCAGCATTTAAATTCAGTCCTTGAAATGGGGTTTTCCCGGATCATTTGAAGGTCAATTTTGGAATAGTTCTTGTGTCCTATGACACCTTTCAATGATAGCACTTTACAGAGAGGAACAAATTTAAGGCAAAAAGTCTCTTTTAGTGATACTAAGTATACATGACTTATAGCAGGTGACAAAAAAGCTGCATATAATTGCCCTAGGGAGAATTTTCTTTGTGCCACGTTGTCGCTTTAAAAAAAAATGCATGTAGCAAAATTTCACATGTACCCCATAAATATATACAAATATAACATATCGAACAATTTAAAAAATATTGAATAACAATGTGAGCGATTAGGTAAAGAGGACAACTTGAACTAATTTTCACGTCACAAAAAAACAAGGTTAAAACTTTACACCAGGAATTAACAACATGTTACCTTCGGGTTCCTCTGTGTGATGTTTTAGTTTGAAATCTCAGTATCCTTAAAGTTACCATTTGTTTTATACGACATTGTTCAGCTAACTCATGTAGGCTAGGGCCCACTCTGGCCCCCAGGTATATGATTTTCACCAATCAGGGATCACTACAAGATTTACTTAAGTACTCAAATATAATAAAGCCAAAGTTATTATTTAGTTTTTTTTTTTTAGAAATTAAGTTGCTCCGAAATGTATGCACCCTGTTTCCAATCAAGCCTTCTAATTGTAATAACATTCCCCCACAGAGGCTCTGTTAGCATTTATGGGCTATATTAAGAAGAAAAAATACACACACATGAGCACAATTCCAGAGATGCCCTTTGGGTTTTGCTTTCCTTATTGGAAGATATAACCTAAATGGATGTCAGGTGTGCAAATAGACTATATTTTTTTTGTTCCATAAAATCTGCTGGGCATGGTTCAAATGCTGTCTTTTAAGCCCTTTGATGGTACTTAATAAATGCAGGGATGCAAACTGAGGAGTTACTTGACACATCATCATGCCATTGGCAGTATATTGATGGTAAATATGAAATAATTTGTTTCTCCCCTCCCCAACTCTAACCTCATAAGTTTCACACATATCAGACCTTAGCTTCTCTTTGTCAGACTCAAATTGGATTTCCTTTTCTATCATCTCTAGGCTCAGACTTCGATGACCCTAATTTGGCAGCTCTTCAAGGGGTTTATGGTGTAAGCCTTTTCTATTTCTAACAAAAAACACAGCTCAAATCCTCTTCACATTAGTGAATACTGTTTGAAGTTTCATTTTCCAAAAGATACCATACTTTCTTAACTCAATTTTTAAAATTATTTTTACTTTTTCTGTACTGAATAGTTAGTACATTTTAATTTTGAGTGAAAAAAAGTTGGTTTGAATAGAAAGTATGCATTAAAATTCTCCATAACTGGATTTCGTAGTCAAATCTAGGACAGAAATAATATAAACTATTTTATATACTATTAAATAAATGGGATATTTATTTAAGCAACTGTTATTTATAATTTAGGTGCTACTTCTACATTTAGGGATTTAGTATATACTCCTGTTGGCCAGATTTTAACAGAGTTCAAATTTCTTAAATGGTGTTCTCTTTAGCTTAAATAACTATATGTCACAAAAATCTGAAAAAAACATATAAGATTAATCATGATTTTAAAATTTAATTGATGCTGGATAAATGTAATTAGAAACAAAATTTCAAAGTTGTATTACTACTAGAAATTCTCATCTGATCTATATATTAAAATATAGTCAAATATTTAAGGTTGCCTACATTACAGTGGGAAAAGGTAAATTGAAGTTGCAGCTTCTTATGACATATAACCTATACATGGTATCATGGGTCATTTTGCTTGTTTCATTTCCCATTAGAGGAATTTTAATGAAGGAGGCCAGTAAAATGTTGATTAATAAGTGTTGATGTGAAATACACTTACTGGGCCATATAAAAGTGGCAAGCTTATGTAGACTACCCCCCACCATTATTATATTTTTTAATTCTATGAGTATGGAACTCCAGAAGACTGGAAACCATAGCTTTTATCTTTTTCCCATGAGAGTTATTTATCCAGCATTTTCTTCAATAATTCTACAAGATATAACTAGAGACATAGATCCTATTAGTTTGGTAAACAGTTATAATTATTACAGTAGCCTTCCTTATTTTTCACCTCTTTGTCCCAATTCATTCTTATTAAGATTTAAATGTTGGGGATAATTTATTTTACCAAATGTTATAGAAGACAGAGAAATTAAAAGCAAATGGCTAAAGCCGACATAAGGTTTCAAGAGCTAACTGAGGATAAAACTCTAATCGTGCAGACTTTAGTTGCTGTATTAGTCTGTTCTCATGGTGCTAATAAAGACATACCCAAGACAGAGTAATTTATAAAGGAAAGAAGTTTAACGGACTCGCAGTTCCACATGGCTAGGGAGGCCTCACAATCATGGCAGAAGGCAAATGAGGAGCAAAGTCATGTCTTACATGGCAGCACACAAAACAGCTTGTGCTGGGAAACGCCCATTTATAAAACCATCAGATCTCCTGAGACTTATTCACTACCATGAAAACAGTATGAGGGAAACCGCCCCTATGATTCAATTATCTCCACCTGGCCCCGCCCTTGACACATGGGGATTATTACAATTCAAGGTGAGATTTGAGTGGGGACACAGTCAAACCACACCAATCACGTCGGTAAGGGTGAGTCAAATGGCTAGTGTTCCCTCAAAAGTGAGTGTGCTGCAAGAGGGTATATGTGATATATGTATGTGTGCATAAGCACAATCACAAGATTAATGGATTTTAATAAAAGATGAAAAAGTATTACCCAGAATACTCTATCACCCCAGTTTGCTTGATTGATCAATTGGCTTCCGGTATCATAACTTGCATTCTCATCCCACTTATATAGTTAATTTTTATATTTGTAATAAAATGTATAGACAGTAAAAATAATATAGTAAATATATATATTATATATAATAAATATAGTATAACTGAACGAATAAAATAATAAAATGTATAGACAGTAAAAATAATATAGTCAATATATATTATATATAATAAATATAGTATAACTGAATAAATAAAATAATATTTTTATTTCCTTGCTTTTATAGATATTATCTCCAAGAAAATCATAGGGGAAAACTTTAAACTGTTATTGTTGGTCAGTCACTTAATCATTAAAGTACCCTAAACTTTTTTTCCAACTTGAAGTCGACTTTCCTAGGTATGATTTTAATGGCTGCAACACATGCCACTGCATGATTCTCCATTGTTGCCTTTCAGATTGCTGTGATTTTTTTTAAAACTACAACCAGGTACATGCAGATAATGTCTTCAATGTTATCTGATAAATAAGATAATTTGTAGGCAAAAAATAATAATAACCCTTCAGGCTCTTTATAAATGTTTTTAATCTAAGTTTCCAAGAGACCTGGAATCAATTCCATGCCTTAGGCTAAATTCTTAATCTTCCTTGGAGACATGTTCTTCCTCCAGACCTCCTCAATTTAGTGAGTGGTACCAAAACCCACCCTCTTGCTCAACTCAAAAACCTGGCTGCCTCTTTCTCCCTCTCCCTTACCCCTGCTTTTTGCCGTTATACGCTATCATGTTTCTTTCCTTCTACTTCCTTGCAGTGGTTTCCATCACATTTAGAATAAAATCCACCTTTTTAAAAAAATATAATCTACATGCTGCCCACCCCTCTAACAGATCACTAACTCCCAGGCACACGGAGCAGACAGACTCTCCTGTACATGCTGTTCATCTGTTTGGAATGTTCTTCTCGCACTTGCCATGTCTGGTTTCTTTTTGTTCTTCAGGGGTCAATTTTAATGTTCCATTTGCACAGAGGCCTTCCTAGATGACCTCAATCTGAAGTGGCTATCCTTCGCTTGCATAATACCTTTCCTTTCTTTGGTGCCTTTTTGCAATGTATAATATTATTTAATATGTTTGTTGGCTTACTTGTTTAAATATCTCTCTTTACAACTAGATATACTCATGAAGGTTGCTACCATGTCTGTTTTGTTTACCAGCATATATGCCATGCTAATCATGTTGCCTGACACATTGGGTTATAGTGGATTGGACTGCTTGGGTTTTTGTCCTGGCTCTGAAATGTATTAACTGCTGTCCTTGAGTACAAATGTAAGATGGGCATAATGATAATACCTACCGTGAATAAACCAAATTATTCATATACAGTTATTAGCATAGTGCTTGGCACAATATACATTCTCAATACATTGTAGTTACTATTATTTTGTTCTAGTAGGCATTCTTGAAATATTTTTTGAAAGAGTGAAATAATGAGTTTATTTTGTGATATAAATAAGTAAGTAATTACCTCTTTGGTATATGAGTATGCCATTTTTATCCCAATCTTTATTGCTTTGAGTATCATCCTTTAAGTTACTAATAGGTAGCTGGGCATGGTGACTCACCATGGTGACCCAGCATTTTGGGAGGCCGAGGTCGGCAGATGACCTGAGGTCGGGAGTTTGAGACCAGCCTGACCAACATGGAGAAACCAAGTCTCTACTAAAAATACAAAATTAGCCAGGCATAGTGGTGCATGCCAGTAATCCTAGCTACTCGGGAGGCTGAAGCAGGAGAATCTCTTGAACCCAAGAGACGGAGGTTGCAGTGAGCTGAGATCGCGCCACTGAACTCCAGCCTTGGCAACAAGAGCGAAACTCCATCTCAAAAAAAAAAAAAAAGTTGCTAATATGCTAAAAATAAGAATAATGCTCATGTTTTTACTTCCATACAATTGATTGTTAGAGGTGAAACCTTTTCCCATCTGCACAAATTTCTGGAAGACAATAAATGTTTCTTCTTCTTTCATTAATATTTTAACTGTGGAGGTATCTGTTTCAAAATGTAAAATCCAATAGGTAATCAGTGAGGAATATAACCTAGATTAACTTTTTTTTTTCAAAATAACCAAAGCACACTCAGTTTAAGTTTCATGTTAAAGTGAGCCAAATGCCAGTTACCAAAATATTGGATGGCTATGTATATAATCCTTTGCTGATGAGTAATTTAGCATCAATTTAGAGATGTTATTTTTTTTCTACCAGATGCTCGAAAGCATTAAGGCAAGATTAGAAGTCATTGTCCCTTCTTCTGTTATCAGTGGTCCCACAATATTTGTTTATATCACCATTAGAAACAAATTGTACTGTATTATAGTTATTTTTTTGTTTGTCCCTCCTATTAGAGAGTGAGTTCACTAAGGGCAGACATTATGTTTTATACTTTATTGATGTGGAAAGCAGGCAGTAAAGAAAGAATGAAGGACTGATTATTGGACATTTGTTATTAATGATCTTAGCTTATTATTTTCCTCCAAATGAAAATGTTTTAGTGAACATAAACTGGGAAAACAGCAGGAGCAATTCAGTTAATACTCAGTTACCTTGAAGAGGTTGAAGCAGAAAGTGTTTGTGTCAGTTGTTTTAACATAATTGCCAGTAAAGATACTGAAAGTATTCCCTCATGATAATGAGAAAAATCCAGAACACAAGGCTTGATTACTCCTACAATATTTGCCTGCTTTGACTCTGACTGTGCTTAAGTATATCCAGGCATGCTGTGCAAAGTACAGAACTGAAATAAAATAATCCCTAGTCCAATCATAGGCTTACGTTACTAGGATAAGTCAAGTTTGTGGTTTCACCTGAAGTAAGAAAGCATTAAGTCTTCTTATCACACCCAATCATCCATATTAGGCTTGGGATAGAAAAGGCACTAGAGACAGTAGGGATAAGATTTAGTCCAGGGAGTAAGTACTTGGTTTCATTAAAACTACCCTAGAATTGGCTCACCAGTATTAATTAAGTCCTTTTTATTTGTAATCTCATTCATCATTCTCTCTCTCTCTCTTTCTCTCTCTCTCTCCCCCCCCCCCGCTCTCATAGAGCAATGTTAAACAATGTACACTTCTTTTTTTAAAGTTATAGATTTCTAAATTTAAAATGTTCTGATATAGTCTAGCTCTCCAATTAGGGAGAAGTAGAAACATATGCTGCTCAGCTTTTCTAAAATCTTTTAAAGTAATCAATTAGCATATGGGCTAAGTTCACTTTAGATGGATACACACATGCACTATATATATATATTTTCTTTAGACATGTTAAGGCAGTGGATAAAATTTCCTTTTGCAATCCTTTGCTCATGGTATATTAATGCTGATAGTATTTTATGCTATTTTGTGTTGATGCTCTCAGCACAAATTGGCCCCAAAATATTCTGTATTCAAAAGCATGTATTTTTTTCCTAAGCGTACTATGATTTTAATAGAAGCAGAAATGAGTGTTTCCTTCTTTTGTGAATTTTTGGGAGGGCATGCTTCCCTGCAGTCTCTGGAGTGTGTGTTGACATTTTTTGTGCCATGATTTCCCATAAGTAACACACTCTTTTGATAGTGAAGCAGTGAGGGAAAGTTGCTAAGTTCCATCTGTAAGAAAGCATTATCAGAAGTGGAAGAAGGGAAATTTACTAAGTTCCATCTGTAAGAAAGCATTATCAGAAGTGGAAGAAGGGAAGTGACAAGAAAAGATTCAAAGTTGTTTTGTTTTAGCTCCAGTAGATGCTTTATAACACACTCCTAAAAAGAGTGTGAATATAATATAGTTAATATAAAATTTATTTTATATAAATAATTTATAATCTTCAAATATAAATTTGTTTTTACTATATAAGCAATGTAACATTGACCTAAAAATTGAATTGAAAAAATATAAACTTTCTTCTCAGAAACTGGGTTCTCAATTACTCTCTATGTACCTGTTTATAAAATACAAACCATCTAGATAATCATTGCACCACAATTTGTATCAAACTCTGTTTCTTAGCCATCCTAGAGTACAATCAATATCATTGATCTTTTCGAAAAACCAGCTTTTGGTTTCATTAATTTTCTTTATTGTAGAGTTCTGTTTCTTTAATTTTTTTATTATTATTTTTGAGACCGAGTTTTCCTCTTATTGCCCAGGCTGGAGTGCAGTGGCGCTATCTGGGCTCACTGCAACCTCCGCCTCCCGGGTTCAAGCGATTCTCGTGCCCCAGCTTCCCGAGTAGCTGGGATTGCAGGCATACGCCACGACACCCAGCTAATTTTTTGTATTTTAGAAGAGTCGGAATTTCACCATGTTGGTCAGGCTGGTCTCGAACTCCTGGCCTCAGGTGATCCGCCCACCTCGGCCTCCCAAAGTGCTGGGATTACAGGCATGAGCCACCACGCCTGGCCCTGTTTCTTTAATTTTTAGATAAGGATCTACCTTTAACTTATGAATATAATATATAATATGAATTATGAATATTATGAATATAATATGAATTATGAATATTATGAATATAATATGAATGGCATTGTTGTAGGGTGATAACTATTTTAATTCACCTTCTTGAAATAGATAACATTTGGCTTTTGGTTAGATTTTAGATTTATCTGTTAATGTTCAGAAAAAGATAAAAGATAAATCATGGAATCTTTTTTTTTATTTTTTTATTTTATTATTATTATACTTTAAGTTTTATGGTACATGTGCACAATGTGCAGGTTAGTTACATATGTATACATGTGCCATGCTGGTGTGCTGCACCCATTAACTTGTCATTTAGCATTAGGTATATCTCCTAATGCTATCCCTCCCCCCTCCCCCCACCCCACAACAGTCCCCAGAGTGTGATGTTCCCCTTCCTGTGTCCACGTGTTCTCATTGTTCAATTCCCACCTATGAGTGAGAATATGCGGTGTTTGGTTTTTTGTTCTTGCGATAGTTTACTGAGAATGATGATTTCCAGTTTCATCCATGTCCCCACAAAGGACATGAACTCATCATTTTTTATGGCTGCACAGTATTCCATGGTGTATATGTGCCACCATCCATGGTGTAAAAATGCTCACCATCACTGGCCATCAGAGAAATGCAAATCAAAACCACAATGAGATACTATCTCACACCAGTTAGAATGGCAGTCATTAAAAAGTCAGGAAACAACAGGTGCTGGAGAGGATGTGGAGAAATAGGAACACTTTTACACTGTTGGTGGGACTGTAAACTAGTTCAACCCTTGTGGAGGTCAGTGTGGCGATTCCTCAGGGATCTAGAACTAGAAATACCATTTGACCCAGCCATCCCATTACTGGGTATATACCCAAAGGACTATAAATCATGCTGCTATAAAGACACATGCACACGTATATTTATTGCGGCACTATTCACAATAGCAAAGACTTGGAACCAACCCAAATGTCCAACAATGATAGACTGGATTAAGAAAATATGGTGCAAATCATGGAATCTTTAAAAAAGAAATTTTATTCCTGTGTTAATGTGTAGTTTTAAAGATTTGTTTAACAGTGTGTACTAATGAAGCATAATAGATACCAAAATGTTTTCATTAGGAACAAAGGTCAATTGTGCGAGAAGGAGTCACCATTTATGACCTGACAGGTTGAGGTAATGCAGGCAGGGTAAGACAATACATGAGTAAGCAAGCCCCCCTCCCAACAGTAGTCATCATTAATAGGAACTCACTGCATTTAGGGTTAACAGATATATGATGGGTTTGAAAATTACCAAAGTGGAACCCAGATGGATATGTAGATTTCAGTATCATTATATACTTGGAAATTGAGGAAATAGTGTAGAAAAATACATAAACTGGAAAAAATCTTATCAGTCAAGAATTAAGTTCTAGGGACTTGCTTTGACCTCTCATTCATTCCTTTATGGCCTCTTAATTTCTCTACTTTTTCTAAGCTTCTCTCTGCATATATCTTCACTCTTATCTCCCTAAGACTAGCTTTCTCTACTTATTCATAGGTTCCTCCTTATCACTTTAGATTACATGTGGTCATCACAACTTCTTTGGCCCTAAGTCTACCTTAAGCCTTTTGTTTATACTCAGAAAGGAGGACTCTGATTGGGCTAGCTCATCTTTTCTAATGAAACCAAGAGATAGGTTACTTGCCTGCATAGGACTTGGCTGCCCTTGGTTAAGGGGCCATCATAGCACCAATCAGTCATGTCTGGTCTGGCCATGGGGATGCATAAATAAACAAATGGTCTTACCTTTCCAACCTCTTCCTCAATCACTACCTACCCTAGGACCACAAACTCTATGTTCTATCCAAACCACTCTTTTCCACAGATACCTAATCATTTCACTATTCACAGTGTTAACCTGCCTTTTCTCACTTCTTGAAATTTCCATCACAGAATGCATGATTAATCTCAAAGCCTCATCCCTTGCATGTCCCCATGAAGTACTCTTTTACTTTCCTAGGAAAAGTTAACACTCTGATAGTGCTTTGTTTATGATTGAATAAGGTCACTTCTGGTATTGTATTTCCACTATGAGAGTGATGTACATGAACTATTGAATATAAAAACATACCTTTGATACCATTTTGTTGTATAGTTTATAAAAGAAAGCTATGACACCATAGGGTTATTAACATTATATTACTTAAAGTAGTGGTAAAAACAACACACATATACACACACAAACACATACACATACATAGCACAGCCAGACTTGGCATTCTAACATCCCCACACATGAGAACTATCAAAGTATCATTTCTGAGCTGCGTTGTTTTTCTACTTGTGCCCTATTTCTAATAGTGGAAGAATTTTTTTTTAAAGCAAAGCTGTTATCTTTTAAACACTGGAATAAAAAAAAAATTCCATTTTCTGCATGAGTCAGTTTTTTCAGTGAATATTTTCAGCAAATGAACAAGCTCTGCATTAAATCCATGCTTTGTTTTAGTAGTTTCCTTGGGTGGACTAGTTTCACCGAATGCCATGTGTAAATTGGTCACATAGAACAAGAATTTATATTTCCACAATTTTATTTGGAACTTTGAAACTTCCATTATCTCACAGAACCCAGAAATTGAATTGAGGCTTTGTTACTAAGCCAGGTTGTAGCAACAGACTTAGGAGTCAGTAGCTCAATTTTCTACTTCTTTGCATCAAATTTTCTCCTGAGAATGATGCATGCAATACAGAGGAATGGCAGGGAGGAGCCTCTGTGAAGTGTTAAATGTTTGGTTCACTGGGTCCTATCAGCAGGTAGGGCCTGTGGGGAGCTTGTTTATCCAGCAGAACAATCTCATTATGAGGACAGTGATGTACAATAGTTTGCTTCATACCCCAAAACCATTCAAGGAAACGACTGAGTGAATGATATTTTTCCGGGCCCTGTATTATGCTATTATGACTTGCAATAACTGGCAGCATATTAAAACAGAAGTCAGGGACTACAGTTACTCTGTTGAATGAAGTTCTGAAATTTCAAAGGTGTTGATTATTCAGTATTTTCCAATTTACAGAATAAAAGAGTATGTGATTGACTATTTCATGGCGCAGTAATGGAAATAAAGAAAGAGAATGAACAGGCTTGATTAATTTCAGAGTAAATGCTTATTTTTCATAATTGCATAATTCTCAAGTGGGTCTCTGTGTAGACCGGGGTGGCCTTTTCTGTCAAATACAAAGATAAGAACTTGGCATTGAAAATTAAGGAACAATAAAAAATAAATATGTGTGCATGTGTATATATGTGTGCGTGCACATACCCTTGTCATCACTAAGGGCAAGCCACCACACAGCCTTGGTTAGCTTTGAAAATATCTATGAATACTACATTGAAAAAATAAAGTAAGATTTGGGACAAACATCCATCTTCCTCATGACAATATGCTGGGAACAGCTGTAAGCTTAGAATAAAGTGGGGAACCCTGCTTAATGCGCTATGCAGTAAGCTTATCAAATCTCAGCCCAGCTAGAACAGTGCCCTAGGATACAACAGGCACCTTGTAAATATCTGTTGAAATAAAGGATGAATCAGTGAACGAATCAATGAATGCTTCTGTCCAGAAGTGACACAGACTAAATGCTGTAAAATCATTCATCCTCTAAAATTTCAAATATTGTTGGTTGTCTGAAACATATTAAAGGAAAGGGACATGGTATGACCACTAAGTGTCTGAAGTCTTAACTTTTGAAGGATGCATCAAGAAACCCAGCTACATCTTTTCGGTAGAAAGTAGCTAAAGAAAGGATTCTGAATTGGATGAACCATGAAGTCCTAAGTTCCTCTTTAAAGCTATTTATTAACCATACAAAAACATACTTTCACTCACTGAGAATTTAAACTTTTATTTAAATATTAGTGATTTACTGCATTAAGTGTTATCATGAGATAGCATCTGCTAGGCCAGAAAATTCATCTAGTTTTGAGTTTAATCGTTGTTAATATGCAGACTGTAAAGATAATCTCACTGGTAAACCAGTGATAAACCAGCACTTGATGATCTTTTAATTGCTAAGTAGCACTGAGGCAGCTTACATTTGGCTTTGGATTTAGTAGATATTTATATTAACAACTGGCCAGTACAGCTTTTCACGTAAGTACTTCACCTCAAATTTATCAATCCTTTAAAATATACATGAATTTACCCCACACCCATAAGCTGCACTCTCAAAGATAGGGGAAAATAAAACCAAAAGCAACAAAGATTGAATCAATGTAATTTTCTGCTGTTTAAACATAGGTTTCTACTTACCTTGATTATTTAAAGAATGCCTGAAATCATGCCAATGAAAACTCTGGAAAGTAGAGTTTAAGGTTCAAGGCAACCTTCTTTTTTTTTTTTTTTCTGTGCTGCCATCATCTCTCACCTGAACTATTGCAGTGATCTTCTAATAGGTCTTCTTTTTGATGTCTGTCACCTACATTCTATTGTCAACCAAGCAGGCAGAGAGCCTATTCTTAACAGCTTTATTGAGGTATAATTGATATACAATTAATCACATATATTTAAAGTGAGCGATTTGGTATGTTTTGACATATATATAAACTCATGAAACTATCATCACCACAATCAAGACTGTGAACATACCCATCACACTAAAAGTTTCCTCATGGCCTTTTGTAATGCTCTCTCCCTTTCGTCACTATCCCAGACAATCACTGACTCGCTTTCTGCCACTATAGTTTGCATTTTCTAGAGTTTTATATAAATGGAATCAAAACAGTATGTACTCTGTTTTGTCTGACTTTTTTCACTTGGTGTAATTATTTTGAGATTCATCCATGACATGTATAAATAATTCATTCATTTTTAACTAGTATTTAATTATATGACTACATTCATCATTTGCTTATTCACCTGTTGGTAAAATTTACATTGTTTACAATTTGGAGCTACTCTGAATAAGGCTTCTATGAACAGTTGTGTGCACGTGTATAGACGTAGAGTTTTCTTGTCTTAGTCAAATACCTAGGAATGGAGCAGCTAGATGACGTGAAGTTAGTCCATTTGTTCTTTTATGAGTTATGCTTTTGGTGTCTTATCTAAGAAACCTTTGCCTAATCCAAAGTCACAAAGATTCTCTCCTGTCTTTTCTAAAAGTTTTATGGTTTTATGCTTTACATTTGGATCCATGATCCTTTTTAGGAAAATTTTTGTTTACAGTAGAATGTATGAATCAAAGTTTAGATTTTGTCATATGGGTACCCAAATACTCCAGCACCATTTGTCTAAAAGAGTATCTTGTCTGCACTGAATTGCCTTTTTGCTTTGTTGAAAATCAGTGGCAAATATATGTGTGGATCTATTTCTGGACTCTAATTTTGTTACATTTATCTATTTTTCTATCTTGATGACAAGACTTTGATTATGTTTGATTAGTTTGATTATGGTAACTGTGATAAATCTTGAAATCAGGTAGCATAAGACTTCACGCTTTGTTCTTTGAAAAAGTTATTTTGAATATAGCAGGTACTTAACATTTTCATGTGAATTTTAGAATTAGTATGCCCATTTGATTGTCATTGTATTAAATCTATATAACATTTTGGAGATAATTGACTAATTTTTTTTAAACTTCTGTTTTACATTCAGGGTTACATGTGCAGCTTTGTTATATAGGTAAATTGCGTGTCATGGGAGTTTGCTATACAGGTTATTTCATCACCAAAGTAATAAGCATAGTAGCTGATAGGTAGTTTTTCAATGTTCACACTCCTCCCACCCTCCACCCTCAAGTAGACCTTGTTATCTGTTGTTCTATTCTTTGTATCCATGTATACTTCATGTTTAGCTCCCACTTTATAAGTGAGAACAGGCAGTATTTGGTTTTCTGTTCCTGCATTAGTTTGCTTAGGATGATGACCTCCAGCTTCATTGATGTTGCTGCAAAGGACATGATCTCACTCTTCTTTACGGCTGTGTAGTATTCCATGATGTATATGTACCACATTTTCTTTATCCAGTCTACCATTGGTGGGCATGTAGGTTGATTCTATGTCTTTGTTATTGTGAATAGTGCTGCGATGAACATATGCATACATGTGTCTTTATGACAGAACGATTTATATTCCTTTGGATATATACCCGATAATGGGATTGCTGGATCAAATGATAGTTCTGCTTTAAATTCTTTGAGAAATCACCACACTGCTTTCCACAGTAGCTGAACTAATTTACCTTCCCACCAGATGTGTATAAGCATTCCCTTTTCTCCACAACTTTGCCAGCATCTTTTGTTTTTTAACTTTTAAATAATAACCATTCTGACTGGTGTGAAATAATATCTCATTGTGGTTTTGATTTGTATTTCTCTAAGGATTAGTAATGTTGAGCATTTTTTCATGTGCTTGTTGGCTGTGTGTATGTCTTCTTTTGAAGAGTGTCTGTTCATGTCCTTTGCCCAGTTTTGAATGCTGTTGTTTGTTTTTTGCTTGTTAATTTGTTTAGGTTCTATATAGATTCTGGATATTACACCTTTGTTGGATGCACAGTTTGCAAATACTTTCTCCCATTCTGTGTGTTGTATGTTTACTCTCTTGATAGTTTGGTTTTTGCTTTTTGTTTTTTATTTTTATTTATTTATATATTTTTGCCGTGCAGAAGCTCTTTAGTTTAATTAGGTCCCATTTGTTTACTTTTGCTTTTGTTGCATTTGCTTTTGGTGTCCTTATTATGTAATCTTTGCTAGGGCCTATTTCCAGAATGGAATGTCCTAGATTATCTTCCAGAGTTTTTATACTTTTAGGCGTTACATTTAAGTCTTTAATTCAGCTTGAGTTAATTTTTGTACATGGTGTAAGGAAGGGGTCCGGTTCAATATTCTGCATATTGAAACCAGTTATTTCAGTACCATTTATTGAATAGGGAGTCTTTTCCCCATTGCTTGGTTTTGTCAACTTTCTCAAAGATCGGATGGTTGTAGGTGTGTGGCATTATTTCTAGACTCTATTCTGTTCCATTGGTCTGTGTGTCTGTTTTTGTACCAGTGCCATGCTGTTTTGGTTACTGTAGCCTTGTAGTCAGGCTTTATTACTGGTTCAATTTCAGAACTCACTATGGTTCTGTTCTGTTATTGTTCTGTTCAAAAATATGGTTTCTCCCTGGTTCAATCACTTATAAAGGCTTGGTTTGGCTGGATATGAGATTCTTTGTTAGAATTTTTTTTTTAACAATTCTGAATATAGGCCCCCAATCTCTTCTGGCTTGTAGGGTTTTTGCTGAAAGGTCTACTGTTAGCCTCACGGGGTTCCTTTGTAGGTGACCTGCCCCTTCTCTCTAGCTGCCTTTAACATTCTTTCTTTTATTTCAACCTTGGAGAATCTGATAACTATGTGTTTTGGGGATGGTCGTTTTGTACAGTATTGTTGCAGAGGTTCTCTGCATTTCCTGAGCTTGAATGCTGGCCTATTAGCAAGGTTAGGGAAACTTTCATGGATGATGTCCTCAAATATGATTTTTCTTTCTGTCTTTCGGGGATGCCAGTGAGTCATAGATTTGGTCTCTTTACATAATTCCATATTTCTTGGAGGTTTTGTTCATTCTTCTTTATTCTTTTTTCTTTATTTTTGTCTGATTGACTTAATTCAGATAACCAGTCTTCAAGCTCTTTGCTCAGCTTGGTCTATTCTGCTGTTAATACTTGTGATTGTATTATGAAATTCTTGAAGTGAATTTTTTCAGCTCTATCTGATCAGTTTGGTTCTTTCTTAACATGTCTATTTTGCCTTCCAGCTCCTGTGTCTTTTTATTGTATTCCTTAGATCCCTTGGTTTGGGTTTCAACTTTCTCCTGAATCTCCATAATTTTCATTCCTATTTATATTCTGAATTACATGTCTGTCATTTCAGCCATTTCAGCCTAGTTAAAAACCATTGCTGGGGAACTAGCACAGTTGTTTGGAGGTAAGAAAACAGTCTGGCTCTTTCAGTTGCCAGAGATCTTGCCCTGGTTCTTTCTCATCTGTGTGGGTTGACGTTCCTTCAGTCTTTGAAGTTGCGTCCTTTGAATGGCACTTTTTGCTTTTATCTTCTGTGATGCCAGTGGGGGTTTGTTTGTGGTATAAGGTGGGTTTCAACTGGCCTCTTTTCTGGAAGATTTTAGGGGGCCACGGCTCAACACAGCACTCCTGGACTGTGTGTTCTAACTCTGAGGGACTTTTACCGGGCCCCTGCCTTTGCTCTCGAGCCCCTTGAAGTTAAGATCTTGCTGTACTGGAGGGACCTAAGTGTTCTTGGTCCACTGGCCACAACACGCTGTTGGAGAGTGCCAGCCAAAGCGCTTTGTCCAGTGGTAGCAGTGGGATCTGTGCTCACTCGGGTGTGCCAGCAGCCACAGCATGTGTGGTAGGGTGCACATTTTTCAGCTGAGGAGGGGCACCAGTGGGGGCAGGGTTGCTGTCATCTGTGCTAGCATTTGCACCTGCAGTGGTGGGAGTAGGGCACTTGCAGAGGCAGGGTTTCCTGTGCCCATACACAGATTCACACCGGTGGTGGCAGAAGCAGGGTTGGTAGCATCCATGCGTGTATTCGCACTGGCAGGAGTGGGGGCATGGTGGGGGTGGGGTTGCCAGTGCCCATCAAGGCAATCTTCTATACTTGAATTTGTTAATCATTTCACAATACATATATATGTATCTTAAAACAAAACATCACATTGTATGCCTTAAACATATACAATTTTTATTTGTAAATTATGCCTCAATACAGCTGGAAAAAAAACACATGCAAAGTTACATAAATATCCCCATGATTTTTTCCTCAAGTTATCACCCCTTTTTTCTTACTTGAGTCTGAGAGTGTTTATGAAAATGCTATGAAAATGAAGAAGTACTAAACCGATAACATGGATGGATATTATTATATGTATGACAAAAATGAGAAGGAAAGGTCCTGAAGGAGGTACACAGATACATTTTTGTAATACCCTGAACAAAATGCAGTATGTCAACAGATACCAATCATAATAGATATATGATTACACATATGAATGTAGATTAATGCCCAAAACAGTTGTATGTGAAGCTAATCTGTTTACAATATATTATATATTTCATGAGACTTCTCTGATAAAAATAGACTTGGCATCACTTAAAAAATGGTTCTAACCTTTTTAAAAGTTCTCACTTAGAAATTCACTTGGCGGAGCAGTACACAAGCTGTGTGTGTCTAATTTTCCTCTACAATCTCTGTAAGAAGTTAATCAAATAGGCAATTAATCTGTATGATATTATTCATGTGAAAGCATATGCATATTAAAATACACAACAGACTTCATTCTTATTTTCCTTAAATTTTTCTCTAATGCCAGGGGCTTGAATGTCCAGCAGAGCTCACAATATGAAAAGGATACATGGCAGTGCTTTTGTTGCACATACCAGAAAGTACAAGCAATAACGTTCTGCTGTATAAACACCTGTAATGAAGGCAGAAAATGTGTAGTAAGCTAACAAACAAGACTTTGACCCCAACAACACTTATCTCTCGCCTTGAATCTGCTTTTGCTCCTCATTTCCATTAATAGTGCCACAATCTTCTCTGGAATCCTGATTTGAAATCTCAGAGTCATCCTAGACTCCTTCTCCTCCTTCATCTCGCCCTTCTGATCAATTTCAGCATCCTGTTGATTCTGACTACAATTCTTCCCACATTTCCTTGTCATATCCTTTGCTACTTCTTTTTTTTTTTTGTAACCTCTATTTTAAGAACTTTCTGAGTTGTCTCCTTACTCCTAGCTATCCCCTTCCAATCCATCCTTGATATTGTCCTGAAAGTGATATTTCTAAAATGTGAATCAGATAATAACACTTCGTTTGCAGACATTTACCACTGTCAACATTGGTTTTAGCAGTGGGTTTCAAAGTGTCATCCCTGGACCAGCAGCATCACCTGCTTTGTAGTAACTACTTTGTAGTAACGCAGATCCTTAGGTCCCAATCCAGACCTTCTGAATCTGAAACTCTGAGAGGGGAGCACAAAACTCTGTGTTTTAAAAAGTCCTCCAGGTGATTCTGATGCACACGAAAACTTGAAAACTACGGGGCTACAGAATTAAGTTCAAGTTTTTTGGCATGGTGTCTTGCCAAACCTGTCTTTTCTGCACTTATTTTCACCTCCTTACACTCTTCTGTACTCCTCACCACTCCACTATTTCAGAACCTTACCATATACTGTCCTATTAACTGGGATAAACCATTGGCTTGCAATTTTCTCTTCCAAATTATCAGGTTTTGAACGAAGCACATTTTTAATTTCATCTCTTTCTTAAATCCTTTTTGATCTTCCTAGACATATTTCCTGCTCCATTATTTCATCTGTGAAATGGAAAACAGTTCTGGGTTGAGAGGTAAAACAAACTTCTTGCTTTGTGTTTCCTCAGTAATGTTATCTTTGCTCTCAGAATTTATTCGTTTTTCTTGTGCTATACATGGTTTTTGACAAGTCTGTTCCCACTTATAGATGATATCTTCAAGGGTGATGCAAGTCTCAGTAATCTTTGTCATAGAAGAGTGAGTTGCACATCATATGCGGTCTATAACATGTTGTCTCACACCAATATATGACTTGAACTTTAATGCATGATTATTTTATATGTTCATTGCTGAAAACAATCCATTAGTCCATTTGGGATTGTTATAAAATTTAAAGACCTTTTGTAACTTACTATCTTGAAAAGTGTAATTCTGTTCTTTTGTCTGCTCTAAAACAAAAACAAAATAAAAGTAAATCTGTGCCTTGAACCCTGTTACTTTCTCTTTAAAGGATCAATTTGCTGGCTGGGTGTCCTGCCATCTAACAGGCCTTCCCTGTGAGGCTCCTCTAAATTGGGAAAAGGATTAAATTTTATCAGTGTTTGTTTGGTCTGTTGCTCATCATGTTGATATTTAATCCAGTGTCCAACAAGTGTCCCAAAGGAATAAAATGCCTGAAGCTGGCAATACTTTTTGACCTATCTGTCTGAACATATTCCTATCAGTTTTTACCCAAATAGAGGGTTTTCCAGGAGACATACATGAGCTAAATAAACAATATAATAGTAAGCTTAATTCAGTAAACTATGTTTAATATATCAACAAGGATTTATTGAGTTCTGAAGTACACTCAATTTTGTGAAATCAAATTATTCTGAGTTAGAAAATTGTATCACTTTGCAATATTATAAAGGAAAAATGCATACTGCTATTTTTTAATTATCAGGGTTAAAAATATCTACAAACAATAGTTATAAGCGATTGTGTTAACACCAAAGATATACATTTTCAATACTCATTTAAGTGAACAGTTATTTAGTTAATCACTAATTTATTCAACACACATTTATTGATTGCCTATTGTGCCCCAAATATATATAGATATGGAAATAGCTCTAAATTTATAATTAGAGCTAAATGAGGTTTTTTTTTCTTTTTTAAAGATAGGGTCTTGCTATGTTGCCCAGACGAGACTAGAACTCCTGGGCTTAAAGAATCCTCCCACATCAGCCTTTTGAGTAGCTGGGACTACAGGCACATGCTGCTGGGTCCAGTTTGAGATTTAGATATGTAGATGATAGATACATAGATAGATAAACAGATAGCTAGGCAGATATAGAAATAGAGATAAAGATAGAGAAAGATAGAGATAGATATAGAGATGGCGATAGAGATACGGTAAAGTCCCACTTCTCAGAGTACACCACACTTCAGTGATCAATGAAATACATGTAAGCAAATAATGATTTAATATGATACATGCTAATGAAAGTATGTATTAACTAAAGAACATAGGGTAACTAAATAGTCAAAAGAATGAAAAAAGTCTTCAAAGTCAAAGATGGACCATATGTACCAAGATTTTACCTATCTGCATCAGTTTCTTATGCGAAGGCTAATAAAAGAAAATAAGAATCCAGATTTTCTTGTAGGATGACGTGCATCTGTTTGTGTTTGCTGAAATAGCAGGGCTTTTTCTGCTCCTGTTCAGTGTGGGAATGGAAAGCAGAACATCCCCTGTGTTCCATGTACTGTGTTAGGTACTTTCTCATGTCACTTCTAAACACTAAGAGAAGTAAAAAAAGAAGATTCAAAAACAAGTCTTAAGCTGAATTTACTTAATGCAAGGCAGGAATAACATGATCCCACACAGATGCATGGGACCTTCAGATTAACAGTTAAAGAATTGTTCAGAGAAAATTAACCTAAAACATTGAGGATTTGTTCACATATAGACACATACAAGGAAGAGCAACCCTTATGAAGACTTTTTCTCAGGCCGAAGTCAAGTGTAGAGCTTTAAAAAGGCAAACTTAGAAGTTTGGGTTTGTTTGTTTGTTTCTCCAACAACAAGAGTTGCTGCTGCAAAGTGAGAGTCGCTCTCCCTACTTTTTAGTTATTATTCCAAGATATCTATCCAAGTAGACACAGGTTGAGTATCCTTTTTTTCTGAAATGCTTGGGACCAGAAGTGTTTTGGATATCAGATCTTTTTCAAATTTTAGAATACTTGCATATACAGTATATAATGAGATATCTTGGAAATGGGACCCAAGTCTGAACATAAAATTGATTTATGTTTCATATATAGCTTATACACATAGCCTGAAGGTAATTTTATATTTTCCTTGGGGATGCTAAATAAATTGTGTTCTGTGAATCTACATTTTGACTGTAACCCATCACCTGAGGTCAGGTGTAGAATTTTCCATTTGTGGCATCATGTTGGCTGGCACTCAAAAAGTTTTGAATTTTGGAGCATTTTGGGTTTCGGATTTTCTGATTAGGGATGCTCAACTTTACTTTAAAGTAACATAATTTATCCTTCTATAAATATAGTATTTTGTTTTCATATTAGTATGCAACATGTATAAATTATATCATTAGACTTTTTTGAAAGAATTCAAACTTCAAGTTTGTTACCATGAACATATTTTTAGCTTTTACATAGGTAGTAACAGTGACTTAATTAAAAATACTTTTTCTACTCTTATTTGAATATATTGATAATAGCCAATATATGTAGTTTTCTTCATAGTACATCAGTAGTGAAGGAATTACTTCTGAATCTTAATTCCATTACTGTCTTCATATATGCTCCCAGAACTTTATGAGAGGTAACAAAAATGAATGAATATGGTACTTCTTACTCCCACTCCCCAATGTAACTTCATGGCTTCCTTCATAAACTCCCATTGGCTGTGAAAGAACGTGTACTGCAGAGATATGTTGAACTGGAGTATTTCCATAGAATCCTCCCATCAGGGAAGGAGAGTACCAATAGCAAATTTTCTGAGAGAGACTTACAGAAGGGTATTTTATTCCGAAAGGGAGAAAAACAGATTAAGTACTACCAGCATCCACAATTACCTGATGATAATTTTAAAAAACAATAACAATAAAAGTTATATGAATTACATACAATTAATGTGTACTGAAATCAACAGTGTCTAGAAATATGCTTTTGGAATGATTGTTCCCAAGCCAACAAAGCTTGTGTGCTGAAGTAAGAAAAAACTGAATGGATCAACAGCAATTCTGTTCATCAAGAGTTAGATTTTAAGTTATCACATATCCTTTTAAGATTTGAAAAGTCTCACTACACAAGGTTAAAAAATATACTTTGTGGCTATATTTTTAAAGTCTTTATTCACAAGGGGATACATACTGACGTATTTGGGGATGAAATATCATTATGTCTCTAATTTCTTTTCAGCTGGTTTAGAAACAATAATACAATATAGAAGGTGTGAGAGAGAACATGTGTGCAGATGAGGCAAACCGTTAACAAAGGAAAAAAATATATCTCCTTCATCACTTCTTTCATTTAGTAAAATGTTTTATTGTAACTATTGAAGAGAGACATAGGTCCATCATTTGTTTAAATGATTTTATGCAGGCCGGGCTTGGTGGCTCACTCCTGTAATCCCAGCACTTTGGGAGACCAAGGTGGGCAGATCCGAGATCAGGAGTTTGATGCCAGTCTGACCAACATGGTGAAACCACGTCTCTACTAAAAATACAAAAATTAGCTGGGCATGGTGGCGTGCGCCTGTAGTCCCAGCTAGTCAGGAGGCTGAGGCAGGAGAATCGCTTGAACCTGGGAGGCGGAGGTTGCAGTGAGCCAAGATCGTGCCTCTGCACTCCAGCCTGGGCGACAGAGCAAGACTCCATCTCAAAAAAAAAAAAAAGATTTTATTCAAATAATTTGAATATGCCTTGAACTGTTCTTTATAGTGTTTACCATCTTTTCCCAGGAATTATTGAACCATTTTAAGTTTATTTTTTAACAGGATGCATTTAGTTTAATGGTAGTAAAACCTCCTAAGCCATAGATCCTCCCTCTGTTTCCATATTGAAATGAACACCAAGTGTCTCTAATGTCGTCCAAAGTGCCATTTCTTCATTTTGCCTCTAACTTTTCTTTGGCACATGACGTTGAACTGTATGAAACTTTTTTCCTGACTGATATTTAGGTATGGAATAAGAGTAATTTTCAGGAATATTTGTGATTTTCTTCCAACATTTTCTCAGAAAGCATATTCTGAAAGTGTGTAGTAATATCTATATGCATTCCCAACACAACTCTCTCTCTATTCTCTTGATCTAATTTGTTACTAACTTTTTAAAACTTTCTAGACTAAATCTTTTTGCTTACCTTCAAGCATTTTGTTTTATACTACAAATCTTCTGAGACTCGAATAATTTTATCTTACTGTTTATATACTGCTAACTTGAAGGTATTTCAGCCTTTTTCACTAGCAGCGATACCCTCCATGACAGATAGTCAGTTATATTAACTTGATTCTATTGTAATTTACATAGTGGTAAAACAAAATAATTTTACACTTATAATCAAAATTATAACTGTTTAAAAAATTACCACCTAGGATTCATTTTATGTAATGGGAAAATATACAAAACTGTTTTGATAAATATTATATGCAATTATATAACTTGGACATCTCTGTGTAGTTTTTTCCTCCTGTTTAACGTGGTATGCCAGCTCTACAGTAGTCATGACAGGAATTATGACAATGACTCAGACATTGATGGTGCCCACCAAGCTTCCAGCATATTTACTCTAGATAGTACCTCAATACAGCCCTTTTGTAAAAATTTTAAACCCAAATTTGGTAATTGAAATGAACTAAATCAAAGAATGCTGTGAAATTGACACCTTTATTAAAAAACAATATGTGACAGTAGGGAGAATTAATTCTAGGTTCAGATAAAGCTGGGTGAGAACCCCAGCACTCACCCTTATTAGCTGGCATGGAGTTTCTTCAACTGTATAATTTGGTAATTCAGTTGTTTATTTTGCTTATTTATTCATGCATTCATTCATTTATTCATTTAGTAAATGTATGCTGAGCTGGTTAGCAGGCACAATTCTAGGCACTGTGGCTAAAAAGGGAAGTGAGAAGGACAAAGTCCCTGCTCTCAAGGGGTTTACATTCAACCGGGGAGACAGAAAGCAAAGTGGATGCATAATATAACATCAAATAGCAATAGGTCTTGTGAAAAAAATACCAAGGCATACTCTGGATCAAGTGACCAGGATGGGAAGGCAAAAGGCCTCTCTGAGGAGGTGATATTTGGCAAGAAAGAAAGAGAAAGCCATGCAGATGGTTGGCGAAAAATGTTCCAGGCAGAGGGAAGAGCAAGTTCAAATGCCTCAGTTTATATTTCTGTGAATAGTAAATGAAAGTTTATAGACTCCTGGCACATCGTTAAGTGCTTATTAGATGTTAGATATAATTTTAAGATAATAAATGTGGATAATTAATTCCACGTTATTATGTGTCTTCTTTGCTGTAATGTACATCCTCCTTTTCATCTAGACCATTTTTCTTCTCTTGAATATTATATTATTTATCCTGTTCTCAGAGCTGTTAGATTGCCCTCTTATTAATTTGTAGTGACTTTAACCCTGCTTGCAATATTCAAATGTTATTACTGTCAGAGGTCCTGTTTTCTCAGTCTTTGCCCTTTTGCTCAACATTTGTATACTCTGAGTAATGCCAAATTGATTTTCTTGCTAAGTGTTGGGCAACTGCCCTCTCTAAACAGTAAAATTCACAACTTCTCTGTGATGATGATAATGTTGATGTACCTGCCCTATGGGGACCTGTTGTTTTGTATGCATGTGCAGGGAGAGGGGTGATCAAAAAATGGTGTCAAGATGTCATTTGGAAGATGGTACCTGCAGAAAACACAGAAAACCCAATCATACCCCACCCCCATCCTCCGCATTTCCCACCATGGTTTCTTGTTTACACTTCTCCGATTCTCCCAGAAGTCAGAGCAAAGTGACTGTTTACCTCTGTCTCTGGCTGGGAAAAAACCACTCCCAGAGCTCAACTCACTTTTATTGATTTCTATATTGTTTGGCTGTAAAACATTTATTCTCAGTTGTATCAGTTTGGGTCCAGTTAGAGAAAAAAACACAGTCATTTGAACAGTGAAAGTTTTTACAAATAATTATTAAATGTAACAGGGGATTATAGTAATGAAGGGATTGGCTAGCATAAAAGAAAGATGTATTAGTTTGCTCAGGCTGCCGTAACAAAATACTATAGACTGAGTGGCTTAAACAAAAGATATTTCTTTCTCACAGTTCTAGTGACTGGGAAGTCCAAGATCAAGGTACCAGCCAATTTGGTTTCTGGCTTTTGGATGGCTACCTTCTTGCTCTGTGCTCACATGATCTCTTTTTTGTAATCACGATGGAGAGAAAGAGCAAGCTCTCTGGTGTCTCTTCTTATAAGGGCACTAATCCCATCAAGAGCCTCGTTCTCATGACCCTCCTCATCTAACCCTAATTACCTCCCAAAGAAAGGCCTCATCTCCACGTACTGTCATATTGAGGGTTAAGGCGTCAACATATGGATTTTCAGGGGAGGGCACAAACATTCAGTCTATAGCAAAAGAGAACCATAAATAATAGAGGAATGGCTACCATTAGCCCTAGGGCTGAGATAGCACACCTGAGAAAAAGTCCCTATGTTTTCATCCCCAAAGCAGAGATCCGCACTTTATTGGGAAGGTACAACCATAGCTTACCGAATGGCAGAAATCGCTAAGTTGCTATACCAGCAGAACTTGTCAGAAATCTGTCTTCTTCAAGTTAACAGAGACCCTCCCTCTAAGGTACCTGGGAAACATCGCCAAGCTGCTGGTTGCCAAGCACTGTAGGAGCCAGGTGCTGAAGAAGGCTTGCACGCTGTAAGAGCCTGCCAAGTGAGCACATTGAAAATAGGAAGCAAATCCCTTTCTTCCTGAAATGTCTCACCAGTGCCCTCTCCCCACAAAGCTTCAGTGCCAGCTAGTTAAGAAAAACATATCTCAAAGGCCCAGATCTATTTTTACCGAGCAGGCAGAAAGGTACATTTAGAACTAAGAGGCAATAAATCAATAACCAGCACACTGATATAAACAAATAATAAATAACAGCAGAAGCAGACTCAGTGAAGAATATATTGTTTGTTAGCAGAGTCCACTACTTTGCAGGGCCATTCTCAGTTTGATTCATTGCTATGTGCTCTGTGCCTAGAATAAAATCTGACCCAATATGGATGCTCAGTAAATATTTGTTGGATGAATGAATAATCTAATTGCTTATTTTTTTTGCCTCTAATGTTTTTCCTCTCTTTCTCTGTCTCTTTTTTTACGATAGCCGATGGATGCACTGACTGGTCTATCGATATCAAGAAATATCAAGTTTTGGTGGGAGAGCCTGTTCGAATCAAATGTGCACTCTTTTATGGTTATATCAGAACAAATTACTCCCTTGCCCAAAGTGCTGGACTCAGTTTGATGTGGTACAAAAGTTCTGGTCCTGGAGACTTTGAAGAGCCAATAGCCTTTGACGGAAGTAGAATGAGCAAAGAAGAAGACTCCATTTGGTTCCGGCCAACATTGCTACAGGACAGTGGTCTCTACGCCTGTGTCATCAGGTATCCCTTTAATTCTATTACTGCTGAATCAAAGAAAGCACAGGCTGCTTTCTCGTACTTAAATGTTGCTGCTATCTCTTTTGCCTAAAGCCGTTGTCTCAATATTTGCATGTGTTGCTGCTTTCTAAAATTTAGAATCAAAATCATAAAAAGATGGGATTGGAATTTATATTAGACATTATTTCTAGCTTATGGAGAAAAGCGATACCATCTGGGTAGCTACTTATGTTACCAAGAATTACTAAAAACTATGAAATAAAATTTATACAGGAAGTAAAATGGTGCAAATAAAATGTAAGCAAAGACTTGCAGAAAGGATGCATAGTTTCTTGCTAAATGAGTTGTAACATTTTGCTATTGCCCTTCGCAGACAGATAGAGCATGGATACTTCTGGTTCACACACATTTGCAAAGATGATTTAGGTAATGTGTGTATGTGCACAGGGAGAGGAAGAGAGAATTACCATGTTAGAGAATATGAAGGTTGTGTTCCAGATTGCTTTGCTAACCAAAACTTCTGGGTCAATACAAAAATCTTCCCAAGTCTTTCAGGGCCAATACCAAAGTTAATAACAAATTCAGTTCCTGTATCCCCAAGGATACCCACCATACATCTACACATCTTTGTCAGCTTCTGGAAGAGGTATATGCAGTTTGTTTAAAGATAATGCATTGAAGCAATGCCCATGTAACACATTCGCAGTTAAAAACCTCAGTTTAAGCATTTAGCCCCTCATAGATTGTGAATCACATCCTTCATGAATGATCATGTATGTCATTGGACTATTAGAACATTAGCGAAGCTGGGTATAGTCATATAGAGGGTGTGTTTAAATCTATTTATTTGGCTTTCTGTATTTGGGCTTATTCAGAGAAATAAAGAAGAATCTAAAGTAATGGATTCCCATAACTCAGAGAAAGTCTCAGAATCACCTAGTGTCTTTTTCAAATAAAAATTTACCGCTCCTGAAATCCTGATCAGCAGCTAACACTCCTCTGTCATAAATATCATGCCTCCCTCTCACCGTCATCTCTAATAATTACCTGTAAGCTGAGCCATGGCTACGGGTGTGCTAGGACATTGAAATAGGTCAAGTTGCATAAAAGTTAAACAGAAAGGTATCTTTCTAACACTAGCAACATATATTATGTTAGAGTTAATGTTGGAAAATATAAATGAATATAAGTAAAGAGTTGTGCTTGGGAAAAATGCCTAAGGGATTTTCAAAGAACAAATGCATCTGGCCGGGCATGGTGGCTCACGCCTGTAATCCCAGAACTTTGGGAGGCCGAGGCAGGCAGATCACTTTAGGCGAGGAGTTCGAGACCGGCCTGGCCAACATGGCAAAACCCCATCTCTACTAAAAATACAAAAAAATTAGCCGAGGATGGTGGCACGTGCCTGTGATCCCAGCTACTTGGGAGGCTGAGGCAAAAGAATCGCTTGAACCCAGGAGGCGGAGGTTGCAGTGAGCCAAGATCACACCACTGTACTCCAGCCTGGGCAACAGAGCGAGACTCTGTCTCAAAAATAAATAAATAAGCAAACAAATGCATCATTCCTTTGGCAACTCTTCTTCTTTCTCTTAGGGTTTACTAATCCTTTTATGATTAAACATAACTCTTAATAAAAGTAGAGGTTTTGTAGGGGTACAGATCAATAACTGTCACACTAGTACAGTTAAAGAATACTGTTTGGACTAGCTGTTCCCATTTGACCAATAGTAATTAGATTTTAATTTCATATCTGCTGTGTTTCTTTTTAAAAATCATTATTTCTGATTGTTCATGCATGTCGTAAGGTGATTCTTCAAGATAGGCAAATGTGTGTCCTCATTTATCTGACATTAGAATTGAGTTGGATGTCCATAGTATAATACTACATTTCGTCACTTATTATTGATGGAAAAATAATGATGTGTTCACATTAGTAATCTGAATTTTGAAAACACTGAGGTTGCAATTCTCTGATGTATTTAAATATACACTGTGATCCAATACTCTGAGAAACTGCATTAAAATGCCTCTGGAAGGGCTGGGCACCGTGGCTCATGCCTGTAATCCCAGCACTTTGGGAGGCCGAGGTGGGCAGATCACCTGAGGTTGGGAGTTCGAGACCAGCCTGACCAACATGGAGACACCCCATCTCTCCTAAAAATACAAAATTAGCCGGGCATGATGGTGCATGCCTGTAATCCCAGCTACTCGGGAGGCTGAGGCAGGAGAATCACTTGAACCCATGAGGCAGAGGTTGCAGTGAGCCGAGATCGCGCCATTGCACTGGCAACAAGAGCCAAACTCCGTCTCAAAAAAAAAAAAAAAAAAAAAAAAAAAAAAAAGCCTCTGAATTACCAGTTGCAATAATGAATGAAAGATTGAAAAGTTTCCAAAATGATGACACTTGCCATATGTTCATATGTCTACATTTTAATAAAAGGTGAAACTAAAAGACAAATACTTTAAAGTTTATGTGTGTCAAGTGGCAATCTAGAGAAAGGGATAAACTGCAGGAAGAGATACTTTTGTCACTGAAATTCAAATATGCCAATCAATTTGAAGGGAGTGTTGTTACAGCTTTCTTTTCCAATTTGGAAAGGGGTACTCAAAAGTCTTTACAAACAGCATTTGAAATAGCACGGCTTGGTGTTGACGTGAGAGGAGCTCAAGGGCTGTCAGTTGAGTCACTGACATTTTGGCATATTGTTAGCTATCAGGCCACTAAACTGTCACCATTAGTTTTTAAATAATCCACTTGCAAAGAATTTTAGAGGCTTGAAAATGTTAGCATCCATTCTAAGGTTCTAGTCTTTCTGATAAATATTCTGAGTATTAACTTGTCAATGAAATTGTTTATCAAGCTTTTCATATACAACTAATTTCCATTTACACTTAAATATATGCAATTAAATGGCATACATAATGGAAACACCTAAGACTCCTATCATTATAATGAACAAGAACTTTCTTATTTCCTTCTTTAATATCTATTTTGGACAGAATAATACCACACAATTCTTTGCTCCATACTTACTGGCTCTTTACTCAGTTTACTCATTCTTAAATTTATATTTTATTTTTTACATGAAAAAGTGAATGAAGGAAAGCTATGTAACAATTTCTTTTGTCTTATTTTATGGCCATATATAAAAACAAGTTTACTCTTAAAAAAATAAAAATTTGGTGGCCAGGTGTGGTGGCTCACACCTGTAATCCCAGCACTTTGGGAGGCAGAGGCAGGTGGATTGCTTGAGGCCAGGAGTCCAAGACCAGCCTGCGTAACACAGTGAGACCCCGTGTCTACAAAAATGAAACTGTTTAAAAATTAGCCTGGTGTGGTGGTGTGCACCTATAGTCCTAGCTACTCAGGAGGATAAGGTGGGAGGATTTCTTGAGGCCAGGAGTTTGAGGCTGCAGTGAGCTATGATCACACCACTGCACTTCTGCCTGGGCAACAGAGCAAGACCTTGTCTCTTAAAAATGAAATGAAATAAAATAAAATAATAGTTCCGTATTCTTGACCTCCAACTTTTTAATTCCCCTTTTCATAGTTATGCCCTATTAGCAGTTTCATATGCAAAGCTAGCTGGTATATGTGGAAGCATTCCAGTGCCCCCCAAATGGTAGCATGCTAAGTTATTTGGCACCCTATTTTTAATTAAAATTTTATTTTTGAGATAATTGCAGGTTCATATTCAGTTGCAAGACATAACGTAGAGAGATGCCATACCCAGATTTGCTCGGTGGTAGCATTTTGTAAAACTGTGGTACAATATCATAATCGGGATATTGACATTGATACAGTCAAGATACAAAACAATGCCATCACGTCTCAAGGGCCCCTCCTATTGTTCTTTTATAGCTACATCCATCTCTACCCAACCCCAATCCCAAACCCCTGTCAACCACTAATCTATTCTTTATATTTATAGTTTTGTTAATTTATTAATGCAATATTAATGAAATCATACAGTATAGAACCTTATGGAATTGGATTTTTCACTCAGCATAATTCCTTTGAAATCCATCCAAGTTGTTGTACATATCCATAGTTCATTCCTTTTTATTGCTGTGTAGTATTCCATGGTATGGACTACCACCATATTTATTCACTTGTTGAAGGGTGTCTCTATTATTTCCAGTTTGGGGATATTAAAAAGGAAACTTCTATGAACATTCATATTCAATTTTTGGTGAACATAAGTTTATTTTTCTGGAATAAATGCGCAAGAGTGAACATGGATTGAATGGTAGTTGTGTGCTTAGTTTTATGAGAAAGAACCAAACTATTTTTCAAAGTAGCTATAGCATCTGATGTTCCCACCAGCAATGTATGATTTCTCCACATCCTTGCAGCATTTGCGATTGTCACTACTTTTAATTGTAGCCATTCTGGTAGGCATATTGTGATAACTCATTATGATTTTCATTTGCATTTTCCTAATGGCTAATGATTAAAATTTTCATGTGTTGATTTGCCATCTCTCTTCTTGTCAGTAAAATGTCCATATTTTTGTACATTTTATAATTGAATTATTTATGTCCTCCTCATTGAATTTTGAGAATTCTTTGTATGTTCTAAATATTAATTCTTTTTGGAGATGTAGTTTGCCAATATTTTCTGACTGCCTGTAGGTTATCTTTTTGTCCTTCTAACAGGGTCTTTTGCAAAGCAGAAGTTTTTAATTATGATAAGTTTCAATTTGTGAATTTTTCCAGTTATGGACCATGCTTTTGGTGTGAAGTCTAAAAATTCTGCCAAGTGCTAAGTCCTGAAGATTTTTCCTTGTTTTATTTTTTATTTTTAAGATTTAAAAAATTGTTAAAAATTCAGTTGCTTTACATTTTACATTTAAGTCTGTAATTAATTTTGAATTAATCTATTTTTTGAAGAAATGCTTATTTTATTTTTTATTTTTTATTTTTATGTATTTATTTATTTATTTTAAGTCCTGGGGCACATGTGCAGGATGTGCAGATTTGTTACATAGGTAAACGTGTGCCATGGTGGTTTGCTGCACCTATCAACCCATCACCTAGGTATTAAGTCCAGCATGCATCAGCTATTTTTCCTGATGCTCTCCCTCCCCCAGCCCACCTGCCCAGCCCCAGCAGGCCCCAGTGTGTGTTGTTCCCCTCCCTATGTTCATGTGTTCTCATCGTTCAGTTCCTACTTATAAGCGAGAATATGTGGAGTTTGGTTTCCTGTTCCTGCATTAGTTTACTGAGGATACTGGCTTCCAGCTCCATCCATGTCCCTGCAAAGGACCTAAGCTCATTCTTCTTTATGGCAGCATAGTATTCCATGGTGTATATGTACCACATTTTCTTTATCCCGTCTATCATTGATGGGCATTTGGGTTGATTGCATGTTTTTGCTATTGTGAGTAGTGCTGCAATGAACATATTCATGCATTTATCTTTATAATAGAATGATTTATATTCATTTGGGAATATGCCCAGTAATGGGATTGCTGCATCAAATGGTATTTCTGTTTCTATATCTTTGAGGAATCGCCACACTGTCTTCCACAATGGTTGAACTAATTTACGTTCCTACCCACAGTGTAAAAGCATTCCTTTTTTTTCTGTAACCTCGCCAGCATCTGTTGTTTCTTGACTTTTTAATAATCGCCATTCTGACTGGCGTGAGATGGTACCTCATTGTGGTTTTGATTTGCATTTCTCTAATGATAAGTAATGTTGAACGTTTTTTCATATGTTTGTTGGCCGCTTAAATGTCTTCTTTTGAGAAGTATCTGTTCATATCCTTTGCCCACTTTTTAATGGAGTTGTTTGTTTTTTTCTCATAAGTTTTTTTAAGTTCCTTGTAGACTCTGGATATTAGACCTTTGTCAAGTGGACAGATTGCAAAAATTTTCTCCTATTCCTTAGGTTGTCTGTTCACTCTGATGATAGTTTCTTTTGCTGTGCAAAACTCTTTAGTTTAATTAGATCCCATTTGTCAATTTTTGCTTTTGTCGCAATTACTTTTGGCATTTTCATCATGAAATCTTAATTTTGAATTAATATTTATTTCAGGACTGATGTTTGTTTAGGTTAAGTCTTAGTTTTATGGGGTTGGATGTCCAGTTGTCCCAGCACCATTTGTTGAAAAGGCTATGCTTCCTCCATTGAATTGCTTTTGCATCTTTATTCAGAATCCATTGAGCATATTTTTGTAGGTTAATTTCTGTGTTTTTTATTCCATACCTTTGTCTATCCCTCTGCCAATACCAAACTGTATTGATTAGTATAGCTATATGGTGGTGAAAATATCAACTAGAGTGATTCCTCCTACTTTATATGTCTTTTTAAAGATTGTGTTTAGCTATTATAGGGCCTATTATTTTTCATGTAAATTATAGCATAAGTTTGTCTATGTCTACAAAAATCCTTACTAGAATTTTGATAGCAGTTTCATTAAGCCTATGGATCAATTTGAGGAGAATTGATATCTTTACCATATTGAGTCTCACTATCTGTGAGTACAGTATGTGCCTCCACGTATTTAGGACTTCCTTCTTTGGTTTCTTTCATCAGCATACAAATCCTATAAACATTTTGTTAAAATTTTAACTAAGTATTTCATTTTCTTTGGAATGTTTGTAAATGATATCTTCTGTTTAATTTTGGTTTCGACATGTACATTGTTACTATGTGAAAATGTGATTGATTTTTGTGTTAACATTTTAAAAACATATTTTTTTCAAATGACATATCTATAATGTGTTATATCTAGCATGTAGTTCATTTGCTCAAGTCTTGATTTTTCCTTTTGGGACTATGTAACTCTTTTTTCTCATTGAAAGAACACAGTAAGTAAGCATCTATCAAAAAGTACTTAAAGAACATCCATTTATTCACTCATGCTATGCTAATGGTAGGATTTAAAAGATTTAAAGAGAAGCTTTTACTTTCAAGTAGTTTACCTAAGAGAAAATAAGTGTGTAATAAATTGCTGCAGATACTATGAAAATAGTTTAGAATTCAGTGGAATTCTGCCGAGATAGAGTAGCCCCGTTCCTCTTAAGTCTTCCTTCTTACAACTAAAAAGTCTGCATGTAACGGCAAACAAGCATAAGAAGTCTCTGAAAGATGGAAGAAATACCTCTGAGAAAGACCTCAGAACTTGAAGAATGACATGGCAACATGTCATGTTCTCACTATCCTGTCTGCTCCTCACAGATTAAGGCATGAATTCTTATCATTTTTTCACTTTGTTCCTTCATTTGAAATTCAATATTTTCATTGCCTACCTGAACAATACATATTTATTTCTGGATGAAAATCCAGTTTATGTTTACTTTCTTTCTATCTTTCCTATAATTACTTCAAAAACAATTGTTTCTTCTACCTATTCTGGGGAGAAAACACACTAAAACTTAGTGCCTTAAAACAATAACCATTTTATTTGCACGTGACTCTGCAATGTGGGCTGGACTCAGCTAGGTGGTTCTTCCAGTGATCTTGCCTGTGGTCACCTGTGGCTGGAGTCCACTGCAATACAGGGTTGGCTGAGCCTGTTTCTCTATTATTTCTGAGGGCCTCTCCATGTGCTTTTTCCATTTATCTATCAGGTGAGCCAGACTTTTTATGTGGCAACTCAGAAAGTATAACTGCTTATCAAGCATCTCCTTGAGTCATGCTTACTGATGTCTCATGAGCCGAGTTTTGAGATAATAAAGGAGAAGACTTTACAAGGGCTTTGAGGTGTGGTTCATTGGTAGGACCACCAAAGTAACAGTCTAAGAGTCAACCTTTGACCCTTAATACTGTCATTCATGTCCTTATAAATGCAAAGTATAGTGACCCCATTCCTAAAACCTCCAAAGTCTTATCTTTCTGTGGCATCAGGATTAGGTTAGAAGTTGATGATCTTATTATCCAAGTCAGCTCTGAGTGTGAATGAGGTTCTTCCTGCTTAGTTCCCTGAATACAACTGCTCAGGAGTGGCTGCTCTTCATCCAAAACTCTGTGAACTAAAAAGGTATATAATTTGGCCCTCACATAGCCAACATAAATAGTGAGATAGGGATAACATAGCTAAACCAAATATCCCCATTTGAAATGGGGGCTGCGGATAGGAGATACAGAGCAGTCACTGGCCCATGGCAATTCTAAAATTCAGCTGGATACATGGCACCAGTTTATTTTATTCTTTTCCCAAGGAGAGTAAATATACTTTATTTTTTATTTTTTTTATTATACTTTAAGTTCTGGGATACACTTGTAGAACGTGCAGGTTTGTTACATAGGTATACATGTGCCATGGTGGTTTGCTGCACCCACCAACCTGTCATCTACATTAGGTATTTCTCCTAATGCTATCACTCCCCTAGCCCCACACCCCCCGACAGACCCCGGTATGTGATGTTCCCCTCCATGTGTCCAGGTGTTCTTATTGTTCAACTCCCACTTCTTAATTAGGGCTCAGTTCTGGTTACTGGAAGTGGTTCTCTGATATTCTTGGGTCCATGCTCTTCCTTTCTATATAAAATTAATGGCCCAGGCCTCTTTGCAATTTGAACTTTATCCCTTTTGGTATAAGGTAGTATCGTTCCTTAAAATGTTGTGAAGCTTCCATGTATTAAGTTGTAATCCACTTCATGAAGCAGAAGCCACACCCATAAATATCTTCAGGAAAGATGCCCCTCTACTTTGCTGTTCAAGTCAGGATGCTGGAGGACAATGTACCAAAGATTCTTAAATGAGTTTTGCCTAGCTAGTCTTAGGGCATGCCTCATAGACCCTCCTAGCTAAGAATCTTAGAGTCTGCCCCATAGACTTTCTTAGCTACTTTCTCTGGATGATGGAGTATGCATTGTATACCAAACATATTACCACAGACATTTTTCCCCCTCAGAATCAATATGAGGTGTTTGTCAATGAGAAAGCACTCAATACATATTTATTGAACAAAATAATGAGTGATTGAGGTTAGTGTTCCTTAGAATACCTTGTGGAAAACACTGCTATAGACAAAATTAAACAATTTTCTGATTCCTATCATTTTCCATAAGAAAATAAAATAATTCTTTTTCTTATGACATCTCTTGTCTGAAACCAACACAAATTATGAATGGCTTGTCCTAAATCATGATTTTTGGTATTTCAGATGACAATTTTCTGTCTTTTGACAGAATATACCTTTACTGTCACCTGGTGGAAATAAAAACTAATAAAGTGTTAGATCTGATAGACCCAAACAAGTAACTGCTATAACTGTAGTATAAACAATTTAAGTAATTTTTAAAAATCTGTATGATACAGTATACTTTTAATATTTATGAATTTTTATGTAAGTTATTTAAAAAATCAAGTCATTCTTGAATCAAAGGATATATAATGTCAGCATTATTTTAGAAAGCCTTAAACATTTATGCCATAAGGAGTCTTCATAATTTGTTCAGGGCAATCAAAGTCCGTATAAATGTTTTATATCCTACCCAGTAATTTTAATGATTGTGTGCATATGTGTTCCAAGGATCTAGTGTAGTTTCACAATCTTGGTTTCCTAATTTTTAAACTATCTCTCTTAATTGAAACCATAGTATACCCTTGAGAATATCAGCTATAATTTATAGGTTATAAAAATGCAATTAAACCTACATAAGCCAGTCCCTTTAAAAAAAAAAAGTCATATACAAGTGAAAGTCTTTAAAATAAGATTTCAAGTTTGGATGTAGAGTCTCTTATAGATAATATATTTATTTTGTAAAACTGCACATCAGGCACTTTCTGTAGTTTTTTGGTAGAGACATCTTTCTTGCCATAGTAGGTTTCAATGAGATTTTTCAGCTGGATAACTCTGATGATTCTTGGAGATGGTGTTGAAGTTTAAGCCATATTTCCATGTCTGAGACACGAAGACATTTTCTAATGGATCAAACTACTTTTAACAGAGCAATAATTAGCCAAATTGCTATATTTCTGGGTTGTGCTCTTTTCAAAAACAACAAATTCAATTGATGGAAGTAAAAGCCAAGAGCTGTGTGAAATGTCTATTTGATTTACTGATTTTTTTTAACCATCTAGGAAATACATGTCTTCAACAAAACAGCCTATTTTTTTTTTTTTTTTACTAAGAAGATGAAATAAATTCTGCTGGAGTGATCATGGGGTAGTTTCTTAGATCACTGGATTAAGAAAAGCTTTGTCTAATCTTACCAAGTCCTATAGGAGAGACAGCTTTGAGAACTCTTTGAAATCAATTGTGTCATGTTCAAGGCAGAGACTTATAAATTTTCTTCAAAAAGTATCAAATTAATATGGAGTAGATAGAGTACTGGAAAAGATACATTTGTAAAATAATTAGGTGCATAAAGTCCAATTTGAGATTTTATGTAGTCTTTTTTGTTTTCCATTTTAGGTCAAATGAATCACCATAGGCCCTTTTCAACCATGGATATAACATGTGTATTTATCGTATTTCACAAACATTACTGAAAATCTAGGACATGACATAATTGGTAATTATAATGAGGGAATTTTAAAAATTACAAACAACATATGCCAGGCAAACAAATCACTTACAACCCAACAGGACTTTATTGGTGGCTATACAGGGTTATACTGTGATTATTACTATTTGTTCTTTATTTGTAAAAAACTATTCTCCAAAAAAAATAAAATGTTAACTGCTAATATTGATGCACTAAGTGAAGAGAAATTGATTAGGCTTAATAAAGTAGTAGCTGCTGATCAGCAAAATTTGGGATAAGTGATAAGGTAATCACTTATTTGAGATCAGTGAAAAAGAATAGGAAGTTAAGATTATTCCAGGCTCTTTCTAAATCTAATTTTGTGTGTGGTCCTAAAGTAAAAAAAAAAAAATAAATGAATAAAAATCTCATGGAATGTAGAGAAGACAAAAAGGGGCTGATTAAAGAGCGTATGAAGGACTTGTGATTTGAGCAGTAGTTTCAAGACTAAACTCATGGCTAGGGAAAGTGTAACTGGGAAAGATTTCTGTTAAAAGGTTTCAGGAAGACTACTACAAGAAAAATTAAATAATGAATGAAAACAGGGGTTGGCAAACTTTTTCTATAAAGAGTAAAATTGTGCACTTTGGGAGGCTGAGGTGGGCAGATCACGAGGTCGGGAGATCGAGACCATCCTGGCTAACACGGTGAAACCCCGTTTCTACTAGAAATACAAAAAATGAGCCGGGCGTGGTGGTGGGTGCCTGTAGTCCCAGCTACTCGGGAGGCTGAGGCAGAAGAATGGCGTGAACCCGGGAGGCAGAGCTTGCACTAAGCCACTGCACTCCAGCCTGGGTGACAGAGCGAGACTCCATCTCAGAAAAAAAAAAAAAAAGTAAAATTGTAAAAAATTTTAGATTTTTCAAGCCATATAGTCTCTATTACAACTACTCAACTATGTTGTAATAGCTAGACAATATCCATACACAAGATATAAATGAGTGGACATGGCTGTGTTTCAATAAAACTTTACTTACACAGACAGGTGGTGGGACGGATTTGGGCTGTGGGTCACAGTTTGCTGACCCCTGATCTAGAAAATGCCTTGCAGCTGTCAAATAGCAAAGCCAACAGTAGCAACTGTTGTTATTAACAAAGAAAAAGCTACAATATATTCCTGATAAAGCAAGTAGATCAGTGTTGTTAGAAAATGGGCTTTCTGTAGGTGATAGTTAGAAGGATGACTGTAAATAATGGTAAAAAAATGCTAAGACTTCAATGCCAAGAAATATCAAGCAGGGAATGGAAAACAGAAAGCAGTTTTCCTGGAAGTACCTTACAGGAATTCTATGAAACCAGAGAAATTAGAAAATGGAAAACAGACAAGGAGTGTTTACAATAAATGAGGCATAAGGCAATGGGGGGCCTATGTTTAGAGTATTAATGGTAGAAGTGCCAAAGAAAATAAAACAGATTCAAGGTCATTTTTGGAAGAAAAAAATCCATGAGAGATGATACTTGATTGGATATATTCTGAGCTTCATTGGATGTTGCTATGGGAAATAAGTAAAAGAGACAGCAAGAGGCCTATCTTAATGCTTTTCAATACAAACCTAAACATTTTTACCAAAACAACTCAAGCTCTGAGAAATAAAATCGCCTACACTTTAAGCTATTAGACAGGGAAACATGTAAATAAAGTTCCCCCATCGCTGGTTTGCCATAGAGCATTTGAATAAATAAAGGAAGGAGTTTGGGGGTACTTTCTAGGTTCTCTGATGGTCTGCTTATTAGTCTTTCCCTTAGATCATCTTAAAGGCAAAGGTGTAACTTTGCATCTTTGCATCTTTGCATCTCTTATTACACATATATGATCACTGAGATCTGAACAGAGTAAAATCTTTTGATTAGTTGTCACAGTTTGGGGGTGGCTTTGTGTATAACAAGAATCTTAGAAATAACGGTGGCTTAAACAGGAGAGAACTTTGTCAGGGAAAAGTCCAATATATCCAAATTTCAGAGCGGATGTATTGGCTGCCTAATTGTCTAGGCCTCAGGATTCTGCCCTCTATAGGGTATGGTCTTCATCCTTATTTTCCCAAGATGAAACTCTGTCCATCATATCTACGCTATTACAAGCTCGAAGGTGTAGACTGAAAGGAACAAAGGACATGATCCTTCCCACCTTTAAGAACAAGTCCCAGAGGTTACTTATATCACTTTTACTTACATTCATAGGCCAGAACTTGTTCACATAACTACACCAAGCTGTAGTGATGGCTTGGGTATGTAGTTTTTGTTAGTAAAACCCATGTGCCTGATAAAAATACTACTAATTTAAGGATTTCAAATTGATTTCCCTAAGAGAAAAGCCTAAGATAGGGATTCCTGTGCAAGTGAGCTATGAAGAGAGTGCTCTCAGAAAAAAACCTGCAGGGAAGAAGTCAGGCAGAGATGTGTTTTCAAGTCTAGCTTCAGCCTGATCCCACAGGGAGCTGTGGTGCATAAATTGCATCACAGAGTTTAATCTCACATTGAAGCAAGCCTGGACATCGCAAGTATCTCTATCTGAGTGGTTCTTGTCATACCAAGGTGATTATCAAGAAAAGGGTACAGCTATGGGCCTTGACCAGCTAGTACCCACAGCAGCTAGAGAATGAGTACAACAGCTGGTGAAGAAATTCTGGGTGGGATGTCAAAAGCATCTGCTACACTGAAGAAGGAGGACAGATTTTGAGGGAAAATTAGTAGCCATTTTTGTAAGAGCCAAAAGTATCCCTTCACACATACTGAGATGACTCAATATCCTATTTCTGTTTTGTACATGGTTAGTACTCTATCAGTATTTGTAGAATGAGTAATGCATATTCTTGGACAACCTTCTTTTTTTTTTTTTAATTTCCACAGCCATCCTTTACCATTTTTGAAAGTATTAAGAAATGTTAATACTTTCAGTACCACCATACCTACCCCCAGTACATACACAAGCATCCTGCCCTCAATAGCTATTTCCTCTACTCAGATTCTAAGTCACACTCACAACCAATTGTAGAATTACCTCACTGGCATTCTGAAGAATTAGCTGGCAAATTTCCTGCATTTTCAAATATTTTAAGTTCCGGTTTCCAGAAAAATTCTCCTTGCCCTGGAAATAATAGCCAGACAACTATGATTAGAATATATATAACCTGCTTATATTCACCTTCTTTAAATCTTTGGTGAAGAATAGGTATGGCTTTTCTCATCGGTTTGCTCTGGCCTAGATTTATGTTGGTTTTACAGTGACATTTCTGACTTTCAGGCAAGTATCCATTGAGTAACTGTTTTATTATACAAAATCTGAGGTTATAAAATAAAGACTTAAATGAGCATTTCACTGATTTCATTATATCTCACAATTATAGATCTGGATCTATCAATTTTTTCTCATGAAGGTCCCAAAAGACTGTTCTATAAGAGCCGTGATTATGGAGTGAATGAGTCAAATTTGAAGTCTGGTCCAATGGTTTCAGGAAAATGTTTTATATTGTTCTAAAGCCAAAAAATAAAGAAAGAATAAAGCATCATTTCAAAGCACTATCACACCAGGTTGGATTAGTTAGGCTTCATATTACAGAAAAGCAGCTTAAGTAAGATAGTTTAGTTTCTCACGTAAAGTAGTTATAAGGTAGGCATTCCTGGACTTTTATGATAATTTCAACGTTTTGCATGACTTAGGCTCTAAAGCTTTATGCTTTGCCATTCTCAGCATGTGGCTTCCATTCCCAATGTCACTACGTGCTCCTAATACAACTGAAGAACTGAATTTTTAATGTTATTTAATTTTAAATAGCCACATGTGGATCTTAGTCTTTGTTTTCAAATAGTCATTACAAGCTGTTTGTGGCTACTGTTTTAGAATAGAAACTCTTCTGGATAGCTCTTATTTAGCCTGGAATCATGTAATGTAAACATGGAAAAGATTTTAGATTTCACTGTAGGGGTTGCTTAGTTTTACAGATAAACAATGGAGGAAGTCCAAAGAAGTATTGGCTTTCTAGAAATTCAAAACTAATGTTTAGAAATACTGAAAATCGAGCTGGATCTTTTGATTTCTTAATCAGTGCACTCATAAAAAATAATTTATTAAAAATATTTTGTAATTGAATTTGTTGATTATTCAGGTAGATCTTCCTTTATTTACTTAAAAAAGTAAGATTTTAATACAATTATTTTTTTCAATCCATTCATTTCCAATGGCTAATTTATTTGAAGAATGATTGCAGCAATCTGACAACAAAGTTTTACCCCATCTACTCTAGATATTGAGGCTTAGGCTGTGTTTCTATTCTTGACTCTATAAGCCAATCCATTAAATGATAAGCTAACAATTAATTTACATTAAAACAAGACTACTATTTCTGTTACTGTAGAAGTTTTAGAATTAGTTGCATGTAAGTTAATGTGATTAAATTGGCTAGGAATATTTGATACTGTATCTATTTAATTTATTCTTTTAGATTATTAAGTATCTATTCTATGCAAGCCATTAGGCCAGCTGTTGGGAGCACAGCAGTGAATTAAACCACAGTAGAATTAAGCTAGAATAGAACATGTCTCTTCTGGAAGTTTATTCTAGAAAAGAGCCTTTGAAACAGTAATTACTTGGATCCTAACTTTTATGAAGAGAAAGAACAAGGTGCCTTAAGATCAGGCAACAGGCTGGCTTAGCCCACTTGGTAAATAGTCTCTCCCTCAAAGGCTCAACCTCTTCAAACTGAAATCTGACTACTTCTGAGGTTGCACAAAAGTTCCACAGACTGTTCCGAAAAAAATAATTTGAAGGAAATTCATCTCCAGAACCTCAACTTTCACATGTACTCTTGTCTAAAATTGCCTGAAATCTCAGAATAGCATTTCCTCCACCTTACAAAAGAAAGGCACACCTTTCTTCCTTCCCAAATTGTAGCATGATGCATTGCCCCAGAACTTAGGGTGCCAAACAAAGGGATAGTCTAAAATATTACTTTGAAAACTCAAGGCCCCTTAAACTCAGAGATCTTCTCCTGCCTGTGTTTCAGGAATTTTTGATAACTTCAGTGCTTAATCAAAGTTGGTATATTCCTAATTCAGAACAGCCAAAGCCTTATATAGTAGTGATACTGAATTGTGTCAGTGTAATTGGAATGTTTTATAGGACTATCATTTTTTCAAGATGCATTTGATAAAACTCAGGAACACACTTTACTTGTGATGGTTAATACTGAGTGTCAACTTGATTGGATTGAAGGATGCAAAGTATTGATCCTGGGTGTATCTGTGAGGGTGTTGCCAAAGGAGATTAACATTTGAGTCAGTGAGCTAGGAAAGGCAGACCCACCCTTAATCTGGGTGGGCACCATCTATTCAGCTGCCAGCACAGCTAGAATATAAAGCAGGCAGAAAAAAAAAAACACGTGAAAGGACTAGACTGGCCTAGCCTCCCAGCCTACATCTTTCTCCCATGCTGGACCCTTCCTGCCCTCAAATATTGGACTCCAAGCTCTTCAGTTTTGGGACTCGGGCTGGCTCTCCTTGCTCCTCAGCTTGCAGACAGCCTATTAAGGGACCTTGTGATCATGTGAATTAATACTTAATAAATTCCCATATATATGTCCTATTAGTTCTGTCCCTCTAGAGAACCCTGACCAATACATTTGTTTTCTTTCATATTTGATGTGCATTGTCCAAAAATAACACATGGAAAGCCTATTTCATTAAATCATGTACTATGTATTCCACTTAGTTAATTCTCATCATATTCCATTTATACAATATATAGTATTTTCTCTCTCCTATTAACAAATAACTAAAATTATTTAAACATACAAAAATAGATGTCACCTTTAAATAATAGGTTTTTATAAGTCATTTAAGGTAAATGTGACACAAAAAAGCTTGGAAACCCCTTTTCAGGGTTTCTCAAATTATAATCGTATGTCTAATTAGATTAAAAAAGGTCACCAAGGTGCTAGTGAATAAAACAAACAAACAGATTCCTAGATCCTACCACTTACTGTTGAATCAGAATTTCTGGGGAAACAAGGATCAGAAATCTGATGGATCAGCATGCATACAGATGATTCTTATCCACATTAAGTTTGTGAATTTATATTCAAGTGATAACGGTTACTATGGTTTGGATGTTTGTTTCCCCAAACCTCATGTTGAAATTTGATCCCAGAGTTGGAGGTCAGGTGTTACTAATGGGAGTTTGAGTAATGCGGGTGTGTCCTTCATGAAAAGATTAATAGCCTACTTCAGCAGTGAATGAGTTCTTGCTTAGTTTCCAGGAGAGCTGGTGCTTTAAAAGAGCCTGGCACATCCACCTTTTTTCTCTTATTTCTGCTCTCATCATGTGATCTCTGCTCTCTTTTGCCTTCCACTATAAGTGGAAGCAGCCTGAGTTCCTCAACAAAAGCAGATACTGGTGCCATGCTTTTCGTACAGCCTTCAAAACTGTAAACTAAATAAGCATCGCTTCTTTACAAACTAGCTAACCTCAAGTAGTTCTTTATAGCGACACAAAAAATGGACTAAGACAATGATCCTTTTAAGAGAGTTCTATCCCATACTAATTCAAAGTCAACATGGTGTTTCATATAATCTTGTTGTAATAGTCTCTTGGTGGTGGACATCCGGCACCTAACACAGTGCCCAGCACATGTTGGAGTGTCAAGAATTAATGATTGAAAGTGAATGGAAAAAAGGTATATATCTCCTCCCAAAACATCAGGAGATTGAATATAAAGGACACATCTTCCTTCTATAATGTGACAGATGCACTCTATAGTTACTGTTTGAGAGTTTTTTTAGTGCAAACTATTTACCTCTTAGGCTAAATTTAATTTACAAATGGAATCATTAGTAGTGAAGATATAGCAGGGTGCCTTCCAGATTCCTCTGCTGTGATCTTCAAATGAATAAGCACTGCAGATTAGTCAACCTTCTGAAAAGTTCTTAATTAAGGAAACCAATACTGTGCAGAATAACAGCCTGTGTGTTAACCTTGTTGACACAGTGTAGAAATCTCATGTAGATAGCTAGTACAAAAGAATAAAAATGTTGTTCTAGTTTCTAAAGTGGCGTTTCCAAGGAATTATACTTCTAATGAAAATTGCTGCTGTGGATGTCTGTTCAAAGGCTTTGGCTTACAAAGTAAAGATTTGAAAATATCAAACTTGCTTAATCTCTGAATGTTGTTTTCATTCATTAGGTGAATATGACAGCTCTCTCTTTACCCTAATCGCCCCCCCTGGAGGAAATAACATTTTTGTTTGTCTAAACAGTACTTAATGACTACTCTAAAATTAGAGTTTAAGATCTTTAACTCTAGAGTGCAAAGCTCTACGTCCTTGACTCTGACGTTTATCATGAATATTAATTTCTGATCTTAAAGTCAAGCCATGAAATTTTTATATATTATCATACATTTCCCTTGACAGTTTTTGTAATTGCCGTAATTTCCTCATCAGCAAGAGTTGTTTGTGGCTCTCCTGGTCTGAGGAGGCTATAAATTTGGCAGCTTTGAATTCCCTCTTTTGTTTGAATGTGGAACCATCGACTTGTTTACTCTGAACATTAACTAGATCTCAGATCTTAAAAGAACTATAGTTTTTATTGGTGCCTTTACATGACAAAAGACTCAATATATTTGTTGCCATTACATGTTTTCATTGTTACCTTTGGATTGACTTTCTTGTTAGGGGAGATTTATGTCCATCTTCAGATACTTTTCCTGCTACTCACATAAAAATGTTATTTTCTGCCACATAGCTACCATTTTCTTTAAAATTGATTTATTAGTAGTGTTTGATTATCGAATACCAGACTGTATATATTCACATTGTGTATAAGTATCCAACATGAAAATTATTTAGACAATATTCATGGACATGTATACATAAACACACATACTTTTTAATATATGTAATTCAACTGAAATGTTATCTTCCGTTTGTACTTTCAACAAAGATTTATCGAACATCTACTACACATCAGGCCTGGATTTTTTTCTGCACACAGGAATAAAAATAGACAAGACACAAATTGGCCTGAAGATGCCACAGTCAACCAGGCAAACAGACAGACTCATAAAAAATTATCTGTATCACTGTACGGCAAATGCTGTTAAAAATATGGTGACAAAGAGCTGTTGCAACCAGAGAGACTCAGGGATGGATACACAGAAGACAGGTCTCTGAGGCTACACGAGATAGATCTTTCTTCCCAGAGAAATTGAAAGGGCATGTTATTTTACACAGTAGGAGTGGCCAGACATGGTGATTTAGTAAAAGAGCTTCAGAAGGGAAAAGCAACAGATACACGTGGCTGGAGTGAAAAGTGCAAAGTGGTGCGTGGGAAAGAAACAGAAGCTAGAAAGTTAACTTTTGGATAGATTTGGGAAGTACCCAAGAATAGAATCTCAGGTTCAGGTGTTTGACTTTTTTTTTCTTAGGACCTGAAGACAGTGATCCAGGATGGCCTAAATGTCGCAGAGAAAATTATTCTATATATTCAGTCATTCAGACAATTATCTAATGAATTCTTTATGAGAGTTGTTTTTGGCCAGGTGATGAACAAGAGTCAAAGTCTCTGTTCTTAGGAATCTTATAGTCTTTCAAGAGAGAAAGTTAAGTCACTCAACGTTTAATGTCTGATATGACAGAGGTTACAACAGAGAAAAGAACAGAGTGTAATGGGCACATAGATGTGATGTGTAATTCAGAATAAAAATCAGGTAAGGCTTCTTGGAGATTTAAATATTGAGTTCTGATACAGAAGTAAAACTTACCTGGATGAAATAAGGAGATGAAAAAGGAGATTTGGAGGAGATCCTAGGTGGTAAGATAGTATATGGCTACAGTCATTATATATTCTTCTAATTGTCCACGACTATAGTAAAGTTCCCATGACTTGGGTCATTTTTAGAGAAGTTGGAAAGGATCAGTTCATGGTCTTGGGGTACAAAACGGGAGAGCTGAAACTTTACACAAAAAGGTTCAGGGAGACAATGAAAAACTTTAATCAGATGGATGACAAAAATTGGATTTGAGTTTTGGGGCGGTCATTTAGCAGCAGTGTGTGGGGATGTTGAATGGAGGGCTTGGAGAGTAGCATCTAACTACAGGGTTGTCTTAGATTGGACTCCTCTAGAAACAAACCGCAAGGAAACATCACTAGAGGAATGGGGAAGTAAGATGTAGCAGAGAAGGGAAGCCAGTAAAGTATGCATTATAAAGCTGTTTTATCCCTTTTGGCAACTGGAAATTAGGTTTACTGGAAAACTCTGTGAGACAATGTAGACATACTCTCAGAGTTATACCCGAAGGGAGAGGAAACTGGGTTGTTTTTCTACCAGCTCCCTACCTGTTCCTGATTGAGGGTTTCTTCTACTAGGAATCTTAGTTCTCTAGCATTTCTGGCTTGCCCTTCATGAAGACCAAGGTTGGTCTCAGGGCCAGACAAAAGCCATCAGACTGAGGGTGTCACGTATTTGTAAGAAGCAGCCTTCATACGGTAGACGTTTGGGTGGGGCACTGACATAATCAGCTAAAGAACTAACAAGATGGGAGGTGTTGAGGGTCTGGACTTAGGCCATGATAGTGGTAATCCGGGGAAGTTTGGGAGTGCTACTAGGCCATTGTTTTAATAAGATTTGGCCATGCATTAAATGTTAGGGGTAAATTATGAATGATGACTTTCCAGAGAGTAGACAGATGTTGATGATGTAAAATGTGTGTGTTTAACAACGTAAAGGTTTTAGTATAAATATGAAACCTATATTAAAGTCTCTTTATAATTGTATCTATTTTAGAAAAGTATTATAATACAGCAGTATAAAAACTCTCTAACCAGAAGACCTAGAGTACTTCCTAGATCCAGATTTCTAACAGCATGAATCTTGGATGATACTCTTAATCTCTCAGAGCGTCTCATGAAAAAAATGGAAGTAAACATGAAAGAAGCTTTGCATATGTTACGTAAACCAAAGTGTCAGTAAGCCTTGTACAAAATTTTAACTTTTAAATAGAAATTACATAAAGTATTTGGGCCCTAGGACCTACCAAGTCGATTATTATTAATGAATGAGTAAATCTAGTCAATCAAAGACCTTTCATTTTTCCCACACCTATATTTGAACAGATGCCAGTTAGTGAGCATCTTTGTTTGTTAATATCTGTACTTCATACTTAATGGACTAATTTTTTCTCTATCAAAAAAGCTGCCTTTGTTAAAACATTTCAATCAACTAAATTACTTAACTCTAATGCCTATTTTGAGGGAAAAATATACTTAGAGGGAGAATTAAATGTGTAATTTTATTTCTGCCTCATTAAACCTCCTCTGTGTCTAGGCCAACAAGAGTTTCCTCCTCCTCCACCGGCACACACTTATTGGACGCTTCATTGTGAGAAAATCCTCAGGTCGCTGGAACTTGGTAGTGAGTTACATACCTGCCCGTCCCCTCCAGTATATGTACTAATTATCTTATGGAAAATAACTATTTTCTTGCTTTTTTTTTTCCTCAAGAAAGCCTTGAGTCTCATCCAGAAGTCAGATGAGTGTTAGATTTCTTCCTTCTCTTGGCTTCAATGGCAACTCTTTTTTTTCTGATTCTAAATAAATAGATTGTTATACCCACATGAATATCCACAGGACCAACACTGCCCCTTTATTACTCAGGAAGTATTTATTTTTCAGCTTTCTCTTTCCTTTCTGGCCCTTTGAAATTCAAGCTTATTTAATAATGAATTTTAGTGAAATTATTTTAAAATATCTTTTAATCACATTAGCAAACTTCTAGCAGAGCATTGAGTTTCTTCCTCAGATAATTCAAGTTGTCTTTTCTAAAATATGTACTTAAAATGACTTTGAAAAAAGAGATGTATGATGTCAGAAATTTCTTTCAAAAGAATCTGGGTGTGGTTGGGGTGATGGGTAGGGATATAGATGAAATTAAATAAGCGCTATGTTGATAAATGTTGAAGTTGGATGATGGTATATGGGAGTTGTGTAGTGTTTTCTACTTTTGTATATGTTTGAAATTTTTTCTACACTTGAAAAGATAAGAGAAATTTAAAAATTAAATTGGTTCTCACAATTTTATTTTTGTAGCTGTTTTTTATTTGAGACGAAGTTTCACTCTTCTTGCCCAGGCTGGAGTGCAGTGGCACGACCTCGGCTCACTGAAACCTCTGCCTCCTGGGTTCAGGTGATTCTCCTGCCTCAGGGCATGCATGTGTACAAGCAATGCCCTTACCATTTATGCATTCAACTATTCTTCCCTCTACCCATTATTTAATATAAGAAGTACTTATGATGTCTGTGCTGCTGACTGTGCTAATCATTGAAGAACCTAGGGTGAGCAAAAACACACACAGCCATTGCCTTCATAGGACTCATAGAGAAATGAGCAAGAAACCCAATGAGAAATCACACAAATAAATGTAAAATTGCAAAAATAACAGCTGTTAAAGAGGAAAGATACATGATTTTATGTGAAATTATAACCGGGTGGTATTGACTTGATGATTTGAGAAATCAGGGGAGGCTTATCTGAGTTTGTGCTGATTTAACTGAGATCAAACTTTGATCTTGGTGTGTGGAGACATAGAACATAAACCTCAATTCACCCATGGTAGACATGTAGCTTGAGTGAGAAAATGTAACTTTGTTATTGAAAAAGTCATGACAATTTTGTAATCTGGCCTATCCTGATGAACATTCATAGGGTTATGATGGGTTATCCTTATATATCTTGAGAACACCAAGGACAGTGGCAGAGCTTGGAGTGAGAAGGAAATCCATAAACCAGATGCCAAACCTTCCTGGAGTCAGCATAGACATGAAAATGCACAAGAGGGCAAAAGAGTTATAGAACCAACTGGTATGCATTTCAAAAGAGCAGGATTGTGGAGAAGAGAGTGGATGAATTATTATTTAGGAGCTGGAATAGGAAGGAAGGATATCAAGCCCAGTCCCTATCTCTGAAATGCAAAAAGTATGAGGAAGTAAATAAGCACCACCTGAGATAGCTGTAGGAGAAGTGATAATCACAGAGGAGAGCTAGGTTTGATTGGGTGAATACCAAGAAGAGAAGGGGATACTAAGGATTTAGAGCGGTTATATGAGTATGGAAATATTGCATCAAAGGGTACAGTGAAACAATTTGAGCCATGAGATGTGTGTGTGGGCACAGAATATGAATAAATGAATGAATGAATGAATAATAGCATTATAGAAATGCTAATGCAGTAGAAGTGTATGTATATGAGTGTGTTGGAGAGGGGATGCTTACAATTTTGGCATTGATTTGTTAAACTAAGGATGACAGACATCCTGAATTCAACCTTAATATCTCTTTGAGGAAGATGACTCACTTGGTTGGGGGTGATGGGAAACCCAGAGGCAATAGAATCCATATACTTTTGATGGTGGGTTGATAGTAAACCAGATCTTCAGATCCCCAGTGTCCATTACTACCTACGTTGTAGTCTAATCTCTCATTAATTCTCACATGTTTAATTCCCTCCAATCCAGCTGTCAGACATTTTTATTCCTCTCTGCTTAGAAATTGATATTTATGGGGGGCCGGGCGCGGTGGCTCACGCCTGTAATCCCAGCACTTTGGGAGGCCGAGGCAGGCGGATCACGAGGTCAGGAGATCAAGACTATCCTGGCCAACATGGTGAAACCCCATCTCTACTAAAAATACAAACATTAGCTGGGCATGGTGGTGGGTGCCTGTAATCCCAGCTACTCGGGAGGCTGAGGCAGGAGAATGGCTTGAATCTGGGAGGCAGAGGTTGCAGCAAGCCAAGATCGTGCCACTGCACTCCAGCCTGGTGACAGAGCAAGACTCTGTCAAAAGAAAAAAAAAAAAAAAAAAAAAAACGAAAAAACCAGAAATAGTTTATTTATGGCCAGGCGCAGTGGCTCATGCCTATAATCCCAGCATTTTGGGAGGCCGAGGTGGGTGGATCACAAGGTCAGGCGTTCACGACCAGCCTGGCCAATATGGTAAAACCCCATCTCTACTAAAAATACAAAAATTAGCTGGGCGTTGTGGTGCACGCCTATAGTCCCAGCTACTTGGGAGGCTGAGGCAGGAGAATGGCATGAACCCGGGAGGCAGAGGTTGTAGTGAGCTGAGATCATGCCACTGCACTCCAGCCTGGGTGACAGAGTGAGACTCTGTCTCAAAAAAAAAAAAAAAAAAAAAAGAAATTGATATTTATAAAATATAAATGTGAACTTGTTATCTCCTGTTTAAAAATCCTTCAATGATTTTTCAAGCTTTCCAGATAATATTTAAACTGTGTTAAAACACAAAAGCCCTTTACCGTCTCTCCTGTAGCTACTACTTTAGTGTCCCTTCAAAGCACTTTCCCCTACTCATCTTTCATGTCAGCAACAGAACTATTTTAATTTTTTAAAGCTTTCTTGTTTCATGCTGCTGTACTGGTGTCTGTGCTATTCAATCTATCTGGAACCTCCATCCTAACCTCTTTGTCTGGTTAACTCCTCCCCAAAGGGATTAATGACTGAATTAATGATGCCGCATATGTTTTTCTAATGTTCTTTTGAAGTAACTCAATTGACTCTGAAAGTTTCAGAAACCCCTTGTCAAGTACTGATCAAGCAGCTTATTTCACTGCATATTTTTTAAAATTATTTTTTCCTGAAGTTTCAGAAGTCATGACTTTATTTCCTTTGGAAGTGTTCAATATTTATGAATAAAATTATGAAGATAATCATGTAAAAACAGCTTAATAAATTTAAATAAATTTTAATAAAATAAAGAGATGATGAAAAAAAGGAGTTATGAAAAGCCATAACAGCAGAGAAAAAAGAAGCTACAGGAAGTGTGAATTGGAACTAAGATAGAACTATACATAGCATAAATGGGAAATGTAAGAATGTAAAATTTGTGCACTTGAAGAAACTGAACACAATTGCAAAAGTTTATTTTGATAAGTGGAAAACATTGTCATCATTTGTACATTTTTTTCCCTTAATAGAAAGCTTCTTAAATTATATCTAAGCACTTATCTTATTGCACTGAATGTAAGATGCCAAATATAGTAAGAGACACAATCAACAATGCTTTCTTATAGCAATCATAAAAGATATACCCAATTTTGGAGATGATAAAATACAAGCAAAATGCACATCTTAGAACTGATGAAATCTGGAAATTGATGAAAAAAGTCAAGTAACTAGGTTATTGCATACATGGTATTAGAAAACTGCCAAAGGAAATTTTTAAAATCTTTAGAAAGAAAATTATCAATACTGCTTGATCACATTTGATATGAATTTTTAGGAGGACACAAATATTCAGTCCATAACACTCTCTGAGCTTGTCTTCTTCAAGATTCTTTCAGTTGCAAGTGACAGAAAACCGAGATCAAAGACTGATTAAGCATAGAAAGGGATTTTTTTGATTCACGAACTGAAAAGTCCAAGGATAGCCTGGCTTTTTAGGCATGTCTGGATTTAGATTAGAGGCTCACATGATAACAGCTGAAACATTCTCTCTTTTTCCCACTTCTTTCCTTGGTGTTGGCTTTATTCTTAGGTAGGCAAAGATGACCCCTATCTCCTCTAGTCTTAGATTCTACTGTCTTAGCCACCAGAGCCAGAGAAAGACATCATGCATTCCTAAATCTCCAACAAAAATCCAAAGTGTGGCTCTCATTGGCCTCATATGTCCATCCCTGAACCAATCACGGTGGCCAGTGGAATAGAATATTCAGATTGACCAGTTCTCAGGCATAAGAACCAGAGAGAATCAGTCCAACTTGAACTACATGCTAATAACAAAAGAAGGGAGAAAATGTTGGATAAGGAAAAACAGTAGAGGAGCCCCAGTACTCACTAAATAGGATTAATTTCTTAAATCTGCAAACTGGGAGAAGATACCAAACCTTTAGGACTGCTGTGAAACAGAATTAAACAATATGTGTTATTATACTGAATTGCACTCATGTGACTAAATTATTACACACCACATACCCGTATATTGCAAAATTCTAATTTCTTAAGGATCTGTCCTTGACTTCATTGTGGCGATTATACATCCCCCTTGTAGCCCACGATAGAAATGATCAATAGAAAACATTGTCCAAGCGTCCTGGCTTTCCTCAGGCAAGATGTTAGTTAATGAGACCTCAACAAGGATGAGTAACTCTTTCCAAGGGACATCTTCAGGGTCTCCCTAAAGGAGAAATCAATGCCCCCTAACTGATTTGGATGAGGAAGCCACTAGGGTCTCAGGAAGTCCCCCATTGAAATGCAAATTGGTCTAGCTAGGGCTTTATCTTAAACACCAGCAAATAGCTCAGTTATTACTTAGCACAGCTGCAGGGATTATCAAAACTTGCAGTTTTGTTGTCCTATAGGACATAAGTCAATATTGTATCTAACTTTGCAATCTTATTCTATCTCTTTTAGTCAAAGCGATACTGCACCAGGCATTTGTTAAAAAAATGGCAAGGAAAACTTTATTCAAAGCTATTGTAATATCAGTTAAGACTATTGCAATAGGGGCAAGAAAGTATACTCAACTTTATTGAAATGAAAGGCAGGAGAGGTTTTAAGCCTTAGGGTGAGCTAGAGGAAAAGCACTGGAAGACACTAGGGGGAAGGTCGGTCAGGGTGATTGGGCTTATCAAAATTAGGCTCCTACCCTCCCACAGAGACTGAGAAATGAGGATGTTATCTTTCTTGATGATTGGATTTCAAAAGAATGGCTTCCAGGTGCTTGAGAAAGACATTCCAGGGATGTAGAAGATTTACATCTCAAAGGGACAGAGAATACATTTACAATGGAAAGTTTTCTAAAATAACTGCTCCAAAAAAAGGGCGGGGCTGGGCTCAGTGGCTCACGCCTGTAATCCCAGCACTTTGGGAGGCCAAGTCGACTAGATCACCTGAGGTCAGGAGTTTGAGACCAGCCTGGCCAATATGGTGAAAACCCATCTCTATTAAAAATACAAAAATTAGCCGGACGTGGTGACGGGCGCCTGTAACCCCGGCCACTCGGGAGGCTTAGGCAGGAGAATCACTTGAACACAGGGGCGGAGGTTGCAATGAGCTGAGATCACACCACTGCACTCCAGCCTGGGGAGACACTGTCTAAAAAAAAAACTGGCCAGGCGCGGTGGCTCACGCCTGTAATCCCAGCACTTTGGGTGGCCGAGGTGGGTGGATCACGAGGTCAGGAGATGGAGACCATCCTGGCTAACACGGTGAAACCCTGTCTCTACTAAAAATACAAAAATTAGCCGAGCATGGTGGCGGGCGCCTGTAGTCCCAGCTACTCGGGAGGCTGAGGCAGGAGAATGGCGTGAAACCGGGAGGCAGAGCTTGCAGTGAGCCGAGATTGCACCACTGCACTCCAGCTTGGGCGACAGAGCGAGACTCCGTCTCAAAAAAAAAAAAAAAAAAAAAAAAAAAAAAAAAAAAGAAAGGAAAAAAAAAAAAACAAAAAAAGGGTAAGTCGGGAGCTTATTAAGGAAAGAATCCTAGTCTCTGGCATTCTATTTGGGCCAACTTTGTCATCCTTGTAATTCCCTCTAAAGCTTTGGCATGTGCTCACACTATATCCGTATGAAGTTCATGGCTTTATATTTATAAAAATTATATTTTGACTTCTTTTCTCTTATATTAGTTGGTAGAATAAGCAGAAATCAAAGAAGCTGAAACTAGAAAACAGAACATAGCAAAATAGCAACAAAAAGACATTAAAACACAAATTTTGAAAGGGCAAAAAATCATTTTTGGAATCTGACTAATGAGACAGCATGGGGAAGGCTAATGGGGTAAGGAGAAGAACAAATAGAAATAATTGTCTTTGGAATGTGAACATTAACATAATGGAGAGCAATGAATAAGAAGTATGACAATGTTAAGTATTTTATGTCATTGTCCCAAGAGGTGCTCAATTGAGAAATCACACACACACACACAACTTTAATTATAAGAAAAATATGTGGTAACAAAATAACAGGAAAACTCAGAAGTCAGAGAATAAATTGCTTATTACCACCTCCTAAGTAGCTTTTAATGCTCTTTCTAAATTTTCTTTGTAAATTCAAAAGTTAAATTGAATTTTGATTCAGACATAAAATGAAACTGGGAGCATTTATTTCTGTATTGCCAGGAGAAATATTTACCTTGATTTATTTAAATTCTTCTAGGCATTCCTATTTATTCAATTTTATAAACATCCTCTTCTTTGATGTTACTCTAAGTTTATTGTTTCATTGTCTGAGAAAAATCTTATTGCCATTTCCTAAATTGGTGTTTTTTTCCCCATGAAATTTCCAGAAGCATCCAAATGACTGGATTAAAATGAAGTATGGCAAATTGCCTTTTAGAATGACTCTTCCCAATTAGAAATTGCCAAAAGTAGAGATCAAAGCAGTATACAGTGGTTTTAAACTAGCTCATATAACATCTTCCATGAGCTAGTTATATAAAGATTTTTGTTTTGATTACTTTTATCTTATAATTATTCTTACCAAATTCCAACCATAAAAGATATTTTGTACATAATAGGTACTCAATAAATGAACATTACATTTGAAAAGCAATGACCTGCTTTATATTTCAGTCTAAATGTAATCGATATGAATCAAGCAGTAAAGAATATGGCAGAGTTGCATTACAATTTGCAGTCCAAAAATTCTTGAGTAATCTCAGGAAAAATGTACTCTACCAGGGCTTTCCAAAGATCGTTTTCAGGAATACTAGCCTGTCTATGTGCTGCCAAAGCGAGCACAGGAATACTAGCCTGTCTAGATCAATGCAGTTAACACAACCCAGTAGATCTCTGTGCTTGATGATGAAAATATTCTATGTCTCTGCTGTTCAATACAATAGTCAATAGCTATCTGTGGCTGTTAAGCACCTAAGATGTGACTAATGCAACTGAATAACAATTTTTTTCATAGAAATTAATGTAAATAGCCATATGTTGCTAGTGGCTACGGTACTGGACAACATAGCTCCAAAGTTCTCAAGAACAAAGAAAAAAATTTATTTATTTTTCTTTAAAGAACAAAATTTTGTCTAACCTAGCATTTCCCAAATTTAGTTCATCACGAAATTCCTCTTTCTACTTTGAGAAGAACATTAGGGTACACTTTTCAAAAATTTTATATTATTAATAAAAAGGAATAAGATGTTTAAGGCCATTTACACATGATTCCTTATTTTATTTGCTGATTCATTTATGTATCCACTCAACTAACATCTAATGAGCTAGGGGCTTGGCAATATTGAGATACAGTTTTGTTCATTATTGAGTTATATCTAATGGGACAGGCAGATTAATCAAGAGATAATTACACACAGTCTGGTAAGTTCTAAGAAACACAGAGGACTGTGGGAATACACAGGTGGGTGCAGAATCAAAATTTGTCATGGGGAAAGTTTCCAGAGGGAGAATGGAGGACAAGTAGGACATTGTCTGGTTAAAAAGAGGTCCCCGGCCAGGCGTGGTGGCTCACGCCTGTAATCCCTGTGCTTTGGGAGGCCGAGGAGGGTGGATCGCCTGAGGTCAGGAGTTGGAGACCAGCCTGGCCAACATGATGAAACCCCATCTGTACTAAAAGTACAAAAAAAGAAAAAAATTAGCTGGGCGTGGTGGTGTGGGCTGAGGCAGGAGAATCACTTGAACCTGGGAGGCAGAGATTGCAGTCAGCCGAGATCGTACCACTGCACTCCAGCCTGGGCAACAAGAGCAAAACTCCATCTAAAAAAACAAAAAGGGTGCCTTTGCATTTTTATTTCTCTTATTCCCCTCCCCAGGGTTTGACACTTAGTCTGTCTTATTCAAGCTAAGTCCTTGAATCACAACTATGCCTAGATCCTTATGGGTTGCTTATTTATACCTTTAAACAAAGAGAAATTCATCTGATTTTTACAGATTGATTTGAGAATTAGAGGCTGTTAATACTATTTCCTTTTTGCCACCCCAACCACTTTTTCCTGTTCTAACTTCTTCATACTCCAGTATACACCACAGAAACAGAGGCTGATATGGTTTGGCTCTGTGTCCCACCTAGATCTCATCTTGAACTGTACTCCCATAATTCCCATGTGTTGTGGGAGGGAGCGGTGGAAGATAATTGAATCATGGGGGTGGTTTCTCCCATACTGTTCTGGTGGTAGTGAATAAGTCTCACGAGATCTCATGGTTTCATAAGGGGTTTCGGCTTTCGCTCCTGTCTTATTCTCTCTTGCCACCATGTAAGAAATGCCTTTCACCTTCTGCCATAATTGTGAGGCCTCCCCAGCCAGGTGGAACTGTGAGTCCATTAAACCTATTTTTCTTCCCAGTCTCAGGTATGTATTTATCAGCAGCATGAAGAAGGACTAATACAGAGGCCATTCGTACTTTAAATGTATTACGGCTAATTATAGTCAAGAGATTAGAAGTCATAATACAAATATTAACCACAGAGAGGTTTAAATTTCTCTATATAATCTACAGTCTTCTCAAAATAGCCTTCAAAATTTTGACCTGAGAGCAGGAACAGGCCTTTCATGTTTTAATCCTCAATAAAACACAGACATACAAGCCTGTGTGTGTGTGTGTGTGTGTGTGTGTGTGTGTGCGCGCGCACATGCATTCTCACGCTCATAGTCTGTCTTTTCCCAACTTCGACAATTGTCCCACTGATTTCTCTGTACCTTCCTTTCTATTTTAATCAAATCTCCGCAAAATAAATAAGGGATATTCTAAAATGTAAATCTCATTAAGCCCTCCCCCAGATAATACTCTTCAAGAGTTTCCTCAGTTTCCTTCAAAATATGTTCTATGGCCATTAGAGTAGTTTAAAATTCCCTGTATAATCTAGTCCAAGTTTATTTCTCCAACCTCAGAGCAAACAATTCTAGAACAGTGTCTAGCATATAATAAACACCCAATAAGTGTTGGCTATTGTTTTAGGAAATGGTTGTCTGTCCAGGAAGCCTAAAAAGGTGTCAAACCACAATATTAGGGAGGCAATGCATAGTGCAGCCAATTCACAAAAGAGAAACAAGTCCTAGAAATGTTACTAAGAGCTCACCATTCATGACAACACTAATCTCCTCCCGCAACTCTGCCCTCACCCTTCATTCTTTGAGGCTTCAAAGGATGAAGTTTATCCATTCATATCAAAACCTTCCTTTTTCACATATCAATGCACATTTAAAATAATCTTGTAGACACTGTTTTCTCCTTAAGAGTCTGAGAGTTAGGAAACAATTCTGTAAATATTAAAAACACAGGTATTGTAAGACTGATTGGAATCTTACAAACTAATTTTGTTTTACTAACCAAGACAGTGTAGGATAGTTACACGAACCCAGGTCTAGTAAATAATTCATTCGCGATTGTGGGATTGAGTGCAAATAATTAGTGTAAATTGTCACTTTCTCAAAACAACCGCCATAATAGCCTGTTGATTAAGCAACGCTGAGTTTATTACTTAGTGCAGTAATAAAGATCAACACTTGACACAGGGTCTTAGTTCTCTGAAGACAGTGGTTGAAGGTAGATATTTTTTATAGAGTTTTGAGGGGGTCTAGGTTCAAGTGGTTTAAAGAAGTTCTTTGAATGCAGAGATTTGATTGAAATTGGGCAAAATCCAAGATATAATAGACAAGAATTGGTGGACCCAGTGAGTCCAGGTTCTTAGAATAAGTCTTGATGAGTAAATAGCTGTTGAATAAGTAAGGGAGTTCATCATGTTAACAATCCATTGTCCCATGAAAGGGAGCTTTTTCTCCAAATAAACAACTTATTGTCTTAAGACAGAGCTACTTGATCACTGTGTAGTTCAGATAAATGCAGTTTCAGGAATTTCCTGACGCTGTATATTAGTTTACAACATTATTTCCTGGGAAAATGTTTTGTGGAACAAAATGCAAAGTTATATTGACGTAGGGGCCTTGATAATTAAGTTGAGCGACAACCTCTCTGAGTTTCCTCAATTGTAAAATGGGGATACCAGTGGCACCTTTTTCTTTTGGTTGTTTTGAGGATTTAGTGAAATAATGTGCATAAAGTCCTCAGCAGGATACCTGGCACTTAGTAAAAGTACAATGGCTGTTAAATATATTTTTCAACTACTTTCACAGTAGTTACTCTTAAAGTATCAACTCATTTTTTCATCCACTCTTCTAAAACATTCACCAAAATATTATATGCCATGTTCTTTGCTGTGTGTTAGGAGCACAGGGATGAAAGAACCATGTACTCAATAACTTGTACTTATAGACATGTTACCCTATTACTGGAGACTGTTTTGGTAAAAATAGGAATAACATGCCAAGGCAGCTCAGGGGATGTAGGAAAGTCTAAAAACCTGTCCTAGTGAAACTGATGCTTGACCTGGGCCTTAAAGGATGAGTAATAATCCATTAGTCAGCCAAGGGTCCGATCATTCCAAGCTAAAGGAAAACTATGTACAAAGGCTAGGAACTATTAATTTCCATGCTGGGTTCCAGATATAAAGGAGAAATCCATGTGATTTCACCTAAAGGGTCAGATGGATCAGCAGAAGATGAGTTCGGATAACAAAAATAATAGTTAATAGAATTCAATATATGATAAGAATATTCGGTGTTTATAACAAACGGGATAATTCCAACCAGAGGATGGAAGGATCAAAGGTTTTTTTTCTATCAAGGTGTGGAGCTGGGGTCCTATCTTACACAGTTTAGTCATTCTCAAATATTTTTATACACCAGAAAAACATGGAAAGACTTAAAATTGCCTCCGTCTTGCTCAAACCTTCCGAAGATTCCAATTTAATTGATCTGGGATGGAGCCTGGGAATCTATATTTTTTATTTTTGTGTGTGTTTTATTTGTTTAGTGCTCTCCTAGTAATACTAATATATAAGTAGGACAGAAAGCTGCCTGCAGTAAGCAGTCACAACCCAATACCAGTAGTTAGAAGCCCAAAATGAGTCATTTAAACAATATTCTTAAGGTCCACGTGCAAAATTCTGGAAACAAGGAGTCAGTAGAGGTTACAGAAGGTAATTTTAGCAGCAGTGAGAGGTTGAATTAGGACAGTGAGTTTTCAGTCATTTCTGCTTATCTGGCACTTGCTTTCTATGAAGAAAAGGAAAGAGCATATTCAGATACTCCCAGTGATACTGGAGTCATAGTCTCAGGCTAAGATAGTGGGCATGAGATGAGATGGACTCAAAAGACAGAAGTAGATGTTGGGATAAATTAGAGTATTGGGATAAAGAAGAAAGAGAGAGCTCAAAGAACAATCCAAAGGTTGTAACTATAGGGGCAGGAGCAGTAGGTCTAGGATGTAGATAAAGAACTAATTTGAAAGTGTTGACTATAGGCAGCTTCCCAATAAACCATGGCTAATACCTGAGCCATTATTTCTTTCACAGCCCCAGGCACAACTGTGTGGTGCCTCACTTTCTGAAACATTTTAACAGTCTCCTCCTTTGTATATGACCCCAGTGCCCTCAGGCCATTCCCGGACTGCTTTCTTGGTTTCAAAATATTTCCTCTACTTAAGTATTGGTTTTAGAGGAGACTGAATTGAGAATTGTGCTATAGGGAGCATCCCAGAACCACGAAAATGACAGTGGTTATGAACTATCACTGATGAACATTTTAGGCAAAAGTGGCCGATTTTGAAGATGACCTCGAGGTCATCCAAACTTCCCTCTTTCCTCATTGCCAAAGGTCCTGAGGAACATTATGAAAAATAAAAATTAAAGGCAGGTGGAAAGCCCAAACATACGTCTTTTTATTTGTGATATTGAATTATAAAGTGAGAATTACTAGGCTTTGTTGATGGCAAAACCAGACTCTGTAAAATATTTTAGGCAGTCAGATTACAGTTTGGTTTTATACATTTTATGAAGGCAGGAGTTTTAGGCAAAGACATAAATCAATATATGGAAGGTACACATTGGTGAGGCCTAAAAGGGTGAGATATCTTGAAGCAGGGGCTTACAGGTCATAGGTGGATTCGGAGATTCTTTAATTTGTGATTGGTTAAAGGAGTAAAGGTTTGTCTAAAAATTTGGAGTAAGCAGGAAGGAATGTTTTAAGTTAAGATAAGGAAGTCTGTTAATCAATACACTGGGTCAGAGTGACCTGTAGGGGTGTGCGATTTAACCCTTGTCTGACATGGCCTTAGGTCCTGTTTATAATTTGGTATCTTAATGTTGCAGAGTCCATTTTGTTAGTCTTTGCTCTCTATTTTACAATAACATTAATGCTAGTCAGTTGTGCCTAAACTCCAAAAGGGAGGGGGTATAAAAAAGCGTGTCTGACCTCCTTTCTTGTCATTGCCAGGAATTCAGTTTTTAAGGTTTCTCTGGGGTCTCAGTGGCTAAGAGAGGGTCTGGTCCATTTGTGACGGGCTAAGGATTTTATTTTTAGTTTACAGCAGGATCAATGATTATGTTTCCTAAGGGACCTAATTCTAGAAGTCCTTCAGTTCTCCCCAAATATTTTGGGCCCTTGTGTCACAATTGCTGAAACCCTGACTCCAAATTTGGGAGGATAACATTGCTGCCAGCTTTTTACTGGTATCAAGAAAAATGCCAGAAAATATGCAACATATGTTGCCATTTTGTCAAAAGCAGCAATGTTAACATGACAATGAAAGCAAGTTCCTTTTGGATTTCTTTTTAATCCCTGGAAGGTCAGAGGGCCAAAGTTTTCTAGTAATTCATCTAGGAAATTAACCACCTTTGGCTTTTCTTACTATTTTAATTTACAATTATGATTTATAGATGAACGTTGGTTGGAAAATATTTTTACACATAATGGCTTTTTTAGAATAGCATCTACAGATACATGACAGAAGGATAAAAATTGTAACTGTGACAGCAATTTCAATCAGAAATAAAAACCTTAAGGAGCATCATGAAATTTACCAAAATTTATGCTTCTGATTTCATGGTATGTATTTGTTGATTTGTTTCTTCCCCAAGGGATTAGTAGTGAATATGTAAGTAAAAAAGGACATGATTACACATGAAATACAATATGTCTTCTGGGAAGGTGGAGAAATCTTTCAGCCTTAGTGGCATTCACGTTTGTGTGGCTGTGTATGTGGATGTGTGAATTTATTCAACAAAAATGATACCACTTCCATTTGCATGATATTGTAAAGATTTTTTTCTTTCCCATATATTCTCTCTTTTTGGTCTCCTGATAATCCTGCGAGGTAACATTAATATATGTGATACATTTAATGAAAGTCTTTGACAGGCAGCAACATATTTGAGAAAACAAGCTTGGGAAGTAAGCAATATTATCTTCATTTAAATAATGAGAAAAATGAGTCTCAAATAGGGTAAGTGATCTACCAACCAGCACCCAGCTCTCCAAGATAGAACTGATACTCAAAACTAAGTCTTGTTAACCCAGTACTGTGCTTGATTCATAGAAAATGTTCCACAAATATCTGAAATTTAATTCATAGTTTGTGTAGGTACAGCATGCAACCACCACAAGGAATTTTGGCTTTCTCTTTAAAATGTGGACTTTTATGTGCCAAGATAAATTTTCTTTGTGGCTGAATGTTTTTCAGGAAGAGATTACTCAACTAATTTGAACCACATTGACCTATCTGTAATTTATGGAAAAGTGCAACATAATACAGGATTATAGAGGCTAGAGTCACGCTTGCTGAATACATATGCTGTACATTATTTTGAAAGAAAGAAAACATTTTAATACAAACTATGTGAATTTGATGACGCATTTTCCCTTTATTTCTGTTAGTATAAACCTGCCTATATCTGATAATTGTTGGTGGGCATGAAGTAAAAGGAAATTATCCCCCTTTCTGTAGGTTGTCTGTAAAGAAATAAAGCAAAAGGGAATTAGTACAAAATAATAACGGTAATCTAAGCAGACATAGAGTTCAGTGTTTGTTTTATTTCACAGAAAGATGCCTATGCAACTTGTGTAACAAATTGGTAGGCTGAAAGAATAACCTCATGTAAATGAAGAATGTAATTACCATCTTCACAGTTTTGGTACATGTTGGAAATGTCATTTCAATCAGGGCTAATCATAATATGACAGGAATAACTGTGATACCATAAGTGATAATGTTATGCTGCTCACTTTTTCTAAATTTGGTGGCAAAATATGCAAAGATAAAACTTTCAAAGAGCCAGTAAAACATGTTCAAGAATTTTCTCACTTTAAAAAATATTTTCAGGGAAGTACTCATCATTATAGATCAACAATTATTTTGATAACTCCATTGTTTTTAAATTAACCCTGTTTTAGTATTTTGGTCATCTTTTATGGTCAATTATAAAAGAAAAGGATCCATTTTAAGTGACAATAAGTATTTGATATTTTACTTTTTCCACATATATATTCCTATATTCCATATGGCACATATGTATATTTTGTATATATTCCACATATAATCCATATATATATATTAGACACACAGATACACACATACGTATGATATCTGTCTATCTGTCTGTCTATCTATCTATCTATCTATCTATCTATCTATCTATCTATCTATAGTTGAGACAAGGTCTTACTCTAACAGCCAGGCTGGAGCGCAGTGGGGTGATCACGGCTCACAGCAGACTCCATCTCCCAGGCTCAAATGATCCTCTCACCTCAGCCTCCCGAGTAGCTAGAACTACAAGTGCACCCCACTGCATGTAGATAAATTTAATTTTTTTTTTTTTTTTTTTTGTAGAGACAGGGTCTCACTGTGTTGCCCAAGCTGTCCCCTAACTCCTGGGCTTAAGCAATCCTCCTACCTCAGCCTCCCAAAGTGCTGGGATTATAGACATAAGTCACCATGCCTGGACACATGTGATATTTTGTATGTATGTATGTATGTATGTATGTATGTATGTATGTATGTATCTATCTATCTATCTATCCATCCATCGATCTAAAAATTTAAATATAGTTTTCGAAATGTTGTCTCTCATTTTTTTTTTCCGTACATGGGCTTCTTATTAACAATAAATAAAGTAGCTAAAAACAACGAACTAAGAACTTCAGCATAAAGCTCAATGGGTGTTCCCATTCATTGCATTGTGAAGTTGATATGAATGCCATTTTGATGCTACCTCATTTTCTGGCTCCTGATGAAGAAACAGATTAATGACAAATTCCTTTCATTACTAATTTCTGTGGTTCTCATGAAGTTTATGACATTTTAATTTAATTTTATTTTGTTACTTTTCTAATCCACTACTTTATGGACAAGTCAACAAATGGTTTCTTAAAAGTACCTCTCTACTAGGAAGTTGGCAATAAATACAAATAACTAACTGTTGCTGTGTGGATACAGCCTCCCAACGGGAGACAACAGGGGAGTCAGGGGAGTGAAGAAGAAAGGAAGAAGTATGATTTGTATTTTGTTTTTGTTCATAATTTTTGGTGTTGAGTACAAAGTTTGACCCAAGACATAAATAAATGCGTTGATTTTTGAAAACTTTAAATAAAGGTATCTTATTCTGTGGTTCAAGAACCACTGGAAATGTAGAGGTCATCCAAATGTCCTGAAATTGGATGCAAATTTTTATTTCTATGTGCATATGTACATTTTTATGGGGAAAGGATACACGACATTATTCAGATTTTCCTCAACATATAAGACTAGCAAATAGGTTCAGGACCACTGCCTTATCTATTAATTATATTCAGGTCCAAATGGGAAAAAGACGTTTCTAAGAAACAAGAATATAAATGCCTTAATCCATGAATTTACTTTTATTTATACAAGATATTACATAAAATAATCTGAAACAAAGCATCTTCCAAAATAGTGTTATAAGAATGAATATTATGCCGGGCACGGTGGCTCATGCCTGTAATCCCAGCGATTTGGGAGGCTGAGGCAGGTAGATCACCTGAGGTCAGGAGTTCGAGACCAGCCTGGCCAACATGGCAAAACCCCGTTTTTACTGAAAATACAAAAAAATTACCCGGGCGTGGTGGCGTGTGCCTCAAAAAAATTACTGAGGCAGGAGAGTAGCTTGAAACCGGGAGGCTGAGGTTGCAGTGAGTCGAGATCATGCCGCTGCACTCCAGCCTGGACAACAGAGTGAGACTCCATCTCAAAAAAAAAAGGAATGAATATTATAATACTATGTTATTTACTTAATTATAAGAATTAAAAATATATTTGAGCATATTTAGGGCCTCATAATCATGCATAGAGGAAATTGATATGATCCATTTTATGTTGAGTAACTCATTATCATTATTATTATTAATAATATTGCTTACTACAAAAAATTAGGCAAATTCCTTTTCTTATAAAAATTAAGAGTTGAATATGTTGTTATGCCTAAACTACATAACGTCTGCAAAGGTTATGGTCTTATGGATGATGATTTTTCTCAAATATTAGTGTGAAAATAACAAGTTTCTAAGTTTTCCAAATAACTTAATGTGAAGGCAAAGGATTTTTAAGAGGTTTTGATTATACTCAGAGAGTGGAGGACTAAGTGATGAAAGACCAAGATGAGTGGTGATCTGTGTTCCTTTAACTATTATGTGCAGTTGCTGACACAAAATGGTTTTGTTCTTTCTAAAAGGTAGAGAGAGAATTTTGCCCACAGACAGAAAGAAAATGTCTTTCAAGAAGTGGTTTGAGAGGCTGGAGAGAAGCAGATTGGTTACTTGATTACTGAGAGGGCCATTAATAGGAGCTCATTTCTAGCTAAAGTGCTGACATCACTTTGAAGCCATTTACAATTGTTAAAAGGAAGCAACCCTTTAGTATAAATAATGAGCCTGTTACAGTGAAGTGCATTGGCAGATATTCATAAACACAGATACAGGAGGAGCTGTTATTCATTACAATTACTGTTTTTCGTATGTTTGAAAAATGCAAATATATGTGTGTGTGTATGTGTGTAGTCGCACAGTGATATTTTGTTTTAGTACGTATAATTTAGAATTATCAAAAGGAGGTTTGCTCCTTATATGTAGGTTATATTATGTCATGTGTCTACTTTTGGAGAGAGTGATAAATTGAGACAAATATTCCCTAAGTTTGGATTTAACAACCCAAAATCCTCTAGGATGTCACTCTACACTTTATTTGGCAACTTTTCTATGTGCATATTTTAGGGACGCTTGCAGAAAAGGTATGTATGGACAAGACAAGATCCTTGCCTAGAAACAGAAAGAACAAATATGAGCAGAGGCATAAATCAAAACATAAGCAATACAAATCAGTGCTAATTTTTTTAATTAAATAAGGCTTTCTGATTCATGATCTAACCTTTAAAAGTAGTTTCTGAAGTATATTCTCTGTTATGAAACTTCGTTCTTATAATAAAAATCATATTTTGCAAAAAAAAAACCCTAATTTTCAATTACACTATGAAAAAATAAACTAATGAGTTTTCACTATTAAAAAAATAACAGAAGCCAAGTTCATGGAGTTGCTTTTTCTATGTATGTTTATTGCTTGTAGTCTTTCACAAGGATACATATATTCCAAGTTCAACATCTTTCTTTCTCTTTTCTTTCTCTTTTTTTCTTTCTTTTTCTTTCTTTCTTTCTGTCTTTCTTTCTGTCTTTCTGTCTTTCTCTTTCTCTCTCTCTCTCTTTCTTTCTTTTTTTTTTGATGGAGTTTCTTTCTTGTCGCCCAGGCTGGAGTGCAATGGCACCAGCTCGGCCCACTGCAACCTCTGCCTCCTGGGTTCAAGTGATTCTCCTGCCTCAGCCTCCTGTGTAGCTGGGATTACAGGCATGCACCACCATGCCGGCTAATTTTGTATTTTTAGTAGAGATGAGGTTTCTCCATATTGGTCAGGCTGGTCTTGAACTCCCGAGCTCAGGTGTTCTGTCTGCCTCAGCCTCCCAAAGTGCTGGGATTACAGGCATGAGCCACCACGCCCGGCTAAGTTCAACATATTTCATATTCAAAATATCTGTGTCAGTTAGCTTTGGCTACATAATAAACTACTCTAAAACTGAATGGCTTAAGACAATTTAGTTCACTGTTCTGGTAGGTGTTTCTTCTGGTCTGGGCTTGGCTCTCTCATGCATCTTTGGCTCAAGTATGGCTTTCCACAGTGTCTTAACCCTTCAAAGACTCAGGTTTTACATCTAAAACCAGAGTTCGAGAACAGGAACCTCATAACTGACAAAAAAATAAAAGTTACTCCTCAGTGTTGTCTGAACTCATCTCTCCTGCTAAACTCCCAAAGGAGAATTCAAAACTGGCCTATTTTCCTCAAGCTCCCTATTCAACCCTTCTCAACCTTCCCCTCTCCTTAGCCAATATCCTACCTGATATGTTTTTAAATATTTTAGACCCTCAGATATGAATGCTCTTGCCTTCCCTATATCCTAATGATAAATGTATTCATGATCACAGCCAACCTCACGTTCTTTTCCTGGCTTTCTCAGAGGAGAGTCTCATCGTCCACTTAAGAGATACCTATTTCACTTGCATCCTTGATTTTATCAATTCTTATTCTCTTTCAACTGTATGGTCATCTTCATCTTTTCCTCTCTACTGTAGAACTGCCATTTTATTTTTCTTCTTTTCTGAGCCAATCTTCTCGAGGGAGTAATCTCAATTCTCTATCTCCATGGCTTAATTTCCCACTTCATGCTAATCTACTGTAATTCAGTCTTTATTTGTCATGGTGCAAAAACTATTATTTTTATAATCAATGGTGACTTTTATATTGGTAAATCTAGTGAACATGTGCTAGTTTTTTTTTTAACTAGGTCTCTCTTCTGCACTTGACACTGTTCATTACTCTGTCTTAGTCTCTACACACTTGCCTCTTATTATAGTATTCTCTGTTTTCTTTCCTTTGTGAACACTGTCAACATCCTTCACAAGTTTCTCTTCCTGCAGTCACCTTTTGGATAGAGGTGCCACCATGCTTCCGTCCCAGTTCCTTTACTCTTCTTATCCTGCACATCCTCTTGCTGTCTTCATTCCATCTCCAACCCTTGCATTTCCATCAGATACTTCTCTGGAGTGGTTCCATAGGGATGCCAGATGCACTACCTACCAACTCATACTGAATTTTTTATATATATATATATATATATATATATATATATATATATATATATATATATATATATATATATATATATATCCCCTTCTTCTTTAGCACAATATCCTGGAGAATCACGTAGATTAGAAACAAACGGGTCACTCTTGTTCCCCTACTTCCTCACTTTCCTATTCAATTAGTCATCAAGACTTGCACATTTTGACAACTAAGATTTTTCTTTTGTTCCATCCCCTTTCAGCCCATCACAGTCCCCTAAGACCACCTCTTAGTTCAAATATTTTGTACCTCTTGTTTACTACCACAGCACACAACAGTTTCACATAACTTCACATTACATATACACTTTCACTCAAAAAAGGATAGCATTTTTGGATTTTGAAGCACGGCATACCTTTTAACGTGTGTATAAGATGTGTTTTCTCATGACTTCTTATACAATCACATGTACTATTCTGCATTGCTGCTTTATACGCTTGTGACTTATCTCATGTAGGAATGGAAAGAGGGTGATCCCTTTCCTTCCCATCATAAGGGTCACAGTTGACACCTCTATAAAAAGAGAGAAGCCATACAAATTTATTTTATCATAGTTTCTTGTGGCTTGGGAGGGAGCCTTCAGAATGAAGACCCCAAGATACAGGGAAGACTACCTTTTTATGCTTAGGTTCCATGAAGGATGGACAGCTGTGTAGAACTGTGATTGGACAAAAAGGGTATGATCTAATACTAATAGACTGAGTGGGAAAAATCAGCAAGGCCTGTCTGTCCAGATTCTTCTTGACCTCTCTGTGCAGCGTTCCTTCCTCCCAGGTGTGGTGCAGGAACTCTCTCTGGTATGGGGGATCTTTGACCTATAGTCAACAGGTAAGTTAGAGAATTTCTTTATGGCCAGTTCTTACACATAAAGGTAGGGGGTAAGTTATGATGATATTTTTAGGTTTTATGGCTGGCCTTGAGGAGAAACATTTCTGATTTCTATGACCAGTTTTAGGGAAGAGGGATTTTAATTTCGATGGCTATCCTCAGGGAAGAACAAGGGGTGAGAGACAAAAGGGCAGGAGGGCAGAATTTTGTTTCTGAAATTGCCTCTGAGGACTTCACTTTGGGGTACTGCTTCCTGTGCCTCAATATAATCAATGTGATCAATTTTACATTGTTGGTATTATTCAATGATACTTTAGATTTGTGAAATTCACTAGTTAGAACCAAGCTATTTATTCTACATTAAAACATTTCAATAGATAGAATATCTTACAATAGCTATTGTCAAAAAATCATTATTATTGGGTTTAACATTTTTATATTTAGCTCTGTGTGGAATATCTTAATTATTTTTTGACTTCTCTCTCATGTAGCATCAGAAATTATTCACTTGAACAGATTTTAGATTAATTTATTGATATTATGATTACCATGCATATCCATTAAATATTTTGATATTGACAATTAAAAAGAATGAAGTATGCATATATGTCTCAATCATCCAGCTGATCCTAGGAAAGGGATGTGCATTTATTAATCATGTTTTTAACCCACAGCACTTACTGTGACATTTGTCACATAGTAAGCACTATATATGTTTTTAAATTAATGAAGCTATCAAAGTTCACCAACCAATATAATTTCAGAGGACAGATGAAGGCTTTCACGTCTTCATTTGTTCACACCCTATATTCTTCCTTATGCAGCTATTTAAAATTAATTGGCAAGAATTACCACTCTCCTTTTCTCATACTTGTTTTGGATTCTAAACTTTGTTATTTTATTTTTGCCATCTCTATTCTTTCTACTTACTTGACAATTTTAAAATCACACATTATCTAAAATCAGGCAGTGTTTTAATTGGTTGATATATTTTACAAGAAACCATTCCACCATTATGTTCTTGGTGATTTAAATGCCTATTTGGCTACTTACTTGCACATTATTTGCAAGAATACTGATATCTCTTTGAAATCCTTATCTGTGAGTGTGTTAGTCCATTTGTGTTGCTCTAAAGGAACACCTGAGGCTGGATAATTTATAAGAAAAAAAGTTTGTTTTGGCTCACAGTTCTGCAGGCTGTGCAAGAAGCACGGTGCTGGCATCTGCTACTAGTGAGGGCCTCAGGAAGTTTCTGATCATGGCAGAAGGTGAAGGGGGAGCCAGTGCATCACGTGGTTAAGAGAGGAAGAATGAGGGAGAAAGAGTGGGGAGGTGCCACAGTTTTAAACAACCAGATCTCACATGAACTGAGAGTGAGGACTCATTCATTATTCTGAGTACAGCACCAAGCCATTCATGAGGGATCTGTTTCCATGACACAAACACCTACCACTAGGCCCCATCTCCAACATTGAAGACTATATTTCACCATAAGATTTGGAGGGGACAAACATCCGAACTATCAGCAATTATGTAGCTACATAGAAACACCAAAGCTGTTCTTTCTATTTTATTTGGTAGAGGTTAAGATAAGAGAATATGACAGTTTATTTCACTCAAGGCATTTTATTAATTCATTGACATTTGTCTTTGAACAAAGAGGGTCATGTACGTTCCTGCCTTATTCATGGTGAATTGGTTTGGATGTAATGGTACTTGTACAACCTGAGGTCTTACCAAGGATACTATCTCTCCAGTTCATTTGTATGTCTTTCCAAGGACTCTGAAACATTTTGTCCAAGGAAAAAGTTTCTTATTGAATTTGAACTTACATCAAATGAGGCAAAGTACTTAGCAGCCACTCCACTTTCAGCATAGGAAAATTCTATAATTTGTCTTGTGCATTGTATGCATTGTTCTATTTAGAATCTGTGTTTACCTTGTAAATGTACTTTTAATAATACCTGAAAAAGTAATATTGAGAATGCATTGTTCTATGTCATAGCCCTCATTATTTCATTAAATGAAGAGCTGAAAAAGAGATAATCATTTAATTTATGTTTTAAATATCTATACTGACTTGTTTGAAGAATAATATAGCCACCATTTATTAAACCTTGGAAGTAGTGATTTTACAAACATTTTTTTCTCATTCGCACAATGACTCTGCACATAAGTGGCCTATTATTATTTTCATTGTCCAGTTGACGATTCAAGGGTTATACAATTTATGTGACTTCCCATTGTCATATTGGGGCTGGAATCTATACCAATTTTGCAGAACTTGAGAATTTATGTCCTTTCCTGTATAACCGTGGTTTTCCATGTTTTCCTTCTGCTTCCATATTTCCACATGGGCAACACATTCCCACTCTTTTACATAATATTTCTTCAGAAAAAGGCAAGAAGAAGGTTGTATGTAATCTGAATTGGCTGTCTTTTACATTCCCCTCTCAAACCCTAGAGGTTGCAATACCCATGATCCTCTTGAGAATTGCCACACTATATAGCAGTGGTTGGATGCTGGCTCCAAATTAGAATCTCTAATAGTCTGATTTAATTATTCTGGGTACTAAGATGCTGGTATTTTAAGAGCTCTCTAGGTGATTTAATATGCAGCCAGAGTTGAAAACCAAGGTTTCCCTTCTATTGTATTTCATGAAATGAAAAAGACAAAATAAAAAAAGAAATTCAATTTATATTGTTTGCTGTCAATGAAACATATCACATAACCTCCCAATTCTTAAATTACACCAGTACTTCATATTTGAAATATATATTCTTAATAAATCTTTTAACTTTCAGGGCTCTTTCCCCCTAATTCTTTTCAGTTACTTTATTAGCTCTTTGACCTTGGGCAACTTTCTCTTAGAGTCGATTTTCTTTTCTTCATTCTAATTTATAAATTAAACTCTTAGCTAGGTAATATTATTTATTACTTTTTTGAATAGGTGACTCTTATAAAATTTCATTTATTTTGTTTCTGGTATTTACATATTGGCCTAGTGACCATACTAGATACTTAATATGCTGTATATATTTTATACACATAAATAAAAATGTAAATACACACTATATATATACTATATTTATTTTTAGAGTAAATAAACTTTTTAAACTTCAGGTTATTTAGCACTAACATACTCTCTGATGGTCCCAGTATTAACATGGTTTTTAGGAGTGCACAAACCCTTTTCTGCAAGAGACCAGAGAGTAAATATTTTAGGCTTTGTAAAACTTATGGTCTCTTTTGCAACAATTCAGTATCTGTCACAACTATTCGACTCCACCATTGGAATGCTAAAGCATCTGTAGACAATATGTAAACAAATAGGTATGATTATGTTGCAATAAAACTATATTTATGAATGCTAGCTGTAGGCTAGGTTTGACCTGCAGTCTGTCGTTTGTTGAACCCTGCTTTTTATGATGATTGTGACCTTGATTTTGTTTTCCTTTTTCATAGCAGGTGCTTCATAAGTATTGATTTATATTAGTATGTTTCCTACTTTCTTCCTGCCACAACACAGCAGTTGTTCACAGGAATTTTGTTGCTTCTCCTAGCCTTTTCCATAATTTTTTGGTATTAACCAAAGTAATCTACTATATATGGAGAAATTTGCTATGGTATTACTTTTGTATAGGTTATGTGGTCAGCTGCTCTAGGTTGATTATTTTAGCTCTATTGAAATCACTTTGGTAGATCTAGGCTGCAGCAACAAGGTGAAATAAAGTTAGAACAATGGAAAGAGTGGTAAATAAAAGGATCAAGGCCAATGAAAAGGCTTATATAAGAAGATATCCCAAAATATTAGAGTTTTTTAGTGGCTCTCCCTATTATACACACTGTACCAATTAAAATAAATTTAAGAGACTTCAGAAGAATAACACAGTTTTCAGATGGGTGGATATGGACATATTCTCCAATCCTCAGGTGACTACAAGTAAGAAATCCACTAATTGGAAAGAAAAGAAAGTAGACTGTAATATAACAGGTAACAACTTCATGAAATGAGTAATCTCAATGAGTAGTTTAGACTAAAAATACAAATAAATTATATATGTATATATATATAGAGAGAGAGAGAGAGAGAGAGAGACAGAGAGAGAGAGGGAGAGAGAGAGTTCATAAATGAATAATTGTAGAAAGTTGGTTTGAGATTTCAGTAATAACGTCATGGAGGGCAGCTCTGTTCATTTTTCAGAATGCTCTATTCAAAGTAGTTATGTCTGTGATTTTATTTATACTGTGATTTTTTCTTAAATGTTTTGATTTCTCTTAAAGTCGTATGCTTTTCCTCTCATTATTTAAATTTAGATCACGGTAGTATGATTTACTATTAAAAGGTTAATAAAATGGGCTGATATTTCTCATTATATATGAGATAGCTTCAAATTATGATATAGAAAAGCCATTACATTGATATAGAGCATTTTCTGTTTTATCTAACACAGAAATTTCCCAATCACTTAATCTGCTTAATATTTATAGATCTTACATTATCCATGATTACTGTTTCAGCTTATTTTTACTTTATTCATGTTGTGAATAGATAGTACATGCTCATGGTACAAGATTCTAAACACACACACATACACACACTCAAACACACACACACACACAAATGATACAGAGAAACAGTAGTCTCTTTTTTCTTCTGTCCGTCTATATCCTGAATTCAATTACTACTATGAGTCTCATCTAGAAATAGTTCATATACTTACAAACATATTTAAATTCTTATGTAATCCCATTTGACCCAGCAATTCCACTCTTAGGTATATACCCAAGAGAAATGAAAATACATGTTCACATAAAATCTTGTGCACAAACGTTCATAGCATTATTCATAATAGTCAAAAGTGGAAACAACCCAAATATTCATCAGCTGATGAATGGATAAAACAAAACGTGGCCTATCTTTACAATGGAGTATAATTAGGCAATAAAAAATGAACTACTGGCTTGGCGCAGTGGCTCACTCCTGTAATCCCAGCACTTCGGGAGGCTGAGGCGGGCAGATTATTTGAGGTCAGGAGTTTGAGACCAGCCTGGCCAACAGGGAGAAACTCCATCTCTACTAAAAATACAAAAATTAGCCGGTCGTGGTGGCACACGCCTGTAGACCCAGATACTCGGGAGGCTGAGGCAGGAGAATCGCTTGAACCCAGGAGGCGAAGGTTGCAGTGAGCCAAGATTGCACCATTGCACTCCAGCCTGGGCAACAAGTATGAAACTCCGTCTTAAAAAAAAAAAAAAAAACAACTACTGATACATGTTACAACATTGCTGACCCTTGAAAACATTATGCTGAGCTAAAGAAGGCAGCTATTATTAAAAGACCACATATTATTCAATTTATGTGAAATGTTCAGAACAAGCAACTCTATATAGAGAAAAATTACTGTTACAGGGCTGCTGCTGGTGGTGGTGGAGGGTGATGCAGGAAAGGGGAAAATGGGAGTGACTGGTAATAGGTAAGAGGTTTCTTTTGGGGAGGGTGAAATGCTCTGCAATTACATGGTAGTGGTGGTTGGACAACCCTGTAAATATACTAAAAACACTGAATTATACACTTTAAATGGATGAATGATATGGTATATGAATTATATCTCATTAAAGCTGTTTTAAAAAATGTATATTTGTTCAAGATTTTGAACCAGCAACATCTGTAACATATTCAAATGCAATTTCATTTTAGCTTCCAAGCATGGTCACTCTACCTCATAGGTGTTAATTCAGTATTAGAATGACTAGTCCAAGGTAGCATCTAAAACTCTGAACTTAATTTAGTGTTAAATTGTGCCCCTTCCCCGGTTTAGGGCTACTGCAGACAGGAGTATTACAACAGAAAAGACAGGCGTGGCAGGCGGCGTCTTTAAATCTGTTCCTTGGACTTCTCTCCTGCTTACACCTTGCTATTCTGACTGTTCCAAGGTCAGAGCAGAATAAAGACAGAATGAGGTGATATAAAGTGTTTTCTAGGCCTAATGGCTGGTTAAGTGTTCTTTCTCTTTGTCTCTCCCCTCCCAGCCCTACCTACCTCTCCTACAGTTTCCTTGACCCAGACAGGCTCAATCTCTATCTGTGTGGAGACTTGTTACTCTTTCCTTCTCTTCTGAAGATCTAGGCTTCACCTCAGGTTCTTGTTGCTGAGGTTCTTATACTCCCATAGGTGGCTACTGGTCAGAACCCAAGTCAACCCAGTGTTGACTCTATTTTCTGTGTACTTTGCTGTTAGGGTGCCCGTGTAAGTTATCATCCAAACTGAAATACATTTGTGAGTGAAAGGGGGTATTACTAATAATTTTGATGAGGCCGGGAGTGGTGGCTCACGTCTGTAATCCCAGCACTTTGGGAGGCCAAGGCGGGCAGATCACCTGAGGTCAGGAGTTTGAGACCAGCCTGGCCAACATGGTGAAACCCCATCTCTACTAAAAATGCAAAAATTAGCTGGGTGTGGTGGCACACGCTTGTAATCCCAGCTACTCGGGAGGTTGAGGCGGGAGAATCGCTTCAACCCAGGAGGCGGAGGTTGCAGTGAGCTGAGATTGCACCATTGCACTCCAGCCTGGGTGTGACAGAGCGAAACTCCGTCTAAAAAATAAAAAAATAATAATTTTGATGAGACAGGCATAAAATGGGACTGTTCTGAGCAAATGGGTCTTATAGATACCCACTGTATAGAAAATACTCACATATCCTTTGCCCCCAAAGGTTTGGAACACTGCCTCATCTATTCTGCTTGTGGCCATTGCTCTGCCTCTCTCAGGTGTGAGGTGAGCTCCATTCCTCCACATCACCCAACTGCAAAGAACACATTCAGTAGATTTCAAAGGAATCTCATAGAAGACCCCTTTACTTGGCTGGAGATAATAGATGAGAATTCTCAGCTCTTTCCCAAGGAGATAGACAAAATATCTTGTCAGAGAAATATCTGCACAAAATCCTTCCTCTGCACTTTCCTAAACCATTTAAAATCTGAAAGTCACCAAGGAGTTCAAGAGTAAGGAACAGATGCTTACCCATTTCCTTTAAAAATCTCTATTTAGTGATTTGTAACTCACACTAGTATTTCGCATCTGTTGTAACATGGTGCCTAGTTCCAACTTCAATTTTAACATCTTATTCTGTATATATTCTTTTTTTGTCCACACAAATGTGAGAGTTATTTTTGAAATATAATGTCAAAAGAGATGATTTGTCTTAGTGGTTCAGTGTGGCACAGGCTTTGAAATCAGAAAACCAGTGTTATTAGATTTTTGACTTTAGGAAAGTAACTTGACTTCTTGCAGCCTTAACTTCATCCCCAGTAAAATGAGGATAATAATAGTACCTACCTCATGGGACTATTATCATAATTATAAGAAATCACATATGTAAAGAAATTAACATAATACTCAACTTGTGGTTTGATGTGCAATAAGTTAACTATTATTATTACTATGATTGTTATTTTTAATATCTATAGGAAACCAAATAATATGAAATGTCACAAATTATTTTTGAAAATACTATTCTAAGGTCTTTTTTTTTTTTTTTTTTTTTTTTTTAGATTCTATATCAATTTTTATTCCTTCATTGTTACGAAACAGATGAATAATCCTTGGCAGATATACTTGAGAGAAGACTCTTCTCTCTTCCTGACTGGGGTCCAAGTAGTCCTAATCCCATTTATCCGCATCTGTATATTCCACATTGGATTTGTCTCACACATGTCCTTCTTGAGATGTTACTTCTGTGTTTGAGCCAGATTCTCTGTCTAGAAAATTGTCCTTGGTTATACCTGCTCAATGTTTGCTATTAATAATGATATACATCATAATCATTTAAAAAGCCCAAAACTATAACAACCCTTTAGATTAAAGATACATGCTCCATTGGCAGCCCTCAAGCCATTTATTTTCACAATGTGCTGAGTTTAACTCACTCATTCATTTATAAATTGACTTGGTTGCCAATATTTGGAATCAGAAGATGTTTATCCCAAATCCAGCTTTCCATGGGAAATCAGGTAACATGGGAGAACTTGGCCCATATTTTATTTATTTATTTATTTATTTATTTATTTATTTATTTATTTTATTTTTTTTTTTTTATTGATCATTCTTGGGTGTTTCTCGCAGAGGGGGATTTGGCAGGGTCATAGGACAATAGTGGAGGGAAGGTCAGCAGATAAACAAGTGAGCAAAGGTCTCTGGTTTTCCTAGGCAGAGGACCCTGCGGCCTTCCGCAGTGTTTGTGTCCCTGGGTACTTAAGATTAGGGAGTGGTGATGACTCTTAACGAGCATGCTGCCTTCAAGCATCTGTTTAACAAAGCACATCTTGCACCGCCCTTAATCCATTTAACCCTGAGTGGACACAGCACATGTTTCAGAGAGCACAGGGTTGGGGGTAAGGTCACAGATCAACAGGATCCCAAGGCAGAAGAATTTTTCTTAGTACAGAACAAAATGAAAAGTCTCCCATGTCTACTTCTATCCACACAGACCCGGCAACCATCCGATTTCTCAATTTTTTTCCCCACCCTTCCCGCCTTTCTATTCCACAAAACCGCCATTGTCATCATGGCCCATCCCCAATGAGCCGCTGGGCACACCTCCCAGACGGGGTCGTGGCCGGGCAGAGGGGCTCCTCACTTCCCAGTAGGGGCGGCCGGGCAGAAGCGCCCCTCACCTCCCGGATGGGGCAGCTGGCCGGGCGGGGGGCTGACCCCCCCCACCATCCTCCCGGACGGGGCGGTTGGCCAGGCAGAGGGGCTCCTCACTTCCCAGTAGGGGCGGCCGGGCAGAGGCGCCCCTCACCTCCTGGATAGGGCGGCTGGCCGGGCGGGGGGCTGACCCCCCCACCTCCCTCCCGGACGGGGCGGCTGGCCGGGCAGAGGGGCTCCTCACTTCCCAGTAGGGGCGGCCGGGCAGAGGCGCCCCTCACCTCCCGGACGGGGCGGCTGGCCAGGCGGGGGGCTGATCCCCCCACCTCCCTCCAGGATGGGGCGGCTGGCCAGGCGGGGGGCTGACCCCCCCACCTCCCTCCCAGACGGGGCGGCTGGCCGGGCAGAGGGGCTCCTCACTTCCCAGTAGGGGCGGCCGGGCAGAGGCGCCCCTCACCTCCCGGACTGGGTGGCTGGCCGGGCGGGGGGCTGACCCCCCCACCTCCCTCCCGGACGGGGCGGCTGGCCGGGTGGGGGCTGACCCCCCCCACCTCCCTCCCGGACAGGGCGGCTGGCCGACCCCCCCCCCCGCCTCCCTCCCGGACGGGGCGGCTGGCCGGGCAGAGGGGCTCCTCACTTCCCAGTAGGGGCGGCCGGGCAGAGGCGCCCCTCACCTCCCGGACGGGGCGGCTGGCCAGGCGGGGGGCTGATCCCCCCACCTCCCTCCCGGACGGGGCGGCTGGCCGGGCGGGGGGCTGACCCCCCCACCTCCCTCCCGGACGGGGCGGCTGGCCGGGCGGGGGGCTGATCCCCCCACCTCCCTCCCGGACTGGGCGGCTGGCCGGGCGGGGGGCTGACCGCCCCACCTCCCTCCCGGACGGGGCGGCTGGCCGGGCAGAGGGGTCCTCACTTCCTAGTAGGGGCGGCCGGGCAGAGGCGCCCCTCACCTCCCGGACGGGGCGGCCGGCCGGGCGGGGGGCTGACCCCCCCACCTCCCTCCCGGACGGGGCGGCTGGCCGGGCAGAGGGGCTCCTCACTTCCCAGTAGGGGAGGCCGGGCAGAGGCGCCCCTCACCTCCCGGACTGGGTGGCTGGCCGGGCGGGGGGCTGACCCCCCCACCTCCCTCCTGGACGGGGCGACTGGCCGGGCAGAGGGGCTCCTCACTTCCCAGTAGGGGCGGCCGGGCAGAGGAGCCCCTCACCTCCCGGACGGGGCGGCTGGCCGGGCGGGGGGCTGACCCCCCCCACCTCCCTCCCGGACGGGGTGGCTGCCGGGCGGAGACGCTCCTCACTTCCCAGACGGGGTGGCTGCCGGACGGAGGGGCTCCTCACTTCTCAGACGGGGCGGTTGCCAGGCAGAGGGTTTCCTCACTTCTCAGACGGGGCGGCCGGGCAGAGACGCTCCTCACCTCCCAGACAGGGTTGCGGCCCAGCAGAGGCGCTCCTCACATCCCAGACAGGGCGGCGGGGCAGAGGTGCTCCCCACATCTCAGACGATGGGCGGCCGGGCAGAGACGCTCCTCACTTCCTAGATGGGATGGCGGCCGGGCAGAGACGCTCCTCACTTTCCAGACTGTGCAGCCAGGCAGAGAGGCTCCTCATATCCCAGACGATGGGGGGCCAGGCAGAGACGCTCCTCACTTCCCAGACGGGTTGGCGGCTGGGCAGAGGCTGCAATCTCGGCACTTTGGGGGGCCAATGCAGGCGGCTGGGAGGTGGAGGTTGTAGCGAGCCGAGATCACGCCACTGCACTCCAGCCTGGGCACCATTGAGCACTGAGTGAACGAGACTCCGTCTGCAATCCCGGCACCTCGGGAGGCCGAGGCTGGCGGATCACTCGCGGTTAGGAGCTGGAGACCAGCCCGGCCAACACAGCAAAACCCCGTCTCCACCAAAAAAAAAACGAAAACCAGTCAGGCGTGGCGTCGCAGGCACTCGGCAGGCTGAGGCAGGAGAATCAGGCAGGGAGGTTGCAGTGAGCCGAGATGGCAGCAGTACCGTCCAGCTTTGGCTCGGCATCAGAGGGAGACCGTGGAGGGAGACGGAGACGGAGACGGAGAGGGGAGAGGGGAGAGGGGAGAGGGGAGAGGGGAGAGGGGAGAGGGGAGAGGGGAGAGGGGAGAGGGAGAGCTATTCTAAGGTCTTTAGAAGCAAACAGTGCCATTGAGAATTCCTCAAAGCACTAAATTACAAAAATATTCACATAGATTTAAAGGTTAAACCTGGCTTATAGCAGGTACTCAACTAATATTGAATGAATTAAATGAAACAACTCTTTATCTATCAGGTACCTTTACAAAGTGTACACTACCATTATGTTATAATGTATTAGTCTCCTGAGTCTGTTGTAAAAAGTTACCACAAACTTGGTGACTTAAAACAACAGAAATGTATTCTGTCATGGATCTGGAGGCCACAATTCCAATATATGTTAGAACCGCAGCTTATTAGAGGAAATAAGCAAGTCAGAATGCTTGACTGTACATATCATTCTAAACTGATAGACTTGACCTGAGGCCTTTGACCTCTTACGGAACAAAGGACAAGTACTTTGTGACAGCTATTTTTCTATTTTATTATTTGCCTATATTTGAAAGCACATTTAAATGATAGATGTTGAATTTGTTAGAAAAGTGTCAGTCTTTAACTTTTGAAAAAATGCCAGTTAATAAAAAGGATATATAGGTATCAAGTATCCTTGATTGTGTTGTATTTAAAAACAGTCGTGCGTATGTAAATAGTTCCAAAAATATGTGATAGCTACAGACTTTTTGGTTGTTTATGGAAATATATCTCAATTATAGCTGTTTTTTATAAGCCTGACCATCATAGCCAATCACTGGTATTAAAAAAATATATATGTATATTATACGTATATATTTTATATACATAAATATACATATATACATATATATCTATACCTTATATACCTATATTATTATTCTGCTTTTTGGTAGAAAAGGTGTGTGTGTATATATATATATATGTACACACATACACCTTTAATATATCATATGTATATATACCTTTAATATATTACATATATATGCCATATATATATATATATATATATGCACCGTTTTGGGGTGTGTGTGTGTGTGTGTGTGTGTGTGTGTGTGTGTGTGTGTGTATATCTATGTATATATATACCTGATATACCTGTATCATTCTGCTTTTTGACCTTATCTTTGAAAAACTTTGTCTTCTTTTGTTTTTAAGGATATTCACAAGAATATGAATAGTTCGAAATGTAAAATACAAACTGCTGTAGGGTAGAAAAAACTGTAGTGCCTTTTCCTCAGGGATTCCAAGCGTTGTGGCCAACACTCCTATGCCAAAAGACGTTAATAAGATAAAAGCATAACAGAATTAATCAAGGTATTTTGTGACATGGAAGGCTTCAGAAATGAAGACCCGAAGACCCAGGGAAAACTGTATTTCTGTGCTTAAGTTCGATGAAGCATAGACAGGTGTGGAGAAATGTGATTAGACAAAAGGGTATGATCTAGTGTTACCAGATTGAGGGGGGAAATCCAGTGAGGCATGTTTGTTCAGATTCTTCTGGCCTCTTTGTGCAGCATTCTTTCCTCCAGGTACAGGGCAAGACACCTGTCACATGTGGGTTTTCAGGGGAGAACAGAGAAGGTCAGAGAGTGACATTTCTTGGTTTTATGGCTTGCTTTGGGGGAGAGGAGTTCTAGTTTCTATGACTTACCTGAGAGTGTGGGTGGAGAGGAATTCTGGTTTCTATGTCACACTTTGGAGGAGAAAGGGGAGCCGGAGACTGGAGGGTGGGAGAAGGTCTGATAGACCTGCTTCTAAGGTCCCCCCAGTCTCCTCCAAGTCAAAGTACTCAGCATACAAAGGTGCCATACTTTGGGGTATTGTGTTCTGAGTTCCAACATGGCAAACATGCCCTTTTATTATAAAATGGCTTTGGACATTTTACTGCATTGCCTTAAAAAATAACCAAGGAAATGTGCCAACATTTATAAAATATATGTGTAAATAATTATATGCATTTTAATGTTTCTATCAAAATATAGACTAGTATAGATAGGTTTTGAGTTTATCAGTTGAACACTGTCAATCTTAAATTTTAAGCTGACTGTGGACTATTTTATCTTAAAGCATTGTCTAAGAGATAAAAGAGTATACATTTACAAGATTACTTTCTAATTTAAAGGGAAAAAAGATTAGTATTCTCAACTTTAAATGAAAATCAGTAGCAGTGAGGAAATATAGTACTAGCTAAAATAGGCGTCTTGCAGCTCATGACCCTTGAGTTTATGCTTATTATATATGTGACCTTAGAGAAGTACCTTTACCTCAGTTAACTTCAATGTCCCCATCTGAAAAATAGGAGTTGTGATAATGATATATGAATTACAAGATTTTTTTTCTGTATTAAATAAGATACTATACACAAAGGGCTTAAAACAATATCTGACAAATTTATTTATTTATTTTTTTTGAGATGGAGTCTCACTCTGTCACCCAGGCTGGAGTGCAGTGGCTTGATCTTGGCTCACTGAAACCTCTGCCTCCTGGGTTTAAGTGATTCTCCTGCTTCAGCTTCCTGAGTAGCTTGGATTACAGGTGCCCGTCACCACGCCCGGCTAATTTTTGTATTTTTAGGAGAGACAGAGTTTCACCATGTTGGCCAGGCTGGTCTCGAACTCCTGACCTCAAGTGATCTGCCCGCCTTGGCCTCCCAAAGTGATGGTATTACAGGCGTGAGCCACTGCACCTGGCCGACAAATTTATTCTTATTATTATGCATCATATTAAAAATTAGGCTTTTTAAATTTTTTGGTATGCGTCATTCTCTGGACTGAGCATCTTAAGGACATAGAAACCATATCTTAATCATTTTTTATTGTGGCTTCATCAATTAACACTATTTTATCCTTAAATGCTTGAATAAATGATTCACTGATTGAGTGAATTGTCGGCTGAGTTAACTATAAAGTGTGTGAGAGGCATATAAATTTAATCACTTTAGGAAATTTTTAGTTTCAGTATTATATGGGAAATGGCACACACACACATACACACACACACACGCACATTGCTGAGCCAAATACATTTGAACATAGAATGCTCTATTTATAATGAATCTAAAAGTGTTAAATTATACGTTTGATTCTTTTCATTTCTAAGAAGGTTTTGTAGATATTATTAAATCTTTGTTTACGTAGTTGTTAAATATTTGCTTTTAATTTTAGACAACAATTGGCTGAAAGAAAAGCTCATGTTATTTTTAAAAATGTTGCTTTTTAACACACATTTCCTATATTACAACTCTCTGAGGGACAAGTGACAGAAATCTAACTGAAAATAGTTCAAAGAAAAATACTGACTCAGTCAGTGAGCACTCCAGTGGTAGGACTGTCATTGTCCTCAGATAAAGTTGAATCCGGGAGCTCAGTTGATATTATTAGTACTTTGTTTCTCTCTCTCTGTGTCACTCTCCCTCATCCCCTTCTTCTCTTCCTGTCTCTGTCTGTCTCTCCATTTCTTAACTGTTCATTTCTCTGAGTCCCTGTGGTAACTTTATTATCTGTGAGGCCCTATCTTTCTGGTGATTAAAATGGCCTCTGGCTACCTCAGACTTACATGATTCTTGGTGCCCCCCATTTTAGAAAGCTCCACATTTTTGTTTGGTCTGATTTTGATGACATGCTTTGATCACACGCCCACGCTGGAATCAACCCTAGTGGCTAAGGGGATATGTTACCCTGATTGGCCAGTCTTGGGTCATATGCCCAGCACTAAGATAAATAATATGTTCGGCCCACCCGAGCCGCAGGTACTGAGAACTGTGATCTGTTCTCCAAGCTTATGCTGGGTAAATACACACACACACACACACACACACACACACACACACACGCACACACTCAAATATCACATGTTACTATGTTGATGACACTGTGATAAAAATTGGACAAGTCTTTTATAAGAAAGGCAACTTGACATATTGGAAAAATGTAGGAGGCAGATCATTTTCACTCCTGTACATTTTGGCTATTTGCTGTCATCAGCCAAGTTATATAACCTTTCTGAGCATCAATTACTTCACTGTAAACATAGGATAGATTGTGATGAAAATTAAATGATACATTATGTAAAGAACCTAACCTAGTACTTAGCACATAGTAGATAATCAATGTATATTAAATGTGTAATCACTCTTTGATAAAAATACCTTAGGATTCAGAAAAGGGAATTGAAAAGTGGGGAAGGGGTATGAAATTTAAAGAAATACTATCTGTTCCCTTTATAAAAAATAAACTTTTTAAAGAACTATTCTAGATATGCAGTATTATTATAGTTAGTTCTTTTTAAAGAACTATTCTAGATATGCAGTATTATACAGTTAGTTTCTGTATACCCTACGCTTAGTTTTCCCTGTTACTAATAACTTGCAAAAGTATGGTACAGTTGTCATAATTAATGAGCCAATATATGTTACTAACTAAAGTCCACATTTTATTCAGCTTTCCTCAGTTTTCCTTAACATTCTTCTTCTGTTCCAGGATCTCATCCAGATAATCACATTACATTTAATCATCATATATCAATAGGCTAACCTTGGCTGTGACAGTTTTTCAGATTTTCCTTGTTTTTGAGGACCCTGACAGTTTTGAAGAGTACTCACTAGGTATTTTGTAGGATGTCCCTCAACTGGGATTTGTCTTTATATGTATATTTTTTCATCAGATGTTTCTGGGCAAAATATAAGGTCAGAGACTTGTCAGTCACCTTCATCCCTATAGCTTAGCTCATTATCTGTTGCATAGTAGGTGCTGAATACATGTTTTTCTGCCAACTGAAAGAATAGATACAGTGGTAGAGATTACTGTTTATCTAGTCAATATTCTTTGTTTCCTTCTGCCTTACTGACAAGAACATACTTTAAAAATATATACTCAATTGTTTGTTGATTGAGGTGAAATTTGTATAACATAAAATCAGTCATTTTAAAGTGAAACATTCAGTGGCATTTAGAACATTCACAGCGCTGGGCAACTACCATCTCTATCTAGTTCCAGAATATTTTCATCTACCCAGGAGAAGTTGCTGTACCCATTAAGCAGGTGTGTTCCCCATCTCTCCCACTTCCCCTACCCCCAGCTCTTGGCAATTACCAATCTACATTCTGTTTCTACAGATTTACCTATTCTTTATATTTAATATAAATGAATTCACACAATATGTGACTTTTTGTGTCTGGCTTCTTTCACTTAGCATAATCTTTTTGATGTTCATCCGCATTCTGTCGTGTATCAACATTTCATTTCTTTTTATAATAAAAGCCTAATTTTTTTTGGAATAGCAATGACCAAGTTTAAAACTACATTCCCTTTCCTTTGGTCGTGTGGCACTGATGCCACCAATGATGTCTAGGAATCCCGATAAGGCCTCTAGGCAATTTTCTTACAGACAGCTGGTTCAGCCTGCAAGTACCCTGTTTGCTCTTTTCCCTTTTCCTTCTTCCTTTCTGAAATACAGGTATTATGGTGAGAGCTATAGATCTAAGCAACATAACACAAGGATGATGGAGTGAAAAGGTGAAGGAGCTGGAGTCTCCGAGGACACCATGTAGCTGCCATACCAGCCCTGTAATGACTACTTTAGCCTTCATTCATGTGAAAGAGAAATGAACATCTAGTGCCCTTAAAAATATTAGTATAGCAATTCAGATTTTACTATGCATTAGAAATCCAGTGAAAGCTAGAGACATTTCCTGGCCAATGGGTTTATCATAATTCTGAATTAACCTATGTAAGAGAATATTCAAATGTCCACTGAAATCAATGTTCTAATTATTATTGCCCTTGTCACCCTTAGCTTACTATTCCTGTGTTCCTAGTATGGCAGAATGAAAAAGGCTAAAACGTTATATCTGAAATTGGAGGTTGCTGACCTGTAAAATGAGTTAGTTAGACAACAATATACCATTATAACTCCATCTTAACACATGTTACCACCCCCTTCTGGAAAATAAATCCAAGATGTCTGTAGCACCTTTGTAGCCCTGACGGAAGAGTCAGGCCCTTTGTGTTGCCTGCACATTCACTTAGGAGAGAATGAAGCGTGCTAATTTGTGGAGCATATAATCTATTCTTTTATTAAAAGTGTATGACAAATGGATACAGAGATACCTACCTGGCATACTCATTTGCATACTAAAAATATAATCTTTATAGAAGACAAAATAGAATACGTCCTTGAGCAAAACAGAGGGAACAATTTAGTGTTGGAATGGCTAAGAGGTTGGAATAATGATGACTAAACTTGAAAGTGAAGATGAAAAAGTTGAGTCTGAAGGGCAATGAAAAGCCAGTGAGGATTTTTAAAAATAATAGTGTAGTTGGAGCAAAGGAGGAAAAAGTTATTTTGGTAGAAGGAACATTTTCTATTACGTGAGGAAGGTAAACTAATGAGGAGACTGGAGCATGGAGTATGCTAATATGTGAATGAAAATAGTGAGTACATTGAGAGCAACCTTAGGATTGAAAATAAGCTTAAAAATGAAAAAATGAATTAATATACTGATGTACCGTGATTGCTTTGCTTTGATTCTTTTTTTAATTTTTGAGACAGAGTCTCACTCTCTCACCCAGGCTGGAGTGCAGTGGGATGATCTCGGCTCACGGCAACCTCTGCCTCCCGGGTTCAAGAGATTCTCCTACCTCAGCCTCCTGATTAGCTGGGACTACAGGTGCACCTGCTACCACGTACGGCTAATTTTTATATTTTTACTAGAGACGGGGTTTCACCATGTTGGCCAGGCTGGTCTTGAACTCCTGACCTCGTGATCCACCCACCTCGGCCTCCCAAAGTGCTGGGATTACAGGCGTGAGCCACTGCACACGGCCTTGTTTTGTGTGTGTGTGTGTGTGTGTGTGTGTGTGTGTGTGTGTGTGTTTGTTTTGTTTTGTTTGTTTGTTTTTGTAATTTTAGCTTCAGGAAAAACTTTCTGAGGCAAAAAAGTTAATTGGGACTTAAAACCAAAGACCAGAATAAGTCATTCATTTGAATACATTTATTGAGAATTTACTATATTCCAGGACTCTGCTAGGCATTGGAGATTAAATTGTGAATTAAAAAATAAGGCTTTTACCCCCATTGATCTTAGGTTTTAGTGAAGGAAAGACAGTAAACAGATAACAAGTAAATACTTAAAGAGACAGTTAATAGTGTCACAGTTTTTCCAATTTTAGTTCCATTTAGCAGTAAAAACAGAATAAAATGAAGCCACATGTAATTGGAAGAGAGAGGTCAAGCATGTAACTTTTCTTGAAGATGAATCATTCAACAAGCATGTTTGCATCTGGTCATTAGTGATGCGTTTGGGCAGCTTTGCCCTCACTGTCCTCAGTCACAAGAAAGGATGGACATGAGCAGAGGACCCTGTAGAAAAAGGCAGACATACATGACAATATGAAGTATCACTTGGTTGCTTTTCTAATTATTTATCAGTTTTTAAATTGTAAATATGACTTAGACTGCAGGCTAGTATCACCTGAATTGTCTAATTATGCTAACACGCTACTAAAAATTACGATGTTGATAATGTGTTTCTCTTTAAGTTCAAGTAAACATCATTAAAAGAAGCACAAAGCAAGTGAAATATGCATGGCAGAGAAGCAGTATAATAAGGGACCATTGCTAGGTCACAGGTTCCAATGTTAACAGCGAATGAAGCCGTTTTCTTTTTTTTCTGGAATAGAATTTCAAGTAGATGATGACTGAAAAGTCGTTCTTGGACAGTTCAGCCTCATTACTTCTGGAGGTCTCTCTCATCAGTGCCTAGTGGAGATGACAATTCCTAAACTGTCTGCAACAAGTATTAATTACTTGGGTAATCAAAACAATATAATTGTTGATTTCTTCCCTGTATTTATTTTATAAAATGAAAACAGCTTTAACTGTTTTTCTGGCTGTTAAAATACAAGCTCCTTGGAAAAACCTGTAAATGAATAGTCAAATTATCAATAATGGTTTTCTCCCATGGTGAGATTGTAGGTACTTTTGCTTTCTTGTATTTATTTTCCATATTTTTGTTCCCAGTGAGTCCCACAGGGAGAAGCTGAGATGCCATAAAGGAAAAATTGGGGCTCATGAGCAAATAGGGTAAGGACCCAGAAGTGGTACAGGCCTAATGGTTCCCTGCTTTTTGTTTTAGCCCAGGTATCCCCCTTTCCTTGGGCTAATGTAGATGAGTCTTTTCCTTTGCCCCCAAAGAACCCTGCTAAAACCGGGTGGGGCTACATTCTACACTTGTATTTATTGGTCATCATTCCACAGAACCAAGCACACAGTAGAAACTCAAGAAATAAAATACTTGATTTTATTAAGTGTCTTATTTCCTGAAAGTATGAAATAACATTACGTGGTGGAGATATGGTTAAAAACAATATGATCAATTTCAGGAGAAGGAAACACTCCATAAAGTGCGAGTCAACTTGATGATATTCTATGAGAAAAGATTGATTTGTAGTTTTTTTTTACATTAGAAATCTCATATATGTGTCTTTGTGTGCAATATTTATTTAAATAAAGGCTAAAGATTCCCAAAAACATTAGTGAGAAACTCTTCTTAATTAGCTTTCACTTCTTGGCCCACATTAGTCTTTCTCTCTCTCACTTTCTCACACACATACACACACACCACACACAAATGTAGGTAGGAGAGCAAGGGAGGAATTCCGCATTAGGACATATCGAAAGTAGATTAATGCAAATGAACAAGATGCCAAGTACAGTATGAAAATTGACATTTATCAGCACACTCTGTATGAAGATATTTTCAAAGCTTTGCCATACATATGAAAATATTCCATTTTTATGCTTATGTTTTCGTTATTCAATAGCATGCATTACTTTCTGTTGTTTCCAAATGCAAGTTGTAAATCTCCTCAGAAAATTTCACCGATGTGAGATTTCACTTAGTCTTTTATGGTTGGGTGGATCATTTCCTTTCAACCAGAACAGTAATTCCATGTAAAAGAGTAAGAATAAATTGAAATAGAAAGCCATGTTGCTTTGAAATTGAAAAAGAAATAAATTATTAATTTTAGTGGCTTTTTGGCCATACTTAAGTTCCTATTTTCATCTATGGAATTATATTTTAACATCATAAACATGAACTATGTTTTATGTTCACAGAAAAGGGAAATTTTCATCTAGCTATTCATTTTACATAGCTATTTGCCTTGATTCACTTTCCTTTTTTAAAGTATTTATAAATTTCATACATTTTTAATTAGACAAATGATACACACATCCATTCCTATTATTTAAGAAAAGTAAAAAAATAAAACACACACAGGGAACATCTTAATCTCCCTTGGCCATTACTCACTCTACTCTCCAACTTCTCCAGAGGTAACCATGTTTTTTTTGTTTTTGTTTTTGTTTTTTTGAAACAGAGTCTCGCTCTGTCACCCAGGCTGAAGTGCAATGGTGCGATCTTGGCTCACTGCAACCTCCACCTCCCTGGTTCAAGCGATTCTCCTGTCTCAGCCTCCCCAGTAGCTGGGACTACAGGCACATGCCACCACGCCCAGCTAATTTTTGTATTTTTAATAGAGGCAGGGTTTCACCATATCGGCCAGGATGGTCTCGAACTCCTGACCTCGTGATCTGCCCGCCTTGGCCTCCCAAAGTGTTGGGATTACAGGCGTGAGCCACCACGCCTGGCCAACCATGTTTTAAGACCAGGACACGACCAATCAGACATTTTTAATGGAAACTTGATGGATTGTTTCGTAGATCATCTTTTTAACTGACAGAGTATTTCACGCTTAAACTACACAAAAGTTACATTTAATCGTTTCCTTATTGGTAGATATTTAGAATTATCCAAATGTTTCACCATTACAAATAATGCTTCAGTTATAATCCATGAATATGCCTCATTGTACACATAAGCAAGTATTTCTCTGGGATAGGCACTAAGAAGAGAAACTGAGAGTCAAAGGGTACAGGCATCATGAATTTTAATAGATACTGCCAAATTGCCCTCCAAATGTCAGTATCGATTTATTTTCTCACCAGTAGGATATGAGAATTCACAGCCCCTCTATCTTTTGGAAGCACTGAGAAGAGAAAATGCTATTGACATGTTGTTGTAATATGCATTTCTCTGATTTCTCACAAGCTCTGGTTTTCATATTCTTAGTGTCTATTTTGTCTTCCTTCTCTCTGAAATGCCCATTGATAACATTTCTCCATTTTTGTATTGGTTTGTTTTATTTTTCATTGATTTATAGATAATATTTTGTAAATTGTTCATTTTAATTTTGTTGGATTTTATATCTTGCAGATATAGTATCTTATTTATCTTCTTTTTACTTTGCTTAGGTTGTTGAAAATTCTTAAATGTTTACAGGTTAAATGTATCAATCTTTGTCTCATGTTTTTTCCCCTTGCTGTGTTATTTAAGAAAGCCAGTATCAGACTCTAAACTCTGGTACATTTATAGGTTTTTAATAAAAGCAACTTGATTTATAATCCATCTAGCATTTATTTTGTGAATAGTCTATGATAGAAATTGATATATATATATATGTTTGTACAAACATGAATAATATATGACAGTTTTTCTTTTAATTATTAAATCACCTTACAAATCAAACAACTATGGAATATTATTAGCTTAACTACCTGGGTGATTAGCAAAAGTTTTATATTTCCTTTCCCTATACTTTTTAATATCTACTCTAAAATAGGAAAGTTACTTTCTCTGGCTTTGAGTTGTCACTAAAATATATTCCTTTTTGTTTGTTAAGGCCAGTCAGTTCTTCGATTTGAAGCCCAAAAGGCTCCAATGAGGAAAAGATTCATTTCTTCTCTCTTTGGTGCTGTTGTTAATATCCTCACTCAGATGCAGTCAGGAATATAGTAATGCCTGTCTCCCTTATAAGGACCATTATGATTACATTGGGCTGATCTGGCTAAACCTGGATAATCTTCTCATCTAAAGATCCCTAATGTAATCACATCAACAATCTCCCATTTGCCATGTAAGGTAAAACACTCACAAATACTGGGGTTTAGCATGTGGACATCTTTGGGAGGCCATTATTCTTCCCTCCACATTGTCAACCTCTGGTCCAACTCACTTGTCATCAGTGTAGGAGTGCCTGTGGAGGCAGGTAGAGTGGTAGGAGTTGGGAGGATTCTTGATTGCCTTCAGCTGAGCTTGAACCTGTGCTCTTAGTGGAGCAGTTTCATTTAAAAGGGGATGTGGCTAAGCAGGCACCATAAAATGTACTTCTAGTAGCATCCCTGAATTGAAAGAGTTTACATATAAGACTGCATGATAAAATTAAATGAGTTACATTTTGTAAAGCAGGTAGAACAATGCCTGAGCAGAGTAGGCATCATATACGTATTTGTGCTTGTTAAATAAAACCCAAAAATAATTTCCACGAGGAAAGGAGTTTCAAGCAGATAATTAATTTGCGAATGTGATATATCCTCTTGATCCAGGGAGCTAATTGATTTTGTGAATTACATTTCTCAGGGTACACTAAATCCTCACTGTTGGCTATCAAGAGGAAATACACCTTGACAGGTTTCTCCAGTGGTGGTGAAGATTGTGTATGGATTATACACTTAATTGTCACATTTTTAATGAGAATAACAGCTTAAAATCAAGAGTGAAACATATACGCTGAAAAATGGCAGTATTAATTAGCTCATTCCATATTTATTGAACAACTACACTGTACCAGATTTTACAGAGCATCAGTGATAAATAACAGTCCTTGTGCTCAAGCCTTTTGAAGTATAATAGGGTGAATTCTTTTGGGTTTGCAAATACAGTCTCCCCCACCCCTTATTTGTAGGAGATAGGTTCTAAGACCTACCTTACCCGACCCTGTGGATGCCTGAAACCATGGATAGTACTGAACCTGATTTTGTCAAATGGAACATGTTTTTTATCATGTCTTCCACCCACAAATTTAATGCCTTTTCCATCTTAACTAAGAACTTATATACTGTGGCTGTAACTTTTGCAGTTAGAGGTGCAACTGCAAAACTAGCATGCATTTCTTTTTCTTTCTTCACAATTTCTCAGATAGAAAATTTCTTCTTACTGTAGATCTTAGCAAACAGTATATGGTGATTTTTTTTCTTTCTTTTCTTTTCTTTTTTTTTTTTTGGAGAGAGAGGGTCTCTCTCTATCACCCAGGCTGGAGTGCAGTAGCATGATGATGGCTCACTACAGCCTCAACCTCCCCAGCTCAAGCAATCCTCCCACATCAGCCTCCCAAGTAGCTGGGACCACAGGCACATGTCACCACACCCAGCTATTTTTAAAATTTTTTTGTAGTTACGGGGTTTCCCTGTGTTGTCCTGGCTGGTCTCAAACTCCTGGGCTCAACCAGTCCTCCCACCTTAGCTTCCCAAAGTGTTGGGATTACAGATGTGAGCTACCATGTCCAGCCGTTTACTTATTAAGTTGAGAATTTTTACTTTTTCACTTAAAGGAAGCACTTTATGGCTTCTCTTTGGCATATCCAAATTGCCAGCATAACTATTCTTGCATTTTGGGACCCTGATTAAGTAAAATAGAGGTTACTTGAGCACTAGCACTGTAATACCAAGACAGTTAATCTGATCACCATGAGGGCTACTAAGTGGCTAATGGGCAGGTAGCATGTACAGTGAGGACACACTGGACAAAGGCATGGTTCATGTTTTGGGCAGACCAGAGCTGGACAGCATGAGATTTCATCACAATACTCAGAGCAGTGTGCAATTGAAAACTTAAGAATTGCTTATTTCTTGAATTTCCCATTTAATATTGTTGGACCTCTGTTGACTGTGGGCAACTAAAACCACAGAAAGCAAAACTGCACGTAAGGGGGACTACTATACTTATAATACAAAATGAATTACACTGTGGCCCGAAGAAAATATTAAAACAAAGTGGTATAAAGTATTATAAATTAGAGTAATCACTCTTGTAAAGATGTCTTAGAGTAACAAGGTAGTATTTGAAATGAGCTTTGACCATAAAGGTGAAAATGAGATGGGACACCCCAGGTAAGGGGTTAATATTACCTAAGATAGAGAGAGAGAAAATCCAAACCTTTAAAATAAAACAGCTTGGCAGAAATAGAGGATGTTGCACCTATAATTGTAGTGAGAAAGAAAATGGAAGAGTTCAATGTAACTTTTGGATCATATCTGGGTGTAAGGAGTTAACAACTCATTAACAAGTGGCCTAAGTGACAAATAGTGAAAGCTTTGACTAAGATAGTAAGAATGAACTAGAAAGGAGGGGCTGGGTATGAGAGACATTGTGTTAAAGCAGAATCCACATGATTTAGCAACTGATTTAGGAGGGGAGAGAGGGGCCCATAATGACTGCTTTCCTGCTTGGATGACTAGAATAATGTAGTTTCAGAATAGAAACAGGAAATTGGACAGATGATGTATTCTTGTCTTTAAATGAATGGATTTAAGATGCTGGAAGAATTTTGAGGGTGACTCTTTCAAACAAGTATTTGAAAATGAGGTTGGACATTCCTGAGGGAGATAGAGAAAGATATTTGGGAGCTTTAGTCTAAAATAATCTCAAAATGGGAGAGGGGAGACTTTGTAGCTCATTTTGTCCTATGGACTCATCTTACTTGAGTTCCAGCCCTTTCCTTGTAACTGCCAAATGTTTTTCTATCCTGATTTGAACTTTGAGTCTATGGAGGCCAAACCCGTGGCCCCCTGGAGGTTACCTCAAAATCACTGACATGAGGCAAATTGATGAGTGGGATAAATGGCATACAAATTTATTTAACTTGTATATACGGGAGCCTTCAGAATGAAGACCCAAAGACACAGGGGAAATTGTCCATTTTTCTGCTTAGATTCAACAAAGTATAGACAGCCACGCAGAAATATGACTGGACAAAAATGATATGATCTAATGCTGATAGATTGAGTGGGGAAACCCAGCAAGGCCCATCTGTCTAGATTCTTCTTGGCCTCTCTGTTCATGTATTTCTTCCTTGTGGGTATGGATCAGGACCCTCTCTGGAATGGAGGTCTTCTGACCTATAGTCAAACAAGGTAAGTGAGATCATTTCTTTATGGCCAGTTTGTACACAGATAGGACAGAGAGAAAGTTAGAGTAATATCTTTAAGTTTATGAGTGGCTTTGGGACAAAAGGAGTTCTGGCTTCTATGACCTGCCTTGGGGAAGAGGGATTCTAGTTTCTATGGCCAGCCTCCGTGGAGAATGGGATAGAGAGACAGGAGGGTGGGAAGAGGTCAAAGAAAAACTTTTGCTTCTGAAGCTGTTTTTGAGGCTTTCATTTTGGGGCATTGTTTTCTGAGCCCCAACGAGTCTATGACATCCTGAGGCAGGCAATTCTGTTTGTACCATTCAGTTTGAAATTTCTTCTTTATTCTGAGTTGTCTAAAGTTCTTTCCCTTTGAACCTAGTTCTACATCTTGGGACCCTACCCTAGAGCATTTGCGGTTCTGTCTCACAAAAGCTCCTCTGATGTTTTAAGAAAGCTATAAAGTCCCTCTTTAGCCTCCTCTTCCAGTAACGCAGGGAGTGTAAATGGTGCTCAGCGGCAGTATAATATCTTCATGCCCTCTTTTGCTTGCTCCCTGCTAGAGTTTTCCCAGATATAAATAAATTAATAGAAAACTAAAAACAACTTGCATAGGTTCTAGGCTCAATTAATCTAACATGTGAAATTGAAATAAAAATCCTTCACAGAAATTAATAGGGTTTCACCATAGATAAATGCCTGAGGGCATATGTCCACCTCTGTCACCTCTCCCGCTTCCAATGCTCCTTTATTCTTTTATAGGCTAAACATCTCTACTTGGCACAATGGTTCATGTGACAGTTTCCAGTCATATCACTGTCTTTGGTCTAAGTAGCATGGAGAAGAACAAGACCAGCCCCTCCCTTGGTCTACATACTGTTATTTTATATATATATATATATATATATATATATATATGCTAAAATCAGTTGTGTGTTTGGATACACCCCCCCCCCCACCTGGCTCATAGACACACTGCCACCAATGCCTGTTAATCATCTGCAGCTCGCTATGTAACCAAGTGGAGGTTCACCCTTCACTGCTATTATATTTCACCTTACTATCCATCAGGTCCTCAGATAACATCGTTTTGTTCAATGTTGTTTCATTATAACACTGATGAGAAAAAAAATCAATCCCCAGCCAGGACCACTGTCTATGTGGAATTTGCATTTCTCTGAATGTCCGAATGAGTTTTCTCTGGGTACTCTGTTTTCCTCCCACATCCAAGATCTGTGCATGTTCAATTCATTGGTGTGTCTGAGTGGTTCCAGTCTGAGTGAGTGTGTGTGTGTGCGTGTGCATGCGTGCACACCACACACACACCCAGCGATGGGCTGGCATCCTGGCCACAGTAGATTTCTACATGGCGCCCTGAGCTGCTGGGATAGGCTCCCACCACTTGTGACTCGGAACTGGAATAAGCAGGTAAATCGTGATTTACTTATTTTATGAATCTTTCTTAAATGATGTATAGCTCATATGTATTTCAATGTTTAATATTAGAAGTACGTTGGTCTTTAGAAGTTTTGTGATATTTTATGACAAGAAATATGTTACAAGAACTTAAATCTTGTTTATATCAATTAGCCTATGAGAAAATTGGTTGTGTATGAGGTTGTTGCACCTAAAGTCGCAGTTTCCAAGAACCTATAGATGACATTAAGTGAGGACTTACTGTAGTTGAACCTTACTCTAATCTGCACGATCATTTAGATCTCAAATTGATCATGTTTATCAGCTTGCCTTTTTTCTCTCTTGCTAAGACATTGTTGATGATGTAGAATTTTAAGAAACTTACATTTAGGATAGTGTGCTTGACAAAACAGTATTTTTCCAGTTTGACATTAAGTTGTCAAAGGTCTGATAAGGAATTTTGGGGGAACTTTATTGAAGTGGTATAGATGTTAAAAGTGCTTTTTAAAATGAGATGACACTTGGTTTATTCTGAATTTATTTATATAAAATAACACTGTCTTACGTGTTGAGAACTTAGACTTTTGATTCAAAACACCCAGCATCAAGTCCTGGTCTACCATTTATAGTTTATTTATGCTCCCTGAATCTATTTCCTTAAGTGTTATATGAGGCTATTAATGCCTTCTTCCTAGGCTATTGTGAGGGTTTGAGGAGACGATGTGAATAAAACACTTAGTACCTTGTTTGGTATATAATAAGTGGCTGTTATTTTTCTATGAAAGTCTGATTACAGTATAAAATATAACTTTATTCCCTTTGCGTTCATTTTCATGCCGAAAGGTTTTCTTTCAATATGAAATTGGTATTTAATTGTATAATGAATACTTAGGAAGAAATATCGAATGTACATGGTAAGCCTTCTAATGTTTTTTGTAAGAATGGATTTTGATTTGCCGTACATTCTTTTCATTCTTTGCGTAAGCAGCAATACTTACTGATTTTGAAGGTGATAAAGGCCAAGGATGTAGTCTAGAAATCCATGGGCTTGGTGTTCTTAACTTTTGTGCTTTTATCCAAGCTGCCCTACCATCATGATCTGTAACCTTCAAAATCCATCCCTTTTTATAAACAGTATTCCATTACCCATTTGTCATAGCTTGCCTGGAGTAAAGAAGGATACTGGGAAGATAGTGGGCACTCTTACTTCAATGACTGACCCCTTCCCCACCATTTGTTCTCATCAGCTGTTTTTAATGTTCCATTAAATCTCTCCCTTGAAGTTTTGATATTATTTATTATATTTTTCATTTCTGGAAGTTCAAATAATTTTGTTCAAATCAGGTAATCTTTGTAGACAGACATAGAAATATCTGCATAAGCTTTATGCTTATCTTTTATTTCTTTAACCTACTTGTTTTAAAATTGCTGGCTGATAACTCCAATATTCATAGTTTCACCACAGAGAGCAATAGCTGCTCTCTGCTCTTTCATATGATTCTTGCTGTAGGTACTGTATTTCTTTTTGTGTTTAGTTGTTTTGTTTTGTTTCTATTTCAATGAGCTGATCAGTTTCCCTGGAATGTTATTTGTGGGGATTCTCTGAGGCCTAGGTTGAAGGGAATTCTTGTAGAGAGGATTTCCATTAGCCTTGGCAGGTGCCTAAGGTATAACCACTCTGGGATCACTATAAATTAAATGAAATTCATAGCTTGAGGTTTTGGGGGACCATCCAAGTAATAAGAATTTGTGCTGTAAATCTATCTTAAGGATATATAAGGGGTGGAGATGGTCAAGTTTAGTTATGTTTCATTATTTTTCCTGAGGATGTAGCCCTTAGCTTTACTGGGTAGAGGTTCTCTCCAATTTGAGATTTAACCAAGCCCCCACCCCCCATCCCCATCTCTTTAGCCTCCTGCTACCATTAAACCTAGGCTCAGACTACTGGAATGTCCAGGATCAGTGTCCTCAGGAAAAATGTCTTCAGTGGGCCACTTAACCCTTTGAGCTCTGATTTTACTTAGATTTTGGGCATAGGAATTCCTATCTTGTGAACTATTTGATAACTTTAGAAAAAAAAAATAACCCAGTGTTGTTCCTTATTTTCAGTGGAAAGGTTGCTCCAATTAACCTTGCTTGCCATATTAATAGAAATAGAACTTCCCTGTTATTTCTCACTTAGGAGTTTTCTCAACCAGATTTTATATTTAACATTTCAAATTTCTTGGCACAATTCTCATTCTCTGACCCTACTTACTTGCTACTGGCAGCTTTATTTTTAAACTCTGCTTTAGCTTTTCTTTTCTCCTTTGTATAACTTATCCTTCAACACCTTGAAATAGTTAACTCCTGTGAGTGTAATAGGAAATTTACAAAAAATAATCTTTAAAAACCACCAGATTATTTGATTGTGTGATCCAGGAATGAATGCATGTCTTAGAAGAAAGAGGGCAAATTGGGTGAAATAAAAGATGTTAAGCAAGAAACTCATGGGTGGAAAGAGAGTATTATTGAGATGATTGGCAAGACCACTTAGGCTGTCAGATAATTAAATGAAGCCAAGAAGGGGTTATGGGAAATAAGCTGATTACGGCAGGTAAGACAGGAAGGAATGATGGAAGAACTGGAGGAAAAGGAGCACCTATTAATCTTGGGGAATTTTATCATGTATTCAGATTTTTAAAAAATCAATTAATGAACATTTGACTATAGACCATATAAATCAGGGCTGATTCATAGTTTTCCCTTTTCTTAAAACTAATTAGCAGATATTAGCTATAACAAAGGATCTTTTGACCTCAAAAGAATACCCTTGGTACATTTTCTCATCAAACTAATACTTAGAAACAATAGGGAAACAGGAAATTAATGAGACATCTGAAACTTTATGATTTCTTTTCATCTGGAAATATTAGGGGGAAATCAAATAAAATATACATTTTATCATGCTGTTTTTACATCAGACTTTTCCCCTAGTATTCTTTCTCATTTGGAACATGTTAATGTACTACAAATGAAAGAGGATGAAACACTTGAAAAATTTCTGGATTGTAATATGTTTAAAAATATATATAGTTCTCCATCTCTCATTTTCTACATTTTTCCAGTGTTTTTTTTTTTTTTTTAAATTTGCTTAGCCACGATTCATTACTCATTGAGGTCCTCCTCTGTCCCTGGCACTATGGTAAGTGTTTTGTGTTTTGCATATAGTTTCTCATTGAATCCTCAGAAAACCTATGAGGTTCTAATTATTATTGCCATTTTACTGGCAAAATTGAGACTCATAAAAAATAAGCAAACAAATAACCTTATTGTTTATAAAGTTTACCTATATTTATTTTGATGTGCGTTTTAATTGTTATCTTCATATCAAGCCTATGATTTTGTCAGATACTGTTATTATTTTTTTTAATACATGAGGACAAAGAAGCTCAGAGAAGTGAAGTGACTTGTCAAAGCTTCCAGTATACCGATACAGATGGTGCTTTATCTCAAAGCTTCTAAGTCACACTACTAATTTTCTACAATGCTACACTTATTTGGAAGATAAACATAGGATGATGATGATGTTGATGACAATGACTACTTTTAAAGTGGTACAAAGCTTGAGATTTAGAAAACCATTAGTATCCAACACTAGTTGTATTTGGTAATACAGATTCTCCTCTGCTCCTCATAGTTTAGTGTAGCCTACCTTAAACATGTTCAGCACACTTATGTTAGCCTACAGTTGGGCAAAATCGCTTGACACAAAACCTATTTTATGATCTCATGTAATTTATTGAATATGCTACACTGTAGAGTACATTATCCATTGTTTATCCTTGTGATCGTGATGGTGTGGCTGACTGGGAACTATGTCTCACTTCTGCTGTTCAGCATTCTGACAGAAGATCACACAAATATCACTAGCCCAGGAAAAGATCAAAATCCAAAGTTCAGAATAGTATTTCTACTGAATGTGTATTGTTTTACCCATCCTAAAGTTGAAGAATCACAAGTCAAACCATCATAAGTCCAGGATTATTTGTTTATATATCTTGTAGGGAAGGGAAAAGTGAAAGGAAATAATGTTCTTTCTACCCTTCTACATTATTGGCTGGAGCCCCTGTAACAAAAGACAAATTAACAAGAGAAAACAAACAGGAGTTTACTAACATGTATATCTCATATATACATGGGTGATACCCAAGGAAATGAGTAAATCTCAAAGAGGTGGCTTAAGAATCAGTCTTAAATACGATCTTCACCTAAAAACAAAGAAAGAAGGGTATGGGGGAAACCACTTATGGGGGTGACCAGGAAAAGTACAGTAAACAAGAGTAAGGTTTTTTATGCAGATTTAAGCCATTTCCTTCTTCATTAATAAGACTCCAGTCTTCTTGGTACAGACAGAAAGAGACACCCTTACAAATGAAAATTTACGTTATAAGTGTGAATTTGCCTTACAAAAGGGTAACTTCTACTTTGTTTGCAGAGCTTCACATGTGTCTGCTATTTCTCAAAATAACTAGTTCAAAATAATCCTTATACTGAAGAGGCATATTTTGGGGTATCATATTCTGGTCTCCTACAATCTTAATATCAAATGCCATAGAAATAACCCAAAGGATGGGCACAGTGTGTGAAAAGTTCTAGGAAGAATATAACAAGTAGACTATATAACTACTAATGGCAATCTGTGTCCCAACCATTTATTTAGCTTTATCAGATATATTTTTCTGAAGATACTTTTCTTTCTCATGTGCTCCACTGGTTAAAACCCAGAAATACTTGTAGCATAAAGATATAACCCACAAACAGCAATCATTTCTTTTTTCTTGGGTGTCAGAAATAGCTCCTTTGTAAATTCAGGTGTGATGATTAAAGTAAAAACGAGCGTGAGATAAACTGTTACGCTAATTATCTGGAATTCTTTTTGAGATTTTTATGTTAGATTGATTTAGGTGAGGAAGTATGGCATAGGGCCATAAAATCAGAGGAAAAAGACCGTATCTGTGAGTTATAAATAATTTTTGTATTAAAAGGGAATATTCAGTATAGTACATCTCTTCAATTTCTAAAATGTCTATAGTAATATTTTAAAATATTCACAGAAGAAGTTGAAGTATTATTGATAAGGCTTTTGAAGACTATTTTGTTCATTAAGTAAACAGTAAAAAAAAACATTTTTTGTTAGGTAAATTTTCAGGATTACTCAGAATAAGAATACTTACAGATATAAGGGAAAACTACCTCAAAAGGAGTTTAAAGAGATTATATTAAAATATATAGTTTGTACCTAACGATTAAAATTTTGTCCTGAGCTCATCTTAAATTATCTTTGAAATCATTAACTATGTGTTCTGAAATTTTATTTTGGGTACAAATTGTTTGAGATGGTTGTTTATTTTATGTATATATGTATTCATGCATTAATTCATTTGTTCATTCATATTTTTTGTAATCTTCAGTTCCTTATCATCATTGGCCCAGGCTAGTGCTGTTTCTTCATTATATGTGCATATATATGTGTGTACACGTGTGTATCCATATATGCCCTTATACCTACGACACTAATCCCTTTATTCTCCTACAGTGAGGCAATCGTTTTAATGTACTCAACGTGTATCTTTTTATTTGCACGTGTTTTTGTAAAATTTGTGTTGTTGGTTTGTGTGTGTATCTTTTTATGTAAATTATGTTATATATCATATACTGTTTTCTACATCTTTACTAAGCACTATGTTTTAAAGATCCATTTATACTATATACATACATATATGTATATAGACATGCATATATACACACACATATGTATATTTTGTGCATATATACACACACGTGCGTATGTATGTGTGACACATACACACACACACACACGCACACACTCACATTCTAATTTCTAAATGCTTCGTGGTTCTCCATAGTGGGCATCTACTACATTTGACCCTATTCCCTCTCCCAATATGGATAACCAGTTGCCTCTACATCTATACGACCGCAAATAATGCTACAGTGAACATCCTCTCATGTGTCCCCTTATAGATCCCTGTGAGAATTTCTCTGAGATATACATGTGGGAGTGGAATGGCCGTGTTATAGGTAAATATCTATTTCTGTGCTTTCCAGAATTTTGCACCAGTCTGCACTCCCACTAGAAGTGCTTGAAGATTCCCACGATTGCTCATTTCCATCAGTATTTGGCAATGAGTAGTGTTCTAGTTTTCGCCTCAGAGAAATGTTTAAACTATTTTAAACACAAGGTTTTCAAGAGTATTCTAGTCACTATTACTCTGCTGATAAACCTTTATTATTATTCATCCACCAAACCAATCTCAAGAAAACCTGTACTACATGATAATTTGCTAGTTATGGTGTATGTATTGTAAAATAATAAACTTATTTCCTTAGAAAAATTCTTTCAGATATTTTATTAATACTGCTAGGATTTAGAATTGGTGATAGTTTATCTTACATTTTATTTCTAATTTGCTCATAGCAAATTATATTCATGATCAAAGAATATTTTCTGTCATAATTATTGTCCAAACAGTGTTTAGGTTGCACATGGAATTTAAAAGTACTCTTCAGTGAGTAAATGACAAAATCCTGTTTTTTTACTTAGAACACTTTTAATACTGTGGTTCACTTTTCTATAAGTTATACTAGTGGGATAGGTCACATGCAGACTAAATGTAGAAATATAACTAGGCTGTGGAATTAATTAGCTTTGATTTTGCATTTATTTGAAAAACAAAAAAGAATATGAAGACCACTGACATATATTTCCACTATTTTTCTTTTTCAAATCATACAATTGAGATAAAGATTCAGTACTTCCTCCAAATAAACAGCCCCGTAATAGCAGAAATGTAAATTACAACACTTCTAAATCTGTTTTTATCAACTATTGACCTAACTTTATTAAATGTACCTAAAAATGTAGGGCTACTAAGCAGCTGGAAAATAATGTATTCAGTTTGTAGAGGGGAAAGACACGATACCTTTCCTCCGTGTCATAAGGTTCTTGGCTGACACTCCTATAACAAAAGACAGATTAACAAGTGAAAAGCATAACACATTTGTTTAATCAAAATTGTATGTGACACAGGGGACTTCAGAAATGAAAACTCCCAAACCCGGGGAAAACGATGTCATTTTGTGCTTATGGTTGTTGAAGAGTGAATAGCTGTGAAGAAATGTGACTGAACAAAAGGGTATGATCTAGTGATAATAGACCGTGGAGGGAAACCGAGCAAGGCCTGTCTGTTCAGATTCTTGTGACCTCTTTGTGTAGCATTCCTTCTTCTCAGGTAAGGGCAGGAACCCCCTCTGAAATGAGGGTATTCAAGGTATAAAGGAGGAGAGGGTGACTTTTCTGGGTTTTATCCTTGCTTTGGGCAAGAGGGGTTCTAGTTTCTATGACTTACCTTGGAGAAGGATTCTGTTTTTTTATAAATTGCTTCAGAGACAGAAGGAGGGATAGGAGACAAGAGGGCAGGAGGTCAGAAAGAGAATTTGCCTCTGAGGCTGCTTCTGCAGCCTTCCAATCTCCTTTGGTTCAAAGTAATCAGCATGCCAAAGCACTGTTCTCTGGGGTGTCATTTTTTGAGCCCCAGTAAGTAAAAGAAGAAGAAATCATGGGCAAGAAAATTTCATTGTCTGTGTCTCTATCTCTGTCTCTGTCTCTCTCTACGCACCCACCCCCCGCCACACACACAGAGTAACAAATTCACATAAAGAATTGTAAAGTTATTGTCAAGATATTTTACTTCAGTACTTAAATATTAATTGGGTACTTACCAAAAAGCATGAACATAAATACATATGTGTTATTTTATATATATATTATTTATAATTGACAAATAATTGTATATAGATATGGGGCACAATATGATGTTTTAATATATGTATACATTATGACATGATTAAATCAAGCTAATTAACATATCCATCAACTCTGCTACTTATCATTTTGTCACGGTGAGAACATTTAAGATTTACTTTTTAAGCAATTTTGTAATATACATCAGGCCGGGCACGGTGGCTCACGCCTGTAATCTCAGCACTTTGGGAGGCCGAGGCAGGTGGATCATTTGAGGTCAGGAGTTCGAGACCAGCCTGGCCAACATATTGAAACCATCCCCCTGTACTAAAAATACAAAAATTAGCCAGGCATGGTGGCACATGCCTGTAATCCCAGCCACTCGGGAGGCTGAGGTGGGAGGATCGTTTGAGGCTGGGAGGCAGAGGTTGCAGTGAGCCGAGATCACGCATCACTGCACTCCAGCTTGGGCAACAGAGTGAGACTCCATCTCAAAAAAAAAAACAACAATGTAATATACATCGAAGACCTTCAGTCTAATTAGGCAAACATACTCCAAAAGTTTATTTTAGCAAAACGTGGTTTATATACTACAATAGGCTAGTATAAAGAAAATATGTTCATTCAGATTTTTTCCTCTTAAACTTATCAATATATCTGATGTTTTTAGAACAAATTCCTTACTTTCATTATTTTAGCCACTACTGAGAAGTCAATCATCAAGTCACTCATAGTTTGTCTACTTAGGGCCTTTCACCAATACTCAGTCCCTTTAACTGGCTACACCAACCACCATCACCCTTCCCAAAAATACAACAGAAAATAAAATAAAACAATAATTATAGCTCAGTGACTTCAGAGTACTATCAGTCTATCACTGTCAGTGATTTCTTACCACTTGTGAAATTTCAAAAGCCTGCCATGTACTATTTGTCCTGTCAACTCATACCAGGATCGTCTGCCAAATATCTCAACATGAAGGCTCTGTACAATTACAGACATCTCCATTTGATTCCTCCTCTGAAATGTGTTATTTACATGGTTTTTTGTGTGTATTTTGCCCATCATTCACTAATAGTGGCTTACTCCAATGATATATAGCTATCCTCCCTTCTTTACCTAGTTAAATTTCCCAGATGCTCTTCATAGGATCCCTCTCAACTATTCAAGGTCTCTTTCTATGGTTTAAGGGCTTCTCATAAATGCAGCCTATCCTCATTGGGTAAACTATGGGACTAGTTAGAGGATAGCAGTAAGGTGCATACTCCAGCTTTTCCCCCCACACGGATTCAGACTCATACTTGGGTACCTTCTGCCTGAAGGTGATGGTGGCAGATACTTTGTAACCCCTGGGTTACTAAATCCTTCTCAATATTTCTAGGTAGCCATGTTATTACCATTCCATTTCCACAAAGATCCCTCAAGTACCAGAGCCAATATTCAAACCCAGATCTGTGGGAACTCCAAATGCTATTCTCATCTCTATATATGAGGGGGTGGGGAGCTCACCAATTCTCTTGACATGCCAGGAGCCATCTTACCCTTTATTTTGGTCAATTTTGTTTTGTTCTTCTTTTCTCTTGAGCTAATATTTATACGCTGATTATGTGCTAGGCATTGTGCTAAATAGTTTAATTATTGCATTTCATTCCCATAATTTTACTGAGGTGTGGCTTTATGAATGAGCAAACTGGGACTTAATGAGTTTAAATAACTGACCCAAAGTCAGGCAGCTAATAAATGGTGGAGCTTGGATTTAAACCCAGTCTGCTTTACCTTAGCAGCCATACACTAAACCTGTAAGCATTCCCAACAGGACACATGGGTTTCCATGATTCAGGGTTTCGTAAATTGGTTAACTGTGTTTCTTAGGATCATGAAAAACCTGCAGGCTTTCAGATTTATTTGAATTATTTTTGACCATTGAGTCACACATGGAGTGGATTAGTTAGGAAATAATTATAGGAGTCAGAGTTAAAATAAAATTAAATCCAGATTGGTTATAACTCACACATTTCACTCTTTTATATTTTAGCTTCCTTTTTTTTACATAAATACCACACATTTAATAGTTTTAACTTGTTATTTTGGTCAAAATAAATTTTGTAACGCTGATTCTTCTGTTGTGTTTAGACTATTTGGTTGAATCAAGGATTTTAAAATTTGAGTTTACCAAGTTAAGCACTAAATCGAAGTCCAAAACCATATCTGCTTTTTATCCCAGTACTTTAGACAATAACTAGCACATAGCAGTTGCTCAATAAATATTTATTTAGTGAATATGTGGAATTACTATACATTTATTATTAATTTGTACATCAAATGATCTTTCATCTTTTCCTTGAAAAGTATTTCCTCATTGAAGAAATGCTCAAATTCTGATACATCTTTCTTCCTAAAAGAGTATCTTTCTAAAGTCCCTAAGCTTTTAAGGGTGCTATTAAATATATGTAAATAATGATTAATGAAAAATCAATCTAATTTTAAGATAGTGATGCATACCATCTCACACAATGTGTTTTTTCCCAGCTTATGATAATAAAAAAATGTCTCTGAGATGAGAAAGCATACTGTATCTGAAACCTAGCCAACCACAGCTGACATCCTCACTGAAGGTTAGCTGGTGTTGACTGATGCAGGGAGGGTACAGATGGAACAACTGTAGAGTATAGAATCTAGCTCTATGCGATTTTCATCTTCCTCAGACTACCTTAGATATGTTAGCAGGTCAATTGGAGACGGGCACCAAAAAATGGAAGAAATGTGTAAGTATTAATTGAAGCCTCTGCTTTATGACTTCGCATTGGCTCAAACAGGTCATTTAGTGGGCTCATAACCAGAGTAAAGTTTCCTTAGGCAAAAGGTGCGGATACAGTCACAGATGGAGTCATTAACACAATCAACCTATCATATAAGCTAAACTAATTGTATTTATTTCCATAAATTACATCTGGCCTTCCTACTACAGTCTTTTGATTTTCTACTGAGAAGTGCATGCTAAAAACTACCTTAAACACACACACACACACACACACACACACACAACTTTAACTTTCTGCTTACTTTCATTTCTGCTAATATTGTACTTTGTGCTAATATAATTCATTAGCTAAAATATTCATTTTTGTAGAGACTGAGCAAAAGGATAGCAGTCTTTTAAATAGAAATATCATACAGTATGGCCTTTGTGGTCAGTATACAAGACAAATATCCACATGGCATTTATCAAATAAAATTTATGTATGTGGACATTTTATTTACATGCATATGTTGGAAGAAAGCCATGTATTTTAAAAATAAAAATGAGCTGATCATTCTACAAACGTTGCAGTTGCCTATTATAATGAAATTGTGTGTTAAGTGTCACTCTTAAATCAATGGAGATGACATTTGCATATCAGTTTAATTGCTTTGGATTAAACATTGAAAGATGAGAGCCAAGAGAGCTTATTAAGCTGAAATGAGGGCAAGTGATAAAAAAGTGATATTATGTCAACACTACATCTGGAGGTCTGTTGTTGTTTCCATTTTAAATTCTAAATTGCAGTGTTTCTAAAAAAATTATCATCAAATGCCATAGTTTTGAAATATAGTACAAAAATTAAAACAGTTAATGCATCAATTGTGCTTGATAAATACAATTTGATTTGAAAGCCAAGCTAGGGTTTTCTCTACTTTGTTGAAATGTATTTCTTCTTAATGTACTAGATTGTAAGATTTTGAAAGCTTTTGAAAAACATTATGTCTTATTTACTGCTGTATCTTCAGGACTTTGACATAGTGTGTCCTGTAATAGGTGCTCAATAAATATTTGTGAATAAATGAGTCAATGCAAAGTATGGCAACACCTTCATAGTTACTGTAAAACACTCTAAGTGAGTTCCTGGGTACCGCTGATTTTGGTTGATGCCAGAAACTGTATCCACAGCTCCCTACCATTCAGAAGCACTGTGTGCTCATTGGCCTTCTTCTTTGCTTGGGGGAATCATCAGTCATTATTAAATATATAAATTCCTGCAATGATCTACTTTGAAGTAGGCTATGTGGACTGTGGCATGTGTGAAGCAATTTGATTCCCAATTCTGAGGGTCTCCTGTAGGGGTGTTTGATTTGAGACTCCGCTTAGAAACCACCATTTGTTTGCTGTGACCACAGCATCAGAAAACTGATGACCCATCATTATCCAACGATAATGCAGACCTCTTTCATTTGCATTAGAGAATTTGCATCACTTCCAGGTATTCCCTATTGCTCATCGGAGTGATTTCATGTTTGCCAGATAGACTATATTGTGTTAGATCATCTAAAACATAGCCTTCAAATTTGTTTAAATTAATCCCTCCATTGCAGTTATATTGGGGGATTTATTTTATGGAATATCTAAGCATCTTACAAGCATTATCTTCTCAATCCTTATAACAAGTGTGTGGAAAAAGTTCTATGAAATATCTTCATTTTACAGACGAGAAAACTGAGGCACGGGAAGGTTAAGTGGCATACCTACAGTATGTGGAAGAGCCAGGTTTTGAAATTAGACAGTCTGGTTCCAGAGGGTGTGTTCTTAACCACCGTGCTGTGAGTAAATAGGTGCCTGAGGTTCCCCTAAGGTCCCTGAAAATGAAGTATTTTGTATGCCACATCTATTTCATTGTTGTTTTTAGCTTTTAATCATAGTACAAAAAAGGTAACATAAAATTTACCATCTTAACTTTTTAAGTATAGAGTTTCAGTAGTGTTAAGTACATTCACATTATTTTGCAACAGATCTTTAGAACTTTGAGTTTTAAAAATTCTATACCCATTGTACAACTCCTCATATCCCCTGTCATATCTATTTTTAAGTACTATCATCCCAAACATAGCACCTCAATCTGATGAGAAGCTATCATACTATTATCACTTCAAATATTAATAAACAGAGAAAGGAGAATTTTTGTATTTGCATAGATTAGTATATGCCCAGAATTCAAAATTTAGAAAAAATACGAATGCAGAAGAAATGGAGTTGTATTAATCCGTTCTCACATCGCTATAAGGAAATGCCTGAGACTGAGTCATTTATAAAGAAAGGGGGTTTAATTGGCTCACGATTTTGCAGGCTGGACAGGAAGCATAGTAGCTTCTGCATCTCGGGAGGCCTCAGGAAACTTATAATCATGGCAGAAGGTGAAGAGAAAGCAGTCAAGTCTCACATGCAGAGCAGGAGCTAGCAGGGGAGTGCCGCACACTTTTAAATGACCAGATCTCGTGAGAACTCTATCACTAGAACAGCACCAAGGGGATGGTGCTAACCATTCATGATGGACCAAGCCCATGATCCAATCACCTCTCACCAGGCTCCACCTCCAACACTGGGGATTATAATGTGACATAAGATTTGGGTGGGGACAAAGATCCAAACCATACCAGGAGTGATTTGAAATAAAAAGAAATGTCTTAGTGATTTGTCTTCCTCTTGTTTCTCAGTTTGACCTTGGATATTTGCAGAAGAAAACTTTTCTGATGTAGTTTATCTGAATGACCTGTTCCTAAATCATGACTTCAGAAATATATTTTTAGTTAAAAGCCAAGAAAACAAAAAGTTATATTTAATTTACTTGTTTCTTAAACACATAAGTATTATGTTAACTTCTGCATAAAAATAAATTCTATTCAAACATTGATAAAAACAAAAAGTACAGTTGGCCCTCTGCCTTTATGGGTTTTGCATCCATGGATTCAGTCAACCACGGATTGAAAATATTTGGGACCAGGCATGGTGGCTCACACCTGTAATCCCAGCACTTTGGGAGGTCGAGATGAGCAGATCACTTGAGGCCAGGATTTCGAGACCAGCCTGTCCAAGATGGTGAAACCCCATCTCTACTAAAAATACAAAAGACAATTAGCCAGGCATGGTGGTGGGCACCTGTAATCCCAGCTACTCGGGAGGCTTAGGCAGGAGAGTTGCTTGAACCCGGGAGGTGGAGGTTGCAGTGAGCCAAGATTGTGCCACTGTACTCCATCCTGGGCTACCGAGTGGGACTCTATCTCAAAAAAAAAAAAAAAAAAAAAGAAAAAATATTTGGAAAAAAATTGTATATGTACTGAACATGTACAGATATTTTTCTTGTCATTATTCCCTAAACAAAACAGTGTAACAACTATTTACACAGTTGGATTAGGTATTGTAAGTACATACATTGGATTAGGTATTGTAAGTAATCCAGAAATTACTTAAAGTATACAGGAGGATGTGCATAAGTTATATGCAAATACTACACCATTTTATAACAGGGACTTGAACATCTGTGGGTTTCAGTGTCCACAGGAGGTCCTAGAACCAATTCCCCACAGATAACAGGGATGACTGTATAGACTTTTATATATGTATACATATTTAAAATTCTATGTAAACTGTAGATAGAATTTTAATCAGTAAGGTAAAAAACACGAATTTCATATAAATGCATGCAAAATTATACAATCTACGTTGAAGAAAATAAAAAGGACTGAAAAAGATATTTATATTAATACATATTTTCAATTCTTAATTTTCTTTATGTTTGCCATCATATTTAATTCTCAAAAATAACCCTATATAATAGTTTGAAATGTGATGTAGTAAAGGATGCTAGGAAAATAGACTTAGATGGGTGGTGCTCAGGCAGAGAAGGTGAAAGGAGTTCCTGGGTGAGGGTCTTCATCAACACATAGAAGTGAGGGAGAGCATGGCACGTAGATAGCACCAATCGTTACAAATGGTCAGAGCCCTAGATTTGTGAATATGGAAGTGGTAGGAGACAGGGAGGAGAGATAGGCCAAATCCGGATCAAGAAAGATTTCCTATAGCCAAATAAATTAATTTTAACGTGATTTCACATATTATAGAAATGAAAGGAAGGGGCCAGGCACATTGGCTCACGCCTGTAATCCTAGCACTTTGGGAAGCCAAGGCGGGTGGATCACTTGAGGCCAGGAGTTTGAGACCAGCCTGGCCAACATGGTGAAACCCCGTCTCTACTAAAAACACAAAAAAATTAGCTGGGCATGGTGATACATGCTATTCGGGGGGCTGAAGTAAGAGGATCGCTTGAGCCCGGGAGGTCGAGGCTGCAGTGAGCCAAGATCGTGCCACTGCTGTCCAGCCTGGGTGACCAAGTGAGACCCTGTCTCAAAAAACAAAGAAAGAAAGAAAATAAAGGAAGAAACTAACAGGAAAAATACTTTTTTAAAAAAGAAAGAAATGGTCCGGCGCAGTTTCTCACGCCTGTAATCCCGGCACTTTGGGAGGCCGAGGCGGGTGGATCACTTGAGGTCAGGAGTTCAAGACCAGCCTGGCCAGCATGGTGAAACCCCCCATCTCTACTAAAAATACAAAAATTAGCTGGGTGTGGTGGTGCACACCTGTAATCCCAGCTACTCGGGAGGCTGAGGCAGGAGAATTGCTTAAACCCGGGAGGTGGAGGCTGCAGTGAGCCAAGACTGAGCCACTGCACTACACACTCCAGCCTGGATGATAGAGTGAGACTGTGTCTCAAAAAAAAAAAAAAATAGAAATGCAAGGAAGGATATTAATTAATCAAAGGATTGTGTCGTAGTTAGAAATGACACAGATAAAAATATTTTATCATAAATCCCTTTGCTAGTGTCAGGACCCATTCTGCTTCCAACTTCATAATATTATATTACCTTAAGTTGGGGGTTGATCAAATATTAAGAAGAAAGTCTGAGAATTTTTCTAAGGACCCCTTCTAGGTCCACAAGTCAGAGTAGAAGTAGTTTGGGATAACTGTATGCTGATAGATTTTGTGTTTTTAAAAACTACTTGGTAATTATTTTGTCAGTTATTCTAGCATCAAATATTAAAGGTTCTGACAGTCGCAAGGAAGTGATCAATGATATTTGCAAATGCTAAAGAGAAGATGATTACCAGCCATCCACAGGGATGATTCAAATAGCAAATATCATTATGGTAAAAACAAAATTTTCAACAAAAATAACTGTTTAAGAAGCACAGTTTTCTGATATTTTTGATAGGTCAATTTTTTTTTTTTTTTTTTTTTTTTTTTTTTTTTGAGACAGAGTCTCGCTCTGTCGCCCAGGCTGGAGTGCAGTGGCGCGATCTCGGCTCACTGCAAGCTCTGCCTCCCGGGTTCATGCCATTCTCCTGCCTCAGCCTCCTGAGTAGCTGGGACTACAGGTACCCGGCACCACGCCCGGCTAATTTTCATATTTTTAGTAGAGACGGGGTTTCACCATGTTAGTCAGGATGGTCTCGATTTCCTGGCCTCGTGATCCGCCCGCCTCGGCCTCCCAAAGTGCTGGGATTGCAGGCGTGAGCCACTGCGCCCGGCCTGATAGGTCATTTTTTAAAGTCACCTTCAATTCGAGAAAATCAGGAAGATAACATTTTTGAGTAATTTTATCTTTACACTTACATATAAAATATTTTTAAAGCATATATGCACATATATGAATTTATTCAAGTTTTTTTTAGGGGGAAAAGAGCTTGATCTAGTGATATAGTTTATTAACTCACTCTGTTATCTTAACATATATTGTTTAGAAGCTGTGGAAATCATGTGTAATTAGCAAATATAATCAAAGTTATTTTATATCATAATTATTTATTCTTCCCCTGCAATTCCCTGTTGTAATTTGTTTGTTTAATCAGTTCATCTAAACTTATCATTTTTCATTCATTTGTCCATTATAAGCCATGAAACTTTTACCTTTTCTCTCTCTTAATTATAATCTTGTCTGATGAGGACAAAATAACTGAGACAGAACAGAGGAGCAAGATGAATGGCAGACAGCAGGTGCATTTGTATATTATGAAGTGTTTGCAAAATAATAAGCACCACATGAATAATGCATTTGAAGAATATTGTCTGGCAAATATTATTAAGAGTCATATATCCAAATCATCCCACAATTACTGAAGAATGAAAAACAAAGTGTCTAATGCCTCTGGTTTTGTCAGACACAGAGAGAATCACCATATAGAGCTTCTAGGTAGAGCAAAAGGGCTTCTATTTATTTTTATTTATTTATTTATTTATTTATTTATTTATTTATTTATTTATTGAGATGAAGTTTCGCTCTGTCACCCATGCTGGAGTGCAGTGGTGCAATATTGGCTCAGTGCAACCTCTGCCTCCCGGGTTTAAGCAATTCTCCTGCCTCAGCCTCCCAAGTAGCTGGGACTACAGGCGCACGCCACCACGCCAGGCAAATTTTTGTATTTTTAGGAGACAGGTTTTCACCTTGTTGGCCAGGCTGGTCTCGAACTCCTGATCTCAGGTAATCCGCCCACCTTGGCCACCCAAAGTGCTGGGATTACAGGCGTGAACCACCATGCCCAGCACCACTTATTAATAGAGGACTAAAAATTTATATATATATCTTTATACAAATGTATATATCTATATTTTATCATATTTATATGTATTATTTATATATTTGTATTTACTACATATATATGTGTATATATAATACAGTTGGCCCTCCATATCTGTGGGTTCTGCAATTGCAGATTCAACCAACTACATATGGCAAATATTAATAAAAAGGATGATTATGTTTGCACTGAACATGTACAGTCTTTATTCTTGTTATACTTCATGAAACAATACAGTGTAACAACTATTTACATAGGATTTATATTGTGTTAGGTATTGTAAGTAATCTAGAGATGATTTAAAGTACACTAGAGGATGTGTATAGGTTATATGCAAAGACTGTGCTATTTTTTTATATATTTTATGTATGTATACCTAGCAAGGTAAAATACTGACACAATTCAAAAAATGAAGGAAAACCTCAGAAACGCTTTGATTCAATGCTTGTGTGTATGTGTTTCTGTTTTTGTTTGTTTTTGTTTGTTTTGAGACAAGGTCTTGCTTTGCCCACCAGGCTGGAGTGCAGTGGCGCAACCATGGCTCCCTGCAGCCTCCACCTCGCGGGCTCAAGCAATCCTCCCACCTAAGGCTGTGGAGTAGCTGGGATCACAGGTATGTGCCACCATGCTCAGCTAAGTTTTTTTGTTTGGGGTGTTTGTTTGTTTTTCTTTTTCTTTCTTTTTTTTTTTTTTTTTTTGTAGAGACAGGGTCTCCCTAGGTTGCCCAGGCTGGTTTTGAACTCCTGGGCTCAAGTTATCCTCCCACATTGGTCTTCCAACATGCTGGAATTACATGTGTGAGCCAACATGCCCAGCCTCTGTGTATGTGTGTGTGTGTGTGTGTGTGTTGAAAGAGAGAAAACATAAAGTAGGACTCAGGATTTTAGAGTGGTTGATATGCCACTCCTCATTTTGCCTCTTGACTGTCTTGCTCTATGACCACTCCTTGGAGGTAGCTGAGCTGTTTGTGTTGCTAGTGTTGCTGCAGCCACTGGCTGCTGCAAGAATCTCAACTGTTCTATCTTCTGTTGCTGCTGCTGCTGCTGCTGCTGCTATTGAAAAGCAGAAGACAGCTGGGACCTCTGCTGAGGGAGGCTTTACCAAATCTTTTCTGGGCAAAACCAACCTGAGATATCATAGCTGCCTGAAGCTACAGAAAACTTCTGACTCTGGTGAGATTAATGAGAACAGCTTTATGAGTCCTTCAGGCCTGTTCTTGATTGCTTGAACCTTGTGCAGAACCCTGTGGCCTTGGCTGTGGAGCATGAGAAGTTGTGTGTTGCTGAAAGTATTGTTGCAGAATCAACTGATGGAGCGGCAGAAGCAGCAGCAGCTGCTGCTGGATGTTCAAAATGAGGGAACCAAGTGGAAGCTGGAGTAGAGTTAATGGCCTGAGACCTGAGGTACTTAAAAAAAAATGCTAAACACACCTGATTGAAAAGGTGCCTGCATTCTATTGGACTGGGCCATGCATTTGGTAGCATACCTCCTGAGGACCGAGGGCCACTCCCTTTGATTCTCGAAGGAAATGGGGCATTAACAGTACAGCCCAGCATGGGGTTTGAACCACTCCCCAAAGCCCAGGCTCCGCAGACTGGGCCCACTACATTGATGACTATTTGGACAGTTGAGTTTGCCATTACCTAGGAGGCTGGGATTGTTTTTGAGGAGTTGGAGGAGACCAGGCAGTGTGGGGGAAACTGACCCCATGATTCAAGTATCTCCACCTGGCCCCACCCTTGACACTTGGGGATTATTACAACTCAAGGGGATTATTACAATTCAAGATTTGGGTGGGGATACGGCAAAATCATATCACTTAGCTCAGGAGAAGGTGGACAATGAGACAGCTCCAGATCCTAATTCAGAGAAGATGTAGAATATCTCTTGCAGCATTATTTCACTGAGCCTGTATTCACCTTTTGCTTTTTATAGGCTGATCATTTCAGAAATTCTCCCTACCTCGGACTCCTTGTCATGTGGTCCTTATTTATTCGCTGTCTCTCCTGAGTTTGGCTAGCTCATGTCGTATATGTTGTTGTTTGTCCTTTTTTATTTAGAGTTTTAAAAATTTATGATTCATGGTGTCTTTCCAACTTTGCAATGGCTTATTTAAGTATAAAATTTATTTAAAAACAAAACATTAAAAGTTATGAGTGAATAAGAACCAGAAAAAATTTTTTCGTAAATTTCCTTTTAGAGTGTCAAAATACAATTTTTCTCTGTTTTACCTTGTGTGTGGATGTTTATCTGTGTATTGTTTTTGCAATGTTTTTATCTGCTTAATTAATATTCGGCTATTGGCTTTTTTTTTCTCAGAACAGTAATAGAAGATACGTTTTTGAAGTGGTAGGATATGAAGATGACATAGCTTACTTAATTTCATAGTTCAAGACCAGCTTCTTTTGTTGCCATTATGACATGAAGTATTTTTTTTATTGTTAACTGTTGTTATTGGTGGTGGTGGTATTTTAAATAAATAGTACACTTTTCCACAAGCCTTGCGTCTCCTGATTCTTTGACACTCTTGGGTCATTAGGATCCTTCAACTTTAGTCTGTTCTTTTTTTTTTCCCTTAGCCATAAGTCTTCAAAGAATACATTTCTTCTCAAAAGTGCTTCCCTGTTCCTAAAAGGAGATGTTTACTTCTGGTCCTAAATTCTTTTTATGCTCCTTTCTTTTGATTGCCCACAACCAGTGCTCTAATCTACCTAGTTTCAAATATTATCTCAGTATTTCCCAATCCAGCATTGGGCCTCAATCACCTCCTACAAATTATTAAGAATAAGAAAAATACCTCCGGAGGAAAATTAGGTCAAAATAAATATTCATTAAAATATATAAATAATATTTACATATATGAAAAGATGCTCAACCTCACAATAATAGAGTTGCAAGTTAAGACTAAAATAAAAGGCTATATTTTTGTATTTTCTTTTTCTCTTTTTCCTTGTATTATTATTTTTATTTGACACATATTAATTTTACATATTTTTGGGGTAGAGTGTGATATTTCAAGACATGTATATAATGTGCAATGATCAAATCATGGTAATTAGCATATCCATCACCTCAAACATTTATCATTTCCTGTGTTGGGAACATTCAAAATCTGCTCTTCTAGCTATTTGAAAATATACAATAAATTATTTTTAATTATAGTCACCCTATAGTGCAATAGATCACTAGAACTTATTTCTCCTATCTAAATGTACTTTTTTTTTTTTTTTTTTTTTTTGAGACAGAGTCTTACTCTGTCGCCCAGGCTGGAGTGCAGTGGCACGATCTTGGCTCACTGCAACCTCCTCCTACCAGGTTCAAGCGATTCTCCTGTCTCAGCCTCCCAAGTAGCTGGAATTACAGGCACCTGACACTATGCCCGGCTAATTTTTGTGTCTTTAGTAGAGACGGGATTTCACAATGATGGCCAGGCTGTTCTCAAACTCCTGATTTCAGGTGATCCACCTGCCTCGGCCTCCCAGAGTGCTGGGATTACAGGCATGAGCCACCGTGCCTGGCCCTAAATGTACTTTTTAAAAAACTAAACTTAGATACAGGGGGTACGTGTGCATATTTATTACATGGGTATATTGTGTGATGATAAGATTGGGGTATGGATCCCATCACCCAGGTAAGTGAGCATAGTACCCGATAGGTAGTTTTTCAAAGCACACTCTGTCCTTCCCTTTCCCTCTAGTAATCCACAGTGTCTATTGTTCCCATGTTTATGTCCATGAGTGCTCAATATTTAGCTCCCACTTATAAATGAGAACATTTGGTATTTGATTTTCTGTTTCTTCATTAGTTCGCTGAGGATATTGGCCTCTAGCTGCATCCATGTTGCTACAAAAGACATGATTTCATTCTTTTTAATGGCTGCATAGTATTCTGTGGTGCATATGTACCCATTTTCTTTATCCAATCCACCATTGATGGGCACCTAAGTTGATTCCATGTCTTTGCTATTGTGAATAGCATGGTGATGAACATATAAGTGCATGTGTCTTTTTGGTAGAATGATTTATTTTCCTCTGGGTATATACCAAATAATGGGATTGCTGGATTGAATGTTCTTTGAGAAGTCTCCAAGCTGTTTTCCACAGCAGCTGAACTAATTTACATTCCCACCAAAAGTGCACAAGAGTTCTCTTTTCTCCAGAGCCTCATCAACATCTGTTATTTTTTGGCATTTTAATAACAACCATTCTGACTGGTATGAGGTGGTATTTCATTGTGGCTTTGATTTGCATTTCTCTGATAATTAGTGATGATGAGCATTTGTTCATATGTTTGTTGGTTGCTTGTATGTCTTCCTTTGAGAAGTGTCTGTTCATATCCTTTGCCCATGTTTAATTGAGTTATTTGTTTTTTGCCTGTTGATTTAAGTTTCTTATAGATTCTGAATATTAGACTTTCGCCAAATGCATAGTTGTGAATATTTTCTCATTCTGTAGGTTGCCTGTTCACTCTGTTGATAGTTTATGTTGCTGTGCAGAAGCTCTTTAATTAGGTCCCACTTGTCAATTTTTGGTTTCGTTGCAATTGCTTTTCAAGACTTTGCCAGAAATTATTTGTCAGTGCCCATGTTGAGAAGGCTGTTTCCTAGGTTTTCTTCTAGAATTTTCATAGTTTGAGGCCTTACATTTAAGTCTTTAATCCATCTGGGGTTAATTTTTGCATATGGTGAAAGGTAGGGGTCCAGTTTCATTATTCTGCATATGGCTAGCCAGTTATCCCAGCACCATTTATTGAATAGGAAGTCCGTTCCCCATTGCTTTTGTTAGCCCCATCAAAGATCAGATTGTTGTAGGTGTGCAGCTTTATTTCTGAGTTTTCTGTTCTATTCCATTGGTCTATGTGTCTTTTTTTTTTTTTTTTTTTTTTTGTACCAATACATGCTGCTTTGGTTACTGTAGCCTTATGGTATAGTTCAAAGTCAGGTAGTGTGATGACTCTGGCTTTGTTCTTTTTGCTTAGGATTGCTTTAGCTATTCAGGCTCTGTTTTGGCTCCACATGGATTTTAGAATCGTTTTTCTAATTCTGTGAAAAATGACACTTGTAGTTTGATAGAAATAGCATTGAGTATGTAAATTGCTTTGGGCAGTATGGCTACTTTAACAATATTGATTCTTCCAATCCATTAGCATGGAATGTTTTGCATTTATTTGTGTAATCTCTTAGTTCTTTCAGCAATGTTTTTTAGTTCTCCTTGTAGAGATCTTTCACTACTCTGGTTAAATATATTCCTAGGTATTTTTTTGTTACTACTGTAAATGGGATTATGTTGTGATCTGATTCCCAGCTTGGATGTTATTGATGTATAGAAATGCTACTGATTTTTGTAAATTGATTTTGTATCCTGAAACTTTACTGAAGTTGTTTATCAGTTCCAGGAGGCTTTTGGCTGAGTCTTTCGGATTTTCTAGGTATAGAATTATATCATCAGAAAAGAGAGAGAGTTTGAATTCTTATTTTCCTGTTTGGATGCCTTTTGTGTCTTTCTCTTGCCTGATTACTCTGGCTAGGACTTCTAGTACTACATTGAATAGGAGTGGTCAGAATGGGTATCCTTGTCTTGTTACAGTTTCGTGGGGGATGGTCCCAGCTTTTGTCCATTCATTGTGATGTTGGCTATGGGTTTGTCATAGATGGTTCTCAGTACTTTGAGGTATGTTCCTTCAATGCTTAGTTCTTTGATGTTGTTGTTGTTGTTTTAATCAGGAATAGATTTTGGATTTTATCAAAAGCTTTTTCCAGTTCAATGAGGTGATCATATGGTTTTTGTTTTTAATTATCTTTATGTGGTAAATTGCATTTATTGATTTTTGTATTTTGAACCACCTTGCATCCCAGGAACAAAGCCAACTTGATTATGGTGAGTTAAGTTTTTAATTTTTCATTTGTTTTTATTTTTTTTAATTTTTAATGTTTTGTTGTGATGACCTCTCTTTTTAATTTTTTTTTTTTTTTTTTTTTTTTTTGTGACGAGGTCTCTTTGTTGCTGAGGCTGGTCTCAAACTCCTGGCCTCAGGCAGTCCTCCCTCCTCAGCTTCCCAAAGTCCCGTGATAAAGGTTTGAGCCACAATGCCTGGCTGTTTTTAACGTGCTGCTGGATACAGTTTGGTAGTATTTTGTTGAGAATTTTTGTATCTATTTTCATCAGTGATATAGGCCTGAAGTTTTCTTTTTTTGTCGTGCCTCTGCTTGGTTTTGGTAGCAGGCTGATGCTACCTTCGTATAATGAGTTAGGGAGGGGACCTTCCTCCTTGATTTTTTGAAATAGTTCCAGTAAGATTGGTACCAGTTCTTCTTTCTACATCTGGTAAAATTTGACTGTGAATCCATCTGATCCAGGGCTTTTTCTGGTTGGTTGCTTTTTTTTTTTTTTTTTTTTTTTTTTTAACATTGAGGAGGTTATTTTATTTTATTATTTATTTTTTGAGACAGGTTCTCTCTGCTGCTCAGGCTGGAGTGCAGTGGCACAATGGGCTCAAGCAATTGAGGAGTTCATTTTAAATGTATAGTGTAATCCACATCTAAGCTCTGTTTGCAGAATGAGAGGTTGATGAAAGAAAGCTCAATGAAGCTGCAGAGTCTTAATCTTGCTTTTGGCCGCACCAGCCCTGGCAGGACCTCGTTCACAAAGACAGAGAATTAACATTTGTCGAATGAATGAAGGAGATGCCGTACAAAGATTGTATGGTTCCTTTCAGAGCCTAAATATTTAATAGGTGGGTCACTGAGGGTCTGAACTAGAATATTTGATAAGCAGACATCCAGGGTTGAGTGTTAGATGTTCTGCAGGGAGATGGATGGAGGGGTACCTACAGGGTTCTGCAAGCTCAGTAATAGATGTTGTTGAAGAAGAAATATAAGTTAGAGACAGGACAGGACACACAGAGAATGCACCTCTTTGGGGTCAATAAAAAAAGGGAATGAGCCCAGAGGAAGCACTCAAGATCAGTTGCAAATTGATATCCCAAATGTTTTGGAATACTTCTAGGAAAAAACTCTCCTACATTTCAAAGTCCAGATAATACTGACTCCACCCTCTGGCACAGAGGACTTCTATGGCAACATAGCACAGGAGTGGTACATGAAGGCAAAGTCCATTTGTCTTAGCTCATATCAAATGGTAAAGCAGAGCTTCTTTTATTTTAATTTAGCTATTCAAGCTGCTGAAGCTATACCCAAAATCCCTAGCCCTTTCTCTGATATGAGTCTCTGTGTTTCCATATTGGGAGCAATTTTTTTTTTTTTTTTTTTGAGATGGAGTCTCACTCTTGTTGTCCAGACTGGAGTGCAGTGGCATGATCTTGGCTAACTGCAACCTCCGCCTCCCAGGTTCAAGCCATTCTCGTGCCTTAGCCTCCTGAGTAGCTGGGATTACAGGCACCCGCCGCCATGCCTGGCTAGGTTTTTTTTGTATTTTTAGTAGAGACGGGGTTTCACCATGTTGGCCAGGCTGGTCTCAAACTCCTGACCTCAGGTGATCTGCCTGCCTTGGCCTCCCAAATTGCTGGGATTACAGGCATGTCCCACTAGGCCCAGCGCAATTGTTTTTTATAACTAGAAATGTGTTTGGCTTTCCTCCAACAAACCAGGAAGGTCAAGAGATATGTTCTAGATACCTCTTTGTGGTTGCTTAATGCAGAGCTCATGCAGACACATCTGCAAACCTAAGGAAACGACCCTCTAAGGACTGGTTAGCCACTTAAAATGTGGGCCAAGATAGGCTATTAAATTCGAATCCTCACTGCTTCATTACAGCTTCCTCACATTGTTAGCCTACAAACTAAGTTAAGGACACACTTAAATTCCAGAAGTTGATATTAGTCTATTCAGAGTTTTAATCTCTTCTTGATTCAGTCTTGGGAGATTGTGTGTTTTCAGGAATTTATCCATTTCCCCTAGATTTTCTAATTTGTTTGCATAGAGTTGTTCATAGTAGTCTCTGAGGATCTTTTATATTTCTGTGGAATTAGTTGTAATGTCATCTTTGTCATTTCTGATTGTACTTATTTGGATCTTCTGTTTTTTTCTTTGTTAATTAAGCTAGTGGTCTATCGATCTTGTTTATTCTTTCAAAGAACCAACTCTCAGTTTTATTGATCTGTTGAATGGATTTTTCCATCTTAGTTTCATACAGTTTTCTCTAGTTTTAGTTATTTATTTTCTTTTCTTCTCCTAGTTTTAGGGTTTGTTTGTTCTTTTATTTCCTAGTTCATTTAGGTACAAAGTTAGATGATTGTTAATTTGAGATCTTTCTAACTTCTTGATGAAGGTGTTTATCACTATAAACTTTCCTCTAAACACCACTTTAGCTGCATTCCAGAGATTTTGATAAGATATATCCCGATTTTCATTAATTTCAAAGTATATTTTGGTTTCTGCCTTCATTTCAGTGTTCACCCAGGAGTTATTCAGGGGTAAGTTGTCTAATTTTTGTGTATTTGTATAGTTTTATTTTTTTTTTTAGAAAGTGTCTCACTCTGTTAACCAGGCTGGAGTGCAGTGGCATGATCATGGGTCACTGCAGCCTCAATCTCCCCAGGCTCAGGTGATCCTCACTAGCCACCCAGATAGCTGGAGAACTATAGGTGCACATCACCATTCCTGGCTACTTTTTTTGCATTTTTTTGTAGAGATGGGGTTTCACCATGTCACCCAGGCTGTTCTTGAACTCCTGGGCTCAAACAATCCACCCACTTTGGCCTCCCAAAATGCTAGGATTATAAGTGTCAGCCACTGTGCCCTGCTTATTTGTGTCGTTTTGAGAGACCTTCTTGATAGTGATTTCTATTTTTATTGTACTGTGGTCTGAGAGTGTGCTTGACATGATTTTGATTGTTTTGAATTTACTGAGACTTGCTTTATGACTAAGCATGTGGTTTATCTTAGAATATGCTTCATGTATAGATGAGAAGAATGTATAGTCTATGGTTGTTGGATGGAGTGTTCTGTAGATGTCTGTTAGGTTCAATTGGTTGAGTGTCAAGTATAAGCCTTGATGATCTGTTTATCACCCTGCTGTCAGTGGGTATTGACATCTCCCATTATTGTTGTGTAGCTGTCTCAGTCTTTTTGTAGGTCAAGAAGAACTTGTTTTATGAATCTGGGTGCTCCAATGTTGGGTGCATATATATTAAGGATAGTTAAGGCTTCTTGTTGGAGTGTAACTGTTATCATTATGTAATGCCCTTCTTTGTCCTTCTTTATTGTTATTGGTTTAAAATCTGTTTTATCTAATACAAGAATGATGACTCCCACTGTCTTTTGTTTTCTGTTTGCATGGTAACTCTTTCTGCATCCCTTTACTTTGAGTCTGTGGGGGTGTCATTAGATGTAAAGATGGGTCTCTTAAAAACAGAAGATGATTGAGTCTTTTATTTGTATCCAGCTTGCCACTCTATGTCTTTTAAGTGGGACATGTAGCCTATTTACATTCGGGGTTAGTATTGATAGATGAGATTTTGATCCTTTCATCATGTAGTTAGCTGGTTGTTATGTAGACTTGATTGCATAGTTGCTTTTTAGTGTCTGTGGGCTATGTGCTTAAGTGTGTTTTTGTGGTAGCAAGTGTTGTTCTTTCAATTTCATGTTTAGCATTCCCTTAAGGACCTCTTATGAGGCTGGTCTAGTTAAAACTAATTCCCTCAGCATTTGCTCATCTAAGAAAGATCTTTTTTCTCCTTCACTTATGAAGCTTAATTTGGTAAGATATAAAATTATTGGTTGAAATTTATTTTCTCTAAGAGTGCTGAAAATAGGCTGCCAATTTTTTCTGGCTTGTGAGTTTCTGCATCAAGGTCTGCTGCTATCCTAATGGAGTTCCCTCTGTACATGACCTGAGCCCTCTCTCTAGCTGCCTTTACATTTTTTTCTTTTGGATTGACCTTTGTGAATCTGATGACTATGTGCCTTGGGGATGGTCATCTTGTGTAGTATCTAGCTGGAGTTCCTTGTATTTCCTGAATTTGTACGTCAACTTCTCTAGTGAGATTAAGAAAATTTTTGTGAACTATATCCTCAAACATATTTTTTAAGTTGCTTATTCTCTCTTCTTCTCTCTCAGGAATGCCATATTGGTCATAGATTTGGCCACTGCACATAATTCCCTATTTCTTTGAGGTTTTTTTTTTTTTTCATTTTAAAAATTATTATTTTTTCTTTATTTTTGTCTGATTGAGTTGATTCAAAGAACAAGTCTTTGAGCTATGAGATTCTTTTCTCAGTTTGGTCTATTCTGCTATTAATACTTTTGATTTTATTATAAAATTCTTCTAGTAATTTTTCAGCTCTAGAAATTCAGTTTGATTCTTTCTTGAAATGGTTATTTATCTTTCAGTTCTTGCATGATTTTACTTGATTCATTGGATTCCTTGGATTGGGTTTCAACTGTCTCCTGAATCTCAATGAGCTTCCTTGCCAGCCAGGTTCTGAATTTTATGTCTGTCATTTTAGTCGTGTCAGGCTGTTTAAGAAGCATTGCTGGGGAGCTGGTTTGCTTATTTGGAAGTAAGAGGATACTCTGGCTTTTTAAGTTGCTACAGTTATTGCACTGATTCTTTCTCCTCTGGGAGGACTAGTGTTCTTCTATCTGTGGTGTAAGTTGGGTATAGTTGGTTGTCTTTGTTTCTGCGTGTTTTCTGAGGGTCAAGGTTCTGTATAATGTCTTTATTTATGGCTTAATTCTTGCCCATGGTTTCACAGGAGGATATATTAGCAAAATGTTTTTGGTGCTGTAGTTTGGGCTGCAATCCTGTAGATGGTACATAGGAATAACGGTCAGTAGATAGGCTCTTACTCAGCTGTGCAGCTCCTGTGTATTTCCTTGCATTTGCAGCCATGCTCTGTGGTATAGGGGGGAGAAGAGATGACCTCCTCACCAGGCCTGCTCCTGGGTCTTAGGAAACCCCTCTGATTACTTCCACCATGCCCACATTTATTTTGTTAGGTATTCTGGGCCATGGGCCTCCCTTGGGCAGAGGCTATAACATGGAGATAGACTACTCCCTTTCTGGACTGGCCTTGCAGAGGGAGGCATGCCTCACTCCCATGCCAGTCCATGAACCCATGTGTTTCACCCATTTCAGTGCTGTGAGAGTGGGCTCCTCCCCCACTAGAGTGTTGCATACAGATCTCAGCTTAGCATTCCCGAACTGTGCACCACAGCCTTGGGGCACCAGGACTGGCTCGCAGCTCTATCCTCTAGACGTTCAGGGTTGGTTTCTGGGTGCACTGGGAAATCCAAAGTGCTCCCAGGCTGCTGTGAATGTACTCAGGTGAAGCAAAGCATCCAGGCTGGGCAGCATAGGCTGTGCCATGTATACATTCCTGTGTGGGGGAATGGGGGGTATCCAGGTAGAGGCTCTGGGAAGGGCTTTTGGGCAGGAGAGCCTGCGAAGTAGACATACCCTAGTCCTGCAGGAAAGCCAGCCCCACTTTCTCCTGGCCTGGCAGTCAGTTGGGCCTAGAGATTCTCAGAGGAAAATGGGGATCCCTGTGGGATGGGCACCTACCTAAGGCCATGCCCTACTGGAGCTCTCCCACACAGAAAGGCTCCTGGCTTTGCACCAGCTGAAGCGTTGTCTCTACCTACTCTCTGGGTAGATTCCCCTGCCAGCTCAAATGTCTGTGGGGGACATGGAATCCCCTGTAGCTAGGATCCCAGAGGTTCACAGTGAGAGTGGGCAGTCCCACAGCTTCTTTACTCACCCCTTTCCCAGGAGCCATTTGGAGCCGAAAACTAGCCATAACGTTCAGGTACCTTATACACGGTTCCCAGATTCCTCTCTCTTCAGCCTCAGTGCCTGCGTCACATTTCCATCCACTCTTGGCATTTTTCTCTCCAAAGATGTATTCAAATTATGTTGCTTTACTTAACATTTTGGTCCCTCTTGGCGGGAACAGTGCTTTCTAGCTGTGTCTAGTAAGCCATCTTGTCCCACTTCCTAGCTGTATTTTTTTTTATCTGTTAACCATCCTTTGGCTATCCCTCTCCCTTCCCTACCCTTCCCTGCCTCTGATAACCACTATTCTACTCTTTACTTCATGAGATGTATTTTTTAGCTTCCACATACATGTGAGACAAATATAAGCGGTATTTGTCTTTCTGTACCTGACCTATTTCACTTAATGTACTCCAGGCTCATTCATGTTACCATGAAAGACAGAATTTTGTTCTAAAAGACCATTCTTTTTTTTTTTTTTCCTACTAGATTACTGAAGATCGGAACATTTCATAGCTTATCATGTTAGCTAATGGTGTGGGGAAACAGACACACTCAAATGTTGTTGAGGGTTTATTTTGTGTTTTTTTGTTTGTTTTTGAGATGGAGTTTTACTCTTGTTGCCCAGGCTGGAGTGCAATGGCACGATCTCAGATCACTGCAACCTCCGCCTCTCGGGTTCAAGTGATTCTCCTGCCTCAGCCTCCCAAGTAGCTGGGATTACAGGCATGCGTCACCACGCCCTGCTAATTTTGTATTTTTAATAGAGATGGGGTTTCTCCATGTTGGTCAGGCTGGTCTCGAACTCCTGACCTCAGGTGATCCACCCGCCTTGGCCTCCCAAAGTGCTGGGATTACAGGTGTGAGCCACTGTACCTGGCCATTGTTGAAGGCTTGTATTGGTCCAATTCCTATGGATAACAAAGAAACTAGGAATAGGATTTACCTTCAAGGTTTTTGGGAATTTCTCACCACTGGCCTATAGTCTCATTAAAAATCTACTACTTTTTAAACCTTTTAAAAATAAATGCAATATTTACCTTGTTGCTTTGTATACCACCTGCACACCAGTGTTACTGGTCAGTGGGGCAGCACTACTACATTCCGAGTATCACTTGGTAACATGAGAGAATTCAAGAGGAAATGTATAGCAAGGACAAAATCCTAGGAAAAGTCTAGCATTTATGAAGAAAGAAGAGAATGAATAGAGGCATATTACAATCAGGAATAGACTTACTAATAAAATTTCAAGAAGAATGGGAGTAAATAGTATTAAATGCCATGGAGTGCTCAAGCCAGTTAAGTATTGAGCCAGTGAAACTATTGAAACCATGTAATTGTTGAAAAGTAGGTTTTTGATAGCCTTAGTAACAACATTTTCTGAGAAATAGTGGAGAAAAATCAGAACATAGTAGAAAAACAGATGAGTCTGTGTTGAGAAAGTAAAGAGAGTAGCTTAGACTGTCCTGAAAAGTTTTTGTTAGTGTTGAGAAAGAAGTGAGTTACAGGTTAAAATAGAGGACACACACATGCATACAAAAAAATTAATAGCTTTGTGTAAAATCTCTCAATAATGCAATAATAGACCAGGTAAATACAACATAAATAATGATGTTACCAATAATGTAATTTTGGAATTTTTGGAATTGACATAAGCTTTCATGGAGATTTTTATATGATAAATGAAAAAGTAACATACGCAAAAGCCTCTATTCAAATTAATGACTTGGCTGGGTGAGGTAGCACATCCCTATAACCCCAGCACTTTGGGAGGCCGAGGTGGGAGGATTGCTGGATCCCTGGAATTAGAGACCAGCCTGAGTAACATAGGGAGACCTCATCTCTACAAAAAAAAAAAAAAAAAAAAAAAAAAAAAAAAAAAAAACTTAGCTGGACATGCTGGCATGCACCTGTAGTCCCAGCTACTCAGGACACTGAGGCAGGAGGATCTCTTGAGCCCAGGAGTTCAAGAACAGTCTGGGCGACATGGAGAGATACCGCCTCTACAGAAAGTAAAAAAACTTATCCAGATGTGGTGGCACATTCCTGCAGTCTCAGCTACTCAGGAGGCTGAGATAGAAGGATCGCTTGAACCCAGAAGGTTGAGGCTGCAGCGAGCCATGATTGTGCCACTGCACTCTGGCCTGGGTGACAGAGCAAGACTGTTGCCAAAAAAAAAAAAAAAAAAAATATATATATATATATATATATATATATATACATATACTTATGTGCTTTGTACATTATAGACATAATAAATGGTAGATAATGACATCAGTAACCACAAAGTCAAATTATACAGCAATACTTCATGTAATTTTGATTCCAAATAAATCCATATTAGTAAAAGAAAGCCAGGAGCATTGTAATAGCTTTTGTAAATTAGCCACCAAGGTAGTCAATTTACAGTTGTATTTAATAGACTAGTGAACAGAAGGGTTTTGAGAGTGGGAATGATTACAATGCTGTTGCATAAATTGGAGCTTTAGGAAAGCACTGAAGGAAATGGTGTCCAGTTAATCATTAAGATATTCTTCACGTGCATATGAAGAATAATTTGGGAAAACTTGACATTCAGATAAGACTGAATATAATTGGGTTAAACTGCAATAATACATACATGTTCTCTATTTTCTTGCTATTATCATAATGTACTTTTAAGGAAGAGGCAGATATTGTAACTGAAAATCATGGATACAGTAAAGCCATTTCAGTTCTTTGTTACAGTTGTTTCCTATGAGAAGAACATGAGAAATGATCTTATAGTATTGACAGAAAAGGAGTGTTGACAGCTGACTGTTGCAAAGCCTCCAGTGTAATTATTCCACCTCCCCTACGGCCAGGGATCAGTGTTTTTCATATGACCCATACTTCTGAAAATAATGAATTTCAAAATGTCTGTTCCATGTACACAGTTGTTGACATACACAAATATTTAGCTATCTAGTTCTAGAATCCCCTTGGTGTTTCATCCATCTGAAACTGAGAAAAGAGAGCAGAGTCAGTAACAGATAAGCCCTCGTTGCTGTTTTATTTATGTATTTGTTTATTTATTTATTTATTTATTTCTGTACTGCTGCATCTAGGGATGCCTTCCACTGGATGCCTCTGTGTCAACTGCAGCTCTTTCAGGCAATACTATGAGACAAGATTAACTGAATTTCAAATGTATGAGACTCCACTCACAGAAAGGGTGTTCTATTCATACTGAATCTTTCTATAAAAATGCAAAAGTTGGATCTGGAGAACAGAAAAAGGAAGAGAGCTGCATTCACAGTAGGATAAGGAGATTAAATAGGAAGAGTTATGTGATTTATCTCTTTTATGAGGTGCTGCTGGAAAGCAGATTAAGCTTTTTAAAAAGTGGTGACCTTGATATAAATTTCATATTTAGCCAGTGCTGATGGATTTTGAATAATGAAGGGTATGTGCAACAACACTGAGCCTGAGAAGATGCAAGAAATGTAGTGAAGTTGACCATAATCTGAGTGCTAATACATCACTGCAAACAACAGTAACAGGAATAATACCTATTGTGTAGCAGTTTGCCCATTACAAAATACATTCACACCAGGATGCTATTTACTTCTCACAATAACTCTATGAGATTAAGTATCCTTAGAATTTGATGATCTGGTGCTGAAGTTCAAGAAAGATGTTACTTGTTCATAGTCACACAACTTGCAAATAAATTCCTCTCCCTGTGAAAATATTCTCTTCTTATATTCATTGTCACATTCGGATAAAGATTGGACCCACTTGTATTTTATTTCTAACACTTTTAATCATACCTCTAACATAACTCTATGGTATTACATTCTGACAACTGAAATGTAAAGTGTTTTATTTCTGCATTGTCTCTGTTGACATGAATCCTTAATATAATGTCATATTCTGAGCATGTTTATGTTTATAAAAAAATACAAATCATTAGGCCATTTTCTTTTTCCAAAAATGACCGGTTATTGCCGAGTAAAGTTACTAGGTTGCTGGTATTCAAGCCATTCGTTATTTTAATGAATAATAGGTAATTCAGATTAATGGATTTCCATTCTAGCAAGAAATCTCTAAAAATTACATGGACTTGAACTGATATTAAAATTGTATATAAAGGAATGGAAAGGAAACCAACTGTGAAATGTGTCCAAATCATATAGAATAAAAAAGTTCCCTTCCCCAAAAACCTAACTCTGCTTTTAAATTCTACTAATTCACAGTGTAATTCTGCTCTTTCCTTTTTTCCTGTTTTTGGCTTTAGATACATAAATAAGAGGCTTTAATCATAGAAAGGAAGCTGGAAAAGTACCTTAACTTATTACATTTACCATGTTTGAACACTGTTATTTGTAATATTTGCAAATGTACAACTATATAATTTGTTTATCTTTTTCTTTTACCTCATGGGAGACTTCTAGGAATTTATATATAATGTGGATTAAACACTTAGACTATTTGTTCCCTAAGCTACTGTATTGGCCAGGACCTAGTCAGTTAAAGCAAATTCATTCCAGATAGTTCAGTAGAAGAAACTTAACATGGGAAACAGGATATCAATATGCTAGAAGAGCTGAAATGACCCAGAGGTTAGCAACATTAGGAAACCACTACCACCCCTATATATGAAGGGACAAAGAGAAGAAGGAAGTCATGTTACCAGAACCCAGAAACTGAAAGGATAGATCCCCTCTTGTAAAAATTCATCACCAATGCCATTTGTGAGGAGAAACTGGGAAATTGAGAAACTACGTATGGGATAAAGTGGTAAACAAGGCAGATAAGACTCCCTCATGCATGACTCTTACAATGTTATGGAGGAGAAAATATATACCAATATAAAGAAAGAAGACAAAGAAAAGATCAGTTAGTGATAACTGAGAGGATAACTATAAATATAAAACTGAGTGTATGAAAAAATTATGAGATTTATTCTTGTGGATTATTTTTGCATTAATTTAATTTTTGAATATTGCATTGAAATATTATCTATCTTAACTAGTGAGTTTATGGCACCCCCTCATTCAACTCATGCTAGTTCCATTGGGGTAAGCCCATGATGTTTCAAAGGACTTTCAGCTATTTTGCTTGAGCAATTCGGTGGATGGTGTAGTATATGTCACAAATAAATGAAGCAACTTTTTAAGATTTCAAAAAGGCATAATAAATAGACATTTGAATATATAAATCTAGAATTCAGAGCTGGAGATACAAATAAAGGAGACACAACATAGAAATGGAATTTAGAGTGAGAGGGTTAAATGAGATTACATAGAGGGCAATGAAATGAGATAATGCATTAAGTCTTTTTGAAATGATGGCTTAAATGAAATATAATTCATATATCATATAATTCACCCATTTAAAGTGTACCATTCTAATTTTTTTTAACTGTGGTAAAATACCACACAATTGACCCTTTGAATCATTTTTAAGTATAAAACTAGTGGCAGTAATTACATTCAGAGTGTTGTGCAACCATCACCACTATCTATTTCCGAAATTTTCCATCATCCAAAATAGAAATTATTTACCCATGGGCGCAGTGGCTCAAGCCTGTAATCCCAGCACATTGGGAGGCCGCAGTGGGTGGATCACCTGAGGTCGGGAGTTCAAGACCAGCCTGACCAACATGGAGAAAGCCCGTCTCTACTAAAAATACAAAATTAGCCGGGCATGGTGGCACATGCCTGTAATCCCAGCTGCTCAGAAGGCTGAGGCAGGAGAATCGCTTGAACCTGGGAGGCGGAGGTTGCGGTGAGCCGAGATTGTGCCATTGCACTCCAGCCTGGGCAACAGAGCGAGACTCCGTCTCAATAAAAAAAAAAGAAAAAGAAATTCTTTACCCATGAAACACTAACTTTCCATTCCTTCCTCCCACCAGCTCCTGGTAACCTCTACTCTACTTTCTGTGTCTATGAATTTACTTATCCTAGGGACCTCGAATAAGTTTAATCATACAATATTTATCCTTTTGTGACTGACTGATTTCACTTAGCCTAATGTTCTCAGGTTTCATCCATGTTGTATCGTGTATCAGAATGTCATTGCTTTTTAAGTCTGAATAACATTCCTATTGTATGCATATACCACACTTTTTAATCTTTTCATTTGTTGATGGACATTTGAATTGTTTCCACCTTTTGGGTGTTGCTGCTATGAATATTGGTGTACAAATATCTGTTTGAGTCCCTTTTTTCAATTATTTTGTGTGAATACCTAGGAGAGGTGTTGTTGGATATTCTATATTTAACATTTTGAGGAACTGCGAAACTGTTTTCTACAGTGACTGCACCAATTTACATTCTACCAGTAATACACAAGGGTTCTAATTTCTCCACTCCTTGCCAATACTTGTTGTCCAACCCCCAACACACTTTTTAAAAATTTTTTTTAATTATTGTCTTTTGAGACGGAGTCTCACTCTGTTTCTCAGGCTGGAGTACAGTAGCACGATCTCAGCTCACTGCAACCTCCGCCTCCTGGGTTCAAGCAATTCTCTGCCTCAGCCTCCTGAGTAGCTGGGATTACAGGCGCCCACCACCAAACCTGGTTAATTTTTGTATTTTTAGTAGAGACGGGGATTTCACCGTCTTGGCCAGGCTGGTCTTGAACTCCTGACCTCGTGATCCACCTGCCTTGGCCTCCCAAAGTGCTGGGATTACAGATGTGAGCCACCGTTCCTGGCCTACACTTTTTATTTTTTGATAATACCCATCCCAGTGTTTGAGGTGGTATTGAAAGGTAAAGCTTTCTATACAATATTTCTTCCTTCCCCAGTTTGCCTCTCAATAGGATATAAACTCCATAAAATCAAGTACTCTGTTTATTCACTGCTTTATCCCCAGCCAGGCCACGCATATAGCCATTGCTCAATACATGTGTTGTATTGACTGAGTGAATGATTTTTTTTTTTTTTTTTTGAGACAGGGTCTCATTCTTTCACCAGGCTGGAGGGCAGTGGTGTGATCTTGTCTCACTGCAACCTCTGCTTCCAAGGCTCAGGTGATCCTCCCACCTCAGCCTCCCCAGTATCTGGGACTACAGGCACACACCACCACGTCTGGCTAATTTTTCTATTTTTTGTAGAAGTGGAGTTTTGCCATGTTGCCCAGGCTGGTCTTGAACTCCTGGGCTCAAGTGATCTGCCAACCTGAGCCTCCCAAAGTGCTGGGATTAGAGGCATGAGCCACCCTGCCCAGCCGTGAATGAATTTTAAATGCTCAGTAAGTGAGAGTTGTATTCAATTCTTTAATAAATAATATCATATATTTAGTCTTATATTACATTGCATCGCCATTGCTGGGCTTAGTGTTTTCTTTTTGTTTTATTTTGTTCTTATGAAACAACATCCTTTTTGAATTGGAAATTTAAGGAAAGATATGCTGCATATACATAGAATGAAATTATTTCAAACCATGACAGGGGAAGAGGAGATGAACACGGGATGAAAGAGTTGAAAAATATGAAATTAGGAAGTGGTGAAGAAAGTCAAGTAAAATCTCATGTCCTGCCTTCAAATTAGAGCATCAAGCAGGTGCTATGAACATGTAATTTGAGGGAAGTGCCTGTGATTCTCTTCTTCAGGGAGCACTTCTGGTTTGCGTTTTCATTTTCTCTAGACCTTTTATAGATGAAGAATATCTTGTTTTTCCAGATGCAGATAGTCTGTTATGTTCTGTCTGTGTCTGCAGAGTATGGACCCATTTCTAAATGTGCTGAGTTCAAAGATGTCACTTTTTATACGAAACTCTGATCATGAGTTTTGGTAAATATTATGACCACCTTAGAAAAAGCTGCCTTTGTAAAGCTTGGAGAACAAAAAGTGATGTGCAACTTACCCAAATGTGACTCACACATTTATCTTCCCTATCCCTTGTCTTTCACATCGAGAATGTCAACTATGGTTAGAAGAAGGCCTGTTGTGTGTAGGATGAAATAAGAAGATCATCAGGTGATTGTGTGTAGCTTTTCAGTGCAGAGTATCTTTACAACTCTATGTCAATTTTTTGCCGGGCATGGAAGACACATCTGTTTGCCGTATATGCTATCAAGGAATATGTGTTATTTATAGCTGGGCGCAGTGGCTCATGCCTGTAATTCCAGCACTTTGGGAGGCCAAGGTGGGTGGATCATTTGAGGTCAGGAGTTTGAGACCAGCCTGGCCAACAGGGTGAAACCCCGCCTCTACTAAATATACAAAAACCAGCCAGGCGTGGTGGCAGGTGCCTGTAGTCCCAGCTACTTGGGAGGCTGAGGCACGATAATTCCTTGAACGTAGGAGGTGAAGTTTGCAGTGAGCCGAAATCATGCCGCTGCACTCCAGGCTGGGCGAAAGAGCAAGACTCTGTCTGAAAAAAAAAAAAGAAAAAAAGAAATATGCGTTATTTCAAAACCCCAGAAAATGAAAGATGGCAAAAAAGTAGTATGGTTGAGTTTAGGTGGGAGTTGTTTAGAAAGGTTAAGCCAAAAAAAAAAAAAAAAAAAAAAGCAATCAGAACTTTGTAGCTATTAGCTAATAGTTCATTCATTTATTCATGTAATATATTGAGAGTACCTCCTAAATGCCTGGTACTGTACTAGGCACTTAAGGAGATCATTAGGCCTTTGAAGTCTTTAGCCTCAACAGGTCATCAGTGAACAAATTCCTGTAATGAATTACCATCCATGTGTCAACAGAAACTGAAATGTTCAGAAAAGGAGAAAGAGTTTAAGAGATTAAAAAAAATATATATATATTCCTGGTCCCTCAAAAAGTTAAACCATATGACCCAGCAATTCAAATTCTAGATATATACCGAAAAGAATTAAAAGCAGGGACTTAAATATTTGTTCATGCATGTTCATAGCAGCATTATTCACAATAGCTAAAATGTGAAAACAAACCCAAATGTCCAATAAGCTTATGATTGGATACATGGAATGTGATATATCATACAATGGGCTAATGTTCAGCCAAAAGAAAGGAATGAAGTACTGATGCATACTACAGCGTGGATGAACCTTGAAAACATTATGCTAAGTAAAAGAAGCCAGATACAAAAGGCTACATTTATATGATGACATTTATATGAAATATCCAGAATAAGCAGATCCATAGAGACAGAAAGCAGATGGGTGGTTTCCAGTTATTGTAGGGAGAGAGGAAAGAAGAATAATTGCTAATGGGTACTAGCTTTTCTAGTCTTAGAACTAGATAGAGGTGATCATTCCAAATCATTATCAATGTATTAAATGCCACTTAATTATAAACTTTAAAATAGTTAATGGTTCATTTTATGTTGTGTGAATTTTACCTCAGTTAAAAAAATGTGTGTCTAAGAATTCAAACAGCATACAGCTTACTTCTTTATTTTACATATTATGAGAAGCATACATATTAATAGTGGATGTAGCAAAATGAGGATAAATACTGTAATTAAAAATTGTGATTGTTGGCCAGGTGCGGTGGCTCACATCTGTAATTCCAGCACTTTGGGAGGCCGAGGCAGGTGGATCACGAGGTCAGGAGATCAAGACCAGCCTGGCTAACACGGTGAAACCCCATCTCTACTAAAAATACAAAAAATTAGCCGGGCGTGGTGGCGGGCGCCTATAGTCCCAGCTACTTGGGAGGCTGAGGCAGGAGAATCTCCTGAACCTGGGAGGTGGAGGTAGCAGTGAGCCGAGATTGCGCCACTGCACTCCAGCCTGGGCAATAGAGCGAGACTCCATCTCAAAAAAAAAAAAAAAAAAAGGTTAAAACGGATAAAGATCAAAGAAATCAGCCATAGGCCCTGAAGAAATTATATGTAATGTATGTAATCTTGAACCCATGTCCTGGGCCTCAGTTTCCCTCAGTGACATGGTTTTTACTTCTTCTCCCTCTTATCTTTTCCCTTACTCTTGGAATCTACAGAGGTGAAGTTTGAAAGTGTTCATGTCCAAGAATAACTCAGACAGAGAAATACTGGACTAGAATTGTATATGCCTAGGCCTTCTCAATTCTAGTATTCCAGGAATAATAGGTTAGAAAAATAAAAATAGGAAAATTATATTGATCACTTTCTACTAAAAAAGAGAAGACAATTATCTTGAATTTACAGTTAGCAAAAGACTGTAGGTGGAGTTCAATTCACCAGTTCAACAAAATGTTTAAAAAAGAATTTCAAATGAGAAGGCAGTAAACTGGCATTTTTAGGTTTTAAGCATCTGCTCAATGGTCTCATTCTAATCTTTTCACCAAGGGCTGATTTCAACCAGGGTTAAATCAATAGGCCCTCCAGAGCTCTTCTGAAAAGAAAAACTAATCCAAACAAATCTCTCATTTAGTATTAGTAGCTACAAACATACTGTGTTTAAGAAAGATAAGATATAAGAGAGGGACACATGCATAGCTTCAGGCATTACCATAAAGACTGACAGAACAATAAAAAAGGAAGAAAATGGAAGGCTTTAAGATTAGAAATAAACTTTCAAAGTATATTTAAGGTTTAACAAACTCTAAGATGCTCTTTCCACAATCTAACCTTGACACTTTTTGATTCCTAACACTTTATGTTTACAACTAATGATTAGACACGATGGTCAAATTTCTGGTTGAGAAGCTGCCTTCCAGACAGTTCACTTCTGCTTGAGTCTGTAGTAACTGAACCTTCAGATCTGCTGCCACTCTGTGCTGGTTTTCAGTGCCAAAGGCTTATGACACTTGAAAAATATTATGTGCCTTCATTCTTACAAAAAGGAAAGCTCATGACTTGAAAAATGACCAGTGAATGTTAGAGTAGACCATATAAAACACAGAGGCATAGAACAACTTAATCCTTTTAAAAAGTTAATCAAATCCCTGGCTTTCTTACACACTACTTCATGAAGTAGGAAAAGATTGCCAAACATTATGAAAATGGTATTTCCCTTAGGGACTTGAGGATTAGCAGAATATACAGGTCATGTGTTTAGTGATCCTATTAGAGGATACATTTTACAATCATGTCACTGGTAATTCTGCTAGAGTAAGAGAGAGATACCAAACACTACACATTATCGTACATAGGGCATGTGATTACAGAATAATTAAAACTGTGCTACATTAAGGTATCACATAAATGGTTTTTAATATCCTTTGTCAGTGAATCAGTGATATACAAAATTTCCCTTTCCACACATATTTTCCTTTTTTACCTTCTGCCTGCACTACCCAAATTTCTGCACTTTGATCTATAGTTATGCAATGTAGTCATCCTTTTAAAAATGAATTTTAAAATCTCTGATAGCGGCCAGGCACAGTGGCTCATGCCTGTAATCCCAGCACTTTGGGAGGCTGAGGCAGGTAGATCAACTGAGATCAGGAGTTTGAGACCAGCCTGACCAACATGGTGAAACCCTGTCTCTACAAAAAATACAAAAATTAGCCTGGCGTGGTAGCATGTGCCTGTAATCTCAGCTATTCCGGAGGCTGAGGCTGGAGAATCGCTTGAACCCGGGAGGTGGAGGTTTCAGTGAGCTGAGATTGCACCATTGCACTCCAGCCTGGGCAACAAGAGCGAAATTCCATCTCAAAAAAAAAAAAAAATCTCTGATAGCTCCCATGCATATCAACTCTGAATTGTCTTCTATTTCAAAGTACAACAGTACTGAGAAACCTGTGGAGGAGTTCAGGGTGCTGCTGTACTGACTTCTGGAAACTGTATGGAAGTAATTATTTTGAATTTATTTTTGTGTCATATATCGATTACTTGTGTTCAAAAATATTTGGGAATTCCCAATATTTTCACTGAATCAGATTTTTTTTTTCTTCTTTGTAAGGCGGGACTCAAAGCCAGTGCTTCAGAAGTAAATGCTTTTATATAGTAGAAAAATATGAAGAAAACATAGTATTTCAGGTCATTTGCTCCCTTATATCACTTATCAGATTTTGGGGACTTTAAGGACCTAAATTTTCAAAAAAATCAAGTTAGATCATGGATTTTTTTGAAAACTTGGGTCATTAAAGTCCTGAAGAAAATTTGAAAATTTAAGTCCTTAACGTCCAGAAGACGTTTATTTTAGACTGTAAAGTAAAGTAAAACCAAGGGTTAAGGGTAGGTAACTTTCTTTTGTTTTAAACAATGGTATGTCTATATCTATATCTATTATCATCTATAGGTATATAGCGTCTATGTGTGCTAACCCAGCACCAATTGCCTCCCCTAGCTTATAGAAGAGACCAGTGAATTAGAAGTAGGAGATGTGAGTTCTAACCCCATTTCTACCACTAATTAGATAATAGAATTCGAAAAACTCATTGACTTCTTTCAGCATTGGGTCCCTTTGCTGTAACATGAAGACATTGAAAGAAGTAACTTTATGTTAGTTGTTTCTCCAATATGTTGTGTGTGTACCTGGTGTGGACCTCACGGTCACCCTTGCCAGAGACAACTAGATTTTTTTTTTAAGTCTATACTAATATTCTTTCCTCACTAGAAAGGATAGTGGGGTGTTTACTCTCAGTTGTAAATAACTCTGTTTTCTCTGCCTGTATGCATGTCCTGTCTCTCTAGCCATTTTATAAATACTGAAACCAGTAATCATGATTTAAGTTTTTGTGTAGACTGCAGCTCATCTGTTATAAACAATAAAAGCTGAGTAAATATGTGCTAATGGTTTTACCATAAGTCCTGTAGGAGCATTCTCTTTACCCCATTTACCCCATTCCACGTTATTTCCCTGACAGCAGAGAACCATAGCAGTTATGTCGCGAGTTTGATGATGGTGGAATGTACTCTTTGCTTTGAGAGTGTGTAAATTCCCCTCAGGGGTGTCATATGTTTATTAATGTGTCACAAGTTGCTTGCTTCCTGTTAGCTCTTCTCAGTAAATAGGACTATAGCATTCGTTGGATACTACTTTATTTTTAGCTTTTTAAATCACCTCCTGATGAACAGAAACAGTAAACAAGTATTAAACATCGAAAGTAATTTGAAAATAGTGCCATCCTGGAGAGTCTGGAGTTCCAGACATTACCAGACACTCATCTCACAGAGCTGAAGGAGAAGTTAGGAAAATAAGAATACCTAAGTGATGCTCCTCTGGAGCCACTTTCTGAAGATTAGGGGACATTTGTATTTAAAGAAGAGAAAGAGGTGATGGCTGTGGTAGGGAGTCCATATTTAATTCAACTTTAGTCATTCTTATTCAACCCACTCATATATTTCAAATGAAAAGTATAAGGACTTATCTGGATTTTTAAGCTTCACACTAATTAGACACCAAAGAACTGAAGGCCTCATCATGGTAGTATTTTCTAATTTGTTAAACAAACACTGTGCGACTGTACTGCAAAATGGAAGTATAAAGAAACTGGGAATGAAGGAGGCGGTGCCGATAATAAGATCTAACGCTTACTGAGTGTTCTAAGCTCTTTATGAGTTTTATTGTATTCGTTTCCCACAGCAGCCTATGGAGTCTTTGGTATTACTTTCACCTTATCCTAATAAGGAAATGAAAGCCAAAGGAGCCAAGTAACTTTCCCTAGTTTTCTGTTTTTTGAGATGGAGTCTCGCTCTGTCGCCCAGGCTTGCAGTCTCGCGATCTCGGCTCACTGCAAGCTCCGCCTCCCGGGTTCACGCCATTCTCGTGCCTCAGCCTCTCGAGTAGCTGGGACTACAGGCGCCCGCCACCACGCCCGGCTAATTTCTTGTATTTTCAGTGGAGACGGGGTTTCCCCATGTTAGCCAGGATGGTCTCGATCTCCTGACCTCGTGATCCGCCCGCCTCGGCCTCCCAAAGTGCTGGGATTACAGGCTTGAGCCACCGCGCCCTGCCAACTTTCCCTAGTTCTCAAAAATAATGAGTGATTGAGCTTGAATGAGTGATTGAGATTGAACCCATGAGGTTGGGCTTTGGAGTCTTGCTCTTCACTTGACCCTGCCTCTCTCTCTCTCTCTCTGTATATGAATGTCTCGTATTCCATACAAAGAGATATAGTACAACAGACAAACAAAAGTAATCAATAGTTTGAGGAGAAAGGAAACCTAAGACTCTTGTGTCTAAACGATTTATGTGGAAGTTTCAAAATTATGATGCACAGATTTACTTTCCTTAAAAGGCCTTTCTGTTTTTGTTTTTGTTTTTTTTTTTAATTCTGTGTTCTACAAATCTGTATCCTTCCAAAACCTAAGCATTTTCTGAAAGCATATTTGAATGTGCCCTAAAATAGTTAATAGGTTAATGTAGATAATTTTTTTCTGAAAAAATAATCTTATAATGAGCCTAGAAAGAGCATGCTCCAGTCAGCCCTGGAGTAAAATTAATAAATAATGCATGAGCAGTATTGCTGGCAAACCCAAAGAGGGATATCTTTTTCACTTGGGTGTGAAGCTCAAGCTAAAACTTAACACACTCTTTTCTCTCAAAGCTGTTTCTTTTTCAGTGTTTTTTATGCTGAAAGATTGACTCTACCTTTCATATACTCAACTGAGAAAAATTCTTGATCATCTTGGATGCCTCTCTCTTTCCTTTGCTTCCTCACTGTTACATTGATTCAGTGTCTTAAGTATATTTTGAACATGATCCCTCTTTTCTGTCCCAATGTGTATTGCTTTCATTGGGGCTGCCATTTGTTTCTGAGTGAATGCAGTTGCTTTCTAATTTGCCTCATTGCATTTATTCTTCCTTACAGTCAAATCCATTTTTCTCATTATAATCAGAAAAACCTTTCTAAGATCCAAATTTCATCATTCCTTAACATAAAGTTTAAACTCTTTGAAGTGGCTTATGTGACTTTCAGTCTTGCTTCTGTGCATTTGTCCAGTCTCAAGTCCTTTATACTCCAGTCACTCCACATTATTTGCAATTACTTAAACACAGTAAGTTGTTTTATGCCTTCCAGGCTTTGTGCAAACCGTTACCTCAGATAACCCTTCTTAAAATTGCCAAATTCTTATTCAGTCTCTAAGATAGTTCAGGTATCATCATTTATGGAGCCTTCTTGTTTCTTTCTTTGATACCACTGTGGTAGTTCATATCTCTTTGTAGTAATTATCATATTGAATTTCAGCTGTTTATTTGCCTATCTCTTTCCCTGGATTGTGAGGGCCTGAGGACAGGGAATATGCCTTATTCTAGCAAAATTCCTGAACACACACGCTCAGGACTTTTTTCAAGCTTCTGATTACCTTTGTTTAATGGCTAATTATTTCACCTATTAAGTATCTTTCATCTAATTGTAGGCTAGGTATTATAGGAAGCTAGAGATGTCTACATTCAATAAAGAACCATCTAATTTTGTGGAAATATTCTTTGTTACCAGATATAAAGCCTAATAACCTACCTATCTATTTTCTGGACATTCTCACTGTGTCATATTAGCATTCAACAAAAGCAAGAATCTAAATAAGGGAGCTGCTTAAATGTCAAAGCATTAGCTGAATAAGGAGGAGGACTTAAGAGATGTTGTGCATGTGTACAGACACAAAGAGGAACCAGCAGTATCACGGAGCACCTATGACAGGCCAAGCAGATTTCTATCCAGTATCCTTTTTAATGCTCAGACAAGTGCTGGCTCTCCCATGAGTCCCACCTGAGACTCAAAGGAGTTAAATAAATTGCCCAGTTTTGTAGAGATGGTAAGCAGTGAGACTCAAATACAGGAATTTGATGGCCATGTACATGAATAAGCAGTTGGGCACTTATTTACCAAATGGGAAGTTCTAAAGCAAACTTTGAATTCAATATTTTATTCCTCTCTTTCTTCTCATTAGCCAGCACCATGCCTGACACATGATCAGTGTTCATTGAATGTCCTGAGACTTAAAAAGCAAGTAGAAGTAGTGCAATTTACCCAAAAAACTTCATTTGGTCTCAACCCTTCCAAAAGATCTCTGCACAGGATTTATAGCCTCACTTATTCCAAGTTATAAACTTGATTTATGTACCAGGAAGAAAAAAGAGATGCTTATTTAATGACCCAATTCTGTAGAATCTGTCTATCAGGATGGGGTTGTTCTTATGTAACACAGTAGAATGCTTAGCTCTGACAACCTGGACTCTAGGTTCCAACCCAAGTAGATATGGGTCGATAAAGATAGTAACTTTGCAATACTTTTATCCAAGAATGTGTTCTGCCCAGACTCAGTAACTACTCGTCTTAGCAAGACAACCAATAGTGTAACTTTTATCCAAGAATGTGTTCTGCCCAGACTCAGTAACTACTCGTCTTAGCAAGACAACCAATAGTGTAAGAGTATGCAGCATTATTCCTGAACCTCACTGTGATTAATAGGCCAGTTACACTTTTCTACTTCTATTGAATTTGCCAATTTTAGCATAAGCCCAGGCTTGACTTTATTCTGGACCTAAATCTTCCTTTATTTTTTTTCTAGGTACAAAATATCTATTAAACATTTTAAAACTTAACCTGAATGTAAAACAAAACTTTTTCTCTGGCAAATAAAAACAAATAAATATACATTTAGCTTCACAAGAGCAAGTATTGTTTAGCTGGGTAGCAAGAGAGAACCCTGTGGAATAAGTCAAGATACCATAAAATTAGTTAAACAGTGAAGTTTTTGCTTTTCTTTTAAGTGAATTAAATACACTGCCTTGGCAGCACTTGCTTTTTGTTCACACCAGGTCACTGTATTTATTCTGCTTTGTTACAGAAACTCCACTTACTGTATGAAAGTATCCATCTCACTGACAGTGGGTGAAAATGACACTGGACTCTGCTATAATTCCAAGATGAAGTATTTTGAAAAAGCTGAACTTAGCAAAAGCAAGGAAATTTCATGCCGTGACATAGAGGATTTTCTACTGCCAACCAGAGAACCTGAAATCCTTTGGTACAAGGTATGGACTGCGGGTGGTTCTATTTCCTATTAACAAATTAATTGTGCCTTATATTCTGGGACAAATTGGATAGAAAACTTAGATGGGTGTGATATAGTTTAGCTTTGCCTTTCTAGAATAATATAGCAAGTTGTACTGGTCATTATATGTTTTTTAACCAATGGCTTTAGTAAATTCTAGTCAATGTTTGTATTGGTAATCCACTGTAATAAGCTGTTGTGTTTATGTTTATATTTTATTTCCATGGACAATTCTTTCAAGTCTACTATGGTCTGGGTTGATAATTTCAGGAACTAAATTACCTTGAACCTTCTTTTCAGGGTTCTTCACATTAGCATTTCAAAGTGTCCCCAAACAAAAGGAAAAAGGACTGATTTTTTTCCAGGATAAAATCGTATACTAGTTTTTCATGGAATGTTCTGTTTAATGGACATAATTTTGTCCATATTCTAATCTTTTTCATGTATAAACATAAACATTTTAAAGAAATAACATCTGAGGAAATTGTATGACACCAGAAATATAATATTGAAGTAACTTTCTTCCAAAACCAGTTGAAACTTTAAACTTAAACAGAATAATCCAACCTCTGACTTTCCTATCACCATCATTGATGTTTATTTACTGATATTCCAGATTTGAACATAATTTTAAGCTTGTTTATACAATAAAAGAAATTTTTGTTATTGAATGTACTCAAAAAATAAAGTATAGATGCTGTGAACATTCTTCCAGAATATTTTATACATAGTTTAAAGAATCCTTATGTAACATTTGCTTTGTCTAACTCACTGGAAGTGGGACTTTAGAAACTGGGCCTCTTTGTAACTAGATCCACAAATGTCAGTATACAGAATGTGAGCCCTCATGACAGACTGAAGATGAATTCAAAAACTGTTAGAAATAAAACAAGAAACAAACCTTTAACAATTTTAAAAAAGATTTTTCCAAAACAGCAATGCTCTTTCCTAAGTAAGACTTACTTTTGATTCTTGATAATGTGAAATTGTGGGTTCAGAACATCAAGGGAACTGTTGGAAGATTTTTATACTTGTCCCTTGCTTGATTTTCAATCCTAGACCATGTTAAATGGAGCTCAAATATTAGTCCTGCTGGTTTCTGTTACTGTGGGAATGAATTTTCTTTTTCTCTTTTTTTAATTGTTGGAGTATTTCTTATCCTTAACCACCCTCACATCTCAAACCACCCTGTGGTTTGTCTGACTTCCACAGGCAGATTCTGAGGCAAGCCCTGATGATTGCTTCAAGGGGGAGTGGTATTAGGGGAATTTGACCCAAAGTCTCCAAATAAACCCTTTTTTTTCTTAGTACTCATGTGTGACATCAGCTTCTAAATATGCAGTGTCTTTGTTGTTCACTAATAAGTTTATTTTAAGAGTTGTGTTTCTTTTCTCACCTTTTGCAAAGAGCATCTTAAAATTTGCTGAAAGATGAGAGACTACACACACACAGTGTAAAAAGTGGCTGGTCCTTTAGTCCTATTTCCAACATTGCCACAATAATTTTGACCTTAAGCTATGCAGACTAGTGAAGTGGTGGGTGGGGATGCAGTATATGTGGTATTTAAAAGTCATAACATTTCAGATTATTTTTCCATAGTCAAAGATTAGCCCCTGTAGTCTAAATAGCAGAGATTTAAGGGCTACTTCTATAGTGGAATACTATAAAATAATCAATCTGGCTAAATGTAGATGTCACACATTCAGTGGAAAATTTATGCAATTACCACAAGTCATGCAACTAATATGGCATATACAGTGTATATTTTGGTCAGAAATAACACGAAAATTGCCCCCAATTACACAAAGGCATTGAGCCACATAAAATAATGTTCTGCAAAAATTTGATTTGGCAATACAATTTTTTAGAAACAATATTACCCCTGAAGAATGTCAAATGTTTTAAAGCTATTTTATCCTCGTTCCATTGATTTCAAATCTGGCTAGAGGAAATTGACTTCTGTTTTGGCAAAAACAGAAATCTCCTGAGCCAACATCATTATTATTCAAAGCTTAATTCAGAGACCATAATTTGCTAAGTCTATTAACAATGAAAACAGATATTTATGGAACTCTAAAGACCTTGCATATAAATGTTGATTGTTTCATGGATTATAGCATGCATACACTATGAAGAGATTTAATTTTTACTAAATGCAAAACTAAAATGTTTCAAATATTGAAATAGAATTTAGGTGCAATCATTGAACGGTGCAATCTTTTGTACAGCAAATTTTCTGCTTTCCAGTAAAATAATATGGTTTGTATTTTATGTTATCAATTTCAATATGGTTGATTTCACAATAATGAAATGTGAAATATCTGTTTCCAAAATGATGTCACGGATAGTCTTAGCATACATCTCTATTCTTATATCTAATAAATCAGTACATATCTGGTTTAGATATACTAATCTTAGAAGTTAATTGACTTTTCCAAAAAAATAATCTTCAGATTGAAGTATTCATTGGTTCAAAAATGTATAATGACCAGTGCAACTTGCCATATTATTCTAGGAAGCAAATTGATTCCCCAGAGATTTTGAGAAGAAATGAAATTATTTAGCATTAGTTTCAAACTTTTTAGTCCCTTTAAAATGCAATTTTAGAAGCTTTTGTTTTAGTTATTTAAAACTGTTCTATATTTTTCCATTACTATATGTACTACCAAAATTGTATGTTCTTCATATAGGAATGCAGGACAAAAACATGGAGGCCAAGTATTGTATTCAAAAGAGATACTCTGCTTATAAGAGAAGTCAGAGAAGATGACATTGGAAATTATACCTGTGAATTAAAATATGGAGGCTTTGTTGTGAGAAGAACTACTGAATTAACTGTTACAGGTAATCACAGTCTTCAATATTTCACTTGCAAGTGATGAAACTACTATTTTAAGTTAGTTTTTATGCTACACATTGATATTTTTACTCTCTAAAGAATTACATAATCAAATGCTAAGTGGATTCCTATAGGTGAAATTTATTCCTCCTTGCTTTTGAATCATCTTCCACTGAAGTCCATTCAAAAGGCTAGAGACAATATGTTTAGGGAGTTATAGAAATGTTAACTTTTGGGCCGGGCACCGTGGCTCATGCCTGTAATCCCAGCACTTTGGGAGGCCAAGGTGGGCGAATCACGAGGTCAGGGGTTCAGGACCAGCCTGGCCAACATGGTGAAACCCTGTGTCTACTAAAAATACAAAAATTAGCCAGGCGTGGTGGTGGGCGCCTGTAATCCCAGCTACTCGGGAGGCTGAGGCAGGAGAATCACTCGAACCCACGAGGCAGAGGTTGCAGTGAGCTGAGATCGTGCCATTGCACTCCAGCCTGGGGGACAAGAGCAAGACGAAGTCTCAGAAAAAAAAAAAAAAAGAAATGTTAGCTTTTGAAAGTACTTGAAATAAAAATGAGTTTATGGTTTCCAAAAATTATGCTTATATTTTATAATGGTATCGTTTTTGGAAACATTTCCTAGAGTGGCTAAATAGAATATATGAAATCTACCTCTGTCTTCCTGTCTTGCTCCAAATTAGAAAAGTCGCTTTTCTCTTTTATTTATTTATCACTCTATCAATCTGACATACATGTCCTCATGAACTTGAAAATAGCATAACTTCAGGTGCAGTCATTGAATAATTATGTGAGATGTGATGCATAGAGTCATTTTCATAGCTGGTTGCTAAGGTGGAAGGACATGAGGACAAGATTCAGAACACTACCTGTAATCATGAATCTACAACTCACTAGTCACATAGGTTGGTGGAGTTACCACAGCCTTCAGCATATTAGTTTCTTCATGTATAAAATGGTGTTGATAAAATTTGCTGTTCTTATTTCATAGGGTTTTTGCAAGGATCAAATGAAGTAAGGTAATATGTATGACATAAATTTGCAAAATGCAGAATTATATCCAAATGTGCATAATTTTTGTCCATGAAAATTGCATTCATACATTTTTTTTCTTTATAGTGCATTTCTTACAAGGTGGTTTCATGAGAAAAGTGGGGATAATAAGAACAACATTCAGAAATTAAAAATATTATTCTCATATTCTTATTGAGAGATTCTTCTTGGTGACTTTTGTGTATGATCATACTTGTAAAACTTATATAGAAAAGCATAAAAAGGACATTAGCTGTTTTAAATTAAACAGAGTTTTATTTGTTCACTGGTCCACTTAAAATTAGTTTTCCCTGTATATGAAAAGTGTTTTGTGGTAGTCACCTACATCTTATAATAATTTATTTCTTTTAAGGTATCTGGCTATACTTGAGTTTCTATACAATCAATTTTGAAATTTGTTTTTCATCTGTTACTTAATTTTTTCCTTTAATCTCTACTGAAGTGGTTTTTCAACCAGTAGTATTGAGGCAAAGGAATTTAAAAATATAAAGTAAAGCAATCTATCCTGAATAGAAAATAGAATGCACTTCTAGTCTTTATTCTTCAGAGTGGAGAACTCATCTTTAGTAAGCACCTCTTTCCCCTTTCTAGAAATGCTAGGATTCTAAACCAGTACCTAGTATGAGACAGTTGGAGCACAGTATCATGGATACTGAACACTGGGCTCTGAATGGTAAAACAGCTTGTGTAAGACTATTTTATAGAACCAAAAATAGAACTCTTTATATCCTAAATGCTTTCCAGGGCAACCGTACTTTCCTAAACTTCATTTGTCCCAAAATATCTTGTTTTCTTTATATAAAAACAAAGAGTAATTGAGTCTTGATATTCAAGAGGAAGATAAAGTTTTAATGAAAGTTTTCATTCCACTTATTATCATAAATACTTATATGTAGCCTTACCTGAGACAATGATTTGGGCAAATAAATTATGAAACAGTTTGACTGGATGTGAAATTTTGGGTTAATGTAGAGCTACATGCCCTAGAATTAAGAACAGTATATACTAAAATGCATTTTAGGTATTAACAACAAGTCTACTGGGAAGATATATTTATGTATAACATTGTTTTAAATGGTGTGACACTATAGCGCATTTACTGTGGGGCCAAATTAAAGAGCAGTTCTTAAAACCCAAATTATATTCCTCAGTTAAAGCAACAAACATGGGCAGTATCTGAATGATAAGGAATCACTGTTTTTTATCTTGGTTTTCTGCACATCATTATCATATTTTACTTAATGAAAATATTATGGAAAACATAATATTATTTGGTTTTAGTGGAATTTGAAGTTTGTTATAATGTCACTTTAAAAAAAAAAAAAAGAGGAATCCTATACGTAAAAAGGAAATTTCTGGCCGAAGGAAGTGGCTAAATGTGCAGGCAGCATCGTGAGCTTTTATGGGTGATCGATCCTTCCCTTATTGAAAATGTATATCCTTAGCTAAGTGAAGTACTGGTTCAACAAAACAGATCACAGTGAAAGGAATTATAAACCTGTCCAGCACTTTTGGTATTTTAAACATCTTTTTTTTTTTCTTTGGGAAACAGTTTCTCTCTTGTTGCCCAGGCTAGAGTGCAGTGGTGCAATCTTGGCTCACTGCAACCTCTGCCTCCCAGGTTCAAGAGATTCTCCTGCCTCAGCCTCCCGAGTAGCTGGGATTATAGGCCCGTGCCACCATGCCCAGCTAATTTTTGTATTTTTAGTAGAGACCGGGTTTAACCATGTTGGCCAGGCTGGTGTCAAACTCCTGAAACATTCTCAATTTTTTTCTTTTAAATTAAAGATGTTACGGCACCATCTCTAGCCTCTATCTTTTATTAGCCTTACCCACATTGAAGTTCTTACTCCAAATGTCCTCCCTCTGAACTCTTATTCATGGTTTTCTCCCTCTGGAAGGTTTTTTATCTTCTCCTTTGTCACATCCCTGATTCTCACCCTTTCTTCAAGGCACAGCTAAAATGTTATCCCCTTGTTGAGGCACGTACTCCATGCATCCACAGCACTTTTAGCATCTCTATTGCAGCACTTACCTCATTGCATCAAACTATTTAATGACACTCCTGTATTTTCATAAGAATGTGAGCAACTTAGAGTCAAGGGCAATGTCTTTTATTTTTTAAATAAGCATTTGATTTTAGAACGGTTTTAGATTTACAGAAAAAACATAGTAGAAATCCCATCTAGCCTGCATTCAGTTCCCCCTGTTATTCACATCTAATATTAATATGGTATATTCGTTATAGTTAATGAACTGATTTTGGCACATTATTATTAAATAAAGTCCGTAGTTTATTTAGATTTCTGTGCTTTTTACCTGATGTCCTTGTTTCTGTTCCAGGATCCCATCTAGAATAGCACATAACATTTAGTTGTTATGTCTCCTTAAGATACTCTTGGTTGTGACTGTTTTACATTTTTTTTTATTTTTGATGACCTTTACAATTTTGAGGAGTATTTTGTCGAATGTCCTATATTTGGGATTTTTCTGAGATTTTTTCATGATTAGGTGAGGGTTATAGGTCCTTGGAAGAAAAAACACAGAGGTAAAATCACAACATGTCATATCAGCCTGACTTATCACTGTTGATGTTGATCTTGATCACCTGAGGTAGTGTTAGGTAGGTTTTTCCACTGTAAAGTTACTCTCTTCCCCATTTTTATACTGTAGTTTTTGTCATCCATGCTATATGTCATCCATGCTAAAGGAGTGAGAGGTTATGTTCCACCTCTCTGAGAGCAGAATGTCCACATATTTTGTGTGGTATTCTGCTACATGAGATATATGTCTGTTCTCCCACATTTATCTACTTATTCAATTGTTGCTCTATACCAGTTTGGACTTAACAGTTATTTTATACTTTGCTTTATAATCCAAATTACCTTATTTATTTTGTTGCTCAAATTATTACAGTTTTGGTCATTAAGAGCTCTTTTAGTTGGCTCCTTTGTCCCTGTGACATACTTATATTGGGGTGTGTGTGTGTGTGTGTGTATGTATGTTTGAGTACTTTCCTACTTTCTGGCCCTTTAAGATGCTCTAAGCTCATCTTGTATATTTCCTGCCCCAGTCCCTACATCAGATATATTTTTTCAAAGATGCCATGTTGCTTTTATTGGAGAATTATACCAAAAATGAATACCTTCATGTTGAGAGTACTCATTGCTACTGGGATATAGTTGTTTTGAAGCTTTTCTAATCGACAAAAAAAGAAAAATGTGTATAGTAACACATAAACATATACACATATCTATAGATATTTATATGTGTAACCACCTGTGTTTATATTAAGTTAAACATGAGTTCATACTGATGTTTCCAACTCTAATTTATTACCATATGGATCATTTTAGCCTCTTCCCCTACCTTATGTGTAACCTCCCAATCCAGTAGTTAGAAAACTGGTTCTCACCATCTGCCATTCTTTTACTGAATTGTTCACTTCCAGTATAAATGTATAGTGAGATCAGAATTTGTTAACCTGTGCCCATGTGGGAAACAACTTTATCAATTAGAATATGGTGTTTACGTACAATTGTTTTAGCATTTAGCCTTACAGACTTCACTCATTTCCAAAGTTGCTAAGGTCAGCACCTTTCCCCTCACCTGCTTCAGTGAGGTTATCTCACATATTTGTAATATAGTTAGATTGTTTTATCATATTCTGTATTTCCCAGGATCCTCTGACCTCCTGAATTATATTTAAAATTTGCATACATTAAGGTTTTCTCTTTGTGCTGTGAAGTTCTATGAGTTTAAACAAATGCATAGTGTCATGTATTCATAATTAAAAAGTAACAGAATAGTTTCACTGCCCTAAAAAAGACTCTACACTTCATATGTTCAGCCCTTCTTTCTGCCTTCCGAATCCCTGGAAACAACTGATCTTTTTACCATAACTATAGTTTTGCTTTTTCCAGAATGTCATATAATTGAAATCATACAGTTTTTGGCCTTTTCAGACTGGCTTCTTTCACTTAGCAATATGCATTTCCTTCACTCCTTTCTGCCTTCCTTCCTTTTAATTGAGCATTTTATCTCTTCCATTTTTACATCAATTTTCCTTCTTTTTAGATATATATTTTAGTGATAGCCCTGGATATTCCAATTTTAAACTAATCTCAGTCCACCTTCAAAAAACGCTGTGTAGTACAGATACCTTATTACAGAGTACTCCCAGTTCCTCTCTCCTATCCTTTATGACATTGTTCTCATTCATTTCACTTACCCATATTGTATAATCACCCAATATATTGTTACTGTTATTTTAAACAAAGTTATCTTTTACATCAATTTAGAATAAGAGAAATAAAATATTTTATTTTACCTTCATTTATTCCTTCTCTGGCACTCTTCTTTATGTAGATCCAAGTTTCTATTCCATACACTTTTCTTCTGCCTGAAAAACTTCCTTTGGCATTTCTTGCAATGAAGGTCCAGTGGTGATGATGTCCCTTAGTTTTCATTTATCAGAGAATGCCTTTATTTATTTTTCCCCTTTGAAAAAGAATTTTGCTGGATATAGAATTTTTTTGTTTGTTTGTTTGTTTTGTTTTGTTTTGAGACGGAGTCTTGCTCTGTCGCCCAGGGTGGAGTGCAGTGGCATGATCTCGGCTCACTGCAACCTCTGCTTCCTGGGTTCAAGTAATTCTCCTGCCTCACCCTCCCGAGTAGCTGGAATTACAGACACGTGCCACCATGCCCAGCTAATTTTTGTATTCTTAGTAGAGACGGGGTTTCACCATGTTGGCCAGGATGGTCTTGATATCCTGACCTTGTGATCCGCCCACCTCAGCCTCCCAAAGTGCTGGGATTACAGGCGTGAGCTACCGCGCCCAGTCTGGATGTAGAATTTTTGATTGGTACTTTTTTCGTTTTGTCACTTTCAATATGCCACTCCACTCTTTTATTGCTTGCATGGTTTTTGATGAGATGTTCACTCTGATACTTATCTCTGTGCCTGTATAGATATGATATTTTCTCTGTGTTCTTTATTTATTTATTTATTTTTTTTGAGACAGAGTCTCGCTCTGTCGCCCAGGCTGGAGTGCAGTGGCGGGATCTCGGCTCACTGCAAGCTCCGCCTCCCGGGTTCACGCCATTCTCCTGCCTCAGCCTCCCAAGTAGCTGGGACTACAGGTGCCCGCCACTAGGCCCAGCTAATTTTTTGTATTTTTAGTAGAGACGGGGTTTCACCGTTTTAGCCGGGATGGTCTCGATCTCCTGACCTCGTGATCCACCCGCCTCGGCCTCCCAAAGTGCTGGAATTACAGGCGTGAGCCACCACGCCCAGGCTCTGTGTTCTTTCAAGATTGTCTGTGTTTTTTTTTTCTCTGTAGATTGAATATGGTATGCCTAGGTATAGTGATTTTGTTATTTATCCTACTCAGTGTTTTATCAGCTTCCTGGATTTCTGGTTTGATGTCTCTCAATTTTGAAAATTCCATGACCATTATTATTTCAGATATTTACTCTGCTCCATTCTTTTTTTTTCTACTTTTGATATTCCGATTATACATATATTATGCCTTTTGAAATTATCTCTCAGTTCTTGGATGTTCTTTTCTGTTTTTATCATTCATTTTTCTCTTTGCATGTCAGTTGATAAAGTTCTACTGATCTATTTTCAAGCTCACACATTGTTTCCTGAACTGGTGTCCAGTGTACTGATGAGACCATCAAAGGGCTTCTTCATTTCTGTTACAATGTTTGTTTTTTAAAAACTCTAGCATTTCCTGGCTGGGCACAGTGGCTCACGCCTATAATCCCAGCACTTTGGGAGGCCGAGGTGGGCGGATCACAAGGTCAGGAGATCAAGACCATCCTGGCTAACATGGTGGAACCCTGTCTCTACTAAAAATACAAAAAATTAGCCGGGCGTGGTGGTGGGCGCCTGTAGTCCCAGCTACTCGGGAGGCTGAGGCAGGAGAATGGCGTGAACCTGGGAGGCAGAGCTTGTAGTGAGCCGAAATCGCGACACTGCACTCCAGACTGGGCGACAGAGCGAGACTCTGTCTCAAAAAAAAAAAAGCAAATCTAGCATTTCCTTTCGATTCTTTTTAACATTGCAATCTCTCTTCTTATATTACCCATCTGTGGGTATCGTGGAGGAATAATACCCTCCATACAGATCTCACACTCTACTTTTATTAATATTTAGGTTGGTGCAAACATAATTGCGGTTTTTGCCATAACTTTGCGGGTTTTTGCCCTGGAAAGTAAAGGCAAAAGCCGCAATTACATTTGCACGAGTCTAATACTACCGAGTTTTACATAAACCTTTTCATTTCCTACATTATATTGCTGATTTGTATTGAGATTTAAGTCAAATAACATCAGTTTTCTTATATTGTTAAGTCAAATGCCTGCCTGTGGTTGAACTTTTAGGTATGAATACAGTGCTGAGTATTCCTATAGAGATGATTATGTTCATTTTTAATACGTCATCCCAGTGTATGAAGATAGGTTTTATACTTGATTCTGTCTTACACTATAATAACTTCTCTTCCTTGACAAAAGTCATTACGTTTTTTGTTGGAAGATATGTCTGTTTTGAATGGAAACATTGTTTAAAATGTTATATTTAAAAGGCTCTGTATAAAGCTGTGTAATATGCTTTTATATTTTTTCTGGAATGTATTATTTCACCTCTCTTTAGTGAGAGATTTTTATCCTAATAAGAAATACAGAATCCAGTACATATTTTTACTTATTTCTTTTAATAATAACATATATAACCAAAAAGTGTATAAAATGTAAACAAGTAGCTGCTTAGCATGCTATCAAAAGAACTCAACTAGGCAAAGAAATAGAATACTGTAGGCCCCATAGAAGCCCCCATATGCCCTTCTGATTATAAACCCCTTCCTCTCCACTACTGGATAGGTACCTCAGTATGTGAGTTTTGGGGTATTTATTTTCTTGCGTGTTTAAAAGTTGTATTAGCTGATAGTGTATGACAAAGCGATATAGCTACATTTTGCCTGGTTTTGAAACGTATAAATTAGGACCCACATGTTGTGTATTCTGTCTGGCTTCTTCAACTCCAAATTTTGTTTCAAATATGCATGTATGTTATTCCATTCATCTGTACTTTATTCATTATTCTTATGCTATGATATTCCATTATATGAAAATCTCAGTTTGTTGATAGACATTAGGGCTTGTTGTAATTTTTTGCTTATGTAAGTAATATTGCCATTAACCGTCTTATGTACACACATATATACACACAAACACTTACATATTTCCTTGAACATATAAGCAAGCAATTCTGTAGGATTTTTACCTAGGAAAGGATTTGCTCATTAAAAGTATGTATATTTTCAAATTTACTAACTATTGTTTGGGCTAATTTGGGTCATGGGCGTATCCTAACCGAATTGACTGTAGGGAGGAGAGAAGTACTCCAAAGAAAGTTGGAGGTGCCAAAATAAGTGGAAATTATTCTAAGGAACATAAAAAGCCATTTTCTACTACTTCTACACATTATGATTTCTTAAAGATTATAAAATATAATTTGATATGCATAAAATTCTGTTTTGCATTGTGTAACAATTTTCTATACTTCCATATTGTTAAATAAAAATGTGAAAACATTCAACTTTGTATTGATATACATTGCCATATCCTAGGATTCCTTGCACTAAACTCTAACTCACATCCAGACTACACTATAACCCTAGTCTTCTGCCAGATATATGTGGGAATGTGGGTATGGGGAAAACGTCATATCCAGAGGTGGTCCATAAGCAATCTAGTGATTCCAAAATAAATTAAATCACCTTGGCTCATCATAAATACCAACTATGTAGACAAAAAATACAAATATTAGTAATGATACATATTTTTGGATTTGTTAGGTCTAAGGAAAAAAATATACACTATATAGGATTTTTTTAGATGTATTGATTACATTACATGATTTTCATTTTTGCCCATTTAATGCTTATTTCCCCTTCTGGCCAAAACATTTTTCTATTATTTTAAAAAGAAAGATTTAAAACAAAGTAACAACTGTATTGCCATCATAAAGTTTGGAAATGAGTCAGACCAGTTGCAACACCATTTAATTTCTAGGGTCAGATCATAGAATTAAGTAATGGTAAGGGAATACCTTGTTAAAATGTTATGTCAGAAAAAATTTTCCCAAGTAAATTTGAGAGTCAGCAAGCAGAGTGAGGAAGTGAAGAAAGGAAAACTGATTCGAAAAGAAGCAAAAAGAATGAGGTGATTGTTACAAGGATGTGATAGTTTTAGTAGCATTTTTATCCTTTATATAACTTTTTAACAGTTAATACAGCAGAATATTCAAACTACTTCCCAATCGACCACAGACTGAATTTACGCTCTCAAAAGGTACATCTTCCTCCTCTTTTAATGGATGAGGAAGCTGAGGCAAAGAAAGGTTAAGTGGCTTTATCAAGGTCACAAAACGTCACAGTGACAAATTTAGAAATAAAATTTAATTCCCTGAACCTCAGTCTATGATTTACTCCACTGGATAATTAATAGCAAGGCATTGTAGTGTTCATATTAGCTCTGCTGATCGCTATGAGAGATTTATATTTTAAGTGCAACGGAAACACATTTAACTGAGACCTCTAATTCTTCTGCCATGGATGTAATTAAGCAGTGTATTTGTGGTCTAGCCTGGGGATGGAGTATTGCTTCTTTTTCTTCCTATTTCTTTCAAAAAATTGCGTATTTTATTTCTCCTTTAAAAAAACTGTTTTTGTTAAATTACTTCATGGATTAAAGTGTGCTTTCACTGACTACAGCCTAACAATAATTGATGAAATTGATAAAAGGGGCAGATCTTTCCAGACTTTACTTTGTATGTTTGCTAACATTCCAGGATCCATACCCACAAAAACCATCATGTATATTATTTTTGATGAATTGACATATACTACATTTCTAGCTGTTTTATAAGTAAATATCTGCCATATTTTTGTAACTCAAATATCATTTAGATTAATTCACACTTTTGAATTAAAAGAGAAAAATGCTCATAAATATGGTGAAACTGAATTTAATCAACTTGGCTATCTAATGTTGATTTGGAGTTGAATTCCTAAAACAAAAGAGCTCTTTCATGAGTGGTTTCCAATAACTGTCCTGAAACCACTGACACTCATTACCTTTATTTATTATTTAATCTTAATATACTAAATGGGTTGTTCAAAAATGTATGAATCAAATTAACATTTATTGTTAAGGTGTAGTAAGTTTGAATAAAAACAAGATGTTTTTACTCTTGAGCAGAAAACGTATACATTTTAGAACATATTCATAGCAAGGTTGGAATGTGCCATCTCTGGCCATGGGGAAAACAAGACATCATAAACTTGAATGATTTCCATTAATACAAGAAAAATTAAATATTAATAATTAGAATAGTTAACACCTACTGAGTGTTCACCGTGTGCCAGGATCTGTTCTAAATTCTTTTTTTTTTTTTTTTTTTGAGATGGAGTTTCACTCTTGTTGCCCAGGCTGGAGTACAATGGCACGATATCGGCTCACCACAACCTCCGCCTCCCAGGTTCAAGCGATTCTCCTGCCTCAGCCTCCCCAGTAGCTGGGATTATAGGCATGTGCCACCACGCCCGGCTAATTTTTTATTTTTAGTAGAGACGGGTTTTCTCCATGTTGATCAGGCTGGTCTCGAACTCCCAACCTCAGGTGATCCACCCGCCTCGGCCTCCCAAAGTGCTGGGATTACAGGCGTGAGCCACTGTGCCCGGCCTGTTCTAAATTCTTCCACATAACCTCAACTTACTCACCCTTAAAAATTTTTCCAGTGCTCGCCAGGTGCAGTGGCTCACGTCTGTAATCCCAGGACTTTGGGAGGCTGAGGTGGGCAGATCACAAGATCAAGAGATCGAGACCATCCTGGCCAATGTGGTGAAACCCCGTCTCTACCAAAAATACAAAAATTAGCTGGGTGTGGTGGTGCGTGCCTGTAGTCCCAGCTGCTCAGGAGGCTGAGGCAGGAGAATCGCTTGAAACTGGGAGATGGAGGTTGCAGTGAGCCGAGATCACACCACTGCACTCTAGCCTGGGCAACAGAGCAAGACTCTGTGTCAAAAAAAAAAAAAAATTCCAGTGCTTGCCAAGTACCTAATATTCTTCTAGGTTTCATAAATTGCACTTGAAAATAATTCACTATTTTATTTCCCACTTCATATGGATTTTTGAATTTAATAAAAGATGAACATCCATTTCTGGAAAATGCAGTCAATTAGACCTCCATTTGCTGCTCTGAAACACTGAGAAAAATTAGATGAAATAAAATAGAAATACCATTTTAAATGATTAGTTGAGCTTGCAAGAATGTTCTTTTTTAAAAAAAGAAAAATCTCTGGGTCTAATTTTTATTTAGCAGTATTGAAGTACAAAAAAGTTACATAATTCAAATCATAATTTTATGAATATCAAATCACATTTTATAATCTTTAAGAAATCATGAAGTTTAGAAGTAATAGACATCTGCTGTTTATATTTCCTAGAATATGTTTCACTTCTTTTGACACCTCCCATTTTCTTTGGAGTACCACTCCTCTCTTTCCTTCAGTCCTTTTGGTTGGTAGACTCTTGGTCAAAAAAATCTCCAATTTGCTGCTCAAGAAGAATTGACCAGTCTCCAGGAAGGGCCTTAACAGGGTCCTCCTGGTTCAAGACAGCATTTAAAAAATAAAAAGAGACCAGGCTCAGTGGTTCACACCTGTAATACTGGTGCTTTGGGAGGCTGAAGCAGGAGGATTACTTGAGGCCAAGAGTTTGAGACCAGCCTGTGCTATATAGTCAGACATTGAATCTATCCATACATACATACATACCTATCTGTATTATATCTCTAAAAATGTCAGGTACTAGAATCCATAAATACAGACTAGAAATTAGCTATGCCTAAAATGATGGGTCACATTTTTAAAAATCTAAAACAATACCAGTATTTTTGATGCCTGTGTGAGAGCATAAATATTAAGAAAGGCAATTGGTCAGCAGGACTTTCTGCCCCAGTCATATATGCATTTTGATTTCATTCAATTTTCTGGCTGCCCTATTGCTGTTGTTGCCTGACATAGTTCATCAGCCAGAAGTAGTTCTTAATTTTTTCACTGATTTTCTTTGACAGCATTGAATTTCAAGTGTACTGAGAGTGTTTTCATTATAATAACCCTGCCAGTGTAATCCAACGGATTGCTTGCCTCTTAGAAATGATACAGTCATCCTTTCTGTCCGTCCCAGGTGTTAGAGCTGTATTACTTCTAGATTTTCAGACCACTAGCTAAACTTATTCTTACCTCATTGTTAAAGAAACAACTACTTTTTTTTTTTTTTTTACTGCTAACCATATGGCAGGTACTGTACACAATTATTTATAGGCATTACTATCTATATTTATCAAGGAGAAAAGTCAAAGTACATTTTGGACACATATTTAAACTTTTAAATACAAATCATTATCATTATTTCTAATGAAATTCCCTTCTTTATTTGCACTCTACTGCTTCAAATTTTCAAATTCTCTTATATTAATTCTAACAAACTCAATTTTGAGAGTCAAAAAGCTGTTCAATAAATATCCCTTGATAGAATTATTGGTTTATGGCTGGGCATGGTGGCTCACACCTGTAATCCCAGAACTTTGGGAGGCCGAAGTGGGTGAATCATCTGAGATCAGGAGTTCAAGACCAGCCTGGCCAACATGGCAAAACCCTGTCTCTACTAAAAATACAAAAGTTAGCCAGGCGTGGTGGTCCGCGCCTGTAGTCCCAGCTACTCAGGAGGCTGAGGCAGGAGAATTGCTTGAACTCAGGAGGCAGAAGTTGCAGTGAGCCGAGATCAAACCACTGTGCTTCAGCCTGGGCAACAGAACAAGACTCCATCAAAAAAAAAGAAAAAAAAAATTCTTGTTTTAGTTAGTTAGAGAAAAAAAATATCAACAACTGGGCTGTCCAATATAATAGCCACAAGCACCATGTGTCCACTGAGCAACTGAAATTTGGCTAGACTGGATTGAGATATTTTAAATGTAAAATATGTGCTAAATATTTCAAATGTAAAATATGTGCTGGATTTTAAAGACTTAGTTTGACAAAAATAATGCAAAATATCTCTTTAGTAATTTTTTTATATTGATATCATGTTGAAGTGATAATATTTAGTTAAATAAGATATACTACAAAATTGATTTTACCTCTTTTCACTTTTTTAAATGTAGCTGCTAGAAAATTTTTAATTGTATATGTAGTTCGGCTTATATTTCTGTTGCACAGAGCTACTCTTGAAAGTGAAGTGTGGTATCAGCCTGGAGAAGTGTAAGGGAAACACACAAGACCAAGCATCTAAGGGTTGTCTTAGTTCCATTGGTGGAGCTGCCATGCCTGGGCTCAGTGACCTTAACTAAGTTATCTGTCTTCATTAAATGTTGTCTTAGTGTTGAGACTGTGAATAGTCATCACTCACAGTGCTTTGGTGAGGGGTAAATTAGCGCAGATGCATCAAACCGGACTGTGAAGGAATATACAAATGGAAGTGGCTACTGCCATGATTTGGTTTGATTTTTGAATCTTTACCTTGGTGATATGGTTTGGCTATGTCCTCACCCAAATTTCATCTTAAATTGTAGCTCCCATAATTCCCACATCTTGTGGGAGGGACCCCGTTAGAGGTAATTGAGTCATGGGGGCGGGTCTTTGCCATGCTGTTCTGGTGATAGTGAGTAAGTCTCACGAGATCTGATAGGTTTAGAAAAAGGGAGTTCCCCTGCACACGCTCTCTTGCCTGCTGCCATGTAAGGCACCGCTTTGCTCTTCCTTCATCTTCTGCCATGATTTCCCAGCCATGTGGAACTGTGAGTCCATTAAACCGCTTTCCTTTATAAATTACCCAGTCTCAGGTATTTATTAGCAGCGTGAGAACAGACTAATACACGTGGTTTGTTTCAGTTAATGTAATTTTAATATTTATAATCTTTTTTTTATTATTATACTTTAAGTTTTAGGGTACATGTGCACAACGTGCAGGTTTGTTACATATGTATACATGTGCCATGTTGGTGTGCTGCACCCATTAACTCGTCATTTAACATTAGGTATATCTCCTAATGCTATCCCTCCCCCCTACCCCCACCCCACAACAGGCCCCGGTGTGTGATGTTCCCCTTCCTGTGTCCATGTGTTCTCGTTGTTCAGTTCCCACCTATGAGTGAGAACATGCGGTGTTTGGTTTTTTGTCCTTGTGATAGTTTGCTGAGAATGATGGTTTCCAGCTTCATCCATGTCCCTATAATATTTATAATATTAATCTATTCCGTCAAATGTCACTGATTATCATCAATACAATTATTGACTAACATTCATTGACCATTAAGTAATGGTTTATATGTGTGGAGAAAATTCAGAATATCTTATTTGTGTGCAAGCTACTAACAAATGAATTTCAATGTCTTTAACTGGGGTAAATAATGAATATGTGCATTTCTACCTTTGATATGATTATATATATTTATATGTATACAAATGCATACATACGTATGTATGTGTATATATATGTGTGTGTGTGCCCCTATATTAATATATGTCTTATTGACTATTACAGTCACTTATTTGCATCTAAGAAATCAGGGGAACATTTTTCTATACTTTTTTTTGCAATAATATTATTTTCTATTTTACAAAACTGATTTATTTTTTGTGGTTAACATTCCAAAGACCCATTTGATCATGATTCCTCTCATATGAGGTACCTAGAATAGGCAAATTCATAGAGACAGAAAATAGAGTAGAGATTATTAAAGGTTGGGGAACAGGGGAATGGGAAGTTATTGTTCAGTAGTTAGCAGAGATTCAGTTTGGGATGATAAAAAAAAGTTCAAGAGATGGATAAAGGTGATGGTAGCACAACATTTTGAATGTATTTAATGCCATTTAATTGTACACTTAAAATTAGTTAAAATGGTAACTTTTATCTTATATATCTTACCACACAAAAAAAGATTCATTTGAAAATAAATGGCTGTTCTTAATAGTTTGGAGCATATTTTTAAAATTATTTGCCAAGTGTGGTGGCTTGCCCCTGTAAACCCATCACTTTGGGAGGCTGAGACGAGAGGACCACTTGAGCCCAGGAGTTTAAGACCAGCCTGGGCAACATGGGGAAACCCTATCTCTACAAAAAAATACAAAGAATTAGCTGGGCATGGTGGTGCATGTCTGTAGTTCCTGCTACTCAGGAGGCTGAGGTGGGAGAATCGCCTGAGCCCAAGAGGTCCAGGCTATGGTAATGAGACTCTCACTCAAAAAAGAAAAATATCATATCAAAGATTTTTTTTTAAAGATCATCTTTTCTCTACTTCATGTTGGCTCTCTACTTTGACAGGTATTGATTTTTCTGTAAAACTTTTGAAGCTCAAACCATTATGTCGGCACTTTATATTAACTGCTTTTAGTTTTGACATCAGCAAAATTGACTGAAAACTCAATATTGCACCTGTTTCAATACAGAGTCTCTGGTGTGGAAAGATTAGCAAGATAAGCTAAAGAAACTTCTATTGTTCAACTTTATCTTCTCAGTCTCATCAAATCAAAGATTGAAAATGTACTCTAGGAGGATGTATTTCTGGTGAGGTTAGATGACTACACATCTAAAAGTAAAAGTTTTAAGAGTAAAATATAACATAATAAGGATCTAGAATCTTGAAGAAAGATTCCAACATATTTTATGACAATTAAGTCTCTAGGTACCATTAATAAAGATGACTGTAACCTCAGAGCTAAAAGCATTTAGTTCATTATTCCATGCAAACTCGTTAAAATATGAAGACTAAACTTAGCATCTAGTGTCACCACTAAAAACTGTTTAAAACTTATGTGATATTGAGTGAGATACATTTCTTTATGGTTTAATAAGTGAATTAGATGTCTCAGTGTGATGATGCCTATATCTACATGCACGTGAATGTGTGTATACATAGATCTATATAATATATATCTATAAATATGTATTTTCATTGGATAGAGAATTATTAACCATTTTGTTTTTTTTTTTCTTTTTTGAGACAGAGTCTCGCTCTGTTGCCCAGGCTGGAGTGCAGTGGTGCAATCTCGGCTCACTGCAACCTCTGCCTCCCGGGTTCAAGTGATTCTCCTGCCTCAGCCTCCCAAGTAGCTGGGATTACAGGCGCGTGCCACCACGCCCGGCTAATTTTTTGTATTTTTAGTAGAGGTGGGGTTTCACCGTTTTAGTCAGGACGGTCTTGAACTCCTGACGTTGTGATCCACCCACTTTGGCCTCCCAAAGTGCTGGGATTACAGGCGTGAACCACCGCGCCCAGCCATTAAACCAATTTTATATATACAGCTCTTATAGTTTTAATTTTATTTTTGCCACTTAGTGGCAAGAAATTTGTTACTTGGTATAAATAAAACCAAGTTGATTTGTTTAAGCAGTAGGTTCCCATTAGACTTAATGATGTTGTATCATCCCATTATTAATTTGAATAAATTTCTATTATGTTATTTTTCAAAATGAACAACAGTGCATAGAATCAACAATTGAGTCACTGCAATAGCAGTATAACCATGCTACTCCTTCAATATGGGAGTTTTTGTTAACAAACTAAACTCTGACAGCTTAATGTATGCAAGATTAAGAAAAAAAATAAAACCACAAGCTAATTTCTTATTATACTCACTTTGTGTATTATACTTAATGGGGTCTCAGATTTGTTTTTCTTCTTTCCTAGACACCAGATTACCAGGAACAGTGAGAACTTAGGTAGAAATGTGGATAATGGTACACTAATAACTAGAGGTTTACAAAATAGGAAAGGTTAAAGGAACTGAGAATATTACTATTATTTGGATTTTAAAAAACTCTGGGCTGGGCGCATTGGCTCACTCACGACTGTAATCCTAGCACTTTGGGAGGCCGAGGCAGGCAGATCACCTGAGATCAGGAGTTCGAGACATGGTGACACCTTGTTTCTACTAAAAATACAAAAATTAGCTGGGTGTGGTGGCACACACCTGTAGTCCCAGCTACTCGGGAAGCCGAGGCATGAGAATCACTTGAACTTGGGGGGGCAGAGGTTGCAGTGAGCCAAAATCGCGCCACTGCACTCCAGCCTGGGCGACAGAGTTAGACTCCGTCTCAAAACAAACAAACAAACAAACAACAACGAAAACCTCAATGATGTGCCATAATAAGATGTTAAGTACTGGAAGTGTTCAGAATAATGGAAGAGCAGCAAAGGGTGACTACATTAAAAATCCAGCAGGTAATGAGTTTCATGAGGATTTACAAATTGTTTTTTAAAAAATATTGATTAAATTTATTGCTCTGTGATTTTAGCATTTAAGGATAGTTCCTGGAAAAAACAAACAAACAAAAAACACTGCTCAATAATAGGGAAGACTTTTGGTGCTGTATTCTTTGGAGGTTTTAAAAATATGACAGAAACCCATTTGAGGCATGTTCAGGCATAGACAAATTGGAGGAAGGTCACTGAGACTCTAGTAATTTTTTTATTATGTTAAAATTTTTATGGTTCATTTTTCCTAATATTTTGTAGTTTAAAAAATAGGGAGCAATTTAAAAAATCAAAACATTAGGTTTTGATATGACAGTTTAATAATTACATAAAGGAATTTAAAATAATGAATGCTATTTTTAAACTGTTCAAACTATTTTAAAGAGCTTCTATTACTCTTACACTATGAAAAGGTCCACTAATTATATCCCAGGGTTAGTTTTCCCTTGCCTTTATCACAATATTGAAGGCTCTTTCTTGATGATAAAACCAAGAGGTAACTCTTAACTTGCAATTGATGTAGATATTTTGTAACATATATTTAGAAGAATTTCTAAAAACTATTTTTGAGAAAACTGCATGAAAATGGAGTTGGTTTTTTTCATGTCAAAATATATAACTTTTGCATCATAAGAGATTTAATGTTTTCATTTCTTAAAATGCTTGACCAAGTCTTTTAGTCATTATATTAGCATCTCTTGTTCCATCTGGAGGACCTAAAAATCCAATGAACTGTAAATGGGCAGTTCAATATGAATATGCAAATTAAAGACATTATGAATTCTATGTAAGATGTAAAGAAGTAGCTTACTCTGTGCCTTAATTAGAAGACCTTACTGTATATTTCTTTATCATTTGTTGGGTTGATCATCGGGTTCCACTCCAACATATCCACCAGGAATTCTGGTATATAAATGGCATCAAAGATTGTTTACAAATATCGTGGACAATGTCTCAAGTGATAATTGCAATATGTTTCTCAGGGAAGAAAAAAATACAACTTTTGTGAATATTATTTTTAAAACAGAAATGCTGTATATAGTCACTACTGTCTTCTGATGGTAATGATAGAAATTTTGGAACCTTTAATGAGTACTTATTGTTAAAGTTCCATTAGATAATTATGTTCTGTTTACATACTGCCATCATTTGAAGAACATATTTGCTTTATTCACCAAATCTTGAAGCATACTCTACACATGAATTTAAATGCTACTATTTCTATTACCCACCCTCAGAGTCTTCTAATTTCTAATATTTACTTAAATATTTTGGTTTTCAAAATTTTACCTATGATTATAAAGCACACACTGAGCTTTTATTTTAAAATTGAGGCTTGTGCTGTCAATTTAAGGATGAGAGAAGCACAGAGAAACGTGTTCTTTTTAAAAAAGTAATATATATATATATATATATATATATATATATATATTTTTTTTTTTTTTTTTGAGATGGAGTCTTGCTCTGTCGCCCAGGCTGGAGTGCAGTGGCATGATCTCGGCTCACTGCAACCTCTGCCTCCCAGGTTTCAAGCGATTCTTCTGCTTCAGCCTCCTGAGTAGCTGGGATTACAGGCCCACGCCACCACGCCCCACTAATTTTTGTATTTTTTTAGTAGAGATGGGGTTTCACCATGTTGGTCAGGCTGGACTCAAACTCCTGACCTCCTGATCTGCCCACCTCAGCCTCCCAAAGTGCTGGGATTACAGGCGTGAGCCACTGCGCCCGGCCAAAAAAATAAAATATATTTTAAACCTTTAAAAGCAAACTTGGTTATCAATGTATCATGTTTCTGTGTATCAACTTTTATAAGTCCACTACTCAAAATGTAACCTGAAAACAGAATTTTTCCAATTAGATATTGTTGCTATGGCGTAATTGAGCTAGTTAATGATATAACTCTTTCAGAATAATAAGTCAATAATAGTTATCAGCACCAAACATGAAGGAAGTGAAGTAGAAGATATATGAAAAATAACCATTAATATTAAAACAATATATTATGGGGGCAGCAAATAGGTAGTAAGCTATTTACTATTCATTAGTTGGTTATGACATTGCTAAAATTAAATTAAAACAAAAGGTGAATACAAATACAATGAAGTAGTTTGGATGATGTTTTCCATTTGGGGTATATAATCAGATCATTTTATGTTAATCTAATTTGTCTTTGAGTTAAATAAACCCAATAGTGTTGACCTGCCTTTTCATGTGTCATTTTTTCAACATTGTCGTTTGATAAACATTTAGTAAGAAATAAAATTACACTCAGAGCAATAATTTTATACTTTCGCAAGCTATTTATAAAATCTAATTGTATAAATGAATGTGTTCTTTAAAGATCTGTATTTGTTGTTTATGATGAAGTTAAGAAGTTATAGCTACTTCTGGTGCTGTTCAAAATGAAGATTGGAAATAATACAGTGAAGTAGATCTTTAACCCAGATAGTTTGAGATGCACTCTTCTGGATGGCGGATGAAGGACTGAAACAAAGGCCAGGCAGTTAGTTTGCAGAAAAGAAATATGTAGGAAGTAAGACAAAATAATTAATTACATATACGTAATGACATATACTTCTTCTCATTCAAATAATCTCTAGTCATTAATTCCAGGAAAATTACTCAGATAATTTTTTTTTTTTTGAGCCAGAGTTTCGCTCTTATCACCCAGGCTGGAGTGCAATGGCATGATCTCGGCTCACTGCAACCTCTGCCTCCCAGGTTCAAGTGATTCTCCAGTCTCAGCCTCCCAAGTAGCTGGGATTACAGGTGCCCACCACCAGGCCTGGCTGATTTTTGTATTTTTAGTAGAGATGGCGTTTCACCATGTTGGCCAAGCTGGTCTTGAACTCCTGACCTCAGGTGATTCACCTGCCTCGGCCTCCCAAAATGCTGGGATTACAGGCATGAGCCACCGTGCCCGGCCTACTCAGATAATTTTTAAAATGTGTGCTTTTTTTGTTTGTTCATAACATTCAGAGTTCTAGAGCATAATTACAGAGTATTTCAACAATGCTCAGTTAGTAGTGGTTAAATCTTCCACTTCAGTGCAGCTGTTGCTCTGTCATGTAAACATACCAAATGTACCTTCAATAGGAGTTTAAGATTTTTTTTATATGTATTTCTGTACTTTGGAAATAGTTTCTAGTGGGTGGGTGTGGCAGAGGAGACTCTTGTTGGTTAGTATAGAGCTGTTGCTGTGGAGCAGCTGCTCAGCCAGAAATTCAATTTCCCAGCCCCTCTTGCTTCTAGGTGGAACCATGTGACTAGTTCTTATCAATGAGTATAAGGGAAGGAATGTCATTTCTGAGCCAATGTAATGACGAAGTAGATATGCTTTTTCCCTGTCTTTCTTTCTCCATCAATTACTGGATGCAGACAATGGCAAGGTTTTAACAGATGGAAGGTGCCCAGGTCTCTAAATCACATAATGGGGGGAATTTGGTCACTGACCAGAAAGACTGTCATTGAATGACTTCAGGAGTGAAAAATGAGTCTCAGTTAAATTAAATCACTGAAATGGTGAGGTTTACTTGAATGGCAGAAAGCCTTACCCTAAATAGCAGTGTTAGGCAAGTTTTACCAATGCAAAGTCATTTGAATAAAAGAGAAATTTATTGTAAAGTCACAAATGGTCTAGAACTGAAACTGCTAAGCTACACAGCTGCCACTTTCCTGTTTGAATGCTTCTTTCTACACGGTTTCTCCATCTGCTATGCACTTACCAGATCTCTGAATGTTCAGTCTATACATTTTTCAACAGCCAAATCAAAAACCCATCTCTTCTGGTCAACCTTCAGTCCTCTCTCCTAGATCTGGACAGTCCCATTTTCCTTAGTGGTCAGTTTGCTTTTTGACACTTTTTTCTTTCCCCTCCACAGTGATTTGGCCAATTGGATATATTCCTACTCTTTCACACTAGCCTGTAAGGCCCTCGAGCCACGACTTTGTCTTCAGCATTATTTAGCATAGAGAGAAAAGATGATTAATAAGTACTTTTGAAATGTTTAATAAGCAAAAGCTGAGTTGGGAATGTATTTTAGAAATATATGCTATTGTAGATAGCTAAATGTGATTTTAGTCTTTATCACAAACTTCTTAGTAATTATTTGAGAGCTTTCAGCATATTTATAAAAATAATTTAAAATATAACTATTTTACTTGAAAGTCTTTGTATATTCATTGTTCTTGAATTAGTAGGTAATAATCCTAATGAGCCATAACAACTGTTCTCTCTTCAAAATAATTCTGATGATAGGGTTTTCTTCTTAAGTCAGCACAAAATTTATTCTTTATATAGGGTCAATTGAAGTGTTTTTAAAAGCATGCACAGCTCTGGTAATTCATTCATAAAACACAGGAAAATGTTTTAAAGTCAAAAGCTTCAAAAAGATTCACAATGTGAAAAACATAAATTAGAACATTAAGGAAACTTGTGTTGTAGGACTTTTTCCTTAGTTCAGCTAGAAACCAGGTTCTTGTCACATGACCAGGAAAGATTAGGTTCCTAGACACAGTAGAAGGGTGGGAAAAATGGAATTTATTGGGCAAAAAGGAAAAAGGAAAAACAACACAGCAAAGTGAGATGGGGTCCTGCTAAGGGGCTCTCCACCTCACCAAACGAATCCCAGGGTTACCACCCCAGAACAGGAGAGGCCAGGCTCCTCCCCGCTGCAAAGGGCATGAACTTCCCTCATCTCCACACTCCCACACATACCCCCACCCCTGTTCTCCCAGTTTGCAGGCCAGTTGTAGGTTCTCCAAGAACCCCTTTCTCCTTTATTACTTGGCTGTCTCACTTAGAAGACTGATGCTAGCAAAAAACATACACAGGAAAAATAAGAGAGTAACAGAAAAAAAAATCTGGCAAAGAAGGCAGAAGGGAAAGAGACTAAGCCATAAGAGAGAGAGAGAAAAAAAAAATCTCTGGTCTGGGAAGGGCATATTTTCTAAGCATTAGTGTGTAAGATGGAGAAGCAACTCATTAAGCTGTCCTTTAATGTAGTATTATCCATAATAGTACAATATGAGAAACAACTCAAATTCCCCAAAAATGATACAGAATGGATTTTATAAATCACGTAAGCCAGTGCCATAGAAAAGAGTCTGAATTCGAGTGGTGTGACTTCAGTTATAGTCCTGTTTGCAGCCTGGTACAGGACTTAGGCAAATATTTTAATTCTTACTTGTATGTTTGGGAGGCAAGGTAAAGACTTCGCCTTCACCCTCTGAAGATACCCTGAAAAATCAACTCACAGAAAGCAGATTAATTGGAAAAAAGACATATACATTTATTAACGTGTGCATGAGGAGAACCAGGGTGGTTACCCATCTTGCCAGTGGAGTTCAGAAGCTTATATGCCATCCTGGTCAAACAGGTTATGGGAGTGGAGAGAAGAGGAATTTTGGTGAGGGACAATAAAGGATCCTTAGGGAGAACAGAACCCATCTGGGAGCAGAGATTAATTAAGTTGTAAATAGTTCTCTTTGGAATTTGAATGAGCCTGAGAGACAGGTTAGTCTTCCACAGAGGGGAAGAAACAACAGTTATCCTTTTTGGTGAGTTTGGACTTTAGACATATAAAAGAACTTCAAAGAACAGCTTCCTCCTGGCTTGAGAGAGTCATTTGCGGGCGGGGAGAGGGAGGGAATCAGAGAGGCTATGAGACTGCTTTTTCAGTTCAGCATGTTAAAGTGCCATATTTGGGGTATCGGTTTTTGAACCCCATCATAGGCTACAGAACCCTACAGTTCCTTTCAAGGCTGAAAGTTTCTAATACAGTAAAGTGTTTAAAAGTTTACACTATTCTGATTTTAGCAGATTTCCCAAATGGTATATCTCTTCATAGTGTTAGGTAAGGCAGAAAGCTATTCTTTAAAGAGCAAATCTCTGAAAGCTAATGATGCCTGGGTTGCAATCTAAATGATATTTTTTTCTTTTTCTAAAATGCCAAGGGCAAGTTGACTTTTAGAGTTAATTTCTTTCATTTATATAAAATGGTAATGAGAGTTAAATTATATTTAGGCACCTGGTACATTACCTAGCCTGTAATAAACTCTCTGTAAATGCTAGTTTCCTCCCTCTGTTGCATTAAAACAACTACAAGATGAAAAACCTATGTAAACCAAAAATAAAAGTCTAAGCCCCACAACCAACAGAATGGACCCCTCCTTTCGGCCAAGAGCATTATAAAGGAAACCTGAAATATTAGTTCAGGCCTTGATGAAATGGATGGTTGGATATGCCTCATTATACTTTCCTCCCTTTGATATTTAGGCTAACCAGCATTAGCATTAAAACAGAGACCTGAAGACTGACAGAACTAGACTCTTTAAGCCTGATAAGAAACATTTACAACTGATTCCCTCTAAAGCCTGCTACCTGGAGGCTTCATCTGCATAATAAGAATTTGGGTCTCTATAATCCCTTATCTTAACCCAGACATTCCTTCTATTGATTCCAAGTCTTAGATAAATTCTTTCCACCAATTGCTAATCACAGAATCTTTGAATCCACCTACTACCTGGAAGCACCCCCACAACACACACACAATGGCTTCAAGTTGTCCTGCCTTTCTGGACCAAACCAAAGTACATTTTCCATTTATCGATTTATGTCTTTTGTCTCCCTAAAACGTATAAAGCCAAGCTGTAGCCCAACCACCTTGGGCATGTATTGTCAGGATGTCCTGAGGTTGTGTCATGGACATGTCCTCAACCTTGGCAAAAGAAACTTCTAAATTGATTGAGACTTGTCTCAGATACTTTTTGGTTTACAACTGAAAACAATATAGGTTAGCGATACATCTATTCTGGTGTCAACGCCAGAATAGTTTGTCACAGTCAAATTTTATTACTGTGATTCAAACCATGGTAAAATTATAACTTAAATTTTATAAGATAGATAAAAACAATTCAATTAATATTCCCTGGTTAGTTTCAGTCATAATGATTATATAAGTTGGGTATTCTCAATTACATGAGCATCTCTTTAAGGCAGATGAGAATTTGATGATGTTAATCATGATGATGATTACTAGCATTTATTGAATGTCTACTATATGCACCACTCTAAGCACCTTGCATATACTATCTAATTTAAACTGGCTCATAGATGACATACTAGTTTAGAGTGTACTATTTGTTGACTGCATTTTACCCTGTACTTCAATTTGATAGACAGTGTAGATGTACTAAATTCATTCTTCATTCCCTTTACAAAAATTGACTGAGTTCTTATTGATGTGCTGTCCTGGACAGTGTGAAAAATCAAAGGATGAATCAGGCAGAGACCTCTTCGAGCAGATATTATTGAGCAGAAGAGGTAAATTATGCACACAATAGGGTGCAAGATGAAAAGTGGTATGAGATGAATGATCATAAAGGGTGGTGGGAATTCTGAGATGATCATGAAAAGTTTCCTGCCCAAGTGGAATTTGAATTTGTCCTTGAAAGAGAGTGAAATCTGGACTGGGAATGTCAAATTAAAAATAAAAATCCAGACTTTGTAAGGTGGGGAGACTATTGCAATTGGGAAGCTACTCTAACTATAAGATCTACAAGCCTTTCAAAGTTAGGCAAAAGGATTTTTCTTTCATAGGGAAGAGTAAACAAGGCTGGAAAGAAAAAAAAAAAAAGCAGATGTAGGGAAGTGGGATGAAAAGGAGTGGCAAGATGTGACAGTGGACCCCAGAATATTTAATCCTAAAGCCAGTATAGTCTCTGGAAGGGGGCTATTAAGAGGGATTGTATGTTGCCTCAGGCTAAGGTGGTGCAAAGCTCAGGGATCTAGAGGAAGGACAGAATGTTAACCGTCTTTCTTTAAGAAGCATTATATTCTGATTGATCACTTGGGGCAAAACAGTTCATAATTATCTATGAGGCAAAGAGTGGGAATTTTGAGTCTTTTTGTATGGCCCTGTCATAGGCAAGCCAGGGGAACAACTGTGAAGCAGGGTGGTTCTGTGCAGTAAGCCATTTCCCAAAACACAAAAGGATGTGGGGATTTATTAAACTTCACTGTTTTCCAAGATCATTGGTCTTGGGTAAAGTTCAACATTGTCTTGGGTATGGGAGGAAAACTCAGTTAGGACTTCTTAAAGAAAGAGATATTCATGGGAAGGTTTCGTTTAGCTGGGATGTTGACATTATGAAGGAACGCACTAATAAATGGTGATGGTTACCCTTTTTGAACTGCCAGTTCCTTTTCTAAAGTTAAAAACTATCAGTTCATTTAATCTTCACAGTCATCTGATGATACAGTTACAATTATCCTCCCCATTTTACAGACAAAGAATCTGAATCCCTCAGAGTTTAAGTCACTTGATGATACTCCTAGTAAGAAGTACAACAGGGACTCCAACTTATGAAGCCACTGTAAGCCTGACAGAGCCATTTTAGCCTCTTTTCATGACTTCAGACTTTCCCTTTATACCAAAGGGAATGGAATAAAACTGCTTGGACAAGAGCAAGAAGACATGCATCCATTTTTCACATTCCAAAATAATGGACTCCAACACATACACATAAGAGAAGCAGCTGGACATAGAAGAACTTAGAAAAACAGAAAGTCCAAGTTTGGATATGGTGCACAAGAAACAACAGCAGCCAATGGAGCTTGACAAAGCAGAGTGGCGATAACAGGAAAGGTTCTGAGGGCAGGGAACAAAACAATGGAGCTAGTCAAGACAGAAGGGCCCACTGTTTGTCTGCTTTCTGTTTTTTTTGAGAATGAGGATGGGGTGGAGATTAGGGTTAAATTTAACACTGTTATCTTTGTAGGCCCAGGTTTCTCTGGTTCATATCTCTGTCAATGAGACTATCACAGGTCTGTGAAGTTTTTGGGGGATTTGGAAAATGCCTGCTGGATTAGCTTTTTTAAAAAAAAGTATTATTATTATTTTGAGACAGGGTCTGGTTCTGTCGCCCAGGCTGGAGTGCAGTGGCATGATTACGGCTCACTGCTACCTCCGCCTCCTGGGCTCAAGCAATCCGCCCACCTCAGCATCCCAAGTAGCTGGGACTACAGTTGCACACCACCACAATCAGCTATTTTTTTTTTGTAGAGACAGGGTTTTACCATGTTGCCCAGGCTAATCTCGAACTCCTGGGCTCAAGTGATCCACTCGCCTCAGCCTCCCAAAGTACTGGGATTATAGGCATGAACCACCGTGCCTGGCCTGGATTAGCTTTTAAGAGCAACCCTGAGCTACCCTGAAGACATCTCAACTAGTACAGTTTAGCCCTCCAGAGTTGAGGACAGTTGCTGAATCCAACACACATTCAACTCTCCTTCCCTTTTCCCTTTGCCAGATACATTTGCATTTACTTCTATAAATCACAGCTATCATTGTTTTTCCTAATAATTATCTTATGATTCAATACACTCAGTCCAGTGAGCCCAGGAATACATAGTACATGGTTCTAAATTTTATTGAAAATATTTATAACTTTGAAATGTAAATAATTGAACTAAATTCATCTTCTATAAATCATATTTTGGGAAGAAACCCTGATTGCTCTAACCAACAGAGATGTTATTAGAAATGTAATATAATAATAAAAGCAATTAACCTTTACTGAGGCCATCCTGTGTCCCTGAACTGATGGTAGGCACTTTCACATCCTTTTTCATCCTCCCAGGAACCTATTAGTAGAAGATATGGTTTCTATTTTACAAACGAACCAATTACAGTTCTGAGAAGTTAATCTCTTTGACCAAGCAGTTGTACTTTAGGCCTTGAGCCAAGTTTTGAACTCAGACCTCTCTGACTTTAAAAGTCCTCTAAGCCATTCTACTTGGAATCAATTACTCACATTTTCAAGACTACTCAAGGGCAGCTGTGCTACCTAATACGTGTAATGTTGGGAACAATATTTAACTACCCGTTGACTTAGTTTCTTCATCTGAAATGTAAAGGCAATCAGAACTTCCTTAGAGGATTATTGTGAAGATTAAATAAATTAATACATGTAAACTATTTTAAAGGTATACAGAGCTACTATTTTATAAGTGTTAGCTATGACGATTGATGATTATGATGACAATGAAATCATACTCTCTTTCTCAAGTGAATAGCCGTACTCAAAATGTCATTATGATTTTGTATGCTAAACAAAAACTACAGAAAATTAGGAGTATTAGTTTGCTCTTAATTAAATTTACATGTAAGTTTCTTTTAATCATAAATTTGGAAATCTCTTTTGTGCCTCCCATTATACTTCTTAGTCTCTAAAATAAAATTTGCATTTTATTTGAGACCACAGAATGGCAGTTTTGATAATTGGATTTTAAAAACCTTTTTAAAAAAAAAAAAAAAAGATTTGCATATTATTTCCCTGGTATAAGGAATCTGGATCACCAAAATATTAAGAACATTTTCTATTATTTCTCATTTGTGTGGAACATGGGGGTGTTAACATTGTCTTGACTTATTTGCCCCGTATGGTTGTTAGGTTCCAGGGAGCTTCAGCTGAGCTTAAGTGTTCCTGTCTGAAATATCTGAGTCAAGGTGTATGAACCAGAGATCAAACAAATCAGTAAAGAAGTAACAGGCATAAGACTGAAGTAAAAAAACAAAGATGGTTCCCTATCACTACTAAGTATGGACAGCCCAGAGGTGTGACAAACCCTATTGGTTCTTCTTGCCTACTGCACAGTAAAGCCAATACACTGAGACAGCAGTGTTGCAGTAGAGGATGAGTTTAATTCTCACAAAGCAGCTGAGCTGAAGGATAGTATGCATTTCTCAAATCGACCTCCACAAGAACTCAGAAACTAGGGTTTTTAATGATAATTTGATGGACAGGGAGCTAGGGAGTAGGTGCTACTGATTGGCTGGGAATCAAACCATAGGGATGTTGAAACTGTCTTTGTGCACTGAGTCAGTTTCTGGTTTGAGGTCATCACAGGACCAGTCAAGTCAGTTCCTTGGTATGGGTCCCAGGTTCAGGTGGCATCAGTTTGTCTGCCAGGATGCAAAAATGTCTGAAAATTATATCCAAGACCAGTCTTGGGAAGCAACTGGAGAAGTTATAAATCTTGTGACCTCTGGCCACTTGACTCCTGAGCAGTAAGTAATTATAGAAAACAAGCTTGGGACCAAGGGTAGGTTATTGTTTAACTATGCTTGCATCTTAGCAGAATTCATGCTCCTCCCATAAGTCTAAGCTTGTGGCCTTTCATTAGCTTTACAAAGGTGGTTTCAGTCTGAACAAGGAGGGGAAGGGACTGTTATCATCCTTGCTTTAAATTTAAACTGTAAACTAAATTCCTCCCGTAGTTATCTGGGCCTACATCCAGGAATGAGCAAGGGCAGTTAGCTTGTGAGTTTAGAAGCACAATGGAGTCACCTATGTTAGATTTATTTCACTGTAATAATTTCACAAAGGCAGTTTCAGTCACAAGTATTTAAGAGCAGAGACAACCACCCAGGAATTCAAATCTAGATTGAAGTACAAGCTGTTTTAAAGCCTGCAAGGTTGGTGTGTGTCTGGATGACAATGGCAGTGCTCATTTACCTCAACAAAGGCTTTCAACAGCCATAGAAGTTGGTGACAAATTTATACTCTAGTAAGTATGTGGTTTACAGATAAGGCAGGCTGAGTTTAAAGGTTTGCAGTAGGGATTGCACCGGATAGTGTGAAAATTGTATTGAAACTGATATTAAATATCTTAAATATAAAGCATTAAATGACATTAATCTAGATGTTCCGCTATGACTTTTATACTGTTATGGCTTTCATCTGTTGCTGCCTTGAAGTTGAGGAGAAAAGAGCAAGCAGTGGCCTCTTTGTGAGGTCCATGCCGACTGGAACTATCATCACACAAATTACTACTAATATTTGCTTTGTTAAAAAAAAACTTTAGGAACAAAAAAAAAATGAGTAAAAACTTTCTAAGACTATGTAAAGACTATACTGACTTTTTTGTATTCCTGAAACAAGAAGAACTAAGATACAAATTATTCAATCCTAGACCTGAAGAAATTGTGTCCCATGGACAAAGATGAAGGCATTTTTCTGCTGCCACCTGCTTCACACCATTCTCTGCCCTCTGAAACCAGATGCTTAAAAGCAATCAGTGACTCACTCCACATTACCCAAAGGATAAATTCCCAAATCCTTAGTTGGTTTACCAAACCGTCAATCAGTAGCCCCCACTCATACCCCTTACCATCATCTGTCTCCATTTACCTTATTACACTTTAACTTCCCAAAATTGAACTTTCTTTAGTGTATATTGAGGAATATTCTCTCTGCCAAGACCACTATCCAACCACACCATATACATTCACTTGATTAACTCCAATGTATTCTTTGATTCTAATTTATAACTCCAAGGCGAACTCTTCCCTTAACCCTCAAATTAAGTGACTCCCCCTTTGTCCTTTCATAATGTCAGGGCACATTTGTTTCAAACACTTTTATAGTGATACCTTTAAAGAAATGTTTCCAAAACTTCAGTACACACAGGAATTATCTGGAGATCTTGTTAAAATGCAGATTCTGATTCAGAGTGATGCCAGTGCTGCTCCCTGTCCCCATACTACAGAGTAAGTAGCAGTCTGTCTGTTCCACTAGACCTGAGAGTAGGATCCTCAAAGCCCCACTTATATTAGGCCCCGAATTAACAGCTACTGGAGGAATTTAAGAAAACAATACACAATTGGCAACACAATTTAGTTTTGGAATACAAGTGGTACTTACAAATAGCCATTTGAGAAAAACCTTGTTAACTTCCTTCCCTCCTTCTGTAGCTTGGTATTTCCACCTTTTCTTTCCTTCTCTTTGCCTCAGTCTTCACTCCTAAATGGAAGTGGTCTCTCAGTTCCCTCCTTAATCACGGATTCTTTTCATGCCCAGTAGTCAACCCTTGAGATATTTTCAGTGGTAGCACTTCAGAAAATGAAAAGCAAAGGGAGCCAGGATAGAGACATGAAGAAAAATAAACTCCTATTCTCTTCCTCAGTAATCAGTGAGTTACTTTTTCTTTCTCCAGATCTCACCTCTCTGGCCCCATCAGACTATTTATTAAAGAATCACAAGTACATCTCTAGACTCCTCTTCAGTGTTGCATTGCTCAGAAATTCGTTGTGTAGGTGGTGCTCAGAAATAGAAATGAACCTCATATCAGTCATTCATTTACATAAAGACTTGTCATATATATAATTATAGTGTATATATATGTGTGTGTGTGTGGTGTGTGTGTGTGTGTGTGTGTGTGTGTGTGTATTTTTTTTTTTAAATAGTGATGTGGTCTTGCTCTGTTGCCCAGGCTGCTCTGCTCTTGGACTTCTGGCCTCAAGCAGTCCTCCCTCCTCAGCCTCCCAAAGTGCTGGGATTATAGACATGAGCCACTGCATACAGTCAAGAATTGTCTTTTAACATCTAAGTAGAGACTTAATCTTGTTTTATGTCTCTCTCTGTCTGTCTCTCTCTCTCTCCCCCAACGTGTAGTCATTTTATTCCAAAGGTTTGTAGTTGCATGGACTATAAAAATGGAAAAATAAAAATAACACAAACTTCCTGGGGTCCCCTTACTACCCATATCCCCATACCTTGTCTCACCTACGACAGGTAAACAGAATCTTGGAGAGCAAGTGCTGTGGAGTAGTCACTGCATCCAAGGTAGAGAGTGGTAAAAATGTTTCATCGAAAAATAATTTTTCTATGAAATGGACAGGCCTCTTCTCCATTAGGTTTAACTGTGTTTCTGACTGTGTATAGGAGAAAATGGGTCCTCAGATTTCCACCACAGGGTGGTTCTACTATTAGTACATACAAATCTTTGTTAGGCTTTCTGTTTCTTTATTGTTCAAAGGCACAATATAAGGAATAGGGCTAGTCTGTATTTCAGTGTAAAATATATGACACTTTATATATGTGTATATATATATATGTGTGTGTGTGTGTGTGTGTGTATGTGTATGTTATGTATATAAGGTTGATTTGGTCTGTATCTACATAAATTACATGATAGATATATAAATGTGTGTGTGTATATATGTAAATAAGTCTAATGTATACTTATAATCTATATATTTGTATTTCGTGTGTGTATATGTATATATAAACCTATATTTTCATTTCTTGTAATAAAATAATTAAAATAATTAACATGAAAAAGAGATCAGAAGAGAAACTCTTGGTAAATGTATAGGTTTGTCTATTAATAAGATGTTAGATGTGCTATAGATGTCATAGTAAAGATAACATCCCCCAAATACCAAGGAGAATAGAATGATTATACTAGGGTGCGAATTCTAGCAAATTAAAATAAATATCTGCGTGATCCATGTTTGTAACTATCTGACAGACTGTTTGCTGTTAATAACTTTTCTGGAAGCCACAAACACAGCAGTAGCACTCAATTATGATGCGGTCTACAATATAACACAATGCAGTTTTTCTGCTGCCTTCAAGATTACATAGGCAGCAGAGCCTACCATAATGAACTGTCCCGAAAACTCAAAGTGCTGTTTGCAGCAATTTTGCATGTGAGTATTCAGATTTTACAGTGTATGAAGTCTGACTTGAATGTGCTCTACCTCAGTAATTCTCATTTCAAAATATTCACATTAAAAACATTCACATCTTCCTTTTTTGATTGAAGACCATGCTAATAAAAAAGCACATAGAATATTGCAAATAAATAGTCATAGTGAGCTAAGAACTACATGGAACACTGAGATTCTTCAAGGTATGCTAATGACTTTTTGTTTAGTAGATTTCTTGTGCTGCAGTACGCATGTTAATAAGTATTTCATCCTCACACAAGGTGCTTGGTGATGAACACACTAGCCCAGAATTATCAGCATACATTTATTCGATTATCCGCTTGTAATCAAGAAAATATATTATTCCTTTTCTCTTGATATTTTGGTTCATATTATCTAAGTATATGTCTAAAGCGTTAATAATATTATAATTCACAAATGTAATGCTTAAATAGGAGAAAATATTTTAAAGATTCTCAAAACCTCTGTAATTTTTTTTCCCATTACCAACATCATTCCCTTTTTGCTACTACATTTATCCTAATTAGAAAAAGTAGCAGAGGGTTTGAAAGAAGAAAAAAGAAAAGGAAAAGTGAAGTCTTCCTAATAAGAAATATTATGTTAAGTACTACCACAGCAAATTATCATTAGTGGGAATTAGAAGGAGCCCCCTTAAATGTGTATATAATGCTATTTTTAAAGGCTTAAAATATTTTATTTCAAGTTTTAACAGTATCCTATGTTACTCTTTAAACATTTTAGAAACTTTTACAACTCAGTTTGTTTCATATTAAATAAGAACTTAGCTGATCTCTTTTGGACTCACTGTGGAACATTGCATTAATTGTTAGCCATAGGACAACAATAAAAAAATAATTTTAGTAAACCACATAACTTAGGTGACTCATGAATGAAAGCGGTTTACAGATGTGCTTATTGACCAGAAAGCCTTAATGTTCCCCTCAGCTTGACTAACTTTAGATAGATCCTTTCATGATTATTGGCCTCCGACCTCCCTTTGCTTAGAGCATTCACTTTAGAAAATATGGAATGGTCAATTCTTTCTCTGCCCCTTTAAGGTGTAAATCTTCTTTCAGTCTCTTGCCAGTTTTACACCCCAGAAATGTCTTTCCCAAAGATCTGGGAGCTAGCCCTTTGAAATGTAATCATCAAGCAAGATAGTACCCCTACCTCTCAGGCTCTTTGGGACAGTAGGAGCCTAACTTTGATAGATAAGTGACAATCTGCACATATGGCCTCATCTCTTTGAGCAACTCTCCCTACACAAAGTCCTCTAGTACTTTTCCACTAGCTCACCCCAATACTTAAAAATTATCCCACCTTTTGTACTAGTGGAATTGAGTTCTGTCTGTGTCACCTATTGCAAGTCTTTAATAAAATCTTTCTTGCCTGTTTAACTCTGCCTTGTGCAATTTTTCTATGACATTATTTAGACTCCAAGTTTACTGTGCAGAGTAAAGGAATAGATAAGTGGAGAGATTTTTTAAAAGGGTTTAAATGAATGTTCTAAGATATAGCAATGACTCATTTACCTGCCATCACTTGCCTTACCCTTTTAAACCATAATACTTCTCCTTCTACTTTTATCATTCATGATGGAAATATTCCTAAAATGTAGTAGCAAGCCTTCTGTTTCTTTCTCAAAATGAAGATTTGTTTCTCAAATTGAAAGTAGTTTTTTGTGTGTGTTTAAACAAAAATGTACATGTGGAAAATAAGACACTGCAAATCACAGATTAAAGCAGTGTTTCTCAACCTTTTAAAAATCATTACTGCCCCGCTAAGGAGCTTTTTTAGTTATTTTTTCCTGCCTCATCTCCCCATGAGATTTTAATACCATGAATACATGGTATGTCTGTTTATGTACTGCTGCCTTTTGGGGTGCCATAAACCCTTACAGTATCTAAGATTTGTTTGCTCCCACCCAAGAACCAGTTTTTGCACCATTAGGATAATATTGCCTCTTTGAAAATGCATGGTTTAAAGCACAAAGTAAAAATCACTTAAAATCCCGTACCACAGAGGTGACCACTGTTTGCCTTTAGACAAACATCCTTCCAGAGATCTTTCTAACCATATTTTATGTGCTTTTAAAATTTGTTTTTGTGCTTTAATAACAATATGGAAATGTTTCCATATTAATATAGACATCATCCCTTTCAAGTATATATAATTTATTTAACCAATTTCCTGTGACATACATTCTTCCTTCGATTTTTATATTTTAAGTAATACTTTGATGAATATCATGTCGTATCACATTTGTGCATTTGATGTGCTGTCTTTAGAAATAATTTTTCAAAATGCAATTTCTGGATAGAGAGGCACATACATTTAATTTGTTTTTATAAAAATTTCCAAACTATCTTCCCAAAAGATTTTACCAATATACATTCTTTCATATACTGCATGAGAATGCCTGTTTACAACATAGGGTATTATCAATTTGTTTAATCTTTGCCAAACTTATAGACACAAAGTAAGTCTTCACTATTGTTTTAATTCTTTATTCTTTTATCCTTAATTTGATAACTAATTCATTGAGTTTTTAAGTAAGCATATTGGCTATTTGCATATTTAAAGATTTCCCTCATCTTGTAACTTTTTGTCATTTTTTTTTACTTTTTTTCTTTGTAGTCCTTATTAATTACATTGCCTAAAAGATAATAATCATGTACAGTAATGAATGCATTTTACAGTTGTGCCTTTGGGAACTGTATAGGGCTCTGTGCCTATTCATTTCACAAATTATTTTTGCTTTCTTCTGAACTGACTTCATATAAAAATAAAGATGATGATAACTATGGATACATTAATGCATGTAAGCTTTATAGAAAATATTTGTATATAAAATAGATATTTTATATTAATTTTATGTGTAGGTATTTTTTTAAAAAATTAAATAATTTCCAGTTTTTATTTATCATAAATAATTCTCTTTTATTTAAAAAGAGCTCTAACATTCTAATGTATTCTTTTCATACTGAAATTTATAAACCTTCTCAGTTCCCTTCTCAATCACTTCTGCTCTATAGACTTTGAACTGACATATTTATTTGATTTCTTTCATCTTTATCTCTTTTGTAAAATGTCATTAGGCTGAGAAAAATATAATGAGTCCATGAAGAGATATTTTTTAAAAAAACAGATTTTATGGAAAGGTAAAAATCAAGGAGAAAACTCAGGAGAGTGTGAACACATCAGATTAATATGATCATTGCTCTCGTTCCAGTTAGGCTCATTCCAAATATTTTAACGTGCTGGTCATGTGAAGTAATACTTCTTTTCATAGTTGTCACACTGTTTTTTGCCATCTAATCTGCTGTCCACTTCTCCAAAGTTATTTATGAGATTTGTTATTGATACATCTTAATACTTTGCAAATGCCAACATTTTCCTAATATTTTGAGTGGAATAATATATATTTGTAAAACAAATGAAGGCCAATAATTATGCTTTAGATTTGGGGACTTTTTGTTGAGAATCATCGATATAGTTTGATAGTATTTCATTATACCTTACAGAGTATACTTAAAAATACTCATCAATTATTGTTTTAATTTATAGTTTAGGTTCACAAAAGCATTATTTAATCCAAATAGATTTCACATAATATAAAATACACTATTTTAGCCATTTTAAAGTGTACAATTCAGTGGATTTTAGTATATTCACAGTGTTGTGCAACCATTACCACTGTCTAATTCTAGAACATTTCCATTACTCCAAAAATAAACCCCACACCTTTGAATTCTGCCTCTTCTACCTCCTGCCCTATTTCCTGGCAATTTCTGTCTGTGGATTTGCCTATTCTGAATATTTCATGTAAACAGAATTATACAATAGGTGATCTTTTGTTACTAGCTTATGCAATAGCGTATTTTTAAGGTTCATACGTACTGTAGCATTTATCAGCGCTCTATTCCTTTTCATGGTTAAATAATATTCCATTGTAAGGATGTACCACATTTTGTTTAGACATTCATCACATTGATGAACATTTCTGTTATTTCCACTTTTTGGCTATTATGAATAATGCTCCCATGAACATTTGTGTACAAGTTGATAATGTGAACATGTTTTAAATTTACTTGGGTATATACATAGGTGTGAAATTGCTAAATCATAAGGTAACTGTTTAACTTCCTGAGGAACTGCCAAATTGTTTCCCCCAACAGTTGGACATTTTATATTCAAATACTACAATCCGTATGTTTGTAGTGTTTGAAGTTTCCAATTTCTCCACATTCTTATCAGCACTTCCTGTTTTCTGGGTTTTTTGTTTGTTTTATTATTGTTGTAGCCATCCTAGTGAATGCGAAGTGGTACCTCATTGTGGTTTTGTGCCGTTGTTTTTAAACTGCTTGATTTATGAATGCATTTGTGGTTTTATTAATAGAATTGCTAAGGTCAAAATTATTTAAACCATTTTCAAACATGGTATGTGTCTTGTGACATACTACAAAAAGTTGGCAATGGTTCTCTATTACATTTACGAAAGAAAAAACCTGCTGATGAAGTTGAGGCTCTGACTGTATGTATTAAACTTTAACCTAAGTCACTATTGACAGCAGAGTATTTCAACCTCTGAAGACCCAGCCTCACTAAATTTGCAAAAATAGTTTTTTAAAAATTGTACTAATACATTTCTATGTTAATGGAATGGTCACTTTTTCTTTTCAAGTCTAGTATCTAAAGTACTCTGAAATGGGGAAAAGATCATGCTTTTATAGAAATTTTCTTGACCTGAGCTTCCATTAGGGGAAAAAACATAACTTCCGATTGAAAAATATATTTACATAATACCAATATATAAACCATTCTTTCAGGGTAAGCCAAACACATCTAAAAATTCCATTAAGTCCATTGGACTGGCAGTTATTATGTTAAATATATTTTCATGAAACATTTTGCTTCCCTGGAAGCAAGGCAACAAAAAAGATAAAACTAATTAAAATGATATGGGGAAGAAGGAGAAGGAAAGTCACAGTCATAGTATGTTTTAGATTTTTCTTACTGATGAATAAAAATAACTCCTTTGATTTGGATTATATTATAGTAATTTTCATCACTTTTCAAAAATCTTGTTCAAAATTGTTTAGTTTTAGTAACAAAATGAGCCTCTTTCTACCATTTTCTTAGGAATTCTGCTACTGGGACATTTTGCAAAAGCTGCAAATGCAGCTTTGATTTTACTAAGTACCGTGATTTTGCCTGCATTTTCAAGTACCTAGATAGAAGTTAGGGCTTAAATTGTATTTGCTAAAGTTTTGAGGACTTCTGAGAAAAAAATACAAAAGAATATAAACATCTTATAATAATTCCCATACTCCCCCGCCCTTTTTTTTTGTTCCCACTTGTGTAGGAGACATAACCCAGGAGGTGATGGAGAGGAGCAAAAACCTTTCCTTTTCTTTAATCACTTGAGAAAGAGAGTCAATCTAGGAATAGCTAAAATTACTGGGTTCTGAGTGATGAAGACTTAAGCTATTTGAGAATGAAATAAAAATTTTATGAAGTGACTGAAGGCAAAGTCAAAAATAAAGAGTTCACAAAGGAGAATATACAGAGTACTCTAATAGGTCCTAAAGGAGATTTTAGAAAAGATATTACTTTATCATACTGTGTTATTTAAAATTGCCTTCATGTTTGTCTATTTTTATAAAGTACATGTGTGTGTGTTACAATTTTTTGGAGATTTTTGCTCTCAATTCTTTATATCTTACGTGACAGCAATTAGTACCATGTAATTTGGGCAGAAATTCCTCCAAGCGACAAGCAGAATATTTCACAGTGACATTTTAATACATGTATAAATATATTAAAATTTGTCTCTACAAATGCAAAATTTTAAAGTAAGATCAAATAAGAAAATTATTTAATTTTTATTACTTCCTACATAAACAGAGAATATTTTATTTGTGGGACTTTTTATAAATGCTGAGATGCCTCTCCACCTCCAAATCAGAGTGTTTTAAATTTTATAATTCTATTATAGATTCAATCATTTGGGTAAGTTTACAATACATAGCTGTTAATAATTATTACTGAGACTGAGGTACATACAAATAGTGGAAAGCTAAGATAGTCCAATATATGTGAGCCTCTGTTAGCACAGGACAGTCATTTTATCTGCAGATAAGGACAGTTTTATTTCTTCCTTTCCTAGCTACGTATATTTTATTTCGTTTTCTTGCCTTATTACACAGACTAGATCTTTCAGTACTATGTTGAATAAGAGTAGTGAGAACAGACATTTTTTTGTCTTATTCCTGATTTTAGGGGGAAAACATTCAGACAATTTGCTCTTTCACCATTAAATAGCATCTTAGCTGTAGGTTTTTTATAGATGCTCATTATCACATTGAAGATGTGTCCCCTAATCCCTTTATATTTATTCTTCTAAGAATTCTTATCATGAATGGGTGTTACATTTTATCAAATTCTTTTCTGTATTAATTGATAATAATCATGTGATTTTTCTTTAGTCTGTTAATATGGTGGATTACACTAATTTTCAATTATTGAACCAGCCTTCCATCCTAAGAATAAACTCCACTTTGCTCTGGTGTATACTTCTTTCATATATCACTCAATATGACTTGTTAATCTTTTGTTAAAGATTTTTGTGTTTCTGTCAATGAGGGGTGTTTGACGTCAGATTAATACTAGCTTCATAAAATTAATTGGAAGGCATTCCATCTTCTCTTTTGGAGAGAAGAGGTAGTATAAGATTGATGCTAATTCTTCTTTAAATGTTTCATAGAATTTTCCAGCAAAATCATCTGGACATGGAGATTTCTTTTTTTGGAGTAGTGTTTTAATTATGAATTCAGTTTTCTTGATGGTTATAGGGCTATTCAAATAATTAAATTCATATTGAGTGAGTTGTCACAGTTCATGATTTTGGAGAATAGATCCATTTTATCTAAGTTGCCAAATTACAAAGTGTAGAATTGTTCACGTTAGTCCGTTATTGTGCTTTTGGTGTCTACAGGGTCTATAGCAATAGTGCCTGTTTCATTCTTCGTATTGGTAACTTGTGTCTTTTCTCTTTTTGTCTTTGTCAGTTTTGCTAGAGGTTTATCAGTGTTATTGATCTTTTCAAAGAACCAGTTCATTGCTTCGTTAACTTTCTCTATTGCTTTTCTATTTTGAATTTCATTGATTTCTGCTCTTGTCTTTGTTGTTTCCTCTGTGCAGTGTGCTTTGGGTTCATCGTGCTTTTTCTTTTTTCAGGTTTTTGAGGTGGGAGATTAGAATAGTGACTAGAGATTTTTCTTCTTCTCTAAGTAAGCATTTAGTACTGTAAAATTTTCTCTTAGCACTGCTTTGGCTACATCCCATAAATGTTGATATACTGTGTTTTCATTTTCATTCATTTCAATGCATTTTTTACATTCCTTGAAACATTTTTTGGCTTATAGATTATTTACTAGTCGTTTGGTGTCCAAATGTTTGGAGATTTTCCTGTTATCTTTTTTGTTACTGATTTGTAGCTTTACTCCATTGTGGCCAAAGAAAACACTTTGTATGATTTCAATTATTTTAAATCAATTGTGGTTTGTTTTATCCCCTATCTAGGTATATGATCCATGGGAACTTAAAAAGAATGGGTTTTCTGATGTCTTTGAGTGGATTTTTCTATAAATAATGACCAGATGCTGTTGATTTATGATGTTGTACCCAGTCAGTAGATTTGGATCTCTAGATCCTGAAGAATCTTGCCATGTACACAGTTGGTGCTTATGAAGGGTTTGTTAAACTGTTTGGACCTGCCATAGTATTACCCTTTTTCCTGTTACCACATATACCTCTCCTGTGGTCTGTTAAAATTTCCAGAAGAAAGGCAAGCAGCTTAGGCAGACTACAGTGATAGTGTGGCATCACTAACAACCCAAAGTTAAAAAGTTTGCAATAGCAGTCATTTATTTCATGGTCAAGGGTCTGGAGTTTGGCTTGGTTTTAATTGATCTTGTCTGTGCTTACCTGTGCTCTACTGGACTATCCTGGATTCTAGGTTTTGGGTTAGATTCAAATCTGTTCCATATATCTAAATTTTAGGATTCATACTGAAGGAGCAATAGCTGTCTAGATCATGTTCTTTTCATGGGAAAGGATGTAAGCCTCAGGAGAGCTGGCAGAAACTTGGAATATCTCTTAAAGGCACAATGTCACTTCTACCTGTATTCCATTGTCCAAAGCCAGTCACAGTAAAGTCCAAAGCTAATGCGTTAAAGGTATATACTCTGCCTATTCCAGTAGGAAACACTTCAAAATTGCGTGGCAAAAGGCATGGATGTATAAGTCTATTACAATGAGGGAGTGAAGAACTGGAAGCTATTATTCAATTTTCCTTTGACTTTCAATCTTTAGGACTTTCTACTCTACACAGGGATCAGGAAAATGAAAATTAACTCTCCACAGGAAAACTAATGCTCCACATGAAAATCCCTATTTGGATTGAAAACTATAAAGAATGTTTCCCTTGACATATAGTTAAGTCTTATATATTATATTTTGGATAATTTGAAGAAATGGTTTTAGTAAATTAATGAGAAAATGCTTCAGAATATACTTTATAGTACATCAAAGGCAATGTATTTTCAAATCCAGGCTGTATTATTTGTTTGTTTGGTTTTTTTTTTTTTTTTTTTTGGTTTTGAACTATATGTAGGCATTTTGTTGACAGGACTTTTTGAGAATCCATTGCAAGCCTGCACAGCTACGTTAAATATATGAATATAAAATAGGACTCAACCTTATCAATTTGACACGTGTGTGTGTGTGTGTGTGTGTGTGTGTGTGTGTGAATGTGGTAAAACATCTGCATTTGTCATCAATTTTTGGAAATATTCGAAAGACTTTTGTGAATCAAAAACCTATAAATTATTTGGTATTTCAGATAGAGATCATGGAATCCTATTAAATGATATATGTCCAGGGTTTTGCAGGTCACAACTTGAATTTTATTCGAAGAGATATAATAGTCATTAAAAAATAAGAGAAAAAAAGAACCCTGGGGACAGAAATTTTAATTTAAATTCAGGGCAGGCATGTAGTACCTGATATTCCATGTATTCACAGAATGACAGAAAACCATCCTTACCTGCATGGAATGATGGCAGTGATTGTTTAGTGTCCATTCAAAACAGTAACTGGTTGCAGTTGAAGTAGTACTTTTAATCATATGGACACTTGTTCCCCAAGAATTGACCTGGAGCCACCAAAACATAAACACAGACTATTGAGCACAGAAGGAGCCAGTAATTACTTTCAATCACTCCTTGTCAAAATGGTTTGAATTCAAACCAATCATTCATAAGAGAGGAGCTACCTCATTAATAGTTTTCTTAGTTCAAGATCAAGAAAAATGATAAGCCATATTAAAAATTGTTTGTGTTTGCAAGCATTCAGGAGAATGACATTTGAAACACAATTACCAAAACAAAATAAAAGCAGCTAACTTATAATTCAATTAGAGCCTTTCCAATATTTGTCAAATAAAAAAGAGCAAATTTCAGTGAAGAAAATCAATGAAGGAAACCATTTAGAACATGCTTATTGCTGTTTGACTTTTGTCAGTTGCAAGAAAGGGAAATAGTTGAAATATTGGCAGTAAATAAATTTTACAGTTATTACTTGTTTCTTCTAATTTTCTCTCCCTTATTGACTTCTCATTTCTGGTAATATGGCAATAAACAATATGTAAAGAGCTCAGCACTGGATGTGATTAATGTATGCAGTATCTGCAGTTAAAACATTCTTCTCTACTGATGTCTGTGTCATGATCCTCCTTTTTTCTCATTTTCCTTCAATGTTGATTTGCCTCCTCTTACCTTTTTTCTTCTGTTATTATCTACTTTTTACAACTTTAACAATGACCCTGCATATCCTTCACTGGCCTCTCTTTCAAAGAACCCATCCTACAAATATGCCCAGCTACCTACTAGACATGTTCACTGGAATATGTCCATGTTACCCTAACATCTCCCCTCCTTTATGTTGTGTCCTGTCTCCTATCCCCTTCCCTCTAAGTAACCAAAATCAACTCATTGCTTTTGATTTTCTAATTAGTTAATTCTGGCACTTAAGTCAAAATCACCATTGTCTTTGATTTTTGCCTGCAGACACTTCCTTGTTGAATATGTTTGTGCAAACTTCTATCAGATAAATGTACCTGAAACACACTTCTCATTGTGTCATTTTACTGTTCCACATGAATGTAACCATTGTTGATGTATACTGGGATGTGGAAATGTTTGGGAAGCACTGATGAATGAATTAACATGATTACTTCTTCACAACTATGTCCCTGTACTCACTGGTGCTAGTCTGCTAGTCTTGAAGATCTGGTGGGAAGAATAGCTCTTTCCTATACTGCACACTTCTTTTCCTGTTGCGGTGGATATTTTCTCAAAACTTTATCCTCAGGCAAATGATTCCACGTGCTTACTTATATCCGTAAAATCCTCAAATTTCATAGTTAGCTGATGGCACCTTATTATTTTATTTTGGTGTGAGAATGGAAAGACTCATTCTCTTATACAGTTTCTGCCATTTCAGTATGATTTCATTTGGGAAATAAAGTAAGATAAATGTTCTTATTTCAGCATTTTATATATTTTTAACATCTTTATTTTGAAATAATTTTCAACTTAGAAGAGTTCACAAAATAATACATAGAGTTCCTGTGTACCCTTTGTATAACTTCTCCAAATTTTAACTTACATAATCATAGTACAATTATTGAAATAAGAAAATGAACATTGATTTTATACTATTAACTAATTTACAGATTAGTTCTGGTTTGTACAGTGTAATGTTCAACTATTAGTATATTCACTACATTTATCCAAAGTTTTGTTTTTAGAGCCTGCATAGCCAAAGCAAGGCTAAGCAAAAAGAACAAATCTGGAGGCATCACACTGCCTGATTTCAAACTATACTATAATGCCATAGTCACCAAAACAGCATGGTGCTGGTACAAAAATAGGTACATAGACCAATGGAACAGAATAGAGAACCCAGAAGTAAACCCAAATACTTACAGCCAACTGATCTTCAACAAAGCAAACAAAAACATAAAGTGGGGAAAGGACTCCCTTTTCAACAAATGGTGCTGGGATAATTGGGGGAAAGAGTGGGAGGGGGGTGAGGGATAGAAGGCTACAAATATGGTGCAGTGTATACTGCTCAGGTGATGGGTGCACCAAAATCTCACAAATCACCACTAAAGAATTTACTCCTGTAACCAAATGCCACCTGTACCCCAATAACTTATGGAAAAATAAAATGAAAACAAAACAAAAACACACAAAGTTTTGCTTTTACTTAATTTAAAACAAAGAAATTTTGTAGGCTGCATGTGGTGGCTCATGCTTGTAATCCCAGCACTTTGAGAGGCTTAGGCAGGAAGATTGCTTAAACCCAGGAGTTTGAAACCAGCTTGTGCGATACAGGGAGACTCTTGTCTCTGTAGAAAATTTAAAAAACTAGCTGGGTGTGCTGGTCCATGTCTGTGGTCCCAGCTTCTCAGGAGGCTGAGGTAGGAGGGTCACTTGGGCACAGGAGGTCAAGGCTGCAGTGAGCCATGATCACACCACTGCAGTCCAACCTGGGCATCACGGCAAGACCCTAACTATCTCAAAAAAAAAGAAAAAAGAAGGAAAAGAAATTTTGCACTTGAAAATAGTTACTGATCTTTAGATGGATAAGTAAAATAATAAAATACCTAAAATATTTTTTCATTTTATTCTCATTTTCAAAAATTTTATCTTTTACTTATCTAATTATTATTCATCCTAGTTGACTATTTTCATTGTACAGAGCAATCCCCACCATTATACGATGAAACCTTAGCAAGTTTTTGTTCTTTGCAACCTAAAGACTAAGAATCCTTAGTAGAATCATATATATGGAAACTCTTGCACAGGAACCAAATGTGTAATGTGTCTCATTCAGAGTGGAAGTGGGACCAAGAAATTTATTAGGAACTGAAGTGTGTGCTCTCGCTTGCTCTCTCTCTCTCTCTCTCTCTCTCTCTGTCTCAATCTTAGTGCTCACAAATTATTTAATATTAACCTACTGAATACTGAATATGTTAATAATTTATTCAGTACTCAGTAGTTTTTTCTTCTTGTCTCTATATAACTCTTTTACAAAACTTTTTTCTCCCCTTACAAATGGCAACATTATGACCATCATAATCAAAGTAAGTCATCTTCCAGCTCTATTATTCGCCATAGCCTAGAAACTTCCCTTTGTGACTCTGTTCATAATGCAAAAGAGGAATTTCTGAACATCACTGGTTTTGGGAGGGCAGACCACTGATGTGTCACTGGCTTGTATATCGATGCCTTTCATCCCTTATGTCAGGTTCTTACCTCTGACTAAACCAAACTAGCTATATCATTTAGTCTTTGCTACATTGCAACCATCTACCCCAAATATAGTAACTTATATAATAATCATTCATTTGCTTACAGTATGGTGGGGTCGTCAATTTGGGCTGGACTCAGAATGGCTTATCTCTGCTCTACATGAGGTCAACTTATGTGTCTGCAAGTTCAAGTATCATGGCTGAGCTTCTCTTTTTATGTGTTCTCTTATCCTCAAGGAGCTTAGTCTAGGCTCATTCTTATGTTGATGAAAGGGGTCCCAGAAACAGCAAGAGAGAGCAATCCACAATACAGAAGTACCTTTTATGTCTCTCCTTGTGTTACTTTTGCCGATGTCCCATTGACCAAAGCAAGTTACATGGGCAAGCTCAGATTCAAGGTATAGAGAAATAGATTTTACCTTATGTTAGAAGAAGTTGCAACAACACATTGAAAAGAGACATGTGGCTGGGCGCCGTGGCTCACGCCTGTAATCCCAGCACTTTGGGAGGCCAAGGCGGGCGGATCACTTGAGATCAGGAGTTCAAGACCACCCTGGCCAATATGGTGAAACTCCATCTCTACTAAAAATACAAAAATTAGCCGGATATGGTGGTGCACACCTGTAGTCCCAGCTACTTGGGAGTCAGAGGTGAGAGAATCGCTTTAACCCAGGACGCAGAGGTTGCAGTAAGCCTAGATCATGCCATTGCACTCTAGCCTGGGCGACAGAGTAAGACTCTGTCTAAAAAAAAAAAAAAAAAGAAAAGAAAGAAAAGAAAAGAGATATGCATACAGAAATGGAAGAATTTGTGGCCTTTTGAAAAATCTGTCATTCTAGGCCAGGTATGGTGGCTGTAATCCCAGCACTTTGGGAGGGTAAAGCGGGAGAATCACTTGAGCCCTGGAATCAGACCATCCTGGACAACAGAAAACAGAAAAAACCTATCACACTAATATAGGGAACCTGGGTGTTACAACGTAGAACATAACTATTTAGGACAAAAGGGGATGTGGACAAGCATTTCCCCAGCCAGACTTGTGAATTAGTAGCTCCAGAATGTGGCTGATACAATGAGATCAGCAGGGTGTTATACTTCATTTATATTGATGCAGTTTATTTTATTAATAATTATAATGATCTCAACGAGAGTCACGAAACAGGTTGAGGAAAGTATATAAATAAAAGGCACACCTACCATCCACAGTCAGTCCTTTGATTGTAGTCTAATTAAGACTAGATAATGATTGAATATCATTGTCCCTGATGGTGGTTTTGTAGTACAGACAAATTAAAAAGGTGGTATACTTCCTGATGTGAAAGAACCCACTTTGGGAGAAAAGACAAAAACATCATCACCATGAACATTAATTGGGGTCAGTGTTGGAAAAATGGGAATTTATTCTAGCTTTCCTTTCTTCACGTTAGCCCTGTGGGCTGAAGTTGTACATTTTTTAATTTCTCTTGAAAATTGCACAGTTACTGCCCACTTTGTGCTTTTAGATTGGGTAAACAGAAGCAGTAAATTCCCAGTAGCTAATGCTTTGCTGTGTAAAGGTGGAAAATCCGTTTAAAAGTAGTCATATAAACCTCTATTTTCTGGAATGTTTCTAAGATATTAGAATTGGACACATCCATAAAACAGATTTCTCTATGAGGTCAGCAGGATGCCATACTTCTTTCCATGCACTAAAAGGCACACCTTGGTTCTGAAAGGCTTAATAGTCTCAAAAAGTGAACACTCCAGTCTTCACTCTGTATAGATTCACTCCCAGGGAGAGAAGGGATTCTACTAGTGAGCAGAAAATCAATTGCTGAGTTTCTGTAGCTGCTTTAACTTTTACTTACCAGTAGGACGCCATTTTCTCTTTGGGAACCCCACTGGCCTAAACATTAGCTCCCTTTTCACCAGCAGGGTCAGGCCCTTGCTGTTTCTGAGTTAGGAGTTTTATACAATATACAGAAATGTCCTTATTTTTAAACATATAATTGCATATAAAAATGTGTTGGTATTCCTTAGAGATAGTTGTTACAAGAGAAAACCTACAAGGAAGTAAACTGTAATTGACCACTGCCTGACCCGTTATATGGCTGTATTTAAGTTTTATCCTCCATAAAATAATTATGATGGCTTTGTGTGTTAAAAATAGCTATTTATATTCATTTGAGTGCAATACTTGTTATTCTCTGCCCTGGTTCAGTCATAGGAGCCCTGAAAAGCTTATGGCCTGAAGGTTTTGAGTTCTGAGTTGAACAGGATAAACACTCCTTTGACTTAAAGGGGAAGATGACCTTTACCATTGTAGAATTCCTGTAACAAAGTTGCTGTTCATTAAGTATCATTTATGAATTCCAAAATCAATTTGAAAACCACATGATATATTTTTAATAATTCTAGTACACGACATACTGTAGAAAACTGCTCAAATTGAGAGAAAATTAAACTAGAAATAACTACCAGTTGACTGAGTACAACTTTTAGTTGAAAACAGTACAGTTGTCCAAGATGTATGATACAGTACCAAACGGTTCTCAAGACTTTTTGTCCTATATATTTTTTTTAATTAGAAAACTCACTTTGAAATTTTTGACCTGTCAAAGTGAAAGCATATCTTGAAAAACAATAAAGAGCAAGCTGGTTAAACATTGAAAAACTGTGAAATGTTGAAAGCCTCCCCGGTGAGTAGGAACCTCATTTTATTACATCTGCGACAAAAAACAAATGAAACCAAAGATCTTTGACAGTCATTTTTTTATAATTTATTTTTAGTAAGTCATGCTGTATATTGCGTCTTTTAAATTAGGGTGTATCAGACAATACTTAGACTGTTCTGTTTAGAAACTTAGAAAACCATTTTTTAAGGGGGAAAAAGACCAATATGTGCTACATTAAATAATCATCTAAAAATAAAAAGCAATTTTGGTTCTGCTATTTCCTAAGGCTTAATTAAACCATATATGGCCAATACAGTCTAGTGACTAAGGAACAACACATACCATGATGTCAGGTAGCAGTTTTCTTTCTGTGAGATGCTACTTGGAGGGAATATGTTTTTAGGACTAACAAAGCACCTGACAATTTATTGCAATGAACATATTAATAATCATTTAGCAACATACAAGTGGTTACATATAGTATGCTCTTGGAGAAACCAGTTATACTTTGTGTAGCCGTTTCCTCAAGAAATAATGCCCAGTATAATTTAGAATGGCCTTAGAACATTTAAACCAGTGGTGTGCTGAAGACAACTTGTATCAGCTCGCAAGAGACTGGTAAATGGTACAAATCACTGACCTACCTCCCTCTCAGAAAAAAAAGTGATTAAATATTCATCAGTGTATTACTGAATTTTTAATTATATATAGTTTAAAAACGATTGGATTCTACATGATCTTATTTTGAATGAATATCCATCTTTTTATTCTTACTGTGGACTCTCAGTGTAAGTTCCTGAAATCAACTAAATACATTTATAAAAATAATTTATCTTAAAAAACATGATCCATCTATCCTTGTGCATATTTGCTATTATGTCAAATTGTACCTCCTAGTTAGAGTGCCCATTAGTATACATGCATTTTTATTATGCCAGTGTATGTGGAAACCCTTTTGCTCCCCCCAAAAGACATGCTTTATCTTGCCTTTGAAAATAGAATTTCCAGTTGATTAGTTTTTATTGCAAAGCTGCCTTTCACACTTTCACATTGAGGTAATTATATGCGCCTCATATTGTTTTTTAAAAAAGATGTTTCATTCATTGCTTTCCAAAAAAAAAAAAGCAAAATAATTTATTTCCTCTGAAGAGGGACATGAATTTCAGTGTTTATTCATGAAGTTTACAATTGATATATGTATTATAATTGTCCTAGAAACACTTTTTACAATAAGATATCTTTGTAATTACGCACCTAGGATAATTTGGTATAAAAAGCAGTGATATTAAAGAGTGAATAGTGTTTGCAGGTCATAGAGCTTTGCTCTAGTATTATTTGCTTTACTGCAGGATTCAACATAAGGCAGGTGTCTTGTCTCATGAAGTTTATTATAGAAAGAGTCCTTATACCATATTTTCACTTATGATGTCGAAACTTAGAATAATTTTATTCAAAGAATATCCTTTGAGCTCCAATAACACAAATCAGGTTATAGGAAGTATCACCCTGGTACAGAATTGTTCACATACTCATTTGTCATTATTTGAAGAATAAATGAATGAATACTAAGAGCAAAAATTAGTGGCATAAATCAGAAATCCATTCATTAATAAAGGAGAATACCTAGCATGTACTTGAACAGTTAGGGTAGACTTCATTGCTTTGGTAAGACTTTCATGAACATGGAGTTTATAAGTGGAAAGACAAGAAATGTTTTTGGTAGAAGAAATTGCATAAGCAAGCATGCTGAGGTATAACTTCAAGTACATTTAAAGTTCAGTAAGGGGCCAGGATGGTTGAAGCCAAGATTCCCTGAAGTTAATTCTGGAGAGTTGGAATAACATTACGTCATAGGAGAGACTGAAAGTTAATCCTGTTGGTCATGGGGAACCACTGAGATTTTACCAAAACACTTGATTTAGAAAGATTCTTATATTGTGTCAGGAGTGAAATTAGAGTGGGAAAAGGAAGCGAAAGCCTGGACTGGTTGACTTAGTTCCATGAGATTCTCTGCTATTTAAATGTGTCCTCAGTCTCCCTGCTGAAATCTAAAGAATAATCTGAAGGCAAAATTATTCCCAAGTACGAAAATGTTTTAGACCTTCTTCCTAGGCAAACATATTTCTCAATTCCATGTCCATATTACAGAGATTGAGTATAGTAGAGACTCAGTTTTATCACTTGTCAACATTAATCTGTTGATTGAAATAGTAAAAATGTGAAGAATTTGATTCAAAATAATTTTAAACATATACATATACTAATATTTACTAAGACTCTTTGACATGCATAATACAGAATCAGAGTCATGAAAGTAAATGCGTAAAAGAAAGAAAATACGCAATGGGTGGTTGAGGAATACAAAGACTTTTAATAGAAGTTTCAGGTATTTCAGTTCTCAGAGGGAAATGGGAATAGCTAGCATTTATCCAGCAGTCCTATATAGTAGTATAGAACTTGTCATTTACAGATGTCCTAGCTAGGGCTGCTCCACAACAATACCATAGACTGGGTGACATAAGCAATAGGGATTTATTTCTCACAGTTCTGGAAGCTGGAAAGTCCAAGATCAAGGTGCTGATAGATTTGGTTCCTTGTGAGGGCTGGCTTCCTGGCTTGTAGATAGACTCCTTCTCTCTTCATTCTCACATGGCGGAGAAGGAGGACTCTGGTATCTTTTCTTCTTATAATGGCACCAATCCCACCATGAAGTCCTGCCCGCCCTTATGACATCATGTAAATCTAATTATCTCCCAAAGGCCCCACCTCCAAATACCATCACATTGGGGGTTAGTGCTTCAATATATGAATTTTGAGGGAACATATTCAGTCCATAACAACAGGTGTTACCATATTTAATATTTACAACGATCCAATGAAAGGTACTATTCTTCCCATTTATACATAAGGAAACCGCGATAGAGATAGCTTTAAAACTTTCCCAAGATTAGTGGCTGCAGGGTGAGGGTGTTGAGAAGCAGCCAGGGTTTGAAGCCAAACAGATTCCTAGGAAAAATATTCTTAACTCATTCTCTGAGTTTAAGTAGGGTATTAGCAGTTTAATGATGATGGGGTAACAGTTATATGTAAGTATGAGTGTGTGAATGTGTTTATCTGTCTATCTGAGTGAATGAGAGAGTGAAGAGGCAGGGAGAGAGAGCATAAGCAATAATAACAGAAGGTAGGATAGTAATTTACCACTCTTACTATGAGGTGTGGGTGTACTGTTCTAGATGTGTAACTAAAAGGAATAATTTTAACCTGATTATTTTCATCATACCCACTTGGTGGTCATTTTGTAAACTCCCACAGCTCTTGTAACAGTATATCTCAATAGTAAAAAAGTCTTTGAAATCTATATTGGGCACGCTGAGTAAAGTGCATCTTTTTTCTTCCAGGAATCTCTTTCTAACAGTGGAGAAACCAACTGGTGAAGATCAATAAAGAATGCTTGTTTTAAACAAGAGTAACTTATGCATACATATGCATACACACACACACACACACACACACACACACACACACACACACAGAGAGAGAGAGAGAGAGAATATAAGGAAGAATAAAATCATCTTATTTTACAAAACACCAGCTGTGTTCCAGTGTTCTATCTATTGAAAATGAGAAAGTATTTGACTAAAATAAAAAAAGAGGAAGGAAATAATTTAAAAATGGACCAAAAAAAAAAACAGTCAGGAGAAGAAAGCTATATTGAGGAAATCCTCTTGACAGCTAATATTATTTTTAGCATTACTAATTTGACTTCCTTGATAATATCAGCACTTTTACTATTACAATCTTAATGACTTGGGAAATGCAAGCTGGATAGAAAATGTCAAACTGGAAAGGAAAATTTCAAATGTTTTGCTTTGTAATTAAGGCCTGACAAATATAAGTCAATTTTAGCATAATAGATAGATTATCAAGTAGGGACATTTAGCTAATGTTAGAGGTAAAAAAAATTATAATTTATATTTGAATACATTCTGAGATGGCTTCAGTGTGCTGACATGTTTTAAAAAGTGTAACAAGTCTTAACAAGATTCCAGGAGGGGATACACACATGTGGACACACACATACATTCCCAACTATCTGTAAAGGGCCAGAGAGTTCATATTTTAGGATTTTATGGGCCACACACTCTTGATCACAACTACTTATCTCTGCTGTTGTAGCATGAAAGCAGTCTTAGACAATATATAATCAAATGAGCATGGCTGTGTTCCAATAAAATTTTCTTTACAAAACCAAGCAAAGAGCCAGATTTTGCCCCCAAGCCATAGTTTGATAAGCACTTATCTAATACATATTCATATGTTTCATATAGAGGGATAGCTTTTACTAGCAAGCAGTAGTAATAGGTGTGTGCATCATTTTAAGCCCTTAAAGAGCTAAATCATATCCAATCATTCAACCTTTAAAAAAATTTGAAAATTCATATATTTTATATTTTATCTGATGCAACCGTTCCTATTAATATTTAATTCAAATGAAAGTTGTTAAAATGAAGTGGCATTTTCATATTCAAATCTACTTTAAATGTATTCATGCTTGTCAGTGCCTCAAATAGAATCTGTGAAAAATTCTCATAAAATAGATCCTAAATTTTGTCAAATAAACTTGGAAAATAATTGCAGAATACTTATTTACCACTTCCCATACATGATTTAGCTTAACTAAGGTGCCGATATCTGTGTATGATAGCAAGTTAGGTAGTAGGGGGGTTGGCATTTATCTTAAGGAGCCACAGTGACACTAATAATTGATCAGAAATAGTCAAGTTCAAAGGAAGCACGTTCAAAAAAGATAGTGAAGTTTCTTTAGGTACAAGACGGAAAATGGTTGACTCTCTCTATACCTAATATTAAAAAAAAAAAAGAATCTATGGTAATTTTCTTTTCTTCTATTCTTTTTTATTATTTTTATTTTTTTATTTTTTATTTTATTTTTTTTTTGAGAAGGAGTCTTACTCTGTTGCCCAGACTGGAGTGCAGAGTGCAGTGGTGCGATCTTGGCTCACTGCAACCTCCACTTCCCAGGTTCAAGCGATTCTTCTGATTCAGCCACACAAGTAGCTGGGACTACAGGCGCCTGCCACCATGCCTGGCTAATTTTTTTATTTTTAATAGAGACGGGGTTTCGCCATGTTGGACAGGCTGGTCTCGAACTTCTGGCCTCAAGAGATCTGCGTGACTTGGCCTCCCAAAGTGCTGGGATTACAGGCATGAGCCATCACACCAGGCCTACAGTAAATTTTTAAAAAGCATTTTAATTGGTAATTTTACAGTAACCTGGGATGCAGAATTGAATTGTTTTATGAATTAATCTCCAAGGAGTTACTTGAATTTGTTCTCTCTCTCTGTCTCTCTCTCTGTGTGTATATATGTACACATACATGTATATGCATATATATATGTATATTCTATGTAGCTCTATATGTTTTGTTCCATTAGACAACCTGGAATACATAAATGTTAAAAAATTTTTTGTGAAACAGTGGCCCACATTAAAAACGGTTCTCATTTTTGTTTGTCATTCCTCAGAACAAAACAGTATTTGGTGGTTCAACAAAATAGAAAATTAATTTTAAAAATAGAGAGGAAAATAAATTTAAATATGATTTTTCCCAGTAGTCCTATAATTTATCTTAATAAGAAAGGAGTACAGGTTTCAATGCAGCATTGTTCTAAGACTTTTTGTGCATATCAGAATTTGGATTCATGTTTTTTTAAAAAGGAAAAGAAACACTTGTCGTGGAAAAAGTTATTCAGTTAGTCAAAGTCAAAATAACAAAATAAGAAACGTCAAGTAAGTAAATATAACCTGGGAGTTCTGAAATAAAGATAACAAAATGATTTTATCAAGTATCTAAAGTCTATCATTTCTAAAGTGGGTAAAGCTATCATAAATAAAGCAGAATTATATTTACTTTTCTAAATACTAAATTATATGCAGTATATGCATACAATTTGCTTTATTTAAGAAGATGGCTAACTTATCTGATTCTTTCTTTATATGTTTTAGATTAATTTTCTAGAGTTGACTCTCACTCAGGTCTAGGCAGAAAATTATTGGTGTGGAAAATATGCCCATTCCAGTGAGGTCATCTATTACATGTGCATGTAATATATGGCAGCAGGTAATTGAGACAATGTCTCTTTGAGATGGCAGTCCCCTTGAAGTCATTGCCAGGGAATATATTTCTCTTTAATTTTTTATGAGACAATTTAGGGAGGGGATTTTGTGACTTATCAGTTCCAGAAATTATACCTAGCAATACAGAAAATGATATGTTTTTTCTTGTGGATGGTACAGCTTTGTTAATTTTTGATTTTGAGATGCTTTAGGGTAGAGACCAGGCTTATCAGCTCAATGAGAACATGTGTTTTTGTATGTTTCATTCTTGGCCATATCACAAGTGCCTATAACAGTGCCTGGACAAGAGTACATGCTCAATAAATACTTTTGAATCACAGGATTAACCTTTACATTGCCGATTGCCAGCAGAAACTTAGGAGAAAGCCATGGTGGATAATCAAAAAGTACGATTAAATTAAGTGGAAAGAGCAATTATAAATAAATAACTACCTTACCATTCCCCACAGTGGGTCTGGGAATTCATCCTTGTAAAACCACGGAGAGTGTTCCTCTGAGAGTGACTACAGATTTTTTTTTTTTTTTTTTTTTTTTTTGAGACGGAGTCTTGCTCTTTCACCCATGCTGGAGTACACTGGCGCAATCTCGGCTCACTGCAACCTCTGCCTCCTGGGTTCAAGCAATTCTCCTGCCTCAACCTCTCAAGTAGCTGGGATTACAGGCGCCCGCCACCATGCCTGGCTAATTTTTGTATTTTTAGTAGAGACAGGGTTTCACCATGTTGGCCAGAGCTGGTCTCGAACTCCTGACCTCAAGTGATCCGCCACCTCGGCCTCCCAAAGTGCAGATTTTGTTTCTCACATAATGAGAAGCTGAGTGCAATCTATATGCTGTAAGAATATCCCATTCCTACTCAATAGTGTCTTTATGACTATTACTTTAAAGAAATGAAGTAAAAGGTAGTTTTACTTCACATACAATATGTGAAGTAAAATGTAGTTTTGGTTTACATGTATATATGACTATATGATAATACTTCAGGAAGTCATTAATGAGGAAAACGATTCCAAGACACATACATAATCGGATTTTTTAGCTATTGTGTTTGTAGCTTACTTTCAACATTAGTAAGCAGTTGTAAGAGAACAGCCATTACCAATTACTGTAACCGCAGCATTACACAGGGAGAAATATGACTGTTGACCTTGAAATGAGTATAAGATCATCCCCAGTAGAAGATCACAGTCCAACAACTCTCAACTCTGGCTGCACATTGACATCATCTGGGGGAGCTTTTAGAAAATTTTTTTTATTAGATCTAGGCCCTACCTTCGGAGACTCTTCACTGTTTGGACGTCTGTACATTTTTAAAGCAACCCAAGTGATTCTATTGTGCAATTATGGTTGAGACGATCGAATGCTCTTCAAATTGTTTTACTCAGATAAATTTAAAGGAATTTTGAAAAAACGTGCACTATCTCCCATATTTCAACTATAAAACATTTCAGCATATGTTTAAACAGTTTCAAAGAATATACATTCCTCTGCATCATCTATGTGTTCTAAATATATTTTGGTTGAATCTTTGAATTGGGTATTTAACTCATTTTGTTTGTGGGAAAAGATAACATTAAGACAGAGGCTTGCCCTGAATTTTTTTCCTTAGACAAAATAAAGATCTGTACCTTTCAATATTTTCTTTAAGATATCTTCAATGGACTATCCCAAATGCTCAGCGCATTATTTAATGGTCCTTTTGTTTGATGCCCTGGAGGGTTTTACTCCCTGGAGCAATATGCTTTGATAAGATTTGCCATAGTGAGGTACGTCTTTCTTCTTCAAAGTAAGAAAAGTGTGGTTAGATAAGAGAATAGGCACATTATCAGATCAATTTTAGATGTGTCTGAAAGCTGAAGATCTGGAAATAGATTCCCTTAAATATGTTCATGTCTGTGTACTCCTTGAAAAGTCCTCATATTTTAGTGTATGTACCTCAGTTGGAAGGTAGCTGGATTAAACTTGGAGCTGGTAGTTTTGGGGAAGACAGAGACAAGGGGACAGGCATGAGAATTGGCCAATCCCTGGTGGGATCTCCAAACTGACCAGCAGGTTGATAGGTTGGTTGGGAATAAGGTGAGAACTTTTTAATGAGGGCCATGTGTGCACCACATATCATAGCAAAATAGGAGTTCAAAACTAAGCAGACAAGCAACAATCTAAGCACAAATTTATAACAGCAGAAGAACCAGAGTTGGAGAGAAACGAGGGAGGTAGCCAGGAATCAAGAGGAAAAAATTCTGAAGGGCAAATAAAGATGGGAGAATGAAGTAGAAAAATTGTTCAAAAATCAGCAAAGCTATATGGGGAATAAAATAATACAATAAACATGACTACACCACCAATGAGAGATGCCATCACCAAAGAGGTGAGAATACATGAAGCTCGCCTGTCTTCCGTTTGATTTTTTTTTTTTTCTGTGTCTGCCCTTTGGAGTAGGAACAACTTCTCATGCATAGTAGAGGCAAAAACCAGCATCTGATAGTTCCATGTCTTCAGTGTGGAGTAGAAAGCAGGAAAGAGTGGGTAGATCCCGAGTGCACAGGAAATGCACTTATGTTCACTGAAAAGCCATACAGCATCCAACTATAGATGACATTGGCTGGAAATATAGAATCACAAAAATTATTCACAGATCTTTTTTTTGCTGAAATCATTTTAAATAAAGTCTGACGGGGAGGGAGAGCATCAGCATAAATAGCTAATGCATGCAGGGCTTAATACCTAGGTGATCAGTTGATAGATAAAGGAAACCACCATGGCACACGTTTACCTATGTAACAAACCTGCACGTCCTGCACATGTATCCTGGAACTTAAAATTTTTTAAAAAAAGAAAGTATGTGGGAAAAAAAATATCTTACAGAGACCAGAGATTTTTTTCTTTTCAATACATTTCTTTAGTTTTTGTTTTAACCAAAACAGAGTTCCAACAGTTATCTCTTCAGTAAATGAAAGCATCTCCTTAAGCTTTAAGTGGTACTTGAAATTTTAAAAGAGGATTATTTTTTCCAACTCAGTGAGGTTATAATATACACTCCAACAACTTTATAAAAGCAAGAGAAGTAGAGTGTTAATTGTTAATTATATGAAAGTGTTCAGGCAAAGGAACTTTTACCTTGAAAGCCTTTACTCTTTAGCATCAAAATAAGCTTGAAAGTTCTATGGTATTTAGGGAGGATATTTTAAATTTCCCCTACCCAAGAAAACTGGATAAGGATTAATACAAAACCCCCTCCAGAATATTAATTTAATTAAGTAGTTATCCAAAGTGTTATCACAAATACATGATGTGAGTTCACACTTCAGGCCCTTACATTTTTATATTGCATGGCATTTGTCTTTTTAATTAAAAAAACCCCACAGTTCTATTGTATTGCCATGGGGTTTTTCATTTAATTTTCCATTTAAAAGTAGTTTTATTTCTCCTTTTAATTTAATTAAAAACGTTAAAATTGTTAGGGAAAAAAAGAAGAAAATCCTGAGTCATCACTCTTTCCTTCCTTATTTATTCACATTATTGATGAAGGTCTGTCTAGAACAAACCACTGATAGCACATTATCCTTTGAAAGGCAGTGAAACACCGAAAATTGGAGTTTGCTCACTTTGAGGATCATCGAAAACAAACAGCTGAAATATTTTTTTCCTTTTAGAAAATTAAAAAAAAAACTGATATGAAATTTCCTCTATTTAGAAGCCCATGTCTACCCAAAAATAGAAAAAAATGTTTTCTCAAAAGCCCGGAATTAGAACATCTTACGACATCTTCAACTCTAAGTTGAATTTCATTAAAATATTTTGTTGCACGTTTTTGAAGTGGCAAACATCTTGCTTTTTGGAAATCTCAGTTTTAAGAAATGAAAGAGGTAAAGAGTATTTGAATTATAATCATTGTCTAAGCCAGGATCAGTTTTCTGGGGTGGGAGTACAGAGAGATGCATCGGGTAGGGGGCTAGTGGTCATGGCTAACTGTTATAAAACTTCTATTGATGCCACCCATTTGGATGACATGAGATTGGATATGGGCTAAGACTTTTGTTGAAAGGAACGTTGTTTACTTGGAAGTGTTCCAGTAGGCATTTGCCAGTCACAGAATACAAGAAAGAAAAAGGGAGTCATTCATTTTATTTCATTAAAACATGTGTTGAACATCTACTAAATGCTGTAATCTGTGCTAGGTGCAGAAGATATAATAATAAAACCAGCCAAAAGCGTGATTCTCATGGTCGCCAGATTGAAAAGGGGCTTATCAGTTACGGAAGACTCAATGCTTCCAAAGCTTTAATACCACCCACTTTTTATTGACCGTTTATTAACCCATTTTGGCTAGGAAAGGGAGTGAAAGAATGTTTACATGCATATTTATATCACTATTTACATAAGATATTTTTTCTAATAACACTTGAAATTGCGTTTTTAAATTGTTTTATGGAAGAATTTTGAGCCCAAGCTGGTACGGTAGCTTACTCCTGTAATCCCAACACTTTGTGAGGCCCAGGTGAGAGGATAGCTTGAGCCTGGAAGTTCACGACCAGCCTGGGCAACATAGTGGGAGCTTGTCTCTACAAAAAGATAAAAAATTTAGCCATGCATGGTGGCATGCGCCTGTGGTCCCAGCTACTCAGGAGGCCGAGGAGGAAAGATCACTTGAGCCCAGGAGATCTAGTTTGCAGTGAGCCGTGATTGCACCACTGTACTCCATCCTGAGCAAGAGAGTGATGCCCTGTCATAAAATAAAATAAAATGAAATAGTAATGTATACCAGCTTTTATTTACCTCTATTCTTTTTTTTTTTTTTGGTCCAAAGCATGTGTTTCCTTTAATTTTTTTTCTTTAACTTTTATTTTAGATATGGGAGTACATACACAAGTTTGTTACATGGGTATATTGTACCCAGGTAGTGAGCATAATACCCAATAGGATGTTTTTTGACCCTTCTTCCCCACCCTAAGTAGTCTGTAGTGCCTATTGTTATCATGTTTATGTTCATGTGTGCTCAAAGTTTAGCTCCCATTTATACGTGAGAACATGCGGTCTTTGGTTTTCTGTTCTTGCATTAATTCACTTAGGATAGTGGCCTCCAGCTGCATCCATGTTGCTACAAAGGACACGATTTTGTTCTTTTTTGTGACTGCATAGTATTCCATGGTGTACCACATTTTCTTTATTTGATCCACCACTGATGGACACCTAATGTTGATTCCATGTCTTTGCTATTGTGAATAGCATGGGTGAAGAAGATACAAGTGCATGTGTCTTTTTGGTAGAATTATTTGTTTTCTTTTGGTAGAATTATTTGTTTTCTTTTGGATATATATTTAGTAATGGGATTACTGGGTCTGTTTTACATTCTTTGAGAAATCTTCAAACTGCTTTCCACAGGGGCTGAACTATTTTACATTCCCACCAACAGTGTATAAACATTCTCTTTTCTCCGCAGCCTCACCAGCATCTGTTATTTTTTGACTTTTCAAATAGCTGTTCTGACTTGTGTGGATCATATCTTATTGTGGTTTTGATTTGCATTTATCTGACAATTAGTGATGTTGAACATTTTTTCCTATGTCTGTTGGCTGCTTGTACATCCTTTGATCTCGAACTCCTAACCCCAAGTGATCCACCTGCCTCAGCCTCCCCAAAGTACTGGGATTACAGGCGTGAGCCACTGTGACTGGCCTTGTACATCCTTTGAAAAGTGTCTGTTCATGCCCTTTGTGGTTTTTACTTGTTGATTTGATTAGGAATCTTAAGTTCCTTATACATTCTGGATATTAGACCTTTGTCAGAGCATAGTTTGCAAATATTTTCTGCCATTCTGTAGATTGTTTACTCTGCTGATAGTTTCTTCTGCTGTGCAGAAGCTCTTTAATTAGGTCCCAGTTTTCAATGTTTGCTTTTGTTGAATTTGCCTCTATTCTGAAAAATTCTGTCACGTACCATAAATATTTTGTTGTAGTAAGTTAGGTAACACATTTAAATAATTAGCTCAACATCCTGAAATATGGACTACTGCCAAATGGATACAAGAATATATACAAAGAGAGTTCTACTCCTTGACTGCCCAGTCAAGTTGCACACACACACTGTTCAGATGGGTCCTTGGACTATGTCAAATCACATTGAAGTAAACAGTAGTTGGTGATTAGATTAGGATGAAATATAAAATCCATAAAAGTAATCGCATAAAACTTTTAAATGGCAAAACTGCAATTACTTTTGCACCAACCTAATAAATAGTTTCTCTTTATTAGGACATGCAGATATAATAATTAGCCTTTCTCTGATCGGTATGGTCTAGATCAGAGATCAGAGAACGTTTTTGTTTTTTTTTTTTGAGACAGGGTGTCGCTGTGTTGCCTAGGCTGGTCTTGAACTCCTGGGCTCAAGTGATCCTCCTACCTCAGCCTTCTAAAGTGCTGGGATTACAGGTGTGAACTACCATTCCCAGCCTCAGAAAACTTTTTTACGTAAAGGGCTAGATTGTAAATGTTTTCAGTTTTATGGGTCATGTGGTTTCTGTCACAACTATTCACATTCTGTCACAACTATTCACAGTCATGCTTTGTAGCTTGAAAGCAGTCACAAATACTAAGTAAATAAATGCATATGGCTGTGTTTATATAAAACATGAGGGGATAGATTTGGCGTGTGGTCCATAGTTTGCCAAACACTATCTAGACAACATAAAGGTTCAAAGGAGGAGGATATGACATCAAATTGGGGCAATGAGAAAGTATTTCATTGAAGAGGTAGCACTTGCTATTATTCTTGAAGCCTGGTAGATGAGGTAAGCTGACATTGTGGGGTGATTTCTGGTGGACAGAATGTGGATAGTTTAAGAAATTGAATTTTTATGAACACTGAGCATTTCGTTATGGCAGAAATATAGACTCTGTGTAGAGGAGTGACTCTAGATGAGTTAGGAATGTAGATTTGTTCATGTTTTAGAGTTTTCAGTACCAGGATGAGGAACTTGTACCTAGCTTGACAGGCAATTATAGACCATTAAATAGTTTATATCACAATGGGATTTGGTAGAAACCACACTGGAAGACAGTCATTCTAGGAGTGGTGTGTGGAATAAATTAGAGAAGTAAGGGACTGTAAACAAGCGAGCGGATTGGAAGAGTGTCATAATAGCTTAAAAAGGAGACAATGAGGGCCCCAACATAGTCAGGTAAGAGGATTTCTAAAAAAGAGGTTGTTGAGGTAAACTGTAACATTCTAAAAATTATTTCTTTAATTGACAAAAATACTGTATATAATTGTGTACAACATGTTTTGAAATATATATACATTGTGAAATACCTAAATCTAGATAATTAACATAAGCATTACCTCACCTACTTATCACTTTTGTGGTGAGAACACATAAAGTCTACTCTAAGCAATTCTAAAGAATCTAATGCATTGCTATTAACTCTAGTTATCGTGTTGTACAGTATGTCTCTTGAACTTATTTCTCTTATCTAAGTAAAATTTTGTATCTTTTGACCAACATATTGCCCCCCACAGCCCTGGTCGCTACCATTCTATTCTCTGCTTCTAAGAATTCAACCTTTTTAGATTCCACATATAAGTGAGGTCATGAGGTATTTGTCTTTCTTTGGCTGTAACATTTAAGGATGAACAACTGGGAACCTAAATTATTTCCAAGCTGTAGTCCCACCATATGCACCAGTACTTTTAACGGAGCCTGCCTAGTTCCTGTTTCTAGAAAACTATTCAGTAAAACAGCCGTCTTCTATGTATTATGTATTTTTCCTAAGTCGTTACCTAGGGACTAGAACCCTGCCTAGATCCCTGTGCCCAGTGCTTCAAGCCGCCTTAACTATCTTGTAATATTGGCCTCTATGAATTTTTAAGTAGCAGAATCAGCTCCCCTGAGATTAGTTTATATCTCCCCACCTGGAGTGGACTGCATCTTGGGTCTTTGCTCAACTATCACTGGAGACATTCACATTTGCTGGGCGGCATTGTGCCGACCCATCATATTGATCTGTAACGTTTAGCCTGTGGTTGGGCAATTTCTTCCTGCAACTATTGTATCCCACTATGTCAAACAAACATCAGGTCCCATTTCTACTTACTCCAGCCTCTTGTAAGCAACTACCCATACTACAGGCCTGAATACTGAGATTTGCCATACTTCAGCTTTTTTTAAAAACTGAGGAGTAAGAATTATAGACATTTGAGCTACTCCTCCTTGTATGTGTACTAATACCACTATGCAACTTGTCTATTAATATTATTACATACAATTTGAAATTATATTCAAAATAGTTAACAGCCTGGTCATTGACCCATCAAAACACTTGCCAGACATAAATAACTGCTTGCTTACCAGCTAGAAAAATCAGCCCTGCCTGTGACACAGAAATAAACCTTCACAAAAACACTAAAGAGAAGAGCTAAAACTATGAAATGTCCAAAAGAAAACATAAGAGATAATCTCTGTGACCTTGGAGTGGACCAATATTTCTTAAATATGACACAAAAAGCATGAACAAGATAATAAATATTCATGTTAAACTTTATCAAAATTAAACACTTTTTTTTTCTTCAAGAGATATTATTAAGACAACCTAAAACCAAGCCACAGACTTGGGAAAAGTATTTTCAAAATATAAATCAGATGAGGGCTTTTATCCAGAACATAGAAAATGTATAACTCTTGATAATAATAAGAAAAACACATTTAAAAAAATAGCAAAATATTTGAATAGACACTTCTCGCAAGAAGATATACAAATGGCCAACAAGCACATAAAAAGTTATTCAATACCATTAGTCATTAGGGAAATGCAAATTAAAACCACATAGAAATACCACATTGCACCCACTAGAATGGCTAGAATCCAAAAGACTGACAATACTAAATATTGGCAATGAGGTAGAGAAACTAAAGTTGTCACACATTGCTGGTGTGAATGTAAATTGATATAACCACTTTGGAAAACACTTTTGCAATATATTTTTAAAATTAAATATACTATGGATATACTATATACGTAACTATAAATACACTATATACATATATAACTATACAAAAATGTACTGTGTATATATGTGGAAATATATGTATATTGCATAAAACCCAGCAACTCCACACCTAGATATCTTCCCAAGAAACATGTTTATACAAACACTTGTAATTTAATGTTTAGACTAGCAGTATTCAGAGTAGCCCAAAACTGTAAACTCTCCGAATGTCCATCAACTAGTGAATAGATAAACAAAATATGATATAGGCATACAATGGCATGCTACTCTCCCCAAAAAGAAATAAATTACTGATATATGCAAAGACATGGATTGATCTCACAGGCATTATACTGGGTGAAAGAATCCAGACACAAAAGTGTAGGTATTTTATTATTTCCATTATATGACATTTCTAGAAAGGATAAAACTATAGAGACAGAGGCAAAATCAGTGGGTTCCTGGGACCAGGGGTAGAATCACAGATTAGCTACAAATTGGCATGAAGAAACTTTGGGGTGATGGAAGTGTTTTAAAACTGGGTTATTGTGATAGTTGCACAAGTATATAAGTTTACTGAAACTCATTAAACTGAACATGTAAAATGGGTGAATTTTATTATTATATGTAACAGAAAAGCTGTTGAAAGCATAGAATACTGTTATATGAGGAGATTATTTCTGTTTAAAGGTGATTTTTCTAGAAAGATTTTATAATGTCTAAAATATAAAACTGGCACATCATAGAATGAGTACATATAAGTAAAACTTTTTTTTTGCAGGCATGCATATGTGAAATTGTATGGTTCTATTTATGGCAAACAGAAGGAAACTTTTTACAGTGAAACTATGTTCATAGTTTTCAAGGGAAAAACAGCTCCATGAAATAAAATATTGCTTGGGGAGTTCTTTCATACCGCTTGTCACCAGCATTCTCACTGGCTTATAAGTTATAATTGCTCTGTGATAAAGGCGTATGCTTTCCTTCTCTCTTATAAAAATTTTAATGAGAACTTGGAGTGAACTCTCACTGAACCTATTTTCATTCCAAAAATCTTATGATTTTAATCTTATGATCCTCCTGAGACCTGGCACTATGGTCTGTGACAGCATGAATACTTCATAATTATTCCTCCTGTTTGTAGAAAACACCATGGGCATCCATCATTCCCTCTCTCCCCTGCTGCCTCCAGGGAGTCACAGCCTCTAGCAAGGTCAGTAATTGCAGTTTTGGTTGACAGTTCCAGGCCAGCTGAAGCAAATCCAGCTGGTGAAGACTAGCCACAATGGATATTGACTGACTTCCCTTCCTTCTTTCACCTCATAGTCAGTTTGGCCTTAAAACTCTTCCTTAGTGATGTGATAGATGGACTTAAATCATCCCACAAGAGATTCCCCAGTACAGAGAAAATGAATGGTTTCTCTAGAGCCATGTGTATATGTGTCTGTCGGTATTTGGGGGACAATTGATCTAACCGTCCTGGGGTAACTGAAAGGTCTTTCCCTTGGGGATAAGGAAAAGACTGTATTGGAGCTTGACATTTAATATTGTTTGGCATCTCACATCTCTGTAGATAACCTGCATGAAATAAAAGATTCAGCCATGTGAATTAAGATGGTATTTTGGAAGTGGATATGCTTCATTTGGCTAACATCGAAAATTCTAATAACAGATTTGCCCTGTGCATAGAAAAAATAGATGCTTTAGATGTCAAGCAAATAATTAAGCATTAATTTTTTACTTTATTTTATGACAAATGCATAGAGAGATTCACACAAGAAATACCAAAGGAATGCCAGATGCTTTATCAAAAAAAAAAAAACCCACATTATGAATCCAAAGAAAGATAGACAAATAGCCTTCATAGTATGTAATATTGGATGGTATAGCTTTACGAAAAAGAAGATAAACTTTCATGTGAATTGCTGGTGAATTCCAGAAAAGAAATGACTTTCGAAAGTGGTATAATACCTTTAACTCTCTAACTTCTCACCATGTGGTTTACTCATAGTGTAGACCATGACTAAAGTACCGGCAGAAACAAACCCAATTAGGCATGGCCTATTGTATAGATACTGAACTAGTCTAGTGTCTTTAGGTTTGTAATAAGTCAGGGTTTATTTTTTTCTTGCTTTTTTACCCTGGTCCCTTGTTTCTGGACTTACTTGGGGTTTAAAAGATGTATTTGCTTAAGAATAACTTAATTACCCATTCTGGATAAAAATTTAATGGAATGTGTTAGAAGGCTTAAGTGAGATATTAAAATTAATTGAAATCACGACCCCCACACTCTTTGACACACCTCCCATTATGAGGTAGATTGTGAGCGGCCTTATAGTTACTCCACTTAATAGAATAAAGTTGATGTGATGTTATGTAACTTCCAGACTAAGTTAGAAAAGGTCATTTAGCTTCTACTTGGTTCTGTCTAGAGACATACTCTGGGGGAAACCAACACCATGTAAAAAGCTGTCCCGTGACCACCATGTTGTGGAGGCCCCGTGTAGGAATTTCAGCCGACACTACCGACCAACAGTTAGCCTCCACTTCCAGCCCTGTGAGTGAGTCATCTTGGATATCCAGCCCAGTCCAGTCTTTATGTAACTACAAACCTACCTGATATTTAACTCCAGTCCCCTGAGAGGTGCCAAGTGAGAACTCCTCAGCCAATTCCTTCTCAAATATTTGTCTCACAAAATTTTTAGAATATCTTTAATATATGTGTAATAGTAAAACTACTGTCACTCAGTAATTTTGATATTAACTGTATGTTTATTTTGGATATTCAGTTTGTTATGTGTCTATTTAAATAATTATTGAATTTCTATTAGGAACACTTGTTCAGCCTATCTACCATGAGACTTAAAAAGCCTAAATCACAGTCCTTGCCTTAGAAGAATACAATTGTCAGTGGAGTAGATGCAGGATCATCAAGTATCAAAACTCTGGAGCACACCATTCATATTATAGTCTATGTAAATGGTCTCCCTTGAGTTGTGCAATGGGATGTCACTGGAAAGATAAGACATAAAGTGTTATTTTAGTAATAACCATTCTTATACTGGTAAGCTTCTCAGGATTGGTATATATGAGTGGTAAGGAATACTACTAAATTTTATACTTTTCCAAACTTCTTTACAGTACTCTGTTGTTGACAAAAGTGAAAACAATTTAGTTAGAATGTAAAAGTAACAAAGAAGTTTTAAAGGAATATATAATGTTCTGTCATAAAGACACAGGCACATGTATGTTCATCATGGCACTATTCACAATAGCAAAGACATGGAATCAAACTAAATGCCCATCAACAGTAGAATGAATAAAGAAATGTGCTACATATATACAATGGAATACTATGCAGCCATAAAAAAGAATGAGATATTGTCCTTTGTAGCAGCATTCATGTAGCTGTAGGCCATTATCCTAAGCAAACTAACACAGCAACAGAAAACCAAGTACCTAATGTTCTCACTTATAAGTGGGAGCTAAACCTTGAGGACATATGGATAAAAAGAAGGGAACAAGGGCCTACTTTAAGATGAAGGGTGGCAGGAGGGTGAGGATGGAAAAACTACCTATTGGGTACTATGGTTATTACCTGGGTGACAAAATAATCTGTACACCAAACACCTGTGACACAGAATTTACCTGTATAACAAACCTGCAACATGTACCCCTTATCCTAAAATAAAAGTTGAATTCAATTTAATTTAATGCAAAATATAATCAAAATTTTAGTCTGGGAGTAGTGGCTTATACCTGTAATCCCAGCACTTTGGGAGGTCAAGGCAAGAGGATAGATTGAGCTCAAGAGTTTAAGGCCAGCCTGGGCAACATAGTGAGTCCCTGTCTCTACAAAAAAATACAAAAATCAGCCAGGCATGGTGACATGTGCCTATGGTCCTAAGTACTTTGGAGGCTGAGATGGGCGGATCGCTTGAGCCCATGAGGTTGAGGCAGCAGTGAGCCATGATTGTGCCGCTGCACTCCAGCCTGGGTAACAGGGTGAGGCCCTGTCTCAAAAAAATTATATTGCACTGTATGCAATACTTTGTAAATGCATATGCTATTCTTCTAATGCTTTTAGACACTTCAGTGCGTGTCATGAGAATATGCCAAGTTGACTAACTATAAACTGATGGTTCCCAAATTTGGCTATACATTGAAATCACCTGGGGAGTTTTAACAACCAACTGATGTCTGGTTCCCACTCCCAGGGATTCAGATTTAATGGATCGGGGGTACAGAATGGGCATTGGGATTTTTTAAAGATCTGAAATTGTTTTAATGGACAGCCACAACCGAGAACAACTGATATGTATTTCTTCTTTTAATTAGGTAGTTCTCAAACTCAACTGCCCATTGGAATCATCTGTGGAACTTGGCAAACTATTAGTGATTTGGTTCCATTTCTAGAGACTCTGATTTAATTGCTCTGGGGTAGGTCCTCTTGGTACTTTTAAAAATGCTCACTAGTTAATTGTGATTTGAGATCCACCAATAGGATGCTCATACTGGGTTTACAGATTAATGTTTTTCTGCATATATGTGTCACTCAGCCTCAGTTACCACATCATTACTATTGGGACACAGCTCAGGTTGCCAAATTCAGCAAATAAAAATAACTTTTCCTGGATAAGTTTGAATTTCAGATAAACAACAAATACTTTTTTAGTGTAAGTATGTCTCATGCAATATTTGGGACATACACTAAAAAGTAAGTTTTTTTAATTTAAAATTCAAATTTAACCAGATACCTTGTATTTTATCTGGCAACTCTAAACACAGTATAATTTAGGCAAGAGACAGAGCAAGGCCCAAATAATGCATTATATGAAGTGTGACCACAATGGTGTTCAATCCATATTCCAGGACAGAACTAAGATATTCTTATTGTCCCCCAGCTGCCACAGAGTAACCATTCTATCCCATAATACTACTTTTAGGCGGTCTCATCTGTAGCATCCCTCTTATTTATTGAGCAAAAGCAATGGACAGATGTAGGAGACAGACAGAAAAAACCTGAAACCTCCTGTCCCATCAGTGTTAAATCTTTTGGCAACAGAGAGTGTTAAATCTATTGGCAGCATAAGCTGAAATCATGGGACTGAAACTTATGACTTAAAAAAAGACAAACAAACAAAAATCCTGTGGGTTTCTATTGTTTTTACTTATGCAATTTCTCAAATATTTTCATGTAATTATAGAAGAGAAAAAAAAACAGATTAGTGCTGAAGTTCTGATCACTGGCTGAACTTCATAGCCTTAGCAGCCACTGTTAAACTTCGAGGTTCTGTCGCATTTATAGTGACAGCCAATTCCCTCAGAGTTACACAGCAGTTGCTGGCAAGTATAATCTCACATTTGGCAAATGCTTGCATTTCTGAAGCTCACTTTTTCATTGGTTCTTCTCAACAATGCTGTGAAGTAGGCAGGGAAGTTATGATATCCATTATATAACTAAGGAAAATTAGAATCAGGAAAGTGTTGCCTTGACCTAGAGTAGTATTTCTTAACGTGTGGTCCTGGACAAACTGCCTCAGCATTACCTGGGAACCTGTTAGAGACAAAAATTCTGAAACCCTACCCCAAACCTACTGACTTAGAAACTGCAGGATAGGCCCAGTAATTTGTGTTTTTATAAGCCTTCTAGTGATTCTGTTGCATGGTCAAGCTTGAAAACCCCTGCCTTCAGGGGTATGTGGTCCCAGCTCAAACATTACTAATACTAATGTTTATTTATTTAATTTATAGTTTATTTGTCCCCCTGGAGTTTAAAGGCTGTGAGGTCAGGGATGGTGTCACACTGCCTAGGTATATAATAGATATGCAGCAAATATTGCAAAATAAATTAATGAAGACTAGAACGAGTGAATGCATGAATCCCACATATGGGGGCTTCCATTGCCATGCCTTGCCTTAAAAGAAGTGTCCTGTGCTTAGAAAATTCCATTGCTTCGCTCATTCTCTCTTTTGAAGAATCTCAGCTAATGGGAAGAAAAATGGTTGACTGCATGAATTTATCCACAGGCATATTGAGACTAGATATTTCCCTTGACCCCTTAGTGGGACTTGCGAAGGGGTCGCTCACTTACTCAGCCTGCAGCACTCAAACCCCTTGAGGGAGGGGGAGCACACAGGTGAGCGGATGTGGGAGAGCCAGGGCCAAGTGCCTTTGGGCACCGGCAGGAATGAACCTTGTACTGGCCTGTGGCAGAGTACCACGTAGTACCTGGAAGGCACCTTAGTTTATCTAGTTCAGTCCTCTCATTGTATACATAAAGAAGGTAAATTTGTGAGTGGTAAAGTCTGTATCTACGCAATAAAATACTTCAATAGCTGGGGCTAGAACTCTGATGCCTTTATTCCCTTTAATATGCAAAGGTTTTGAGTACAGTGTCCTGTGAAGAATGCTTGAAATCTCACCATGGGGAATGTCACCAGTGCAATTCTGCTGTCTTTTATTTTTATTTTTATTTATTTTATTTTTTTAGATGCAGTTTTGCTCTTGTCGGCCCAGGCTGGAGTGCAGTGGCACAACCTCCGCTCACTGCAACCTCTGCCTCCTGGGTTCAAGCAATTCTACTGCCTCAGCCTCCTGAGTAGCTGGGATTACAGGTGCCTGCCACCACGCCTGGCTAATTTTTGTGTTTTTGTTAGAGACAGGGTTTCACTATGTTGCCCAGGCTGGTCTCGAACTCCTGACCTCAAGTGATCCAGCGCCTCGGCCTCCCAAAGTGCTGGGATTACAGGCGAGAGCCACTACGTCTGGCCAATTCTGCTGTCTTTATTTCTGCTTAATTATTACTTTTAATTTCATTATTTTATTACAAAACTTTAACTTTTTATATTGAATGGTATTATTAATATGGAATTTTGTATTTATAAAGTAAAGATTGAAGGAAGCGTATTTACTGCTAATGGAAAGTATCGCTTACTTTTTCCTTCAAAGCAGGAAAAGCAATGTGCAAACATGTAAGTGAAGGAAAAATCCAACCAAATCTCTTACCCGAGTATCTACATTAATATTGTTTGGTGGGTGAGATATTTCTGCAATTCTGCAGTATTAATCCATCCTTCTTTATTATGTCCACCGAAGGTGTAACACTGATTACAGTATGTTTTAGGGAAAACAATCCTCCTAGGCATAGTGGCGATAATTCTTCGACTTTTTTACTTTGCTGTCTTGGCTCATCACGGTGACCTTTAATTCATTTTCTCTTGTCTGGTCTTCTTTGCAGACACTACGAAGCCACTCTGTGGTGTCTATTGAGCTAAAGTCAATTAATCACAGGGTGACTTTTAAAAAATCAAGATTAATAATAGGTTATTTCATAGCCAGAATGCTTGATTAAGATGGGCACATTTGTGGTTCCCCTCATGGCTAGAAATAATTTAGCCAAGTTACAATATCTTGGGCAAATTTTTCTCTCTTATAATTTTCCCAATGAGAACTGCTCAGTTTAAATGGACTTCCCTAAGCTTCCATCAGGGGTTCTCAGAAGGGTTATACAAAATCACTTTCGTTAGCTACTGGGTACTCCTAAATGGAAGCATCTTTGTAAAGCCATGTAGCATTGGCACCTCTTCACAAAAACTTGGGGGGAGTCCGTGAAAAAAATAACGGGAAGTCTGTCTTTAAAGATAATAACGTCTGCCTCCAACATTTTACACATCTCAGTCATGCCCTGTGGTGGGAGCAAAAGAATTCTCTTTTCTCTTTAGTCTTGTGCCAAATTTTCTTTTCCTGTTGGCCTGAATCCACTAATGTCCTTGGTAGGTGGATCCTGGTGTATTAAAAGATTCATAGCATTTCATATTTATATTCTGCTTAACAATATGATGGTACACCTTAGCAGTTTAGCAAAATGGCAAATCTGTTTGCATAATAAACCATATAATGTGCTGCATCATCAATTTGACTTTGCTGGATGAACGAAGAGAACCAGTTGGCTCTGATGAAGTTGAGTTTTACAGGTCAATGCACCATCCATATTAAGGAAATCCAGGACAACTATGTACATATATATTGTAGCTAGAGGCTGAATACATTTTGTACAATATTTCATTTGCTGTTATAAAAGAAAAAAATATAAGCTTGGGTACAGCTACCATAGAAATCAATTTTTAGGTTTTATATTATTACTGCCTTTCTATTCCCCAGGTGTGCTTTTTCATAGCATCTCCATCCTAAACACAATTGCCTTTGAAGTACCAATATATCTCTTAGTGGATGACAATTTCCAAACTCTACTCAGAAAATACAGTGCAAATCCTGGTATAATATAATGGAACTACCAAGAGTTGTTATGGGGCTACATATTTTCTGTTCTCTACTCTCTTGAGATCTTAGCAAAATCCCTTCTTGGTAACCTTGGCTTATTGAAAAGGGCTAATTTATTTGGCATTAATCAGAAGACATATACCATCTCTCAACTAGACTCTCTCCACAACGTTCCTTTAAAATTTTTAATCTAGTGAAAACAGGGGGTAGCTTTATTCTGTAATAGTAATATGGTTCATGATATGGAGACTGCAGAAAGAAGACTGTAAAGCTGAATTTCACTGCAAGAAAATCGTGACTTCAATACTTCAGGAGAAAATCTTGTTGTTCAGTTTGCTGGAATTAATAGTTATTTTACCTGTCAAACTGTAGTACCATCGAAGTTTCACCAGACTGTCTAGAACAGACTAATTTGAAGAAGTACAATTTCCCAAGTAATGTTTTATTCTGCAGTCCCTCTCTTCAGGGCAACACACCCATGTAGGACCTCTCCCACTGCTAGTTTAGTCATGTGAAAGAGAATACCTCTTGTTGTTGCAAGTTATTTCATCATCATCTTGCTAAAGAAATGTCTCACTCTCCTAAGTCTCCAAGATCTTTTATTGGCCAGATTCCATATAAGGCTTTGTGTTCTACATTTGTGATCTAGGGAATTTAAAGCTTTTCACTTCTAGCTTACCAGAGGCTTCTGTATGTGGTAAATCATACATTGATATAAAAAGTAAATAATAATAATCATAATAATAGTTATGGCTTATGTAACCTATCTTTCTCAATAGTTATTGGACCATGATAAGTGATACCTCAATACCACATACCCCTTCACCCACCATCCACTATCTCTCATACCCTTCATAACCAAGCATCTTTTTTTCTTATACAATTTTATTAATGGAGATACAATTCACATACCATAAATCTACCATTTTATTTATTTTTAAAATACTTTAAGTTTAAAGTTTATTTTATTTAATTTATTTTAGAGATAGGGTCTCACTCTGTCATGGAGACTAGAGTGCACTGGCATGATCATAGCTCATTGCAGCCTCAAACTCCTGGGCCCAAGAGATCCTCCTGCCCCAGCCTCCAGAATAGATGGGACTACAAGTATGCATCGTGTCTGGTTAATTTTTTTATTTCTTGGCATAGACAGGGTCTTCTCTATGTTGCCCACTCTGGTTTTGAACTCCTGGCCTCAAGCAATCCTTTTGCTTTGGTCTCCCAAAGTGCCTGGTTTATTGACATGAGCCACTGTGCCTGGCCTACCATTTTAAATTGTACAATTTATTGTTTTTGATATATTTACAAAGTTATGCAACTATCACTACTGTCTAATTCCAGAACATTTTATCACCCCCAAAACAAACCATGCACCTGTTCACCAAAAAGTGACTGAAGCAGGTATCAATCAATAGAAGTTTATTTACCCAAAGTCGAGAAAGTACCTTGGAAAATATACAAATCACAGGAGCATCTGTGATCTGGGCTTTTTCCAAAGGAGGGGGTGGGGGAACTTCAGTATTTGAAGGGGAAAGAGCAAATAGGAGGGAAAAGAAAGGGAGAGAGGGTAGCCCCTGAGGTAAATGGCTAAATTCTAGTGAGGCTCTGTTTAGCTTCAGTAAATCTACATTTTACATGTGAAAAGAAGAACTAGAGGAAAAAGTCAATTAGGCATTTGTCTCAGGGTAGGCAGAGGGTTGATAAGCTGGCAATTGACATTGTCAGGGTTAGATTTCATAGAACTGGGTTTTAGGGCTAGTATATATAGGAAGGGTATGTATCCTGGAAGATTTAGGTGCTCACGAGGCAATTCCTTGTGAGGGAGGCCATCTGGGGAGACATGTGCCCTTCTATAGTTATGGGAAACTGGCTTAGAGATGAGGCTATGACACGGTGTTGCTGAATTACAGCTATCTGGGAACAAAAAGGAAGGCAGCATTGTGATTCCGTTCCCAAGCTTAACTTTGCCTTTGGCATAGTAAGTTTGGAGTCCCAAGATTCTATTTTCTTTCACATATCCATTAGCAGTCACTCCTCTTTCCCCCTCCCCCTAGGCCCTGGCAAGCACGAATCTACTTTCTGTCTCTATGAATTTGCCCATTTTGAATATTTCATATAAATGGAATCATCCAATATGTGACTTTTTGCGTCTGGTTTCTTTCACTTATCATCAGGATTTCATGGCTCATCCATGAAATGTCTCAGTACTTTATTACCTTTTATAGATGAATAATATTCCATTGGGTATACCAAATTTTGTTATGCACACATCAGTTGATGGAAATTTACAATTGCTTTCATTTTGAGGCTACTATGAATAATGGTGCATAGCCAGTCATCTTGATAGAGTTGTCTATACTCACTTTCTTTTTCTCCTCATTTCCTATTTACTCTTCAGCCTACTCCAGTTTGATTTCTGCTCCAGTCACTTCCCTAAAATGGCTTTCTCTGGTGTCACCAGTGATGGCTATACAACTAAATCCTACCCATTTTTCAGTGTATGTTGCTACCTATATCTCACAGCTCTAATTTGACACTGTAGTGTAGACCATGTCCTGTCTTCCCTTGATATGTATGAAAGTACACTCTTCTGGTTTTCCTCCTGTCACCATGGCTGTTGCTTCTCTGTCTCTTTTGCAGACTCACTTTTTCTCCTTGGCTAGTAAATGTGGGATTTACTCAAGACTGAGTCCTTGGGCACCTTTTCTTTTCACTCACAAGACCCATTCTAGGTAATTTGACCTCCACCTATGCCTTCAACAATCATGTATGTGCTTTTAACTACAAATTTATGTTTATAAGTTAGATTTTGGAACTGTATACCTGTCAAGGCCAGACTAATTTATTTACCCTGAATATATAACCATCTTACATTTTTTTATTTTCTTAGAGGATGATTTCCATTACTCACTCAGCTTGACAAGGCACAACATTTTTAAAAAATCTTTCTGATGGATAATAATCAAATAGTTAACAGCTCTGGACACTGGCTGCCTGGGTTCAGATCCAAAGTCTACACATACTCCCCGTGTGAACTTGGAGAAGTCACTTAACCTTTCTGTGTCTGTTACCTCGTCAGTAAGATGGGTACTTTTCAGGGTTGATGAGATGATAACATGAAATGTAAATACGCTGAAGATTTTAGAATCATGCCTGGCGTGAACTAAATACTTTAAATGTTCACCATTTTCCCTCTGCCTCATCTCCCATCTCTAATTCTTTTCTTTATGTCTAAAGCCAGCCAGACACACAGCTTCCCGGTGCTTTAGATATAAAGGCTAAAATGTGTAGCCTGGCCTGTTGTATTAGCTTCGTAGGGCTGCTATACCAAAATACCACAGACTGGGTGGCTTCAACAATATCAGTTAATTTTCTCACAGTTTTGGAGACTAGAAGTGTGAGATCAAGGTGTTGGTGGGGTTGGTTCTTTTTGAGGGCCATGAGGGAAGGATATGTTCTAGGCTTCTGTCTTTGGCTTGTAGAAAGCCATTGTTATCTTCTTGTTGTGTCTTTTCACATCTTCTTCCCTCTATGTGTGTCTCTTTGTGCAAATTTTTGTTTTATAATAAGGACATGAGTCAGATTAGATTAGAGGCCCACCGTACTCCAGCATGACCTCATCTTAACTAATTACATCTGTAATGACGTTATTTCCAAATAAGATCACATTCTGAGGTACTAGGGGTTAAAGCTGCAATATATAAATTTGAGAGGGATGGGACACAATTCAGCCTGTCACGTTTGGTTAGTCTTCTGCCAGCCTCTCCAGGTACATTTTTACTCTATGCTTTCTCAGCCTCTCAGCTAGCCATCCACACAGTAGCCTTCTTTTAAATGGGCCACAATCTTCCAGCCTTTCCAGACCTCTTTCTAAAAGATATTTCTTCAGCTAGAACACTCTTAATTCCATCTCACTGCCCCGCCCCCCACCCCCCACGACCCCTCAGAACACAGGCCATTTTGCATGGCTTATTTCTGTTCATCATTCAGATTTCAGGTCAAGATCACTTAGTGAGGAATTCTCTCATCTTCTAGGCTGGATCAATTGGATTATGAATCTATCAAAGAATGTAACCCCTAAAGCATTTATCTTGCTTCGTAATTGTACATCCATTACATGTCTTTTTTTCACCCTGCCTATTTCACCCTGAATGATTTGTCTTACCCTTTGATCTACAGATCCTTTTGAGTATATAACAGGAACTCAATCAGTATTTCTTAAATCCAAACATTACTTAAGTATTGCTATTTTGACAAATCAAGATCTTTACTATTCACTGTAAACAGCTACTTTTTTCCCCTCATTTTTAACACCTCATTTCCTCTAATAATATTGCATGTACTTTGACATCCTTTCACTTGACTGCATCCTTTTGCTTGAGGGAAGGTTTAAGAAAGGACGCATTTTTCATCAGGTGTTCTATTCCCAACACAGAAAAGTTGACTGAATAGTTCTTCTTTGTTTGATATTTATAATGTCAACTGATTATTATGTTCAAGGTGATTTCCAAGAATAACAGACAATTAGAGTCAAGCCATGTTTCTGTCCCCTGAAATCCTGAACCTATGTGTGTTGGCTAATGTGTGTCTTTGTATGTACATTTTTACTTACTCTCCAAAAATGTAATTGAATGTGAAATTTTTAACTAGAGCCAGAATTCCGTAGTAGGAATCCCAACTTCTACACTTACTAGCTATGCAACCTGGAGTAAACTGCCTCAGGAAGTAATAGTATTTGCCCTGTAGGGTGATAGTAAAAATTAAAGGAGCTAATATTTGTGTCTGGCACGGGGTATGTTAGGCCATTCTTGTGTTGCTATAAAGAAATACCTGAGGCTGGGTAATTTATAAACAAAAGAGGTTTAATTGGCTCACAGTTCTGCATGCTGTACAAGCATGGCATCAACATCGAAGCTCAAAATCATGGCAAGAAGGTGAAGGAGGAAGCCTGTTTATCGCATGGTCAGAGAGGGAATAAGAGAGAAAGAAGGGAGAGGTCCCAGACTCTTTTAAACAACCAGATCTCATGTGAAACTAACTGAATGAGAAAGAACTCATCACCAAGAGGATGTTGCTAAACTATTCATGAGACATCTGCCCCCATGATCCAATCATCTTTCAGCAGGCCCCACCTCCAACACTGGGAATTACATTTCAACATGAGGTTTGGAGGGAATACACATCCAAACCATATCGGGTAGTAAGCACCAGGTGAGTGTTATCTAGTAGAAGGAGGAGGAGAATACATAGAATTAACAGGACTAGAAGTAGTAATATATGTAAAGAAATATTTCAGCACTTAGAATGACATGGTTTATCCTTTTATATGCCTCACAAGAAAGAAGTCTCTTTTGCTCACCTTTGCATCCTCAGGACATGGCACCATGCCTGTTAGATGCTCCAGAAATATTTGTTACGTGAATATTCATTAATTTATTCTTTCATTTCTTAATTCATTTACAAAGAGTTGCTTTCATTGTTTTAGATTTAGTTGTTTATGCTTATTGTACCAGTGCCTATTTATACTACACTGCAGGTCTGGAAAAATATTACATTTTAAATTTAATTTGGGTGTTGATTTGGACTCACTGAGCCTCTGAATACAAGCCTACTTGAGACAAGTATGTAGGATGTTCATTAGTTCTCAAATACAGTTGATTTATATTTTATAACTTGAAGTACTCCTGCTTTTTAGCATCTATGTGTGAATTAGCATATAAAGATATGAGTAATTGTTTTAATGAAAATTTCACCTCTGCACCACTCTACTGTGACTTTATTGTGAATGCAATTAGGTTTACCATAGCGTTCTCCCTGTGAGCCTGTAGATAAGGCATGGAAAAATTATTTCTTTTACTATAATCCTCCTGCTTAAATATGATAGGAAGGCACCAATGAATCTAATACCATTAATGTTCTCTCTGAACTGAAACTCCTTAAATCATAAAATATCACATAATGTCTTTTTATTAAAATATTGACATTGTTTCAAAATGTGCATTTCAGAGCAAGTTTTATATGCGTTCCTACAACATATGGGCATGTTCTTCATTTGGTCTTTCAATTAACATGATGATTAAGACGAAGCGCTTATTTCTGTTTCTGATGTGTTATGTCCCTACCACTAGTCACGTTTCCTATAATAATTCATCACACGTTATGAAGTTTTTTTTTTTTATGTAGTTTCTTTTAAGCTTTCCTTTAATATATATCTGATGATGGAGACTTACATATAACAGAGAAGTTTTCTTTTGGAAACTTAGCATGACTATATTTTAGTTTCATTAGAAAGAAAGAGAATTAAAGGATGGATTTTTAAGAATAATTCATTGTAGAGTTGCTATACTCAAGTACTGAAGCACTTTAGGACTCATAAGGGCATCCGTGTCTTGCATAATAAAGCAGCCAAGATGGAGTAAAACGTAAAAGCAGACATCGAGGTCATTACCTAATCTGGATGGATTAGCCATCCAGATGCCTGAAGGTCAAGGACTGAACAAGATATCTCAAGGTACCTACAAATTCTATGATTTCATGTTATTAGGCTACTGAGTATAACCAGAGACAAGATGGCCATGTGGTTGGAAATCATGTAGAATTACAGGTTAGCTCATAATAAAGGCAAAAACAATATGTCGGTTAGAAATTTCAAGTATAAGTGAGGCTAAAAGTATTTTGTGAATGGCATCACTCCATCTTTTATAAGATAACCCTATACATTTTTCTCTGTGTACTTCTATTGTAAATGTATAGTTCTATTATCACACTTGCCATTTTACATTATTGTCGTGTATTTATGTGATGTAAATAGTTATAGGTAAGTCTTATTTATCTGTTCTCTGTAGGACCTAGCAGGGTATCTGGTACAGTATGTATCAATAATCATTAGATTAATGAACTAATAAATTAAAAGTGTTATACCCCATTAGTAACAAATGACAAGTCCCAAAATATTATTTTATTCAAAGTATTTGATGCCTTAATATTAACTGATTTGTACAGCCCATTATACATTCCAAGAGGGCAAGGGCAGTATTAAACTGCATCCCTGAACTTAACACGTTACCTGAAACATAGCAGGCACTCAAAAATACTCGAAAAAACAAACCAATAATAGCTTTCATTTATATAGCACTTCCTATGTGCCACACATTGTTCTAGGCACTTTAAATACAGTGACTCATTTACTTTTTACCCATATTCTTTTTTTTTTTTTTTTTTTGAGACGGAGTCTCGCTCTGTCGCCCAGGCCGGACTGCGGACTGCAGTGGCGCAATCTCGGCTCACTGCAAGCTCCGCTTCCCGGGTTCACGCCATTCTCCTGCCTCAGCCTCCCGAGTAGCTGGGACTACAGGCGCCCGCCACCGCGCCCGGCTAATTTTTTGTATTTTTAGTAGAGACGGGGTTTCACCTTGTTAGCCAGGATGGTCTCGATCCCATATTCTTAACTAATACAAAATATGGGCTCTCTACATGGTATAGATCAGCTGTACTTTCAGTAAATCTGTGACTTGATTTGAAAATGGAAAAAATAGGATTCATCTCCTAAGATGTTCTGTGAATATTATATAAGGCAGTGTTTGAAGCATGCTTGGCCTAGCGTCTGGCATAGCAGAAGTTTTCAAGATATTTTTACTATTAAGACTATTATTATTGCTGCTATTATTAACCATCTCCTCCAATAGTTGGCATAAGAGAGGTTATACAATTCAGAAGACAAGAATAGAGAAAGCGAATGCTATTTGTGTCATCAGCTATTTGTTGTGTTTACATTTCTGCCCCTCATCTCTATATCCTCGTAAGCACACTCCATCTTCCAAGTATTCCTAGGTTAGGTGGCATTTAATGGTATGTGTAGACCCTGAAGATTTGATTACATTGAAAACAGCAATAGCTAACACTTCTTTAGTGCATCTCTATGTCAGTCACTCTTTTAAGTACTTTATATATATTAACATAAAAACCCAAAGAGGTAAATGCACTATTATTATCCCCATTTTATAGAAGAGAAACTTGAGATACTGAGTAGTTATGAGAAGTTACGTGACCTGTCCAGGGTCAATAAGCTGGTAAGCAGAGCAGCTGGTAGGTGAACCCAGGCAGTCTGGCTACAAAGTTCCTATGCCATGTTGCTCAGTACATTTAAAACTTCTGTACCAAAAAAATCATAAACAAAATTTTAAAAACAGATGGCAGAGTAGGAAGTTGAATTTAATAGAAAAATATCTATGCAAAATACATAAAGACTTGCAGCAAACCAAAAGAACAAACCACAAGTAATTCACAGAAGAAATACAAATAGTTAAAAATAACCAAACAACCTCACTAGCCTTTAAAGATATGCAAATTAAAACAAGATAATTTTACCCTCACAAGCAAAAATAAAACAGAAAGAAAAGAGAGCAAAACAAAAAAGGAAAGTAAAAATAGGACTTTGTTAGTATTACCTACTCAATGTCTGCTTGGTATCTCCACAGGGATATGCAATAGTTATCATAAGTTTAACACACCCAGAATTGAGCATCTGATTCCCCTTCACACCTGCTCCTTTTACAGACTTCTCTATTTCAGAAAACGTCAGCTCCATTCAACTAGTTGCTTAGGCAAAAATATTTAGAGCCCTCTTTGACTCCTGTCTTCCTCACAACTCACGTGAACCCATGAGCAAATCCTCTCAGCTCCATTTTCAAAATTTATCCAAAATTCTGCCGTGTAGTTCAGCACCTCCACTCTTGCCTCTGTCATCCTGTGGCTGGATGGCTGTGTCCCCCTGTTACATCTCCCCCTGCTTCAGCCCTTGCCCTCCTATAGTCTTCCGTTCAACAGCCAATCGGCCAGTCGTTCCTTTATGTCTCAAGACAGATCATCACTAGTCCCTGGTCAGAACACCCCCAGGGTCTTTCCATCTCACTAAAAGTAAATATAGAGTCCTTATTACCGTGGTCTTGGAGACTCTGCAGACTTAACCCCATCCCCTTCTTTCAGCCCCAACTCCTGCCTCTCTCATCACATTTTCCAGCCCTCTTCTCCCAGGTCCTTCTCTCCACTGCGATGACTGCCTTGATCTTTCTTATAGTTGGTTTCTCATCTGCTTTTTCTCTCTGCCGGGAGTGTTCTTTCTCTTAGAGCTCCATGCAGTTCACATCACTGCCTCCCCGTCTCAGGTCACCGCCTGAGTAGAGCTCCCCCTACTGACTGTTCCTGAAGATAGCATCCTGTCCTCACACCCTTCACTGTCCGCCATTCCCTGCATTATTTTGCTTCATCCTACTTAATATTTTATATATTAAATTGTTAATTTGTTTATTCTCTTCTTACCCCTTAAACTCCTTCATTGACTATAATATCTGAAAGCAGAAGTTTTTTTTTTTCTTTTTCTCTGTCTCTCACTAATGCATTCCTAGCATTAGCCCTTAGCATGTAGTATCTTTTAAATGAACAAAAGAATATTCAGCATCAGCTGGGCTCTGTGGCTCACGTCTGTAATCCCAGCACTTGGAGAGGCCAAGGTGGGACAATCACTTGAGCCCAGGAGTTTGAGACTAGCCTAGGCAACATAGGGAGACCATGTCTCTACGAAATACAAATAAAAATAATTAGCAGGTGTGGTGGCACGTGCCTTGTGGTCCCAGCTACTCGGGAGGCTGAAGTGGGAGGATCGCTTGAGCCTGGGAGGCAGAGGTAGCAGTGAGTCATGGTTGCGTCACTGCACTCCAGCCTGGGTGACAGAGCGAGACCCTGTCTCAAAAAAAAAAAAAAAAATTAGCATTGTAAGTGTTGCAAAATGTATAGGAAAGTAAATTTTCACAACTTTCTTGGAGGATTATTTGACACTACCTATAGCAATTTATTTATTTATTTTTAAGTTTCAATAGTTTGAGAGGTACAGGTTTTTTTTGGTTACAAGGATTAGTTCCATAGTGGTGAATTCTGAAATTTTAGTGCACCCATCACCTGCGCAGTGTACGCTATAATGTAGTCTTTTATCCCTCACCCGCCTCCCAACGTTCCCCCCCAGTCCCCAGAGTCCATTATATCACTCTGTGTGTCTTTGCATCCTCATAGCTTAGCTCCCACCTATAAGTGAGAACATATGGTATTTGGTTTTCCATTCCTGAGTTACATCACTTAGAATAATGGCCTCCAGCTCCATCCAAGTTGCTGCAAAAGACACTATTTCATTCCTTTTTATGGCTAAGTAGTATTCCATGGTGTATATATACCGCATTTTCTTTATTCACTCGCTGGCCCATGGGCACTTAAGTTGGTTCTATATCTTTGCAATTGCGAATTGTGCTGCTATAAACATGCACATGCATGTGTCTTTTTCATATAATGACTTTTTTTTTTCCTTTGGGTAGACACTTTTACCCCTCTCTTGTTTGGCTTCAAGCCAACAACTTCACAGAAATCAATCTTTCTTTGTCCTCGTATGTTCCCTCAATCCCTAACAAATGTTCGATGACCACTTCTTGTCCAAATTCAATGGCTTTATTGCTGTTCTATATATTTCTGACCATAAAACTCCATTTAGTACTGTCAATATCAATATTTACTTTTGGGGGCAATAAATTAGACAGTTTATTAATTGAAGCATGATATATGTATACACACACATATACATATATATATATATATATATATATATGCATACCTTTGAATGGATCTATTTATGTACAAACTACCAATGGAATTTGGACTCACAACATCGGTTATAACCAAAAGAATGTGCCATCTTGGCCTGATCTACCCCTCCTCTTTTGATATCCTTCTATGCCTATTCTTATTAAAAAGAATAAAATTGTTTTAAAAGAAAGACAATTCCACTCATTATATCACTTAATGTAATCCTTGTGTTGGCACTTTTGCCTTTCATTGATATAGTTTCAACCATAATAATATATGTAATGAAAGTTTCAAACTTTTCAGAACTGCCTATTTTTGGCGGGGAGAGGTAATGTGTACTAAAGGTAATCCATATTTTATGTAAAAAGTAAACACAAAGAAGTAAAAATCAGTTGCAATCTCATCATCTCTACACATCTCTTATTAGTTTGATGTTTATTATCTCCTTTTTTCCATTTTTTCATCTAATGGAGTCTGTTTTACAAGCTGATTTTTTATATAGTACATAATAGTTAATGTTATTAACATAATAGTTTGCTATTATGTATACTTTCATGCTATCATTTTATGGCTGAATGAAAATGCCATTTTTAACCTTGAAAAAAATCTTTTACTTGTTCTAGCAGCTTTCTTAGTTATGTTTTCTTTATTGCAAAAGTAAATATTAATAGCATCCATCCTTAATACAAATTATACTTGGTGACTCAGTCAATTTAATATATAATCCAATTTTAAATTTTGTTGTTGTTGAATTATTAGATGTTTAATGATAAATAACAAACTAAAATATTCTAAAATCAGCCAATAATTTAAGTTTGTCTTTACATTCTCTGCTTCATTTGGCTAAAATGAATACATCTTTAAAATGACTAGATAAAATGATAGTCATTTGTCAATTAATGATAACCTTTGAGGCTTAGTATAGAAGATATATTGACAAATGGGAGGCATGTGCCAAAGCTTTTTGCATTAATTGCATCAGTATGATAACTTTAGTCACTACGGTTCCTTCAAAATGTATTCACATAGGCCAACAAACCTTCAGTCATTTTAAAAAAGCAGTAGCATCTAATAGTCCAAGGCAATAGCAATCCATGCACTTCTGTGACAGAGAGGGTGTTTCAAGAATTTTGGCAAAGACTCACACTTGAGGACCAAGGCACTAAAGGTATTCTAAGCTCAGAGAGCCAACGGCCATTGCCTGCTTAGCTGAAATGAGGTGCTGGTGTGGAGAATCTGCCCTAGGTTGTATAAGCCTTGCACAGCCTGCTTCAAAAGAGAGAACTGGAGGAGATCTAGAGGTGTTCTGAGGGATGTGGTGTTATAAAGAGAGTCCATTTTAACTCTGCCTCACCCCTTTGTGGGCAGAGCTGTTAAATGGCCTGGTTGCTCCTGTTTTTCCTGCCTCGTGGAAACTAACCACCACTTAAGAAGTGCAACTACCCTGATGTGAGAAGTCTACTTGCATGGTCATGACAGAAGATAACTAAATCACAACATCTTTGTAAATTATCACATCATGGCCTCTAACTATAGGTTGGTGCAAATGTAATTGAGGTTTTTGCCATTGGAAGTAATGGCAAAGTAATATTTGCAGGCAAATTGACTCACAAAAGGCTGGGCTTCTGGGACACAGGAACAATTAAATGAAGAGGGAGGAAAAGGAAAACATTTATATGTATATGCTTCACCTTTTTAAAAAACAACCGAGAATTTGTTAACATTCATATTATACTTTTAAAGCATTTTAATTTTTCCTATTCTATAATACCTGAAGGATATGGAACAATTACACATAAACATACAGAAAATTAGTTTAAAAAACCATCCATGTTCCTTCTACTCATCATTAACCACTATGAACTTGGAATATAACCTTCAAGGCATCTTTCTGTTCAATTTATGTAAATATGTCTGATTATACACAGGTGATTAGCACAGAGGCAGCATAACATATTAATGAAGACCAAAGCTCTCAAGACCTATTGTTCAGGTTCAAGTCTCAGCATCCTCTCCCCCACCATCCCTTACCAGCTGTGTGACCTTGATTCATTTTCTTAACCTCCCTGTATCTTATACATATGGGTATGATACTGGTGTTTACTAATCATGGGGTTGTTATGAGGATATTTAATCACTTAGACTTAAGCTTTCTAAAGAACTTAAAATGTTCCTGGTACATAGTATGCACAAAGTTAGTGTTTATTAAATAGAATAATTACATTTCAAAAGAAAAATCAAAGAATAGGATAAACAGTATTTTAAAACATGCTTTCTTAAGAATGTGGAATAAACATTCCTCATCAGTAAATACACATCTATGCTATTGATTTTTAAAAGCTGCATAGAATTTCATTTTGTGGATAAAGCATAGTTCCTGATTTTCATACATTTATGTCATTCCATTTTTTGTTTATAATACATTTCAACTTTTATTACGGGACTTTCCAAACATACAAAGGTAGATCATACAGTATAATGAACCTTCCTGTACCCATCACCCAGGTACAATAATTACCAACACATGGTCATTCCTTGTAATATATTTTAAATACTCATTTTATTCCATCGATTCTGATAAGACTAAGATAATGGTCTTAAAGTGAAGAGCTTCCACATCTTAAGCAACAATATTAGGGTATTTGTGTTTACGTTAGAAAGACATGCCTTACTCTGTCCTCAAGATAATGGCTTTTATCTGATGCCAAAGTTAAAAAGATCAGTTCCTTTATTCAACTCCAGTGAACATCCTTCATTATATCTTGTTTCCTTCTGATATATCTGAGAAGAAAATGGAATAATTTAGAAGATGCCAGTGGGATAAAACACTATATTCCTAAATATAGTGCAGTTTTCAGAGCTATTTTAGCCACTGTAATTGAAATCCTCTTGTTCTCCACTGACATATTTTGGAAGCCCATATGTTTAGAGTCTGAAATTTCATTCCAAAAATGATAGAAAGCCTCTTGATCTCAGAATGGAGAGTTACTGAACTGAATTAAAATGGGCAAAGGCTTCAGTAAACTTGAGGAAGTAATGTATGGCCTTCCACGTGGATTAATTTCACTCTCTATCCTGGGAAGTATGGTACCCAGGTAGCCCGTGTGAAAAATATCATGTTGGTGATGTCCGTATGCTACCATATTAGAGACAAAGTCATACGTTCTGCGATGCTATTTTCTAGGCGGTTTGTTTCTTTGCATTACAGTAGTATATTCGGCACCACACAGAAGTTAAAATTATAAGAGGGAAGTAACCTTCCTTAGTGAGACTACAACTGTGAAGCTATAACTAATAGACACTAAGATAGAAATAAATTATTCTTATGATATATAACATAAGCATGAGCATGTAATATTGTTGGGAGCTCTAGCAGAAAGTACTACAGTAGTAGTAGTTTTTTTTTTTTTTAAGACAGGGCCCGGCTCTGTCACTCAGCAGGCTGGAGTGCAGTGGCACGATCTCAGCTCACTGCAACCTCTACCTCCTGGGCTCAAGCCATCCTTCCACCTCAGCCTCTTGAGTAGCTGGGACTACAGGCACACGCCACCATACGTGGCTGATTTTTGTATTTTTTAGTAAAGACTGTGTTTTGCCATGTTGCCCAGGCTGCTCTTGAACTCCTGGCCTCGAGCAATCCACCCGCTTTGGCTTCCCAAAGTGATAGTACTGCAGGCGTGAGCCACTGCACCTGGCCCAGTAGTCCATTAAAAAAAAAAAAAAAAAAAAACTCATTGAGCACCTACTTTGTAACAGGTACTGTTGTAGGTGCTAGGGATAAAATATACTTGTTTCTCCTACTGGATCTTGCTTTTCTTGGAGAAAGAAAGAAACACAATGTCTTAGTCCATTTTCTGTTACTATAACAAAATACCACAGACAGGGTAATTTATTTTCAAAAAAGTTTATTCAGCTCATAGTCTGGAGGATGGGAATTTTAACAGCATAGTGCTGGCATCTGGTGAGAGCCATCTTGCTATGTGATAATATGTCGAAGGGTATCACATGGTGACAGGGCAAGATCTTTCTTCTTCCTATAAAGCCACCAGTCCCATCATGGGGGCTCACCCTTTTGACTTTATCTAATCCTAATTACCTCCCAAAATCCCCGCCTCCAAATACGATCAACATATGAATTTGGGAATTAAGTTTCCAACACATAAAGTTTGGGGAACACATTCACACCATAGCACACAATAAACGAGCAAAAAATACTATATTAGATCATAATAAGTGACATGAAGACTGATGCAACAAAATAAAGGAGGTAGGAGGTACCAGAGGGGAAGAATGGTTATTGTTATTTCAGATACAGTGTTCCAGGAAGAAACTGGTATCTGAGTAGAGAGTTAAAGGAAGTGAGAAAGTGCATGTTGAAATCGGTGACAGAGGTAAAGACAGGTGCAAATGTCCTGAGGCAGGAACATATATCATGGGCATATTCTAGATAAGGCTTTGGCTTCCTTATGCTTCCTTTTTAGTGGGGAAGACAGAACGCAAAGCAAATGCAAAATAAATAATATGCAGTCAGGTTGAGATTAGTGTTATGGAATAAAAGAAGAGAGAGTAAACAATGGGGGAAGGAACAACATTAAGTAGGATAATCAGGAGACTTCTCTGGAGAGATGACCCTTACCCTCAGACCTAAATGATACACTACAAAATAAATGCCTGTACAATCACTAAAGGATTAACACAAACTGAAGGTAAAAACCATTGTGTAAGCGTTTTCCTGAATTCAAGAATTAGATTATTATTCTGAAGCTATTTTAATATTGGGAAAATCTTGTTAGCATTTTTTTCTGACAAAGTTCAAATAATGATTTCTGAAATTTAATTCTACCTAATACTAGGTGTACTTTAGAAAAATAACCAAAATGAGCTGCAGAAGTATTTTACTTTATTATAATAAATATTACAGTATGCATCATGAAATGAAAGAAAAATAATCCTTTGCCTATAGTTTTATTATCTCCAAATGAGTAGAAACTGAATGATGCATTTGGCAAAGCACATAAAACTTCACTTAAGAGATGTCTGTTAATACTTGCTGAGTGGAAAATAATAGCTAGCATTTGTTTGAACGCTTGATGTGTGCCAGGTGGGACACTAGGGATTTTACAAACACTAATCCATTTAAGACTCATACACCTCTGCAAGGTATGTAGTACTATTCTTCCTCCTAGGTAGCCTGAGTCAGTGTCAAAGAGGATTCTGTCTTGGGTCTATGTGATTTCAAGTACTGTGCTCCTTTAACCCCACTCTTAATTGTGAAAATCTTTATCACAGGACTCTGAAACTTCCTGTGATTCACTTTCTCCATGGTGTCCACAGTCCTTTCATGCTATATGTACCACAAATAGCATGAAAGGACTTCCTTTTAACCTAAAGCCTTTTTACAATTAACCCTTGCAATTTACGCTTTTTGATTTTTGTGGTTAGTGTCTGTTCTTGTCAAAATTGTGAATTAGAGCAAGTTTCTCCTTGATGTCATCACACTTCTTTGAAGTCATCAAGCATTTAGTTCTCATTAGGCAGAACAGGCCCTGGCGACTCAAAGTGTGAGCAGGAGCCAGCAGCATCAGCAGCATCCCCAAATCTGCTCAACAAGAGTATTAACAAGATCCCCATGGAATCTGTAGGCACATTAAAGTTTGAGAAGCGCAGCGTTAGGCCAGCATCAGCAACACTTGGGACCTTGCTAAAAATGCATTATTTGTACCCGAAGCTCCAGGAATGTGGCCCAAGAATCTTTGTTTTAACAAGCCCTGCAGGTGATTCTAATGCATGCTCCTAGAGAGTTACTCTTTCTCGGGATTGACATCAGCAATACCGACCTGTTGCAATAAATCAGTCATTCTCAAGTCTGTCTGCATATGAGAATGCCCTGGAAAGCTTGTAGATCCCAGGTTCCATTCCAATATAGTTGGTCTCAACTATATTCCAATCTGCAGGATGGGACCATGGCATTAGTGTGTTGTTCGTTTGTGTTTGTTTGTTTTCCTGTGGGCTCCTCAGTGTTAAAAATCATTGCCATAGAATTAGAAGATCAGTATTTTACCACTCTCAAGGGATTTACTTTTTAGGAGAAATTCGAATCTCCCCAAAATAGTGCCCAAAGGACTAATCTAAACACCTGAGTTACCTTCACTGACTATATAACTGCCACTTCTGCCCTTCAGCATGACACTATGTCTCTTTCCTCATTGAAAAATACATAAAAGGGGAAATTGTAACCTCTCTATTCCCATTGGACTATTGTTGAGATGAACAAATGAGTGTGAGAGTAGGCACTTGAGAATTCTCAAGTGCTATACAAAAAAAAAAAAAAAAAAAAAAAAAGCTCGTGGTCTATCTGAGGGTGGGATGCAGCTCTGCTCTGATGTGTAATTATGGATAAGTGATCAGAAGTTCAGAAGTTCTCAGACATCACAGGGACTGCAGCTTTTTATTTGTTTGTGGTGTCAGCTGAAAAAGTGCTAATGAGATACACTGGGGACAGCCTATGGAAAATAATCTCATGAAATTTTTAGAAAAAGGGAGTATCTATGATGATAGTTCTGAAACTCCAAAGCTGTGCTCCTCAGACTTTAATGTACACATGAAACTCTTGGGGATCTTGTTAAACAATACTGAATCACAACAACAAATTGTGATTCAGTAAGTCTAGGGTGAGGGCTGACAGTCTGCCTTTCCAACAAGCTCCCAGGTGATGGCAACAATGCTGATTCGTAGACCACACTTTTGAGTAGCGAGGGGCTAAAACATACACAATAATTAGGCCTGTTATTTTGCAGATGCCAGTGTGATTAATGAATCCTGCCTATGATAACATTCACGAGTCTGCCCTGAACATTTTTCTGTTCTTTTAACCCTGATTGCCTTTGCCCTGTAGCTCACATATGATCTGTACCTCCTCTTTCTTGCTTACATATAATAGAGCATATTTTATATATACTCATATCCAGTTATAATTCTCTAACTATGAGCAATTGTTTTGTTGAGTTTTGTTGTCAGTGTTCATATCATAAATTGCCTCCCCCAACCTTCTTTCATCTCTACAATTCCTTTCACTCTTCTTTTTGAACTGGCCTGTGAGTGTGCTGTTCTTGCCAGATTAAATGAATCAGTCAATGGGAATCTTATTCTTAAGTGTATTGGATCAGATATGTACAAGTGTTGCTCATGAGGAGAGAAAAGAAGATGGGCGTGCATGCTATTGATTAATGTAGTCACAGAAATGCACTGGTCAATATGATACAAGCTGTTTGCAACCGTAATAGTCCTGTGCTGAGGACTATTAAAAAACTGAATTGGTTACCACTATAACCACTACAGTTATGCTTTTATTTGGGTAAAAATAATCTAGCATGTTGTGGTTTAGCAACAGAATGCTGAAGAACACCCCGATGTGATGTTTGAAGGAGAAAATCCAATCTATTCAGCCTAATGGTTTGCTACAGTAGTTGAAAAAGGCATAAAAAATCCAATCTCCTGGGTAGATGTAGCTCATTGAGTGGGGCATGGGCTGGATTTCCATACCCATCATTCCTTGGCTAGTTCTCTTCTGCAGGACGTGACCTTCACATCTCATACTGAGTATTGTGTAATCATCTTCTGGTATCTTTCTTCTCTTATGTCCCTTTACTCATTATTCTTTGTTCCCCTTTTCATCTTTAGTCTTCCTAAGGGCTTCTCAGTTTTTTTCACAGGGGTATATAGATCAGAACCAAGTCCTTTCCTAAGCCTGTGTCTTTATTTCACAATTCAACAAGGAAGGACACTACAGATCACATAGCTCACCTCCATACATCAGAGTATAGGCCTTACTGATACATGCACACATAGAAACAACAGAAGCTGGCGGAGCATGGTGGCTCACGCCTGTAATCCCAGCACTTTGGGAGGCTGAGGCGGGCGGATCATGAGGTCAGGAGATCAAGACCATCCTGGCGAACATGGTGAAACCCCGTCTCTACTAAAAATACAAAAATTAGCCGGGTGTGGGGGCGTGCGCCTGTAGTCCCAGCTACTCGGGAGGCTGAGGCAGGAGAATCACTTGAACCCAGGAGGCAGAGGTTGCAGTGAGCTGAGATCATGCTACTGCACTCCAGTCTGGTGACAGAGCAAGACTCCATCTCAACAACAACAACAACAAAAAAACAGAAGCCAATAAATAAATTCTGCAGATCTATTGTGCAGCATGGTGACTATAGTTAATAATAATGTGTTGTGTATTGGAAAATTGACAAGACAGATCTTAAATGTTCTCACCACAAACATAACTATGAGAGGTGGTGCATATGTAACTATGAGAGGTGGTGCATATATAACTATGAGAGGTGGTGCACATATAACTATGAGAGGTGGTGCATATATAACTATGAGAGGTGGTGCATATATAACTATGAGAGGTGGTGCACATATAACTATGAGAGGTGGTGCATATATAATTGGCTTGATTGTGGTCATTATTTCACAATGCATACTGTTAACAAAAGATCATGAAATTTGCAGGGGCAAAAAGGAGAGCTTTACTTTCCTAAAGAAATTTGTAGGTGGGGGAGACGCCCCTTTGGGACAGAGCAAAAGTGTGCTCCAAGGAGACACTGGAGAGTTAAAGATTATAATGGCAAAAACTGCAAGACTGGGGAGAGGGATCAGAGTCTTGATTAGATGACATTTAAGCCTAAAACCACAAATCTCTCTTTGTTTTCTGACTCTAGGTGGTCAGTGGTTGGTCACATGAGGATTTTCCAGCTGTAGTCTATTTTGAGATTGATAACAGGAACTGGTTTAGCTTGATTGCAGAAAGGGGAGTCTCGTGACATTTCTGCAACATTTTTTGAGAACACAGTGTATGTGACTACCTCCTCATCTTGCTGTGGCCTCCCAGTTCTGCTTTAACTTGAGCATCTCAGCCACAGGGGGTTTATTTTATCTATATGTTGGGGCATAATTTGACAATACATACTTCAAAACATTACATTGTACACTGTACATTATACAATTTTTGTCCATTACATTTTGGTAAAGCTGGAGATAAGAAGAAAGGCAAGGGGGTAAAAGGAGAAACGGAATACAAGACAAGTATTAATGAATATTTTACTACATGTAATGTTTGGTTAATTATAAGATGCTAAGCTAAACAAAAAATGATTTTAAAAATGTCATACACAAAAATTATTAAAAGTTTTATTAGATTTCCATTAATTCATCTTTAATGATTTTACAGAATGACAAATGTGATGTTTTCTTCATTTTAACCCAGTGTACAAGTAATACATTTTTTCTTCAAAGAGTAGTTTCTTATAAAAATGTATAGTTTTGTTTTAATTAGTAATCCACCGAATTACATCATTATAATGTTCTTTATAAGGGGATTTATTTTCTATTATTTAAATTTCCTCTGATAAATTTTTATTGTGATATCTGCCACCAACATCTTATAGTTAAAATAGTATGCAAACTAATGGTCGTGCAGATAGTTACTAGTATAGGCTTAATACTATGCAATACAAGGAGATGCTTTCATTAGGCCAATGGTTTCTTATATAAAAATTACTTCTTTAAAGGTCTGTACAGCTAGCAGAATGGCATTTGAGGGGATTTAGGTCTCAGCCTAATTATTACCTTTTTAGAGCTAACTTCTGTGACCAACACAGTTAAAGAAGTTCAAAGATCACCTTATTTAATTTTCTACATAGGACTTATTAATCTCTGATACCATGTGGTGGTTTCATCCTTGTTTAACAGTTTTTCTGACTCTCAATTTCAAGAGGGTAGGACACTTCTCATTTTATTATTGTATCTTTAATGTCTGTGACAATTCCAGGCAGCATGGTACATAGGAACTCTATAAAAATTATTGAATAAATGCATGAATACATGGTCAATATATTAAAATAAAATTAAAATTTAAAAAAAAAGCCATAAAAAGGTAATTTGAGACTGGGCACGGGGCAGTGGCTCACACCTGTAATCCCAGCACTTTGGGAGGCCGAGGTGGGCGGATCACTTGAGGCCAGGAGTTCAAGACCAGCCCAGGCAACATGGCAAAACCCCGTGTCTACAAAAAAATACAAAAATTAGTCATGTGTGGTGACACATGCCAGTAATCCCAGCTACATGGGTGGCTGATACAGGAGAATCCCTTGAACTGGGGAGGCAGAGGTTACAGTGAGCCGAGATTGTGCCACTGCACTCCAACCTGGGTGACAGAGGGAGACCGTCTCAAAAACAAAAACAAAAAAAGATAATTTGACAAAAATGGAAGTCGCTCACCAAATACTTTGAATAATGTACCTACTGTGATTTTGTATTTCAAGCTACAAAATAGGAAAGACATTGTTCTTCCTTATTTTTGTTTCTTTTCTAACCTTTTTCTTTTATTATTCTATAATATATTGGCATTTCCTTTAGCAAAGGGAGTTGTTTGGCCTTGCATCCTTCATACAAATAGCAAATATTTACACATACACACACTCATCGCTATGTAAGTCCCTTGAAGTTCAAGTACACAGTTACTCATCTGAGGTATGTGTGTGTGTGTGTGTGTATATATATATATTCTGAGTGTGTATTTTGCAGCTCTAGTTTTTTATAAATGTGTTTCTCACCCCTCGTAGTCATTTGTATGCACTTAATGTAATTGTCAGAAGTTATAAATAAATATGTGGTTGTTGTATTTTCATCATTAGGTTGTAAATTCCTTGTGGGCAACAAGCATCATATAATGAAGAAATTAAAGAAATCAGAACCATTACATTGAAAACATGATGCTTTCAAATACACTTTTGAATGTTCACCTCAGTGTTCTAATTAAATTCTAATTTCGGTATACATATCTCCTTATCTGAATGCCTTTAGCAATTTGAAGTGACTGAGTATTCTGATTCATCCCATATTCAATGGAAGCATATCAAAATTGTCTGCCATTTAACTGTGCTATCACAAGCTATAAATAGGACACTACTCTCTGCCAAAGGTGAATTAATTGTGATAAAGCTATCTTGATAAAACTTATTCCTCACTTAAGTGAAACATGCAGTACCTGATTAATTTCTGCAACAGCTGTGTTAAAAGCTCTGCACTTAATATCAAACTTCTACTTCAGTATATGTCACCATTTTTACAGAAACAGAAAGTCCCTTGCATTTGATTAGCCTCAAATTATGGCTCATTGATGAATGCAAATAATCAAACAAAAAAGGACTAATTGTATAGAACAAGTAAATATTATACATACAGTGCTCATTTGCCTACAATTACACAGGTAATGTCTCTATTTAGTTTCTTAATTTCTCATTATGAGACAATTGCATCTCATCTAGCAGTATTTAATTGCATTGTTTCTATTGCTAGAATAATAGCATATTCCTTTTTTTAAGATGTTGAATGACAAATAAATTTAGATTGTAATCACTTATTGTTCCTTCTCTAAGCAAAATCGCCCAGGCGTTTCAGTTGCAATGAAAAGTTTTATTTTCTACTAATGATGGCCAAAATGGGAGCATTCTAGATAAGTCTGTATCCTGTCTATCACCTTCTTCTTCAGTTGTGGTCATAACCATGATCTTAATAAGTCTACTTGACTAATAACTTTACTATTTTCTAAAGGTGTCACTATAAAATCTTACAATATTTAACCTCACATACCAAACCCCTACAATAATCTTTGTTTCTATTTGTAACTTTACGTGTCTGCATTGGTAAATGTCAGGTACATTTGGAATGACAAACATGCAGTTACACTGAGTCTAGTTTGTAGTTTCTTATCCTAATTCTCATTCTGACCTTAACATCAAATCCTCTACTATGAGACAGCAGTATTAAATAAAACTATCACCTAGCTTCTGAGTTATCTTGTAAGCATAAGTGAAATCTTATTCACAACCGTAAGTGAAGTCTTGTAACCGTAAGTGAAGTCTTATTTACATGTTTACATGTGTTTTTTATGCTTCGTGTATTTTCTAAATGATTCACTTGCTCTTAGCCTTTTGCAAAAAGTATAATTTTTTATTGCTGCCGTAATAAATACAACAAACAGTGGCTTAAACTACACAAATTTATTATCCTATAGTTCCATAGGTCAGAAACCTGGCACAGGTCTCACTTGGCTAAAATCAAGGTATCAGTAGGGCCTCATTTATTTCTGGAGGCTCTAGGAAAGAATCTATTTCTTTATCTTTGTCAGCTTCCAGAAGTTTCTCACATTCCTTGGCTCATGGTCCCTTCTGCTATCTTTAAAGGCAGCAGTTATCAGTTGAGTCCTTCTTACGTGGCATCACTCTGACTCTTCTTTCATTGTCCCTTTTCTCCCTAACTGCAGCTAGAAAAGATTATTCATCTTTAAAGACTCATGTGATCAGTTTGGGACCATCTGTATAATTCAGGATAACCTCCCCACTTTAAAGTCTATAGCCTTAATCACATTTTCAAAGTCCCTTTGCCATGTACAAGGAAATATTCATATATTTTAGTGATGAGGATGTGGGCATCTACAGGGGGCCATTATTCTGCCTACTACATATGGTCTCTTATTATTTAGCATGTCTAGTGCAGTTGTGTGGGGATGCTGGACTTCTTAACATGTGACATTAGTTAGGCTTATGAAGTCAAGCATTATAGACATTGCCTGTTAATGTTGAAGCAAGCTTGAACAGAGCCACGCTTCATCTCTAGCCTTGGTTTGCTTGTTTTTCCTTTCATTTATTATTATTTTTCAGTGAAAATTGATAATAGAGCTGCCTTTTCTTTTTGCACTGGCATTATTGCATTGCACTACTGAAGAAATCACTAAATCTGTTTATTTTACAGAAAAAGATTGAGGGTCCAGTTAAATTTGTGTTTATTCAGGACAATGAGCTCTGTTTTTCTCACTTGGGAATTCTCCCTCTTGAGACAGATTTCCCAGGTACGACCAAGAGTTAAGAGATCAAAGTTTTGTCTGGTGAGAACAGAACCCAAATCTCTAGGCAACTCTTGTTAACTAATTTTGGGGATACCACAGATACAGATTGGAGAACTTTTAGAAATTCATATCAAGTTTGATTTATTTAATATTCATATTTAATATGTTACATGAATGTATAATCCAATGTAAATACGATTTATTTATTATGGAATTGTTTAATACATGACATGCTTATAGTTATACCGTTAAGGAATATCTCTTATTTTGCAACATTTTACTTTTTTCCTCTCCCAAGTGCTTTGTGAATTTCACTAAATAAATCAGGGTAAAATGCATGTAGTTTAGTCTAAAAATACTTAATAATCCACCCAGAGGGAAAATATATTTTAATGCTTGCTGCATAACCTTAATAAACAGAGAATACTAATGTGCACTTATAGGTTAAAGTAATATGTTTAAAAATCATTTCAACTTTTATTTTAGAGTCAGGGGATACATGTGCAGGTTTGTTACATGGGTATATTGCATAATGCTGAGGTTTGGGGTGTGAATGATCCCGTCACCCAAGTAGCGAGCATAGTACCCACTAGGTAGTTTTTCAGCCCTTGTCCCCTTCCCCCACTCCCCACACTAGAAGTCCCTAGTGTCTTCTTTGTCCATCTTTATGTCCTTGCGAATTCAATGCTTAGTATCATTTTTTTGAAACAGAGTCTCGCTCTGTTGCCCAGGCTGGAGTGCAGTGGCACAATCTCAGCTCACGGCAACCTCTGCCTCCCAGGTTCAAGTGACTCCTCTGCCTCAGCCTCCCGAGTAGCTGGGACTACAGGCACGCACCATCAGGCCCGGCTACTTTTTGTATTTTTTTTTTTTTAGTGGAGACGGGGTTTCACCATATTGGTCAGGCTCGTCTCAAACCCCTGACCTCATGATCTTCCCGCTTTGGCCTCCCAAAGTGCTGGGATTACAGGCGTAAGCCACCGCGTCCGGCTGCTTAGTATCATTTATAAGTGAGAACATGCAACATTTGATTTTTTTGTTCATGCATTAGTTTGCCTCTAGTTGCATCTATGTTGCTGTAAAGGATATGATTTAATTCTTTTTTATGGATGTATAATATTCCATGATGTATGTGTACCACATTTTCTTTATCCAGTCCACTGTTGATGGGCACCTGGGTTGATTCTATGTCTTTGCTATTATGAATAGCAAGATGCTGGACATTTCCTTAGGTTTTAGATGGTTTCTTTTGAAATGTATATTGTTAGGTTTAATCAGTCCTTTGTATATAGTTGCCTTTTGTGAGAAATACAGTACCAGGTAGCTTGATATACCATTAAAATTAAGCATATAGATTTACCTGCTGTCTCTAATGCCGTTATGTGTGACAATTCCCATATGAGGTAAATTTAATGAGTTCGTTTCTTTTAATATCTAGACTAACTAATGCCTTCAGGAAAGTATGAAAGTATATTGTGTCTCTTTAGTGAATTCCCTTTAGATAGGCTTAAGATAGCCATATGGCTCTAAACTTACTAAATGCAGAAAATTTAACTTAGCTTTACTTCTTTCATTCTTAGGAAAACAGTCTTCATTTTGTTGATTAACTTCCATTTAAATGCTTATTTTATACTGTCTTTATTTGGACTATGCTTCATTAAGCCTCAATTTCCATTTAATTTTGCTTGTGTCTTATTGTTCGAGTTCCTATGTCTCAGTTCACTAATGAAATGTTTTCTAACCTGTGAAAATTCAGAAGAGCACAAAGATCCATATAAAAGTACATTTCCAGTTTCTAAAAGAAAAATTAAGGTCTACTGGGACTCTGGTACACTGCAAAACATAAACACTATTCTTACTCCAAATTATAGTCATTGAGGTCTTTCAATTCCCAGCTCCCATATGTTAAATCTACCTATCTGATAATGATATTAGTTGCAAATGCTTTATTGCTTCCCTTTGTATCCTGTTTCAGTAGCTGTTCCTTGTAACCTTATCTTGACATTTTCAAATTCGGTTTGAAAATACAACTAGAGTTTACCATTATTTATGGAAGGTAAATGTTAACTGACATTATATTTACATTTAGGATGAAATAGGTGAATGCTCAGGTACAAATAAAACTAAGTTTATTTATTTCTCTGCTTAATTCAAAAGGTGTATAGGTTCAGGTCATAGCATAGTTTAGGGCAAAGAAAGTAGAAATGAGAACACAGAACGCAGGAATTTGTCAGTTTTGTGCATCTATCTCGTAATCTAATCTCAGCTAATGGGACTTTACATTTAATCACCTTTCCAGACCAAGTCTCCAGACCCAGCTGAAGTTGCTGTTCATCCATGCCCAAATCTCTTTTGCTGACCTCCTAATCAAGATTCTAGTGTGTTAGCGATAAGGTGTGGCAGGCAATAACCCAGTGATCACTATTGCTTGTTTCCCCCGACAGTTGTGCCCTGTTTACACACTTGAGTTTCTCTCCTTAGTTCTGATTTAGAGCCCTCGGCCAGGTTCTCGAAATCACTAGTGATCTTGAATTCAACCACATGGCTTGCATTCTAGCCCTTGTGCCCAAACAACATGATCGAATCATTTCAATTGAAATACATACTATCGCTATTGCACTCAGTCTCCATCCCTACTGTCTCTGTCTCTGTCCCTGTCTCTGTCTTCCTCTCTCTCTCTCTCTCTGTCTGTCTGTCTCTCCCCTTGAACAACCTGGTCCTTAATTCCAGGCCTATTCTCTACAATAAGTTCAGACATTTTTCTGCAGTCCCTAAGTAGGCAAATCTGAAGACCTCCTAGAACATCCAGCAAGCTTTGCAGTTATATCATACTGCAGCTATGACCATGCATAACCTTTATTTGACTTTTATTTGAAACCATATTTTAATATACTGTATTTATTATAGAGAAGTTTCTTACATTCAATGTTTCTAAATTTACCTTTCACCTATATATGGTAGCTCCCTACATATAGAATATTAAAATTTACTGAAGTAAAAATGTATTTTTTTCTCTTTTAAAGCCACCATAATTTGATACAATTAAATTATACGGTGATATAGTTTGCATATTTATCCCCATCCAAATCTCATGTTGAGTTGTAATCTCCAATGCTGGAGGTGGGACCTAATGGGAGGTGTTTGGATCGTGGAGACAGATCCCTCATGGCTTGGTGTTGTCTTTGCATCAGTGAATGAGATCTCACAAGATCCAGTCACTTAAAAGTGTATGGCATCTCCCTCCACACTCTTTCTTATTCCTTTTTTTTTTTTTTTTTTTTGCCATGTGATGTACCTGCTCCCCCTTCACCTTCTGCCATGATTGTAAACTTCCAGAAGCCTCCCCAGAAGGTGAGCAGATGCCAGCACCACGCTCCCTGTAAAGTCTGCAGAACCATGAGCCAATTAAATCCGTTTTCAGTATAAATTACCCAGTCTCCAGTATTTGTTTATTAAAATGCAAGAATGGCCTCATACCTGTGGTTTAACTGAGCACTTAATTCCTTTATTATTTTAGTGCAGATGTCTCCATTTTTTTCCTTTGTTCATGAAACTTTTATTGGGAAAATGCTAAATGAGAGTTTTACTACTATGACCACGGAGAGTAGGATGCACTTGTGCAAAGTCTGGGACCTCCAGAAGCTTGCAATTTAATCAGTGAAACAGACTGGACATAAACAACTCTCTTAACTTCTCAGTGATTGGAAATGCAAACAGTATTCTATTTAAAAATGCCATCTGGCTTTCATAAGGTTTGGAAAATACTTACTACTTTTAAACAGCAAATCCTCCAATATTTGAGGTTTGCAATGCTAAGCCCATAGGGCATGAGGCAACATAACCCTGATATGAGTAATTTTGATGAATTCTCCATATTTAGAAGTAAATTGTGTATCTTGATAATAAATTTTATAATTTCATTATTGAGTTTCTTCATACATTTTGGAAAAACCCCACGGCCCTCTGATTTATTTATAGCTGATTTGTCAGTTAGATGTAAAATTTCCTGCATGTTGATCACATAACTTGCTTTTCCTGTTTGATTTTTTTGTCCTCTATAATTTTTTTCAGCTCCTAGGTTTATAGATATTTTTAATGTAGCCCATATTATAATAATTCAACAATTTTCAACATCTTTAAACTATGATTTAAGTATATTTTGCTCATTAAGAATTGCTACCTCCTAAATTTAATAAGAAGATTGAAAGAAGAATAGCTGTTGACAGTAATTAATAATATTCTTCCATGTAGGAGCTACATGGCAATTAATTATTTTTCAGGAAATTCTTTTCACTTTTTTGTTAAGAATATTTCATTATATTATTTTTCAGCACTGTCAGTTTTCTAACATTCATGTAGCTGTTAATTTATTCATAACTTGAATTCATTTTCAGTGTCATTCATGCAGCTTTGGCTTTTTTTCAGCTTGCTTATATTATTTTGTATATGAAAAATGGATAACTTTTTGACTAATTTCCTTCCACATTAAAACTGTGTAGCATTCTTTTCTGGTTCTGGAGAAAATATAATAATTTAAGGAGATACATTATGCCATTTATTTCAATATATTTTAAAACCAGTTTATTTTCATGCTATCTAAACTGCTAACTGGTTCATCTTAAATTTGGTGATCCTCTATAGTTTAATAATTGTCAGAATAAAGTGTTTGAGTAATCAAGAATAGAGCTAACACCAATCCATTAGTTTATATGGTTTGTACTGATTAACATCATCCCATTCTGCCATGGGCCTTCTCACAAAAATCTTAATGAGAAAGAGAGACAGAGACACTAAAACAGTTTAGTGAGAAGTCACCAAAAAATTTCTTACTAGTTACTTGGCACGCAATAAGGTTGTCCTTGCCAATGACGCTAACCATGATGACATATTAATCAATCAAGAAATGGTCATTTATATCAATAAATATTCAGTTCTTCTATTATTTCTCCTTTGACAGTCGTGATTTTTCTGTCAGTCTACATCACCATTGCTTCCAGATGAGCCTCTTTTAGTCCCTCTCTATGGTATGCCCAAGTTCTATTCTTCCTCACTCTAGGTGGCTGCAAACAGTTCTTCCCCCTCTTGGCCATGTGTGAAGGAGGATGGAAATGTGATTTCTGTAAAGGCTCCTGCCATTTACTTTGCCTGTTACATTGTCTGGCATTTGCTTCATTTCTATTTCATTTCTTTTCATTGCCCTCTTCATTGTCTCTTACTCTCCTTTCTTGTTTTTGCCTCTTAATCTTTATTGATTTTTTTCTTTATTTGATTCCTTACGCTTAGTCCTCTTCTTCTGTCATTCTTAATGAATTCATTCATTTTCTATTGTTTCAATTGTTTTCTTTTTTTTTGTTTTTTAAATTGTGGTTTTTTCTTTTTTAAAAAAAATTTTCTCTTTAGTTTTCATCATTTAAAAATTAGCACAGATAGAATATTCCTTAGATTAGGTGCACACAAATATTGAATATGTCATTAAATAACCCGTTATTTTATATTATTTGTACTGATTAACACCATACCATTCTGTCCCATAAATTCAGAATAAACATATTGTTTTTTGTATGTTGTATGTCGTGTATGTATAAAGCCATCTTATAAGTTTCACTCTGCATATGCCTAGGTTACATATTTTGGCATTAAGAATATCATTAAAAGCCAACTGTTTTTGAGAAAACTTTTAATGTTGGGATGTAAAAAATAAACCTTATTGAATTCATCATAATTAAACAGATGAATAGCAGCAATAAATTCAGATCCTGAATAAGAATCAAACCACAAAGGTTCTTTGTTGACTGAAACACAAAAATATGTGTGCATTAATTTTATTCTTTTGTAAAGTGTTACTCTAAATAAAATTACTGGAGATAATATCTTGGGTCTCAACAATATCATGCTTTGCAAAGTATTTGTCACTGCTAATTGAATTTTGTGTGTGAATATAATGCATATCTATACAAATAGAACAGCCTCTAATTGAATCTGGGAGGATTTGAATATTGTTTGAGTGTTGGCCAGTCTACTGACAGATTTAATCAAGAAATGGATATTTATATAAAAGAATTGTGCTTAGGAGTAATAACCCATTTAGTCACAGATTCAGTGTTAACGGATTGAAAGGTTTGTGGTATACTCTGGCTCTATGAGTTTTAATGAGGCTTCGTTTCCTCACTTTTTTTTTCTTTTATTCAGGAAGTGTTAATGTAGCATGCATTTCAGCCTTATGATTTTGTCAAATATAATGTTTATGTTTTATTCATTTTGGATCCCCTCCTAGAACTGTTATTCACATATTTGCTACTACACACATATCAGATGAGATTCATTGCAGAACACACAACTTTAGGCTATATGTCAAATACGAATATAAAATACAAATACATAGGTCAGTTCATTTGTCATTCACATTTAAAAGTGGAAGGTTTAATATAATCAATTCTCTAATCCCGGTACAACTGTTCCCCCAAATCTGTTGAACCCAGCCCTCTTTCTGTTTGCTTCCTCAAAGTAATGTAATGGATTTTAAAACCTATGGTAAATAAACCAGTAGAAATTGAACTTGTCTATTGAATTATAATCTTTGCTGTTTATTTCCTTCTAAACAAGTTTTTATTGATATATAATATCTGTACATATTTTGGGGGCATATGTGATAATTTAATATATTCATATAATTTGTAAAGATCAAATCAGTGTAATTGAGATACAGTCACCTTAAATATTTGATCTTTCTTTATGCTAGAAACATTAGAATTCTTCTTTTTTCTTTTTCTTTTTCTTTTTTTTTTGAGATGGAGTCTCACTCTCTTGCCCAGACCTGGAGTGCAGTGGCACGATCTTGGCTCACTGCAACCTCTGCCTCCTGGGTCCAAGCAATTCTCCCTGCCTCAGCCTCCTGAGTAGCTGGGATTACAGGTGCATGCCACCACACCTGGCTAATTTTTTTTGTATTTTTAGTAGAGACAGGGTTTCACCATGTTGGCCAGGCTGGTCTCAAACACCTGATCTCAGGTGATCCTCCCATCTCGGCCTCCCAAAGTGTTGGGATTACAGGCGTGAGCCATCGTGCCCAGCCAGAATTATTCTTTTGTAGTTATTTTGAAATATACAATAGATTATTGTTAACTATAGTCACCCTACTGATTTATCAAACACTAAGTCTTATTTCTTTTATCAAACTGTGTGTTTGTACCCATTACTCAACTTATCTTTATCCCCTCTTTCCCTTACCCCTCCTGGCCTCAGGTAACTGCCAATCTACTCTGTATCTTTATGAGATCTACTTTTTCAGCTCCCACATATGAATGAGAATATGTGATATTTATCTTTCTGTGCCTGGTTAATTTCACTTACTAATGACCTCCATGTTCATCCATGCTGCTGAAAATGATTTAATTATTTTTTATGGCGGAATAATATTATATAATATGTACACACAATACATGGCTGAATAATATTTCATTATATTATGTATATGTATATATGTCACATTTTATTTATCCATTCATCTATTGATGGGTACCTACACTGATTCCATATTTGGGCTGTTTTGAATAGTGCTGCAATAAACATGGAAGTGTAGATCTCTCTTTGATATATTTGTCTTTTTTCTTTTGGATATATACCCAGTAGTGGGATTGCTAGATAATATGGTAGCTCTATTTTTAGTTTTTTTTGAGAACCCTCCATACAGTTTTCCATAATGGCTATGCTAACTTACATTCCCACCTTCCTCTACATCCTTGCCAGTGTTTGTTAGTCCCTGTCATTTTTTAAAGACCATTTTAACATGGGTGAAATGATATCTCATTGTTGTTTTGGTTTGCATTTATTTGATGAATAATGATATTGAAAATTTTTCATATATCTGTTGGCCATTTGTATGTCTTCTTGTGAGGAATGTCTATTCTGATCTTTTGCTCATTTCTTAATCAGATTATTTGTTTTTTTGCGGTTGAATTGTTTAAACTCCTCATGTATTCTGACTATTAATCCCTTGTCAGATGGGTAGTTTGCACATATTTTCTCCCATTCTATGTGTTGTCTCTTTACTTTGTTGATTGTTTTCTTTGCTGTGCAGAGCTTTTTAGGCGGAGGTAATCCCATTTGTCTACTTTTGCTACTTTTGCTTTGGTTGCCTGGGCTTTTGAGGTCTCACACAAAAAATTCTTTGCCCAGAGCTATGTCCTGGAGCATTTCCCCAATGATTTTTTTTTCTAGTAGTTTTATAGCTTTAGGTCTTAGATTTAAGTTTTTAATCCATTTTGATTTGATGTTTGTGTATGGTGAGAGTTAGAAATCTTTTTTCATTCTTCTGGATGTGATTGGTTATCCGGTTTTCCCAGCGCTATTTATTGAAGAGACTCTCCTTTCCCCATTGGATGTTCTTGTTGCGTTTGTCAAAAATGAGTTGTCTTTAAATGTGTGGATTAATGCCTGTGTTCTCTATTTTGTACCATTGATCTGTGTCTATCTTTATGTCAGCACCATGCTGATTTGGTTACTATGTCTTTGTAGTATATTTTGAAGTCAGGTAATGTGATGCGTACACCTTTGTTCATTTTGCTCAGGATTGCTTTGCTTATTTGAGTTTTTTTTTTTTTTTTTGTAGTTCCATGTGAATTTTAAGTTTTTTTCTATTTCTGTGAAGAATGTGATTGATATTTTGATAGGGATTACATTGAATCTGTAAATAGCTTTGAGTAGCATTGTCATTTTAACAATATTAACAATATTAATTCTTCCAATCAATGAGCATGAAAAATCTTTCATTTTTTATGCTTTTTCAATTTATTTCGTCAGGGTTTTATAGTTCTCTTTGTGTAGAACTTTCACTCCTTTGGCTAAATTGATTCCTAGATATTTTATATTCTTTGTAGCTATTATAAATGAGATTTCTTTCTTGATTTCTTTTTGAGATTGCTTGCTGTTGGTGTATATAAATGCTATTCATATTTATTTGGTTTTTTTGTATCCTGCAAATTTACTGAATTTACCAATTCTAACAGTTTTTTGGTGAACTCTAGTTTTTTCTAAGTATAAGATCATATTGCTTGCAAAAAGGCTAATTTGATATCTTCCTTTCCAATTTTGATGCCTCTTATTTCTTTCTCTTGCCTAGTTGCTCTGTCTAGGACTTCCATTATTATATCGAATAAAGGTAGTGAAAGTGCGCATCCTTGTCTTGTTACAGATCTTAGAGAAAATTTCAATTTTTTCTCACTTAGTACAATATTAGCTGTGGGTTTAGCATATATGCATTTTATTATTTTGAGGAATGTTCCTTCTATACCCAGTTTGATGAGAATCTTTTTTATCATAAAGATATGTTGGATTTTATCTAATACTTTTTCAGTATCTATTGAAATGATCATGTGGTTTTTGTTCTCATGTCCTTGTATCGTATTTATTGATTTGTATATGTTGAATCATCCTTGCATCCCAAGGATGAATCACACTTGATCATGGTGAATGATCTTTTAAATATGTTGTTGAATTTGATTTGCTAGTGCTTTCTTAATGATTTTTGCATCTGTTTTCATCAGCGATATTGGCCTATAGTTTTCTTTTTTTGTTGTGTCCTTGTCTTGTTTTTGTATTCAGGTCTTACAGAATGAGTTTGGAAGTATTTTCTTTTTGTCAATTTTTTTGAAGAATGTAAATAGAATTAGTATTGGTTCTTCTTCAAATGTTTGGTAGAATTCAGCAGTAAAGCCATTGGGTCCTGGGCTATTCCTTGGTGGGAGACATTTGATTATGGCTTTGATCTCATTACCAGTTTCTTCACATTTTCTATTTCTTCATAGTTCAATATTCATAGGTTTTATGTGTCCCAGAATTTATCCATTTCTTCTAAGTTTTCCAATTTCTTGGCATATGGTTGTTCATAATAGTCTCTAATGATTCTTTGTATTTTTGTGGTCTCAATTGTTATGTTTTCTTTTTGGTTCCTGATTTTATTTATTTGGGCCTTCTGTCTTTTTTTCTTAGTCTAGCTAAAGGTTTGTCAATTTTGTTTCTTTTCAAAAAGCCAACTTTTTGTTTTGTCGATCTTCTGTACTTTTTTGCCTTATGTCCTACCATTACCAGAGGGTCTCCTATATTCCAGGGTTTTGTTTGTTTGTTTGTTTGTTTCAATTTCGTTTGTTTCTGCTTAGATCTTTATTATTTCTTTCCTTCTACTAATTTTGTTTTTGGTTTGTTATTGCTTTTCTAGTTCCGTGAGGTGCATTGTTAAGTTGTTTATTTGAAGTCTTTCTACTTTTTTGATATAGGCACTTATTACTATGAACTTTGCTAGTAGTACTGCTTTTGCTGTGTCGCATAGATTTTGGTGTTGTATTTCTATTTTCAATCATTTCAAGAAAGTTTTCAGTTGCCCTTTTAATTTCTTTATTCATTCATTGATCATTCCAGAGCATGTTGCTAAATTATTTTTATTTTTATTTTTATTTTATTATTTGAGACAGGGTTTCACTCTGTCACCCAAGCTGGAGTGCAGTGGCACAATTACAGCTCACTCTAGCCCTGACATCCTGGGCTCAAGCAATCCTCTCACCTCAGCCTCCCAAGTAGCTGGGACTAGTGGCATGTGCCAGCATGCCCAACCAATTTTTAAAAATTTTTGTAGAGACTTATATTTCCCATCTTGCCCAGGCTGCTCTTGAACTCCTGGGCTCAAGCAGTCTTCCTGCCTCAGCCTCTCAAAGTGCTAGGATAATAAGCAGGAGCCACCAAGCCCAGCCTGAATCCTTTTTTTTTTTTTTTGGTATAGAGTCTTGCTCTGTCAAGTGCAGACTTGACAGAGTGCAGTGGCGTGATCTCGACTCACTGCAACCTCTGCCTCCTGGGTTCAAGTGATTCTCCTGCCTCAGTCTCCTGAGTTGCTGGGATTACAGGCACCCCGAGCCTGAATTTTTACGTGCTTGTGTAGTTTCCAAGGTTCTTCTTGTTATTGATTTCTAGTTTTATTCCATTGTTGTCAGAAAATATACTGATGTGATTTCTACTTTTCTGAATTTGTTGAGGCTTGTTTTGTGGCCTAAGAGATGGTCTACCCTGGCTACTGTTTCATGCACTGATAATAAAGAATGTGTACTTGGTAACAGTTGGGTGAAATAATTTTTCAATTCTAGATAGCCCTATTTGGTTTAGTGTGTAGTTTAACTGTGATATTTCTTTGTCGATTTTCTGTCTGGATGATCTGTCCATTACTTATATTGAAGTGTTGAATCCCATACTTTTGTTTTATTGCAGTCCATCTCTCCTTTTAAATCTATTAATGTTTGTTTTATATACTTGGGAGCTCTGGTGTTGGGTAAATAGGTATTTATAATTGTTCCATTCTCTTGCTGAACAGAACCCTTTATCATGATGTAGTGACCTTCTTAGTCTCTTTTTACAGTCTTTTATTTTCAGTCTACTTTATTTGATGTAATTATAGCTACTGCTACTCTTTTTTGTTTACCAGTTGCATGGAATATCTTTTCCCAACACTTCAATTTCAGTCTATGTGTATCTTTATAAATGAAGTGGAATTCTTGAAGGCAGCATATGGGTAGGACTTGTTTCTTTATCCATTCAGCAGCTTTATGCCTTTTAATTGGATAATTTAGTCCATTTACGTTCAATGTTATTATTGATAAGTAAGGACTTACTACTGCCATTTTGTTGCTTGTGTTCTGGTTGTTTTAGAACTCCTCTCTGTTCCTTTCCTATTGTCTTCCTTTATGGTTAAGTGATTTTTCTCTGGTAGTATGTTTTAATTTGTTGCTTTTTCTTTTCGGTGAATGTATTATTGGTTTTTGCTTTATAGTTACTATGAGGCTTATGAAACATAATTATAACATTCTTTTGAAGAGACGACAACTTATCTTAGATAAAAAAGAAAAGAATAGAAACAAATAATGAAAATATAAAAATAAACTCTACATTTTAGCTACATCCCCCCACAGTTTGACTCTGTTTTCTCAATTTACATAGATTTATATTGCCTATCTCTTAACAGCTTGCTGTAGGTATTATTATTATGAAAGATTTGTCTTTTGGGCTTCATACTACAGTTATGTATGGTTTACACACCAAAATTACAGTATTAGAGTATTCTGGATTTGTTTTTGTACTTAATTTTACCAGTGGGTTTTACACCTTCAAATATTTTCTTTTTGCATGTTAGTTTTTTTTCAGATCGAAGAACTCTCTTTTGCATTTCTTATTAAACAGATCGGGTCATGGTTAATTCTCTCAACTTTTGTTTTTCTGGGAAAAACATTATTTCTCATTCATACTTGATGGACAGTTTTGCCAGATAAAGTGTTTTTGAATGGCAGTTTTTTTTTTCTTTCAGCTCTTTGAAAAATGTCATCCCACCCCTTCCTGTCCTTATTGAGAAGTCTGTTGCTTATGAACTTGGAACTCCTTTATGTGTTATTTGCTTCTTTTCTCTTGCTGCTTTTAGGATCTGGTATTTGTCTTTGACTTTTGAGAGTTTGTTGATTATACAACTTTGAGTAATCTTATTTGGGTCGAATGTATTTTGTGTTCTCTGGCCTTCTCATATGTGGATATTTGTCTCTTCTCATATTTTAGAAAGTTTTCTGTTATTATTTCTTTGAATAAGCTTTCTACCCCTTGACCGACTCCCTCTTGAACACAAATAGTTTTTAGATTTGGTCTTTTTAAGTAATTTTCTATATTTTGTGGGTGAGCTATGCTTCTTTTTATTATGTTTTCTCCTCTGGTTATTTTCAAATACTCTGTCTTCAAGCTCACTGATTCTTTCCTCTACTTGATTCATTCTGCTCTTGAGAGCTTCTCATGAATTTTTCAGTCCAGCAGATATATTTCTCAGTGCCAGTATTTTTGTTTGATTTTTAAAATTATTTCTCTTTGCTCAATTTTTCTAATAAGTTTCTGAATTCACTAGAAATTTTTCTGTGTTATCTTGGAAATCAGTGAATTTCCTTACAACTACCATTGTGTATTCTTGTTCAGAGAGTTCACATATCACCATCTCATTAAGGTCGGTTACTGGTTCCTTGCATTGTCCATTTGAGGAGGTCATAGTTCCCTATTTGTTGTTTCTTGTGGATGTATATCTATGTTTTTGGATTTAAGGATCAGTTATTTATTCCAGTGTTCCTTGTTTTAATTTTTATTGGATGTGTTTGCTTAAAGATTCTTTTAATTTACCTGTTGATTTGATTTTCTCTTCTTCTTCTTCTCCTTCTCCTTCTCCTCCTCCTCCTCCTCCTCCTCCTCCTTCTCATTCTTCTTCTTCTTTGTGCGTGCGTGCATGTATGCTACTTCCTTTTCAGCACCAGGTGGTTCCTTAAGCACAGGTTTGCTTTGGTTCTAGTAAACCATCAGAGTGCTTCCTGTCCTGAATGAGGGAGGTATCCAAGGGGATATTGCAGTACTATGGGAAGGCTATCTTGGGTTTCATGCCCAGGGACCTGTGGAACAAACTTCCTACAGTATAGTACTGCTGAATGGCCACCTAATTTGTTGTCTTTTTTTTTTTTGCTGAGTTACAGAGTAGTTTCCAGGGCTGAGAATGGTAGTCTCACCTCCCCTTTGTATCTCTGGCTGTCCTCGGGGATATTTCTGTCTTCAGGTACTCCTGATGTTTCCAGTGGGCTGAGGCAGAGACAGTTCTGCCCAGAAACCCAAGATGGTGGGGAAAGTCATTGCTCACCTCAATCTCACTTTCACTAGTTTGGAAACCATGAGTTGTGGGGACATTTTTTTTTGCATACTTGGTGCCAGGTAGATTAGAGGAGAGGGAGTGTCATGGATGTGAAAGACTGATTCTCTTATTCTCTGTCAGAGTTTCTTCACTTCTCTATGGCCCTAAGAACTGTCTCATCCTCATATTTGAGTTCTGGGATATTGCTGGTAATAATCTCAGTGTTGTGCATTTGTTTTTGGTTTTCTGTTGAGGGGAGGAAGTAAAGCCAGCTTAGCTCTGCATCACCATTATGAAACCAGAAGTCTGTGCTTATTTATTATTATTATTTTATATTTTATTTTTTCTTTCTTTCTTTCTTTTTTCCTTCCTTCCTTCCTTCTTTCCTTCCTTTCTTTCTCTCTCCTTCCTTCCTTCCTTCCTCTCTCTCTCTCCTTCCTTCATTTCTCCCTTCTCTTCCCTCCCCTTCTCTCCCCTCCCTTCCCTCCCCTTCCCTTCCCTTTCCCTCCCCTCCCCTTCCCTTCCCTTCCCTTCCTTCATCTTGCTCTGTTTCCCAGGCTGGAATGCAGTGGCTCAATCATGGCTCACTGCACCCTTGACCTCCCGGGCTCAGGCAGTCCTCCCATCTCAGTCTCCCAAGTATCAGGGACTAAAATCGTCTCTACAATTAAAAAAAATGTAGAGACATAGCCTTGCTATGTTGCCTAGGCTGGATGTGCATCTTTATTCTTAAAAAAACAACTTACGGAAGGACTCAAAACATATGATACCCTCAAAAGCTTCCATTTTAGATAGTACCTATAGTGTGTTCAAGAAGCTAGCTAACATTCTGTTGTTTTCTTTACTGACAAATTTAAGCCAAAGTTTCTAAATATGGCATTTTACATGAGGAATAAGTAGGATTTAGCTGTGCCTATTCCAGTATTGATAATACTTATAATCTTTAAAAAATAGAGAAAAGTCTATTGAAAATTGTAATAGCTGGGATTTTCATTTACTTTTTTTTTGGACTTAGCTTTTGTGGTAGAAACCACATGACAATTAGTCTGCACAAAATCACTGTAAACTCTATAGTATGTACTTGGAGAGAACTTGTTTCCTTAGAAATGCTATAAGATTTAGGGACTTTAAGAAACATTTTCCCACATGACAGATAACAATTTTGGTGGCAAATCTTCATTGTGAAATCAATCTCCTCCTTCTACTGTTTTTTTTAATACTTAAAAACATTATCTGGATTTATATCTCTGTCCTATAGAAAGTATGTCAAGTGTACCTGTGGTTGTCACTCATTAATGCACATAAGAAACACATGAAATAAGTGGATTCCTGATCCCAGCTCAAATACACTTAATAAGAGTATCCGACTTTAGGAAGCAGGATTTTTCCAGTTTGTGGATCTGAGTCTCATGTGAACTGTTAGGTAAGAATAATTGTGATGTATGCAATTTGTGGACTTAACTGTTCCCAAAAAGAAGGGTGTCTGTCTGAAAGGCTAGCTTAAATTCAATGGTTACTGAATGAAAATAATTATTTTTGTAAGATATTTTCTAAAATGTGATTGGTTTATATTTGACAACTATATAAAACAGGATTTCTGAGGCTAAAATTGAATTGCATATTTGGTTCCAAGCCTCCTAATACCCAAAGAAAAAAAACAATGAATATTATGTGCTTTACATTGTCTATATAAATTTTTGAAGACATCCAGGATCATTTACAATTTCTCCAAGAATATTGAGCCTTCATAAACTTGAAGGATTGAAACATTAGAGGTGAGTCAGCCCTCACTAATCCCTTAAGATCAACCAGTATGATATGGAATAAGTCTTTATGTGAGAAAAAATAAAAATAAAAATAGAATTGATGGAGGACTAGAGATTTTGATGCTGTAACTCCTTGGCAGTGTCCTACAGGTTTCTAGGTACAGTCTTGCCTTTCTTTGATTGCTAAATGATATTTATGTGTTATTAGTCTTACCACTTTTTTATATGGAGAAGTCAAAAATTAGTACTCTACAAATTCTAAGAGTAACTTATAATTCTTTAAATTCTTTAACATTTTTGTTCTGTTACAATAACATTTACTAAGTACTTGCAATACCACTTTATGCCAGTCACTTGGTTCATATCCTCATAAAAATGTTATAGGGCAGAATATCAGTCAGAGTTCTACCAGGGAAACAGAACTTGTAGAAGCTATATATTAAGAGATTTATTGCAAGGAATTGTACCACACAGTGATGGTGGCTGATAAGACAAGTTCAAAATCTGTACGGCAGGCTGTCAGAAAATGTAGTCTGGAATTCTCAGGTACAAACTGAAGCTGCAGTCTACAGATGGAATTTCTTCTTCAGAAAAGCCTCAGCTCTGCTCTTAAGCCCTTTTACTAGATTGAATCAGGCCCACCCAGATTATCCAGGCTAATCTTCCTTACTTAAACTGATTATGGACTTTAATCTGGTCTACAAATATTTTCTCAGCAGCACCTAGATTAGTGTTTGGTTGAATTAATGGGATTGTAGCCTAGCCACATTGGCATGTAAAACTGACCATCACAGGTATGAACTTTTATTGTTCTAATTTTACAAAATCAGGAAACTGACTTTGAAAAAGTTAAAGTAAATTGCTACAATTGAGAAATGATGGAACATTGAACCTAAGTTTGTCCAAACCCAGAACCCATATTATAAAACCCAGATGGAAAGTTGGCATTTGACTACTAAACTATTAAAGAAATGAATGCTGTGTGTGCTCTGGTGCACACACATGCACACACACGCATGCGCCCACACGCACACACACACACACCACTACCACTGCCATACAGCTATTCAGGAAAAAATTATAAAGGGATATTTAGTACATTTGAATGCATGTATTAATATTGCGGAGATTGACCAGCGTTTTCATTAATTCCGCTAGGTTAATTTTCCTTTTGGAAGCCATGAAAAATGATCTGTTCGTTATAAATTAGAGTAATCTTGGAAGTAATTTGACAGTCAATCATCATTTAATAAAATTGAAATAAAATGTCAAGAGTAAACTGTAAAAGACAATGGGATCACTCATAGTAATTACTGTCAGTTTAAACTGAGGAAAACAGAATCTGATTTTTACCGTTATCAGAATGAGGTAGTTAGTAATGAACCACAAATGTGAATCTGTAAAGTATTGCATTTAATTTGTTGGATTTCTGCATATTGGCTTAATGGATGAGTGGCATAAATTTGTAAAAACAGTTACTCTCAAACACATTATACAATAGCACCTAAGGAAATATTTATTATTCTGAGATTACTGATTGAATTTGTGATACATTTTATTCTGCTGTGTATGTTCAGAGATAGCTGTAAAGTATGTATCTACTTTGAAAAACAGGAAAGCCTAGATGGAGGACATTGGCTGTCAACAGAGTGCTAGAATAAGCAGAAAGAAAAATAAAGCGGAAACAGAGGTACAAACACTAAAAAATTCTTTGAAAGGTGGCATTTGTTCTAGAGTTTCACATTTTCCAATGACACATTATTTTAACTTGTCCATGAAGTTGAAATCATTTGTGCAAGCCTTGTTTCATAATTTCACTATTTTACTTTTGTTCAAATATCAAAATATTTCCCAATTAGACCATACATATACTTGCATAGCCTCCCTCCTTTCATTATCTTCTTTGTAAAACCAACCATTTATAATGAGCAAGACAATATCCTCCCTTGAAAATGTTCACTTTCCTTATACTGTGTCTCTACTCAGCATGTGACATTGCCCATAGACTGCAAAAACCATTCTATCTCTTCTAGATCACAAACTACCATGCCATCCTTAGGTCTTACTACCCTCCAATACAAACACTTTCTTCTAGTCATACGGGGCCTTTCATTCCCACCATACTTATCCTACATATTTCCAGACCAACCAACACCTCTGCTCACATTGTGGGCCTAACAGTACACTCCTGACTTCTTGCCATATATGTGAATACTGTCGATCTAGAAGCCCAGATCCTGTAAGATTTCTTTATTAAGCCTGGTCTCTTTCTCTACTGAACTCAGATAGGAGATCAAATCTGAAAGAAGCTTGAAGACAACAGGCATCTGCTGCTTGAACTCCTTCTTTATAGTCGAGTGAGATGATCTCTACCCATGGATATTATGTTTGAAAACCTCTAGTAAAGGAGAACTCATTACTTTTCCATCAGGTTCAGTCTTTGGATAGTTTTAGAAAGTAGAAAGTTCTTGTATGTAACTATTATCATTTCTTCTTTACTTAGCTGTTCCTAGATACTAGACTATAAACCTCTTTATAGCAAGAGTGTGTTTTTTATTTCCCAATACTTAACACAATACTGGGCATGCAGTAGATGTTAAAAATACTTTAAAAAATAAATAAACCTCATTTGGGGTTCTTTCACTTTCTTAACCATTCATCTCTGTATAAACCCTGGTTTGCGTATGTGCCTCAGAGCAAATGCACAGGTATAGTCTGACCTTTCTAATCCACAATGGTCTGCACAGCCTACTTCTTACTCTTTTCTAGAAAAGCAGCCTATGTTCACATTTTCCAATTTTCCATAGCTTCATAATTGCTGACAAAAATTTCTTTATACACAATTAAATCCAAACCCAAGTATTACTACTTATAAGACTTATTTTTATTTTTACCCCAAGCCATATATTTCTTACCAAGTTTTTGTAACATTGGTGTTTTAGGATCCACATGTAGAATACATTTTATTCTTATTAAATGTATGCTATTAGGCCTATGAGTCTCCCCATCAAGTCCTTTTTGCATTTTGACTCTATTCTTCCTTATTCAGTAAACGAGCCAGATTTACATTACTGACAAATTGTATAATAATTTCTGGTGTGACCATATTCATTTTATTGACTTAAAATATTGAATAGAAGATGAAAACGGCTGGAGACCTAGCATTACAAGTCAGTCTCTCAATCTTGGTCTGTCTTTCTCTCTCCCTCTTTCTCTTAAAATTGAGCCATTAACATATTTTAGAGTCCCTTAGCCAGTTCCTATCACATAAATAAAAATTGGTGGGATGAGATTCATGATAGGAATATAATGAAATGACATGCACTATTAAAAATAAATGGATTGATACTAGAAATGTAGCATGTCCAATGTAATCATACAACATTTCGGGGGTTACATAGCACAGGCATGTTCAAATTGTTAGTTATCTTTATTATATATATATATAATCTCTCTTTCTATTTAGCTTCTTAATTATTTAATTACAAAATCGAGTCTTACATAAATCTGTATATCCGTAACATGTAATGGTGTACCTTATGCATAACAGGTAACCAACTGATTGTGGTTTAATGTGAAAGGACTCAATTGCAATGAAAAAGAAAGTTATTTAGCTACAGTTTTCAAGAGTAACTCCCAGGAAAGAAAAATAGGTAGGATAAGTACTAAGAAACTCTTTCCGAAGCTGAGTGTAAGATTTCAAGAAAAACGTTCAAAAATATTATTACTTCGTTCTAAAATAAAATACATTCTGAAAAATATTAGGAGCCATATAAAATAATGTAATGATGAATCATACTCTCAACATAAAACAAATGATCAGTACTTTCTAATTTTCTATAATTTGTATGTCAAATCTCGTTAATATTTTTTTAGGTGTGTTGTACTGTTGCTGAGGTTGTTTTATTATTTGTTTTGGAGAAAAAGACTGTTTAGAAGGTTAAACTGATGAATTCACAGACAATTATACAAGCTTGTGCTATTAATATTGTTAAATAATTGCATACAACTTAGCACTTGAGCAAGAACAAGTGTTATTTGTTACTGAGTCTCTTCCTGTGATCAGGTGATTAGCATTACATATTCCCAAGAATAAATGATTCCACACCTCAGGGATCAGGAAAATAACCACACTTTCACAGTCAGAATGTAGATAAGCGCTGTCTTGTAAACTGTAGTAAAGCCAAACATTTATAGCATCTTTTAAAGACAGTCTTATGATCTCTGAATGGTTTTCATCTATTAGAAATTCTGTACTGTTTGTCTGACTTAATGACTCATGAAAATATAACCTAAAAGTGAAAATACTGAGAACATAAAATAAATAATGGTTTTAAATCAGTAGTGATATTGTCAATTTGTGTTAGTGGTCTGTACTTGCAGACAAGTAATTGGGCTCTCTTGTCTTAATTTTGTTTCAGTTACCAATATCACTATCCAATTTCAGCAGAAAATGTCAGCATTAAAATATGTTATTTATTACAAAGTAATAGTTTTTATTGAGGAAAATTTCAAAAACACAGAGAGGTGTGAAAAGAGGAAAAAATATGCTGTCATTCTATCACCTTGACCACTAAGTAGAATGAAAATAAATGGTTGTTATTAGCATCTATAGAGTGTCTTTTTGCAAAATTTTGATTATCACCTACATAATGCTTGGTAACATCACTTTTAACAATGCATTCTGAACACTTTTATGCCATTAGAAAGTCTCCTATCATATTATATTATTTTTAAGTAATAAAATTATATGCTACAGCAGAATTTATTTAACCAATCTCCAATTGATGGGCATTTAAGTTGCTTTTGGTCTCTTGATGAAGTAAAAAGATTGTTTTAAAAATTCCTTTTTAAAATGATTGCATACAGTTCTGAGCCTGGTTTCGTGTAAGGAGTGTATATTTGTTACATAGGCATTCAAAAGAGCACACTTCTGTTATCTATTTAAAATTGTAGAATCATGTTAATGTAATGAAACAAATGGCTAGCTAGAATAAGATGGAAACTTGTAGATGCCTGCATTAAATCATAGATTTGGACTTTGAAAGAATTGCTATTGCATATGACTAATGTTTCTTAGCATGAAAGTTGCTTATTTTAGAATAGCTGGAACTATTTATCAGTGCATTTGTAAAGCACAGGTACCTTAAAATGGATCCAATATCTGTTCATATCCTCAATTAATGTAATACATTTTTGACTAAATTTTATTTAAAAAGAATCAACAGAATTGATACAAACAATGGGTAAAGATGACAAACTTTTTTAGGTCAAAGGTAGTCTTTTACAATTTCTGGAAGCTTCTTTAAAATGTTATCTATCTTGCCTGGTTTGATTTGACATATGAAATATATTTCTCTATATATTTTCTATGTTTTGGGGCATAGGTGATGTGCAGGGTTACGTTGGTTCATAATATTATCACAATTTTAATCAAACCCAATTACAAAAGAAAAATGATAATGATCACCTTATAATTTATCGTAAAAATTATACATATATATTTGTGTGATGTTTGATAGATTTGCTCTTATGTAAGAGAATTATGAAAGTTAGATAGAAACAGCCTTCTGAAATATAAAATATTTGTCCTAACTTTTCCTGAATAGCAGAAACTAAGTATACTAAAATAAATGTCTTCAAGATTTTCTTCACACGTTCCTCAGACTTTGTTTTAAATCAGACACTTTCAGATAACATATGTTTAATGAAAACACAATGATGTGCTGAGTTTTCATTTTAAAATGTTTTTACTTAAAAATAGAAAAGAATTTGGAGAAAGTCAAGTTGTATTGTTTTGTTTTGTTTGAGACAGAGTTTCACCCTGTCGCCAAGGCTGGAGTGCAGTGGCACTATCTCGGCTCACTGCAACCTCTGCCTCCTGGGTTCAAGCAATTTTCATGCCTCAGCATCCCCAGTAGCTGGGATCACAGGTGCGCACCACCACGCCCGGCTAATTTTTGTGTTTTTAGTAGAGACAGGGTTTTGCCATGTTGGCCAGGCTTGTCTTGAACTCCTGACCTTGAGTGATCCGCCTGCCTTGGCCTCCCAAAAGTGCTGGGATTACAGGCGTGAGCCACCGCACCTGGCAAGTTGAATTGTTATATGCAGCTATATTTATCCAAGTTGCACATATTTAATATAAGCACAATCTGATTAAAAAAAATCAAAGTTCCTGTCTAAAACCTAAAGAATTGTAGTGAAATCAATCAAGTTGTTGAGCTTAACTGAACTTCTTTAATGCCATAACCTTGATATTCACTATTTCCTTTGAAATATAATATTCCCTTTTGCATTATTTATGCAAATGCCATGCCAGTGTAGTGGAAGGTGTCACCTCAGTGCAGCTATAGCCAGTAACATTTCCTGTTCTAGTCATAGAAACTTTCATTTATTCATGTTGATTTGTAATAATTCTCAGTCAATTTTTCCTGGGTGAAGACATGAATTTGATGAAACAGTAGCAGCAGAATTATTGTTTTGGATGTATTCATTAATTTTTTAGTTAAACTTTCTACTTTGAGATAATTGTAGATTTACATGCAATTGCAAAAGACATTACAGAGATCTCATATATCCTTTAATCAGTTTCCCTCAATGGAAACATCTTCCAAAAATTTCTTACAGTGGTAACATCTTGATAGTACAATATCAAACCTGGATATTGAAATTGACATAGTCAAGATAGAAAACATTTTCATCACCACAAGGATTCCTCCTGTTGCCAATTAGTAGCCATACCACTTCCCTTCTGCTGTCACTCTCTCCTTATCTCTGGCAACCACTAATCTGTTCTCCATTTCTATTATTGTGCCAAGTCAAGAATGTTCCATAAATGGAATCATACAGTTTGTAACCTTTTTCACTCAGCATAATTCTCTGGAGATTCACCTAGGTTGTTGAATATATCAATAGTTTGTTCCTCTTTATTGTTGGTAGTATTCTCTGGTATGGATATATCACAATTTGTTTAACCACTTACCTGATGAAGTATATCTGGATTGTTTCCAATTTTTGAGTGTTACAAATAAATTTGCTAAAACAGAGCCTCACTCTGTCTCCCAGGCTGTAGAACAGTGTTGTCAGTGGTGTGATTTGGCTCACTGCAACCTCCACCCCCTGGATTCAAGCGATCCTCCTACCTCAGCCTCCCATGAAGCTGGGACTACAGGCATGTACCACCACGCCTGGATGAGTTTTGTATTTTTGTAGAGATAGGGTTTCGCCATGTTGCCCAGGCTGGTCTTGAATTCCTGAGCTCAAACAATCTGCCCACCTTGGCCTCGCAAAGTGCTGGGATTATAGGTGTGAGCCACTGTGCCTGGCCAAATCAATTAATTTTAAATTCAAAGGTGATATGATGCCCTCTTTGTCCTTCTGATTTTCAGTGTTTTATGAATTGATTTTAGTTGTTTCAGTGGATTAATTCTACAGTATTTGCAACAGAAAGTATAACAAAGATCTCTGACAAGGTCATGCCTATATTGGGCTGTAGGAAATACTTACTTAGCTACGTATTTTATACAAAATACTGGCTACTAGAAAATGTAGACATATTAATTGGTTGTGAAAAAATTATCTTGATTTACTGTAATGGCTTTTATTTACCTATGTATTCTTAAAAATCTATGGAATGTGTTCTAGATACAAAATAGTATATATGCCATATAGAGAGAACTTACAGAATTAGAGAAATGAACTCCTATGTATCAGTTATGAGTTTCAAAAATAGAGTAGTACATCACCATATTGAAACACCTTGGAGCATGGCCTTCTGGATGTTATCTCCCATTCTTCTTTTGGAGGTCACCACTATTCTCAATTTGATATGGTTTGGTTTTGCCCAATTTTGTTATATAAATGTACTAATCTGATTATATTCACTGTTCTATGACTTATTTTTTTTACTTATTTCACAGATTATACTATGATGGTGGCAGTATCATTATTTATTAATTTCCATTGCTATATAATATTTTATTGTATGAATATACTCCAATTTAATGTATCTCTTGTATTCTTGATGGACATTTGGGCTGTTTCCATTTTTTTTCTATTATTAACAGTGTTGCTATGACTATCCTTATACTTGTTTCCTGGTGTAGATGTGGAAAAATGTCTCCAGGTTCCATATATATCTAGCAGTTGAACAGCTGAGTCTATATGCATATTTTAAAGTATATTAGGTAATACTAAATTATTCTTCAAAAGTGGTGTACCAATTTACATAGCCACAAGCATGTGTTCTCTCACATCTGTAATCAGGCCCTCAGCATTTGTTTGCTCACTTTTATATTATTGGTCTTAAGCTTATTGATTCAAAAGAGTACTTCGCATATTTTGGATACTAGGTGTTTGACAGTAATACATATTGCAAATGTTTTCTCCCAACTTATGGCTTATCTTTTTACTCTCTTTATGGTACCTATGATCAAACGAAGCCCTTAATTTAATCACATTTATTATCTTTTTCCTTTCTAGTTTGTACTTTGGAAAGCTTTTTGAATTTTACTAGGGTTTATAGCTTAAGTTTTATATCAGTAAAATGCTTACCAGAATAATGTTCTTTATCTTGAATAGTAGCTTGCATTTATCTAAAAATTATTAGGATATATATTTCATAATAATTTCTATTTATAGACATATATCCTTATGATTTTTATATAAACACATACCAAATGTATATATATATATATATGTAACAAAGTTTCTTTTAAGGTTTTTAATTTCAGCTATCGACCTAAACATGCATAAACTACCTTTTCTTTTAAAATACATTGCTGTAGTTAGCTCCTGAAAACACTTCTACTTCACTGAAGCGGTGATGATTTTTGTGAATTTTCAGCCATTTGTCTTTGAGTTTTCTCTTTGAAAGACCCTGAGACTTTATTCAGTGATATGAGAGAAACTATGGAATTGTTAATATTTTAAGACATCATCATATTCATGATTTATTGTTCTTTGCACAATTGATTCCAACCCAAATGTCCCATGAAATAAAATAACACACTCAGTGTGATTTGTTTTACTAATTATTATATGTAGCAATCACTTGACTGTATAGATCAAATTTTACTTTCTAAAAGCTCCTTCCATTAGTGCTAATGTGTTTGTCCCTTTCAAAAAATACATCTAGTAATCATTGGGCAGGTGGTGAGGAGGAACAGATTAGAAAATGGTTCCTCTCTATTTTTTAAATGATGAAGTAGAAATTCTGTCTTTTATGAACTTCTGCTGTTTGGTTTCTAGGAAAGTATATGCTTAATTGTTAAAATATTGAAGATCTTACTGTTAACTCTAATTTTTCCAGAGAGAAGAGGAAGAGGAACCGTCATTGGTTAAACGCTCAATATAGGTTAGGCAATATTCTGGCCATATGACCTCTAATATTCTTCATTCATGCATTAATTCATTCAACAAATTTTTTTTGAGTATGTTCTATGTGCCAAGCTGTGTTCTAGGAATCGAGGTAAAGCAGTGAATAAAACAGACAAAGAGGCAAAAATCATGATTTTGGTAGAGCTTAAGCAATAAATATGACAGATTACTGCCTTAGAGGTATCTAGAAATTGAGAAATGCTATACAAAATAGCATATGGCTCTGCTTGTAAAATTTTAATGTGCATGTGAGTCACCTGGGGATCTCGTTACAATGCAGATTGTGATTCCATAGGTCTTGGGTGGAGTCCTAAGATGCTGCATTTCTAGCAAGCTTCTGAGTGATGCCAATGTTGCTGGTTTGGGAGCACAGTTTGAGTAGCAAAGAGTATATGGCAAGTGAGGTGGGGGTCGAGCGTGGAGAGTGGGAGAGAAACTGGCTGCACTTTAAAATATGATGATTAGGGTGTGCCTTATTGAAAAGGTTATAAGTGAGCAAAGATATGAAGAAGGTGGGGGAATTTAGCTATACACTTATCTAGGTCAATGAAACCAGCCAGTGCAGAAGGGTGTTACATGGGAGTGTGCCTGACAAGGAGGTCAGTGTGGATGGAATGGCATGAATGAGAAGAGTAGTAGTAGATCGGATTTGAGAGACAGTGGGAATAAAGTAGATCTTGCAGGGCTTCGGACACCATTATAAGTTCTTTGGCATTTACGCTGAGATGCGGAACCACTCCAGAATTCGGAGCAGGGAGGTGACATGCTCCAACGTACGTATTTAAAAAATCACTCTAACTGCTGTATAGAAAATAGACTATTATAAAACAGGATAGAAGCAGTGAGACCAGTTAGGAGTCTGCAAAATATATGGTAGCTCAGACTTAAGTTTATAGCAGGTGAGATGGTGAGAAGTGCTAATATTCAGAACACATTTTGAAGGTAGAGCCTAGTGAACTTATTGATGTCTTAAAATATGCATATACACAGATGTAGGCTGTGAAAGAAAGAAAGGAGTCAAGGATGACTGCAAGGTTTGTTTGTTTTTTGACCTGAGTTTCTAGAAGGATGAAGTTGGCATCACCTGAAATGGGGAAGGGCTAGGTTTTCAGGAGCATGTCAGAGGTTCATTCTCTGTATGTGTTGAATCCCATGTAGCCATTAGATCTTCAAATAGAGATGTGGAGTAGGCAATTGTATATGAGAGCCTGGAATTCAGCGAAAGGACCGTGCGAGAGGTCCAAATTTTCTCTTATATCATTCTTAAAACAATCCCTTGCTGCTCATCTTTTATCCACATTTTATAATTGGGGAAACATGTTCAGAGGATATAGCAAACATTCAGTTTGTAAGAGGTGGAGCAGAGCCCCAGGACAATCTGTAGCTCCAAAGGCCACACTGCTGTTCTGCTTCAATAGTAAAAAGAATCAACACTGGTCACTGCAGCTGGTTATGTGTTTACTTAGAGCAAGTCGAAAATATTTTTAGGCAGAAAAATTGAGTTGGCAGTTCATCTTTTTAACTTCCCTACTTGGCTACTATAGACAGATTTTGTTAAGTCAATGCTTGGCAGCTTTCCATATGTTCTAGAGATGCGTGTTCATCTGGGTGTGACAGTTTTTTCTAAGTCACTTCTGCCATAGCTTGTTAAAGGTAAGAAAACCATGTCTTCACTGATCTTGGGGTCCTAGCGAAGAAATGTGTGCTTTCTCAGTGTTGGAAGGGTAGAGAATGGTAAAATGAACATTGGTGGCCTCCCTGTCCCCCAGTGGAATTCCAAGGCATAGCCTAAATGATTTCTCAGAGGTCCCCAGCAGGGTTGATTCCCGGTTGCTCACAGCAGTAACCTGTTCATTAATACCATTTATTGGCTTTTCATGCATCCTTGCCTCACATTCCTCATTGTTCACTTCTTAGGATCACCTCCCAAGTGAATTGTCTGAACCTAAGTCCATGTCTCTGGCTAATCTAAGAAAGGTGATAATGTGAAATGTGCTTAACTGGTCTATCCATGATAGTTCTTTCTAATTTCTACAACAGTGCCTGGCAAGCAGTCTCAATAAGTATTTGCCACACCAGTGAAGGACTGTTATTTTCCTTAATGTTTATTAAGTAATAGTAGTAGTTGTTACTATTATTTTAGGCAAATATATTTTTAATAGGACACAGATAAATTCCCCTTTGTCACTAACACTGCCAATCTTAGTTCTTTCCTTACGTTCCCAGAAACAAGAGTTCTTAAAACTTTGGTATGTATGCTTCTGCTATTTTGACTTTTACCTAAATCACATCATTTTATACATGTGATTATGTAATTTGCTTTTTTCACTCAAATTTATGATTTTGAGTTCTATCGATGCTACATATTTTCTGCCTTCTATCTGATTAAAAATTTCCCATTCTGTTTTCTTCCTTTATGGTATTTAGCGTTTTTAAATTCTATTTCTATTTTTTAGTGGTTCCTTGTAAGTCTTTAACACAAATATTTGAATTTACATTTTAAGAGGTACTACCAGTAATGAGCTAAGATTTTTATCATTGCTTAAATTAATGAGCCTTTCTGTTCTTAATGGCCAAATGTAGGCCATAGTTTACCTTGTCTCCTAGCTATCCCTGTTTACTTCCGTGTTTTCTAGGATTTTAGTTTGTTCTTGCTCCCAAATAACAAAAGGCTTATTATTATTATTATTATCTTTATTGGATCTTATAATTAAGTTTTATTTCTTTCATTTGCTTATTGAACTCCTTTCTTTAAATATACTTTTCATGTTGGGGAAGTGTCTGCTTTAGTCACTAGGCTATGATACTTAATCTAGGTCTTAACAAGTAGGGTTTTGCCATGAAGAGGGAGAAAGGATCAGTATGCAAGGGAGTAGTGTCTGAATTTGCTTTGTATGTGCCGGAATGTCTATGAGTTACCCTTTGAACACAGCTTTGTGTTGCTCTCATGGTTTGTAATGTAATCCATGGTATGGTAAATATGTACATCAAAAATAAACTAATAGGAAAAGATATGAATATCAAATTAGAAAGTGACCCAAAATGAAGTGTTATCTAAGACAATACATTTAATATGTAAAAATACACATAGATTCATTTGAAAATATTTGTCGTATTTCTTTCAAACCTCATCCAATGTCAGCATAAACAAATATAACAAACTAGTTTTCAAATTAAATTTAAAAATATAATTCTTCATACCTGGAGCCTCGGTGAGTAGGCATTATGCCTGAAATTTTCAATGTCGATGGACCATAGATCTGCCTAATTACTCCTAGAGTCATTGGAGCCAAATTGCTGGGATGAGCCATCATTCCCCCATCCCCCTTTCACACCAATGTGATTGTATGCCTTAATTGGTTCTCTAGTTATTCATGTTATATGATCTCACCACTACCAGTGCTTCTCTATTAGTACCTCAGTCTTCTTGTTAGCATTCTTACCAAAAGATTATCAGAAAATCCAAGTTACTAAAAACATATCTAAAACACAAAGCCCGTGAACAGCACATGAAAGCTGGAAGCCCTTGCACTTCCAGAATCCTGCTTGCATGCCTTTCAGATCACTTACAGTAGCAGAAAAGGTGTGCACCATCACGCTCAGCTCTAACTTGCTCTCTTTTGTATATGATGCGGTAATCCTGGCTCTTAGTGCTTTGGGATTTTGGTGATAGATGTCATCACCAGTAATTCCACAGTCCCCAAAGAGTTCAACTCTCTCAATCAAATCTTAAGCCATATTGTTGGCTCCCTATAATACTTTAAATTCTACTGTACATTTCTTATAGTGTAATCATGTTAAAGAGGGGGAAATAGGCTTTTTTCCTCTTCTCAATGCATAATCTTTTTAAAGTTATCTATTCTGATTTCTCTTGAGGTCTCTTTCCAATTACCTGCAAGTTTGCTTTTACTGTGGTGTTCCCTGTATTGTGTGTGTCTTATTCCTTCTGCAAGAAGGAAGTGGCCAAGCTGACAGATTGCTAATATTACCATTGTCTAATTACAGCTCTATTATGTCTGTACAACAGAATTGCATATCATTTAAGAGGCCACTACAGCATTTATCAGTCGTTGTGGATTCTAGCCTAACTTGACCATTCATTTATTTTTAATTTATTTTTATTTTTGCCTTTTTTGAGACAGTATCTCACTCTCTCTCTCTCACCCAGGGTGGAATGCAGTGGTGTGATCTCTGCTCACTGCAACTTCTGCCTCCCAGGCTCAGGCAATCCTCCCATCTCAGTGTCCCGAGTGGCTGGGACTACAGGTGCATACCACCACACTTGGAAAAAATTTTAAGGTTTTTGTAGCTACGAGGTCGCATTATATTGCCCAGACTGGTCTCGAACTCCTGGGCTCAAGTAATCCTCCCACCTCAGTCTCCCAAAGTGCTGAGATTACAGGTTTGAGCCACTGTGCCTGGCCTTGATCATTCATTTAGACTTGCAGTCTGTGCCATGGGAAATCCAAAAGCTCCACCATGACAAATTAACTCCCTGTTACAGACGTAGCTGTTGTCTCTCCGTATCTGGAGACCCTCAGAGCATTTTTAAAAGCATGACATTTTAAATGTTAATTTTTATTGCCCAGCAAAGTTAATCACACCTATCTATGAAGAGTTAATTTCCAATTAAACAGTTCTCTGTTCACTATCTATAATTCCCTCAAAGGAACCAATCATACTTAAAGGGATTCAGAGCCTGTTATATTTCTTATCGTCTATTTTCATGAGAGTATGTACTTATTATACCAGATTTCTGGCATTTAGTGTTATAGATATGCAAATTCCATTTTAACTCCCCTTAAGATTTCCAACACCCAAATGAACAATTAAGTTTTAACTTTTCATCTGTGTTCTCTCTCTCTCTCATCTGTGTTCTCTCTCTCTCTCTCTCTCTCAGCACATGCTGTTAAAACTTTAGTTTATGCTATAGGTCCTTGTAGCGACAATTTTAGAAACACCCCTTTCTTGTGTTTATACTATTATAACTTTGGGGTCTCTAAACCAATTCTAAATATGCATTATAATTATAACTTTATATGTTACATTCTTATCCTACTTTTGTCTTAAGATAATTTATGACTGAATATTTTTGTGGCATCATAATTTAAGCTTTAATTTTACTAAAATGTGCTTTTTGGTTAACAGTAAACAGTTAATATGCTATAGTCTCCTGGAAACACACGTTCACATAGCTTTTTATGAGCCAGGTTTTTGGTAATTCAGCATATACTTTACTATTGAACTTGCATTCTTAATGTGCAATCTGATCAAGAAAAATATCCTCTAATATTTCTTTTGGGTTCCAAGAGCACTGTCCCCTTTCCCAAGTACTACATTTTACCTGAAAAATATATGAGAAAGTATGAGAATTCTTGAGCCTAAAGCATTTAAATTTGATTATTTTCAAAATTTGTTAAGTCATTTCAAACTGAAATTGAAAATAAAATTAATTTCCAAATAGTAAAAGGATAAATGAAACTAAATACTGTTACTGAGAAAATTAGTCCATCTTTAGGGCTTCAAAAAACACACTGAATGTAGCTTTCACTGATTATATACACTTTTAAGGTTGCACTTTTTCTAGGTGCTAGGCAGAAAATGGAGCCTGAAAAATATCAAATTGCAGCATAGTAAATCACGTTTGAATCCAAGTTTTAAGTTATTTGACCAGTACTTTATTCTTTGATGAGCCCTGAATATATTTTTCTCAGCCATAAGGTAGGCATCATGCATTCCTAAAATTGGAGTTGATTTTCTATGATAGTTTAATTTACTAGCTGCTCAGTTCTTCTAACTGTGCATGTTATATGGGAAGATTATTTTTTTATTTCTTTGTAAATTCATGTCAGATCTACCCATGGGAGGAAAATGATTCCTAACTCTTCTCCATTTCTTTTAGTGTTTATTCATATGCTGTTTCTGTCTTTTCTTTTTGCCTTTCCCCTAGCTGAAACAAGGATGAATCTATAAACTAAAAAAAAATCTTTTTCTTTGTAATATTAGATAGACATATTATCAATAATATTATATAATCTATTGCAACAATCAAGTCACCATTAAAATGTGTAGTTTTCTGAGTGTTTCCAAGTATGTAATGTAGGACAATGCTTTAAGTCTGGTTTATTCTCATTTCACTTGGCTTTTTTTTTTTTTTTTGCATACTTTGAGTATATGTTCTTAAGAATATTCTTAAAATATTTTCCAAGACACATTTATGTAAGCTAATCAAACCATGCAATAGATAAGAACTCAATGTTTTAGAACTCTGTCATAAGAAGAGATATATTTGTGTATGTGTAGATACACACATACATTTAGCACATTTTCAGAGACATATACATTATGGATTTTTATTATTGATTTAAATTCTTTATAATATGCAATTACAGATATATTTTATATCAGCTTAAGCATTTTAATTGCAAGATTTCTGTTTAATTTGTCTGCAAAGTACTCTTTTTTTTCTGGTCATGGTAAATTTCATATTCTTTGACAATAGCTTTTGTTTATTACTAGAAACACTTCTCTTGGGCTAGGTTGTTAATTAACTGTCATTTTTGTACAGGGTGTAAAAGAGATATGGAAAGAAGGGTACATGAGCAAATGGAATTTCACACATTATTAACTGTTTTAGTGTCTTCAAACTTCAAAAACATATATTAATATTTTTGTACCACGTAAGTTCATCAGAAGCCTGACTTTAATCTCTGATTTATTATATTTGAACACTGTGAAGAAGCAGTTTAACACTGAACGAAAGTGTCGTAATGCAGCTTTCAAAGTGGCCATTAAAGACAGATCTCTGCTTTTCTATTAGTACATTTTCTAAGATGACTATCATTGCCATTGTAGTCAGCTTTGTGTACCTTTATAGAGATTCCAGTATAAACCCAGAAACATAGAGCACTGAGAGAAATAATATCAGAAGTGTTTCACCTTTGGCTACTATTGTAAATTGACAAATGACATTATTGCTTTTAGATTTTTAAAACAAACACACTAAGTAGAACATATGCATCCAAATCAGTAGGGTCATTTCAAATAAGTCATACTTTTTGTTCCAGTGATTCATTAGCCCAAGTACACTTGAAGTTCCCATTTTAGAATTGCTTTCACAGGCCAGTTTATGAAGCAGAAAATAAAGATTCATTTCTTTCTGGTTAACACCTCATTTTTGGCCAAAAGTGATATAGCCCAATATACCACGAATACCTTACTGAATCTGATGCCCAATGAATTTTAACTGTTTTTAAAGTTCAAAGCAATCTTTAAAAGAATGAAGACTTTCAGCCATTGAAACTGTCTAGAAGCTGAGCTATGATATTTGAAGGTTCAGTATTTACAAATGGCATCATTACTTTTTCTTTCTAGAGAAGGCACTAGAAGGGGGGCTTTCATCAGAAATACCTGGAGGTTTTAGAGAAGGCAGATTCTGTCTGGAAAGTCATGGGAACTAGAGGCAGGGTGCCATGCTATGATCAGTCAAGTCTCTAATCTCTAAAATGTATTTCGAAGACACAGTTTGAGCAGGTTGAATAAGCTTTTTGTCTTGTAGGCCCAGGATATACTGCGTTACCAAAGTCCAAGCCCCACAAGGAGGTTATTCACCTGCCCATAGGTCCATTAGAAGTCATCTGCTGATGTGACTGTATTGGTGATGTGGAATATTAACGTGGAACAGAAAACTCCATGGGAAGGCTTAGTGCTGGGGGAGAGATATAGGCAAAAGAGATGGAGGAAAGGGTTGAAATAAGGATTTGTTTAGACAGTTCACTGGTGGTGATTTATTGGGTGTGTTTTACTGCTAACCCACACATGAAGCCCCTGACATCTTGGCTGAGGCTGGTAATTTTTTTCTGACAAGGATCAGCAGAAATGAAGGTGCCATAGCTTCCAGTGCTAGATATAGTAGCTAAACATTATCTTCAGCAGAGATGGGAGTTCAGAGTGTCATTGTAAAATACATGGAAATACCTAATGTAAAGGAGTCTAATGAATGAAAGAAATACCAAATGAATCTTCACAGAGGGAGGTAAAAGAAAAGAAGATAAAATCAAGGCTGGTGACAAGGAATTATTAAAATAGAATATGTTATTGTATATATTTGCCTCAGAGTTTATAATTAGGAGTCCGTTGAACTCTGTTTCAGGATGTCTTCATCATTTCTTTAAGGATTTAAAATATACTGCATCTAGAAATAATCCAAATTAAAATTGATTTAATACACTCCAACACCACATTATAAAAATCATTCACTATGACCACCTGGGTTTGATATTGGAAAATCTATTAATATCAATCACTATATTAATAGATCTAAGAAAAAAATATACCCTTACTCCAGTAATGCTAAAGTCTGGAATAAGACAGGAATGAAATTAGAAAAGATAAATTAGAGGCATAAGAACTAGAAAAGAAGAAGTAAAATTCCCTCTATTTGCAGATAACATGATAGTATACCTGGAAAACCCTAGAGAATAAATGGCAAATGTAGCTCAAACAATGAAATAATTCAACAAGCTAGCAATATGTAAATTTGACAGACAAAATTCGACAGCTACCATATGCAAAATTAATAATGTTAAAATAGTTGGAGATTAGTTAGAATAAATTACAAAAATCTCACAAAATAAACAGAAAAGATAAAATAGGAATAAAATTAACAGAAAATGTGTAAAACATATAAGAAATTATAAAGCCTTTCTGAAAGACACACAGAAGTAGACTTGAACAAATAGAAAGACATTCCTTGTTCTTCAATAGGACATCACAACATCATTAAGATGCCACTTCTCTCTGAATTAATTTAAATTTAATGTGATGCCAATAAAAATACCAACATGCTTTGCTATATGGAGCTAGGCAAGTTGAAACTAAGGTTAAAATGAAAAAATAATGAACAAAAATATCTGGGAAAAACACTAAAAAGGAAAAGCTATGACTAGCCCTACCAGATATTAGCATGTACTACAAAGCCTCAACAAATAACAGTGTCAATAGCACATGAATGGACAGACCAATGGAATAAAATCAAAAGTCCTGAAATAGAACCAAATACATATAGAATTGTAATATATAATAGAGGTGACATCTCAAATAACTGGGGCAAAGTTGAACTTAATAATAAATGGTTTCGTATAAAAGAGGAAATTAGATGTCTTCCTCAAGCCATACACGAGAATAAACTTCAAATGAATCAGAAAACTAAATGTACCAAGGAAAACTATACAGGTACTAGAAGAAAATATTGGTGAATTATTTTAGGACTTGCATGTAGGGAAGGACTCTTTTTTTTTTTTTTTTTTTTTTTTTTTTTTGAGACGGAGTCTTGCTTTCTCACCAGGCTAGAGTACAGTGGTGCGATCTCAGCTCACTGCAACCTCCGCATCCCGGGTTCAAGTGATTTCCCTGCCTCAGCCTCTCAAGTAGCTGGGATTACAGGCACGTGCCACCACGCCCAGCTAATTTTTTGTATTTGGGTTTCACCGTGTTGGCCAAGATGGTCTCGATCTCCTGACCTCGTGATCTGCCCGCCTCATCCTCCCAAAGTGCTGGGATTACAGGCGTGAGCCGCTGTGCCTGGCTGGGAAGGACTTTCTAAGTATGACTAAAAATTCAAATGCCACAAATAAAAAGATTAATACATTTTACTATATTAAAAACTTCGCATGACAAAATCAAAAGCCAAAAGAAAACTGGAAAAAATGCATATATTGTAATGTATATCACAGATAAAGAGTTAATGTCCTTAATATATAAAGAACTTTTAAAAATTAAGTGGGAACACAGATCCTGTAGAAAGATGGACAAAAATATAAATAGACAATTTACAAAAAATATATAAATGATCCTTAAGCATATGAGAAGATGATTGCTTTCACTAACAATAAGTAAAAGCAAATTAAAGCTATTTTGAGGTACAGTTCTCACCCATCAGATTGGCAATAATATGAACATTTCACAATATACTCTGTTGAGAAGCTGTAGAGAAACAAGCATTCTCATACAGTGTTGGAATTTCGAAATGTTCTGAAACAAATGGAGGGGGAAATAGAAATATCTAATAAAATTACATATGCAATCCCACTTTGACCTAGCAATCTCATTTCTAGAAATTAGCCTGAAGATATATCTCCTACAATGCAAATATATGTACATATAAAGTTATTCATTGCAGCATTATTTGTAATTGCAAAATATTGGAAACTACGTAATAGTCAAACCTAAGATATCAGCTGGATAAACTATAGTACATATACACAATAAAGTACTAGGCAACTAAAGCAATAATGAGGATCTCTTGATGAACTAATATTGAGTAATTTCTAAGTGAAAGCGAAGTAAAAGAATGTTTTTCTACTATGCTGCCTTTGTGTGTAAAAGAAACTGAAATAAGAAACTGGGCATCACTTTAGCCAAGTGCTCAAAATTAGTATGTTTGTTTTCTGTGCTGTGTAAAAAATTACCACAAATTTAGCAACTTAACATAGCATTTATTTTTTCTTTCAGTTTCTGTTGGACAGAAGTCTGGGTATGACATAACTGGAATCTCTCTCAGATCCTTAACACTTGACCTCCTCCATAAACTCTCTCACACTTACAATGTCTGATCTCTGGAAGGGCTTGGCCCCTTTGAAGCCAGATTGGGTAAAGTTCACCCAGGATACGCTCCTTTTTTATTAACGCAAAGGAAACCAATATGGGACTTTATTTATACTGCAAAACCTCTTCACCTTTGTTATATAACATAACTTGATCAAGGGAGTGAAATCCACCATCTACCCGTTATTCCTAGAGTAGGGATTTTACAGGGTTTATGTACAAAGGCATGGGGATCTTGGAGCCCCTCTTTGAATTGGGCCTATGACAGTTAATATCACCAAAAAGGGGCAAACAGACATCTTGTGTGTGCCTCCAGATGCAATACTCTTGGCAGGATATAACACCACTGAGAAGGATATGACAGCACTGATACAGTATTCCCACCCAAACTGTATAACCTGAATTTAGTCATAAGAGAGCATCAGGCAACACAAATCGAGGTACATTTTATAATATAATTGGTCTGTAGTTTTAAAAAAATTTCATGGTCATAAATGATATAGAAATAATGAGAAGGGATTCCAGATTAAGAGAAACTAAAGAGACATGACACCCAAATGTAGTCTATAATACTGGATTGGATACCAAACTGAAAAAAAGATATTGTTATAAAGAATATTATTTGATCAATTAACAAAATTAGAATATGAACTACAGTTGAAAGTATTTGGGCCGGGTACAATGGCTCATGCCTGTAATCCCAGCACTTTGGGGGTCTGAGGTGGGCGGATCACCTGATGTCAGGAGTTTGAGACCAGCCTGGCCAACATGGTGAAACCCTGTTGCTACTAAAAATACAAAAATTAGCCGGGTGTGGTGATGCGCGCCTGTAATCCCAGCTACTTGGGAGCTTGGGAGGCTGAGGCAGGAGAATGGCTTGAACCCGGGAAGCAGAGGTTGCAGTGAGCCGAGATCGTGCCACTGCACTCCAGCCTGGGAGACAGAGTGCCTCTGTCTCAAAAAAAAAAAAAAAACCCAACAACAACAAAGAAAATATTCTATTAGTGTTATTAGTGTTAGATTTCCTGAGTTTGATCACTGAACTGTGGTTATATAAGAGAATATCTTTTGTTCTTAGGAAATACATACTGAAATATTAAGGGGTAAAGGAATATAATATGTACAACATACTCTCGTGGTTCAGAAAAAAATACTATATGTGATTGTGTGTGAAAGAGAGAGAAAGGGAAGAGAGAATGATAAAGCAAATGTGGCAGAATTTTGAAGATTGGTGAATATTTGTGAAGTGTTCTTTGGATTGTTCTTGTAACTTTTCTGTAATTTTGAAGTTATTTCAAAATAAAAATCAAATTAACAAAAAACAAAAAATAAACTACACCTAAACATCTTAGCAGAGGGCCTGCCTGGCATATAAGTTCTCAGTAAATGGCAGTTAATAATAATATCACTATTATTACCTAATTCTTGCTTACAACTTGAATCCAATCAAATGAACCTATTTATTGCCACTACCTTGGGGGTTTTTATTGTATTTTTGGTTTAAGAATACTTAGTATTTTTGTTTAAAGTCTAAAATAATTTTATAATATAAATGTGTAGAGTAACTGGTAACCAGAATTCCTGCAAATTTAATGCCACTGCATTAATTGATTGTTTTAGTTTTGGTTCCCCAGAAGCTGACCCCTAGAACCCAAGACAAGGTTTCAAGTTCACATAGTTTATGTGAGAGGAAATACCAGGAGATGTTAGATGTGGGGAGATGAGAAAGTGAGGAGAAGGAATTGAATAAAGGGTTCATTATTAACCAAGTTACCACTGTAGGCAAAAGGGACTTAATCCTGGTGGGGAAATCTAGGAGACAGTGTAATACATGCTTCAGACTTTGCCTGCCCAAGGAGGGATGGAGGTAGGGTATTTGTACACTGACCCCCATCGGTCATTGACTGAGGGCTTCTGGAGCATGCAAATTAAATTCTAAGCACTTCCAGACTGCTACAGTATCATATCAGATTCCTTTAGGCAATGGGTTGCAAGAGCTGACATGTGGGAGACAGGGCTGGATGCATGCAAATGATGAATTCTGAGGGTATACTGGTAAGTGTCTCACAGAATCTGCTGCTTTGGTGAGGCAGAAATCTGCTGAATCAGTCTCCCTGGTATTCCAGGAAGCATGTGGAGTGATTGCAGCTATAATTATGGTGAAATCTACACTGGAACTAGGTTTCTAGGAACAAACAGATCTGAACTGAATTATTATTTTTTCCAGTTGCTAGCTGAGCGACTTTGGATGAGTTATTTGTTCGAACCTTTGGTTTCCTCATCTGTAAAATAGGGGCAGTAACAGTTTGTCTTCATAAATTTACTTTAGAATTAAAGACATTATGCATTTGAAAGGTTGGGCCTAGAAAATACTCAGTAAGTGCTAGTTTTATTATGTTTGCATCTCTTATAGTTACTATTACTTTTCACTTTTAATCAGTCTGTTAGAGATGATTGTTCTTATCTTGAACTATAAGATGCACTCCAATCTGCTAGATTAATTTGTACCTTGGCTTTAAAAAAATCTGTTTTTTTTTTAATAGCCATTGAAGACTCAGAACAATAGGGACTCCAATTTGCTACCTGTTCTTGAAAATGACAATCAGTTACTTAGGAAAGCAACTTTGAAAAATACAAAGGAAAGTCAGAGAGATTGGAACCAAATAATGAAGGTCAAGCATCATCAAAAACACAAGTTGTGAGTGACACATAAAGGGAAGAAAAATAAGCATCGTAAGGACTGGATTAGCCATGTTTAGTATGCTTTTGAAATATTTATGAAATAATCACAGTTTAACTGTTTAATTGCATGAGCTAGATTTGGTTGAGTACAAGCAGAACACTGCCTATTCTTTCTCACTTCCTCTTTAAATCAAGTCATGGTCTTGTCCTTTCCTACCCATGAATGAAACCGAACGCAGAGTCCATAGCTTACCAGTCTCAAAGTGTATTTGTTTCCTAGGGTTGTCATAAGAAGATACCATGAACCGAGTGGTTTAAAACAACAGAAATGTATTCTCACAGTTTTGGAAGTCCAGAAGTCCAAAATCAAAGTGTTGGCACAGCCATGCTCTCTCTTAAGGCTCTTGAGGGATGATTCTTCCTTGCCTCTTCTTAACTTCTGGTGGTTGCCAGCAGTCCTTCACTTTGTTAGCTTATAGCTGCTTTACTCCAGCCTCTGCCTTTATCTTCACATAGCATTCTCCCTGTATCTCTGTGTCTTCACATGGTTATTTTGTTAAAAGGACTCCAGTCTTATTGGATTAGGGGCTTACCCCACTCTAGTATGACCTCATTTTAACCTAATGGACTATATTTGCAATGACCTTATATCTGAAGATCACATTCTGATGTTCTTGGAATTAGGATTTCAACATATCTTCGCGGGGAGAGGGGGGGCGCATAATTCAACCAATAACACATAGATAATTACAGTCTAAGCCCATCAGTATTCAAACCCTAAATCTTCTCCAAAATAAACATCCCCCCTTTCTTAGCTGAGGACCACTTTGTGCCTGAAAGGCTGCATTGGAGTGAGAGTGACCCGAGTGTTTATTTCCCTGCCCCACCTTGTTCTGTCCCTCCTCCTCTCTCTCTGACAAGGATATGACTGAGTCTTCCAAGATTAGAGTAGGTAGAAAGCGTGAGCTAAGGTTGGGAGGAAATGAGAAGGGAGAAAAGGATGAAGAGTTATTTTGATTGATGGAATTATTTTGGCTTTGGTGTCCTCTGAGGCAGCAGATTCCAAATTCTGATTCTTACTCTCATTAGGTTGTTCCCTTGCCTCCTCAGAAGCCCACTTACTCTCTACTCTAAATATCTCTCACTTGTAGCTAAATTGATGCAGGTAGGGCCTCTGACACTAATAACCAAATCTTCAGACCCTTGGTGTCTCATTCTGTTGCTTAGTTGGGATCTCTGTATCCTCCAGGCAGTCATCTTGAGTGGAACCTTTCTTGAAATGAATAAAAATTTCTTCCCCAGGATTGACACTGATCCAACAATAAATTCATGAATCTGTCCTGTGCAGCTGGGTCGATCTCATAAAGCATTTATTGGTCAAAGTTCAGCCTTAAACAGTTGTTTCTTGAATTTTCAAGAGGCAGATACCAGTGCCCATGATGGCCTTTCAGGTTTACTTTTTAAACTCTTCAAGCATTTCTTATGGAAGTTCTCTTACTTAACTTGCAGTAAGGTGAAGCACCTCTCTTCCCTACCCCATTGACTCCCAAGAAGCGATGGGCAAATATGGAGAGGAGATTGTAGGTATTACAGGAATGCAGAGCACTAACAACTCCCTCTAAAGAAAGCCACTCTGTTGAACATCTTCATCTGTCCAAAGATTTCTTAAACTCCTATGAACAGCCTAGCCTAGAGACATAACAGTCTAATAAAAACCTGGCAGAACTTGTCAGAACTCATCTTTTAATATTTTCTAAATGCATTGTTTTTAAAGTGCTTCACTGAGATATAATTCATACACTTCACCACTCACCCATTTAAAGTACACAGCACACTGTTTTTTAGTATATTCAGAGAGTTATGCAAACATCACTACAACCTAATTTTAGAAGGTTTTCATCATTACAAAAAGAAACTCCATTCCCATTAGCTGTCACTCCTCATATCTCCCTCTTCCTAGCCGTGGGCAAACATTACTCTACTTTCTGTTCCTGAAGATTTACTTATTGGGGACATTTTATATAAATGGAATCATATACCATGTGGATTTTTTGTGACTGATATTTTAGCATAATATTTGCAGGGTCATCCATTGATTGTAGCATATATCAACATTTATTTTGATTTCTAAATAATATTCCATTGTATGGATATATCACATTTTATTCATCCATCAGTTGATAGACATATCAATTGTTTCTGCTTTGAGCTAGTAGAAATAATGCTGCTATGAATGTTTTTGCACACTTTTTATGTGGACATATGTTATTTCTCTTGGGTATTTATCCAGGAGTGGAATTGTTGGGTCATATGTTAACTCTATATTTAACTCTTGAGGAACTGCTAGATTGTATTCTAAAGTGACTGTACCACTTTACATCCCCATCAGCCATGTGTGAGGTTTCCTAATTTTCAACATTCTCACCAACACTCGTTTTCGTTTTTTATTTATCATATCCACTCTATTGGGTGTAAATTGATTGTTTCATACTATCTTAGCTTATTTTCATAGATAATCCATTTGCTAGAGTTGGAATGTGTTCCCACAAAGTTCATGTTTTGGAAACTTGGTTGTCATTCTGGTGATGGTGGGAAGTGGGGCCTTTGGGAGGGGATTAGGTCTTGGAGGCTCCACCCTCATAAATAGATTAAGGTTGTTATTGCAAAAGTTGCTTTGCTATAAAAGCAAACTCTCTTGCATGTACTCTCTTATTCTCCTGCCCTTCCACCATGAGATGACCTTCACCAAAAGCTGGTCTCATGTTCTTGTACTTTCCAGCCTTCAGAAATTGAGCCAAATAAACTTATTTTCTCTGTAAATTACAGAGAAATTTACAGTGTGTGATATTCTGTAATAGCAAGAGAAAATGGACTAAGACACCATTGCTTCTCTTTAGGATGTGCAAATAGTTTGTGCTTGCTTTATTTTTCTGACTTACGAGCCCTCTGTTAAAACTCAAAAATCATAAGAACAGTGACATTTAACATTCAGTTAAAATGACAACAATTTGACCAAAAGGCATTAGAACTCTATGCCTAGAGTTATCGTAATACCATGTGCACAATAAAATATGTATATGTCATAAGGAATAAAAAGTGGAGTAAACATGAGATAATCTGACTATATTCTGAGTGCTAGATGTCTATGAGGGCTTTCAGGTTAGTTGCTTGTTTTTTAGTAATAAACACAACAGTAATAATGATGATAATACATAGCCTATATTGCTCCAGCCAGGTGTGGTGACTCATGCCTATAATCCCAGCACTTTGGGAGGCCAAGGCAGGAGGATGGCTTGAGTTCAGGAGTTCAAGACCAGCCTGGGCAACATGGCAAAACCTCATCTCGACAAAAAAGAGAAATTAGGCCGGGCGCGGTGGCTCATGCCTGTAATCCCAGCACTTTGGGAGGCCGAAGCGGGCAGATCACAAGGTCAGGAGATCGAGACCATCCTGGCTAACACGGTGAAACCCCATCTCTACTAAAAATACAAAAAAATTAGCCGGGCGTGGTGGCGGGCGCCTGTAGTCCCAGCTGCTCGGGAGGCTGAGGCAGGAGAATGGCGTGAACCCGGGAGGCGGAGCTTGCAGTGAGCCGAGATTGTGCCACTGCACTCCAGCCTGGGCGACGAGGGAGACTCCGTCTCAAAAAAAAAAAGAGAAATTAACCGAGTGTGGTGGCCCATGCCTGTAGTCCCTGCTACATGGGAAGCTGAAGTGGGAGGATGGCTTGGGCCCAGGAGGTGGAGGTTGCAGTGAGTCAAGATTATGGCACTGAACTCCAGCCTGGGCAATGGAGTCAGACTCTGTCTCCAAAAAAAAAAAAAAAAAAAAAAAAAAAATTAACTCCCTTTATTCCTATGAGAACCCCACTGAATAGACACTATTATCTTTACCAGTTGTCAGATGAGCAAACTTCCCCCAGATAATAAGATTAATACTACCTTTTTACAGATTAAGTAAAACTAGGGGGAGATTGAGAGGATACTAAAAATATCTAATGCATAAAAATGTATAAGGTTAAGGACAATTGTTTTGCCTATCTCTGCCCAGATCTTCTCAGATCCCTTTTGAAGATTTTTGTTGTCTACCCTCTCTCTGGTTTCTGTGCTCTCACTTTTATCAACTAGCACTAAAGGCTCTTTGTGGGGTACCATCCTAGGGCTACTGAAGCTGTACCCACTCCTCCAGGTGGGAGATCAAAAGCCTGGGAATTTCCTGTAAATTGTTGGAAATTTTCCTACTGATAAATCCTTTCATGTTTTTACTGGCTTTCCCTGGAAGCATTCTTTGTTTGGAATGAGTCACTTGTACACAAATCTTGATCTCAGGGTTAGCTTAAGGAGAACACAAGAAACAGAGAAAGGAGGATCTCGATAAAATATTGAACTAGTACTTAGTATGTGAAGAAAATGAGTGATAGTATCAAGGTAAAAACAAGAACAGTAGAAAATTATCTTAAACCAGGGGGAATTGACATTAGAAACAAATGGATTGTCATGATTTGAAAATGTTAGAATGGGCTATTTACTCAGAAAAAGCTTCAAACTTGCTTTCTGAGAAGACTTTATAAATGTGCATAGCTATTTTCCTGGGTTAGTTTAAATGTACTGCAGTCCTTCTGGAACTGAATAACTAAATCAGTGGCTTCCCAGAGCCTCTACAGCTCTAATAGTTGTATAAGAGCACAACCTATGGTTGTAACCAATGGTTAACAATCATTAACCTAAAAAGTAAAGCCTTTTTGATTATGCATTGTGCTAAGGGCTTTAGAATTATTGTTAAATGGATTCAGTCCCTGCTTTTTAGGAACTTAAGAGAAAAATTTTTAAAAGTAAATAAAAGAAATCTACCGTTTATGGTGTACTACTAAGAAGCATTAAAACAAGTATGAGAATCACTTCAGAGAAACATTAATGAATTTACAAATATCAGTATTTCAGAAAAGTAATATCTACTTTGATTTTACAAATGAGATATGTATGGACAAGAAAAATCTATTCATGACATGTCTACTCCAAATAGCTTCATTAGTATTTTTCAGGCGAAAAGAAGTAACAAAATGAAAAAGAAAAAGAAACATTACACTGCATTGAGGCAAAAGATTAAGAAATAAGTTTGTCAGAAAAATGTGAAGGTTTGATGCTTATCTTTGCAGTAATTTTAAGTAAAATGATGAAGAAAGAAAAATGTTTGTGGTGAGAATATTAAAAAAAATTGTAGGATAAAATCCCATTATATCACTGGGGAAACAAATTAATATTTCCTGGTAAAGAGCTTGATGCTAGGATCTAGTGTCAGAAACTTTTCTTAAATAAATACTTTTTCTTCTTGAACCTTTAAACATATTTTGAACTAAGCAATTTTGAAACAAATTTTATTCAAGTTTCTTCAAGTAATAATAAAAGGAAATAGTTATCAAGTATACAAATAACTGATCTTTAAATATATATATATATATGGATATTAGGAAAATATTTGAGTAGGTGGGTAGGTGTTAGAGGAAGCAGGAAAGATAAAATACACACCCTTGATAAAATTGTATTATATAAGCAACTGCATATATTGCTTTTTATTGCTTCATACAATTTTATTATATAAGCAATGGCTTTATTATATAAACAATGGCTTATATAATAAAATTATATAAACAAAGGCTTAGATAATAAAATTATATAAACAAATTTTATAATTTTAAAATTGGCATGTAGAGTACACATATAATTTCCTTAAAACTGTGTTATTACTTTCCATCAATCACATGGATCATGAAGTTGTTTTCAGTTCTTCTAAACATGCTAGAAATGTGGTCAGAGACTAAAAAACAGGTACAAATATATTGTTTTCAAACTTTACCTGTGCGAGTACAGAATAAAGACATATTTGGATATGCAGAAACACTGAATATTTTCTTTCATGGCACCCTTTCTTAGAATATTATTTAATGATATTGTCTATCAGAACTAAAGAGTAAACCAAAAAAGAGGAGAGCAGTGAAGAGAAGCTTCACAATTATAGCTATTTGTTGGGTCCCAATACTGAGCAATCTGTCCCAGTTAAAAAAGGAAGGAAGACTTCAGAATAGAAATATCTGGGTGATTTTATTCTACCCTTTATTATTTGGAACAATATAAGGAAGGAATAAATGCAGAAAATAAAAGGATAATAGAATAACAAGCATACAAGATCTCAGCACCCCCTTTTATTGGAGTAAAAGGACTACCTGATGATAAAATGCAAACAATTAAGATCAAATCAAGAGAAAACAGATCAAAACAAAAAGTTGGGGAATGATGAATATTTGGTAAAAAAAAAAAAAACAACCTGGTGAAGAGCTGTGAATACAAAAAATACAAAATTGAAAATAAAGACTATGAGGGTTGTAGTTGTAGAACAGAATGTAAATATTATAAACTTTGAAAAAGTGAATCAATATAATAAAAATGGGAACATGTTGAAGGAGGCAAGAAGCTTATTTTCTCTCCTTTCACAGCAGGAAATAAATCAGTCTGACTTAAAATTGAAATACTCATTTTAGAATATCATAATTGTAGCAAAACCGATTTCTTAATGCTGTTCCATATTAATTTTTCCTAAACTTCTAAAACATGTAAACTGACCATTAAGAAACTAGTAATTATTTCACTTCATATTATTTCTTAATTTATTTGCAGATACAATTACATTAACTATATTTCATTCAGAATATATGACCGTGTTTACTAAAATCATATTTTATCTTTATCTCTCTGTATGGATTTTAGAGATAGCTGGGAAAATAGTTACCTGATCTTTATTGTTTCTTGTCCATACTTTAATATCACTTTAATATTGATTTTTATATTAAAAATATATTATTTTGTAAAATAAACCATTAAAAAAAAAGCCAATTACTAAAAGTAACTTGAAAGTCAGTACAACTTTGTATAAAGTCCCTAGAAAACCACAAAGTAAATTTGATTTATATTATAGCAAAATGTGTAATATATATAATCTTAAAGGTTTTTCTTTTCTTTTCTTTTTTTTTTTTTTTTTGGAGACGGAATCTCGCTCTTTCACCTCAGGCTGGAGTGAAGTGGTGATCTCGGCTCACTGCAACCTCCGCCTCCTGGGTTCAAGCAATTCTCCTGCCTCAGCCTCCCGAGTAGCTGGGATTACAGGCGCCTGCTACCACTCCCAGCTAATTTTTGTATTTTTAGTAGAGACAGGGTTTCACCATTTTGGCCAGGCTGGTTTTGAACTCCTGACCTCAGGTGATACACCCACCTCGGCCTCCCAAAGTGCTAGGATTATAGGGATAAGCCACTGCTCCTGGCCAAGGTTTTTTTTTTTTTTAAAGCAATTTAGTAACCTCCCAAATTACCACTATTTCTTATTTTACAAATGTGTAGTCTTCACCCCTCTTTTCAGCTAGAAAACAATTTACCTTAAGTGTATGATCACTGTCAAAAATGTTAGTTAACTAATAGAACTTCAACATAAAAGATTATAAATTAAAAGCACAAAATACAATTTTGGCAAGATATAGGTCACTCGGGGATGAAGTTCAGTCTAAATAGCTGCCTTTCTTTTGCAAGATGCTTCAGATTTTGTAAACTCCTTTTGCTCTTAAAAGAATATCTGGTGGATTCATAGCCAAAAATCTACCAGACATGAAAAGAGAGACTGGTACCAATTTCACCGAAACTATTCCAAAAAATCAAGGAGGAAGCATTCCTCCGTAACTCATTCTATGAAGCAAGCATCATCCTGATACCAAAACCTGGCAAGGACACAATGAATAAAACACCCAAAAAACTACGGACCAATATCCCTGACTAATATAGACGCAGAAATCCTCAACAGAATACTAGCAAACTGAATTCAATAGCACATCAAAAAGTTAATTCACCAAGATCAAGTAGATTTCATTCCTGGGATGCAACGTTGGTTTAACATACTCAAATCAATAAATGTGACTCACTCATAAACAGAATTAAAAACAGAAACCATGTGATCATCTCAATAGATGTGAAAAAAGCTTTCAATAAAACCCAATATTGCTTCACGTTAAAAACCCTCAAGAAACTAGACATTGAAGGAACATACCTCAAAATACTATGAGGGTCAAAAATTGGATGCATTTCCCTTGAGAATTTGAACAAGACAAGGATGCCCCCTCTCACTGATATGGTTTGGATCTATGTCCCCACCCAAATCTCATGTTCAATTGTAATTCCCAATATTGGGGGTGGGTCCTGTTGGGAGGTGATTGGATCATGGGGGTGGAGTTCTCATGAATGGTTTAGCACCGTCCCCCCTTAGGACTGTATAGTGAGTGGGTTTTCAGGAGATCTGGTTATTTAAAAATGCGTAGCACCTCCCCGTCTCTTTCTTCTTCCTGCTCTGCCATGTGAAGTACCTTACTCCCCTCTTGCGTTCCACCATGATTATAAGTTTCCTGAGGCCTCCCCAGAAGCAGAAGCCACTATGCTTCCTGTACAGCCTGCAGAACTATGAGCCAATTAAACCTCTTTTCCTTATAAATTACCAAGTCCCAGGTATTTTTTTATAGCAGTGCAAGAATGGACTAATATACTCACTACTCCAATGTAGTACTGGTGCTAGCCAGAGCAATTAGGCAAGTAAAAGAAATAAAAGGCATCCAGATTGGAAAAGAAGGAGTCAAACTATATCTCCTCATGGATGATATTATTCTACACCTATAAAACCCTAAAGACTTTGCCAAAAGGCTCCTGGAACTGATTGACTTCAATAAAGTTTTAAGATACAAAACCAGTGTACAAAAATTAGTAGCATTTCTGTACACCAATAATATTCAAGTTGAGAGCCAAATCAAGGAGGCAACCCCATTTTCAATAGTGACAAAAAATAAAATACATAGGAACACATCTAACCAAGAAGATGAAAGATCTCTACAAGGAGAACTGTAAAATATTGCAAAAAAAAAAAATCATAGATGTCACAAACAAGTGGTGAAACATCCCATGCTCATGGGTTGGAATAGTCAATATCATTAAAATGGTCATATTGTCCAAAGCAATCTACAGATTCCACACTATTCCTATCAAACTACCAACATCGTTTTTCACAGAACTAGAAAAAAACTATTCTAAAATGTATTTGGAAACCAAAAACAGCCTGAATAGTTAAAGCAATACTAAGCAAAAAGAACAAAGCCAGAGGCATCACACTACCCAACTTCAAATTAACTATAAGGCTGCAGTAGCTTAAACTGCATGGTACTGGTACAAGATCAGACACATAGACCAATGGAACAGAATAGAGGACCCTGAAATAAAGCCGCATACCTACAGTCATCTGATCTTTGACAAAGTTGACAAAAATAAGCAATGGGGAAAGGACTCCCTATTCAATAAATGGTGCTGGGGTAATTGGCTAGCCATATGCAGAATAATAATACTGGACCCCTGCCTTTCACCATGTACAAAAATTAACTCAAAATGGGCAAAATATTTAAATATAAGAGCTCATACTCTAATAATCCAAAAAGAAAAACTAGGAAACACCATTCTGGACATTGGCCTTGGCAAAGAATCTATGACTAAGTTCTGAAAAGCAATTGCAACAAAAACAAAAATTGACAAGTGGGACCTAATTAAACTCAAGAGCTTCTGCACAGCAGAAGAAACTGTCAGCAGAGTAAACAGACAACCTACAGAATGGGAGAAAATATTTGCAAATATGCCTCTGACAAAGGTCTAATATTTAGAATCCATAAGGAATGTAAAAAGTTGGACAAACTAAAAACAAATAACCCCATTAAAACTAGGCAAAAGACGTGAACAGACACTTCTCAAAAGAAGACATATAAGTGACCAATAAACACATGAAAAAATGCTCAAAATCGCTCTTAGTCAGAGAAATGCAAATCAAAACCACAATGAGACACCATGTCACACCAGTCAGAATGGCTGTTATTAAAAACTCAAAAAGCCACAGATGCTAGTGAGGCTGTGGAGAAAAGGGAATGCTTATAAACTGTTAGTGGGAATGTAAATTAGTTCAACCACTGGGCAAAGTGCTTTGACGGTTTCTCAAAGAACTTAAAATGGAACTACCTTGCTCCCCAGCAATCCTATTACTAGGTATATAGCCAAAAGAAAATAAGTCATTCTCCCAGAAAGTCATATGCACCCACATGTTCATCCCAGCACTATTGGTAATAGCAAAGACATGGAAACAACCTAGGTGCCCATCAAAGGTGGATTGGATAAAGAAAGTATAATATATATTATCTACGCTATGGAATACTACACAGCCATAAAAAGAATTAAATGTTGTCCTTTGCAACAACGTGGGTGCCGCTGGAGGCCATTATCCTAAGTTGATTAGTGCAGTAACAGAAAACCAAATACCACATGTTCTCACTTGCAAGTGGGAGCTAACCATTGGATACTTATGGATATAAAGAAGGCAACAATAGAAACTGGGGACTACTAAAGGATGGAGGGGTTCAAGTTTTGAAAAACGATTGGGTACTATGCTCAGTACCTGTGTGAGAGGATCGTTAAAACCCCAAACCTGAGCCTCACGCAATATACCCAGGTAACAAACCCACACGTGTAGCCCCTGAATCTAACATAAAAGTTGAAAAAAATGACATAAAATTAAAAAATAATTTTGATACAGAAAAGAACATCTGGGAATGGAATATATTTGCTTTTAATATATATCTACAAAAGTAAGCAATGATCTCTGGTAAAGTCATGAGGCACGGTATCCTTACTGGCTGGGATAAGAGCATGCATCAGAAAACACCAACATCCAAAACATCCAAGCTCAAAACACTAATTTATAGCCATCTAGATGCTTTTATATTCAGAATTATTATAGAAAGAAAGCCTAACTGAAATCAGGTGTTCTACATGCTTTTCATTCACCAGTGAAATTAGTCCAAATAGTGTGAGACTGAAACCAGGGATATCAGCTTTCATCATCCTGGGAAAGCTCGTGCTGCTTCATTTCCTTCCACTTCTTGCTTTCCAGTCAGGTCTCTGGTTAGCAGTCCATGCAGCCCATAATTATGACCAGGGGTACTAAGCATGACTTTTTCACTTTCAATAGGCCTGCACTTTACAGCAAGTAGTTCTGAGATTATTATCCAAAAATATCTAATAACCTTATACTTGGACCAATGGGCTTGTGGAATAATTTGGGTTCAGATAAAACTACTTCTTCTATCTAACCATATGTCAGAATACATAGCCCACCAAAATCTTTCTAACTCTCTGAATCCCTATGGAGAGTAACACATAGTTTAGCACTTAATCTTTCTCTAATTATTTCCTACATGCTAATTTTATCTCCACAACTGAAAAGTAAATTCCCTGTGTGCAGTAACATGCCCTAATCTTTATGAGGCAGTACCATAAACAGTGTTGAGCATATTTGATGCCTGTTTAATAAATAGTTGTTTATGATTATCCGATATTAAGACTTAGACTCCTGATTGGGAGCTGCTTTCAGTTAACATAATACAGAAATGAAACCTCATGTCTTTTAGGAAACATTTCTAGATTCCTCTCCAGCCTCCTCTGAATTACTTTAACGCTTGATTTGAATGACTAAAACTGGAACATCTTTAGAAGGAAACTAGAGTTGTAAATCCCTGGGAATGACTTAGGGTAAATAAACAAAGACATAACTCAGGTCCAGAGGCCAAAAACTCAGAGTTCATGTTTTCAAATATTGGCCAGTCTGTCTTTCATACAGCTGTGTCAGCTAATTGCCCAATAGCAACCTTTTTGTTTGACCATAGCAATCTGTTCGTTTCTCTCTCTCTCTCTCTCTCTCTCTCTCTCTCTCAGCATTTACTGATGACTGTAAGTATCTTTAGGTATATTTATCTTTTCTCTGAGTCTGCAGGGTCCCTTATGATACTCAGTAACTGTGCTCTCTTCTCCATTGCATTCTTATTGCTGAGTATAATGCCCAGCACTTAGTAGGTGTTTAATATATACGTTGGAAGAATGAATAATTGGATGGATGAATGGATGGATGAGAGATGAAAATACTGCCTAATGAAAGAAGGTATCCCATCTTATTAAAATAAGTAGCCCTCCTTCCTTGGATTGTCTGGTGTTCTAAAGCGTTTTTTAAAAGACATATATGAGATTAAACCTAATCTAGGCTCTCTCCCTGTGCGAACACAATAATTGAAACACATGACTTTAGAGAACAAAATGTGACTTGACTAGCTGTCTGAATCATTTCAGGGTGGCATTTAATATCTTTTTAAACAAAAGACATATATATATATATATAACTCAACAGTCATTTAACTTTCTCTGTTTCTCAATTCTCTTATCTCTAAAATGATGATAATATTTGCTTCTTTGTACCTGTTTCGTAGTTGAATTAAAATTTTGACCCCTGCCATATGATTCTGCAGCCCTTCCACATCTTTCTGCAGATACTGACATAAGGTAGAGAGGTCAGGGAAAGGACCATTGTAGTGACCTAGTGAGGTGTCAGCAATGGGACGATAAGGAGTAGACAATGTAAGAAATTCATGCCAGAGTGTGGGGGTGGGAATCTATAGAACTTAATGCAGATCTCAAAGGAAACAGAAGAGTCCAAATGATTAACATTGGGTTTCAAAATCCACACCAAAAAAAGATTTTAAAAGTTGATTCTTTGTTCACATGTCTCATATATGCTTATACAATAGCAGCATTCAAAAGTATTTTGAGTCTTATAGTTACATAGATATTTTTACCTAAATTTCTCCTGTAGCAAGGGTTCAGGGACTTTGTTAATTTTATACTTTTTAGCTTGTCACCCAGCCCTTTGTTTCCTCTCTCTGGATGTGCAGAAAGATTTTAAAATCTATCCCTGCCAAACAATTCTCTTTCGTGGGAATTTGGTTTAAACCAGTTCTGTTGCTATGGTACCTAGTTTTCAGTTAATGGAAAAATACAAAACCAAAATAATACTGAATTTGCAGTATATATGTCCCCACTCATTGCATATCGACTTATTCATGTTGATTGGATTCGTAAACGATCAAAAGTTGCTCAGTGCTATAAAAAAAGTATCTAACCTACTTAGAATTCACATACTGACACTTATACCTTTCAAGTGTTGTGTGTATCTGTGTGCATATAAATGGTAGAAGAGATGGCATGGAGCAGTAAGAGTTTTTGGAGGTGAAGAAACCTGACATTGAATTTCAGCTTAGCCAGCTAAAAGCTAATTGACTTTGGACAATCACTTATTGCTCTGGACCTTTTTTCCAATCTACAGAGTGGGTATTCGTAATATAACTACTTTTCAGGAATGTTATTAAAATTAAAGCAATATGTTTTAATTGCCTAGAACAATGCCTGGTACTTAGCAGGTTTGCAGAAGCCTACTAGTGTTTTCAAATGTGGAGATGATGTGTGTGTGTGTGTGTGTGTGTGTGTATGTGTGTGTGTTTGTGTGCATTTGTGTGATAGGGTGAATTGTAACCCCTTAAGACTCAAATATTGAAGCCCTACCCCCAATACCTCAGAATGTGACTGTATTTGGAGAGATTGCTTTTAAAGAGGTAATTACGTTAAAAATGAGGTCCTTAGGTTAGGCTCTAATTCAGTCTGACTGTCATCCTTATAAGAAGATGAAATTAGGATACTTGGAGGAAGCACCAGGAGGAGGCATGCACCCAGGAGAGACCATATAAAGACACAACAGAAAGGGGACCATCTGCAAGTCAAGGAGAGAGGCCTTAGAGGAAACCAAACTTGCTGGCACCTTGATATTGGACTCCTAGCCTCCAGAACTATGAGAAATTTCCATTGCTTAAGCCACTCAGTCTGTTGTACTTTGTTACTGCAGCCCTGGAAAACTAATCCTATCTATCTATCTATCTATCTATCTATCTATCTATCTATCTATCTATCTATCTATCTATCTATTGGACAACAAATGTTCGTAAAATAGAAGTGAAAATAACATGCTAGTTTTCCTGAGTCTTTTTCTCTTCATTTACTGCCTCCAGTGTATAGTTTGTTATTATTTACTTTTTACTAATACCTTACATGGTATAAAGAAACACAAGTCTTAAATGTATATCCCAATGAATTTTTGCATATGTGCACATCCATGCATCCACTACCCAAATCAAGACTTAGAGCATTCCTTGTTCCCTAGCAGCCTCTCTCATGCTCCTCCAGGTAAAGAGCCATTCCTCTTCCCCACAGTAAATACTTGTGACTTCTTGTGTTTTATATATTTTGAACTTCATATAAATGAGTCATACATCACTCTTTTGATTCTGGCTTCTTTCACATAGCGTCATGTATGTGAAATCCATTCATTTTGCTCTGCGTTAAATGTTCACTTTATTCATTGCTGAGAGCAGTATTCCATTGTATGTACATCCTCCAATTTATTTATTCATTTTGGTGTCGAGCATTTTTGTAGTTTCCATTATTTATAATTATGAATAAAGTTGCTATGAACATTCTTGTAACTATTTTTGGTGGACAAAACCACTCTTTTCTCTTGGGTAAGAAGTACATGGGAATTCTATAAAATGTTTCTATCTTAATGTTACTTACAGGATAAAGTCTATTTTTCTCCCTTCTGAGTATTGCTTTTTAATCTCCCTACTAGAAATTCTCAGTGCTTCTTAACCCGGGGCAGGCATTTTTGCTCCCCAGGGGATATTTGGCAATGTCTGGAGACACTTTTGGTTGTGACATCTTCGGGGAGGATGCTACTGGTAGTGGGTAAAGGCCAGGATTGCAGCAATATCCTCCAATGTGCAGGACAGCCACCACCAACAAAGTCAATTATCTGGCCCCAAATGTCAATAGTGCTGCTGTTGAGAAACCCTGTATCTAGACCAATAGAATTTAATTTTGTATTTTTACTGAGTAGGTATTCATTGCTTGACCAACCCACATATTCTTTCTGATACATCTTTTTTAGAACCCTTAGGAAGAAAGAGTAATGGCAGCAGCATTTTCCACCCTTTTCTATTGGGGTTATTAATTCTCAAAAACTATACAGCCTGACTTTAGTGAGTTCAAGGCATCAGAGCTTGTCTTTATCAATAAATATTTCCAGAAAAGGGAAATAGCATGTGTCCTTTTTAAGATGGTGATGTTGCATTCTGCGAAGAAATATATATATAAATATGACATAAAAATATACATACATATATTGCAAATGCCATTTCTTTGCCTCTATTTAGAACCAGCTAAGATAGCCAGGCACATGGATACTTGTTCTATTTCAAAATGTCTACAGAAGATTCTTGAAATTCTTCCTGTCATTTTTCCCAGTCTCTAAAAACTGTGATCAATCCATTCCCCTGACCGCATGTCATCCATTGTTTTCTCAGGCAACCTCTTCTCACCTTCAGAGTAACTGAAGGTATATTATATTCACTTTAGTTATCAGAAGTACCTAAAAGAAAAAAATGATCAAGTTATTTCCATTTCCATGAGCCTGAGCCTTCTCCTCTCCCATATTCCTGCCAGTTCTTGCTTTTGAAAACTGAGCTTAAGGGCAATATTGTAACTTGCACTTTTTGCTGATTTTATATCATTCATCTAGCTATAGGTCTGACAGAGGTGATTACTTAGCTCTCCAAATAGGCAATGATGTGATTGCCTTCATTTATTTCAGTGACATTGAAATGGAGGAATGATATTTGTTGGCTTTGGGCTTTAAAGACATGTGGTCTGCTATATTTTTGGCTGACAGCTGGAACTAGTAGTGCCTGACACTAGAAAACCAAAAAAGTCAGCATTTGCCCTTTTCATTTTGAAAATTGAAAATCACAGGTAATTAATCATATTAAATGTGAATGTAACCCATTTCATTGCTATAAAATCACCTCTTCAATTAAAATTTTTTTATAAATAATTATATTTGTGCAGCTTTTAGCATACTAACTTTTTCGTGAGTTGTTTTGTAACTTACATATTAATATGTTTTAACTCTGCTTCCTTAACTGCATTACTCATTGTTATTGATATTTGATGTCTAAGGTCCGTGATGCCCAAAGTCTTACTATGTTTGGGAGAGTCTTATAAAATGAAGGACTGTCTATATTAAAATAACAATGAGAACCTCATTGATGATAAGTGATGTAAAAAGAGAGAATAACTAATTTTTCAAAATGATTCTCAAAGAAAAAGGTACTTTCTATGATTATAGAATCATGGAAAAATGCTGGAAAAGCTTAGTTCTACACTTAAGCTCTTGGGAAATATTTTATTTAAGCTGATAACCAATATTATAGAGAAATGACAATTTTGGCCTATTTTAAAAATACTTTCATCTTCGGTAGCATTATCTAAACTCTAAATCTATAATATGTCATTGGAAAGAAAAGGGTTCCGTGCTTTCTTAAAGACAATTTGCATTTTAGTAAAGAGCACTATATCAATCAGTTCACTAAATAAGGTTCCAAATATGAAGAAAAGCAAGCATAACGTGAAGCCATAACAGTCATTGTTTTTAATTGTGATCAATAATCTGTGTCGAGAACAAGTTTTTGTTAATTCTAGAAAAAAGATATGACAGACAAGTTGTCCTTAAACATAAGAGAAACAAGATCGATTTCATATTCACTGTCACTGTGGGTGACATTCTTCTGAATAAGATTTCAAAATAAATGCTGCAAAATTTCAGGATAAAAAATAGAACATTAGCATTAATCATATTCATGCTCACTTCTCTATTTTCTCCACCTTTGCCTTCTACAGTCTTCAGCTATACAGGTGATACGCTTGTTCCATTTCAAGTCAAATGACACCATTAGTTAATTAGTGTTGCAAGTCTGGCAAATGAGATCTGAAACGAAACACCTGTCCTTTGACCCTAACTTGTTCCTTGCTTATGCAAATGAAGAGAGCAGTTTAAGCATTTTAAATGTTTTATTTCTCGTATTATGCTGCAGGTTTTATGCTGACAAGGAACACTTAATGTGTGTGAAACTAGTTCTGATCATCTGGTTTCAGCTTTTTATTTATTGAATGGATTTTCAGTGCTGTCATTTTCTTTTTACCTGAAGATCACATAAAGGTTGCACAGGTTTACGTTTGCGCATAAGGACCAGTTTGGTTTTAAGTTTAGCTGTTTGAGTAACTTCATGAAATAAATTAGAAATATATCTGTTAAATTTACCCATATGTTAAAATAGCTTTTCGGTTTATGCATTATGACTATTGCAATATGCCACACTAATATATGAACATTTCTATAACTAATATATGTTTTTAAAATAGAAAATTAAACGTGAAAGGTTTTTTATGAAATATATTTATCAGCATGAATCTTTACTCACTGAGCACCATTTAATAAGCATACTGATTGTAATGATTGCATTTTCTCCACTAAAGTTCTCAATAACAACCCTTGGATATAAAAATAAATTCACTTTCGTTATTTTAAAGCAAGTCAACAAAATAAAATTATTTTGGATAAATTGTATAACTGAATTTTCATAATGATTTATCTCAGTAAGAATAGAAAATATTATTACTGTGCAGATAAGGTGGCAATGGAAATCCAATGAGAAATAAAGGCTATGAACATTGAATGCAATATTGTTATCTGTTTGCCTTGATTCATCAAGGGGTTTCCAAAATGTTTTTACAAAGTTCTTATTTTCAATAAATCACATCATAAATAAAACCTCATTAACATGAATAGAGGGTTATTGCCTTGAAAACTGTCTATTGGAATTCTTGGCGGGAAAGTGAGACTAGTAGTTATTTATTTATGTATAGGTTTTTCTTTGCATATACAGTAGTCTCTCCTGGTCCCTGGTTTCTCTTTCTGTGGTTTCAGTTACCTGAAGTCAACTATAATCTGAAATATTAAGTGGAAAATTACAGAAATGATTTCTAAAATGTAAATTGCACATCATTGTGAGTAGCATGATAAAATCTTGCATTGTCCTGCTTGTCCTACCCGGGACATAAATCATCTCTCTGTCTAGTCACCATATTCAAGCTGTACATGCTACCCACTCTTTCATCATTTAGTAGCCTTCATGGTATCACAGTGCTTTTGTTCAAATGACCCTTTTTTTACTTCATAATGGCCTCAAAGCACAAGTACAGTGATGCCGGCATACTGTTGTAATTGATCTATTTTATTATTAGTTATCGTTGTTAATATCTTACTGTGCCTGATTTATAAATTTGATTTTATCATATGTACATATGTATAGGAAAAACATAGTATATATAGGCTTCAATACTGTCTGCAGTTTCAGGCATTGACTGGGGGTCTTGGAACATATATCCTGTGAATAGGGAGGGACTACTGTGTTTTATGGAAAAATGGAAATTATTTTTATTAGAAAAGTTTTAACAAAAGGAGAGCAGAGCAAATATTTCCTGTAACAGTGGGAAACTTGTTTTGTTATGCATATGGCTTTCTAGGTAGAAAGAATGCTTTTGGGGAATTTTAAATAAGTTGGGATGAAAACTTGACTTCTTTAACTCTAAAAGATGCTTTGAAGTTTTAGTTTTTAGTTTTTGTAATGCCAATCGTGTAAGATAAACAACTTTGAAACCCCATATTTCAGCTTATCAAAAATATTTAAAATGTTCAATCCCACCATTTAAGAATTATTATATACAGAAGTATGCATTATACAGTAATTCCTACTGGGAAGCTTAGAGCCTTTAGATATTTCCCTCTCTTAAAGAGTGGGAGAAATTCCAAGTTATAATTTTTTAGTATTACATATTTCAGTGTCAAAAAATTCTCATGAACAACTAAATGTACAGAATTCTCTTTGATATACCAAGATATGATTTTACAACTTCTTTTAATGTAATACATTTTAGTGTCTAAAAAGCATCACTAATTTAATTTTAGAAATTCTTTTCTTTTCTTTTCTTTTCTTTTTTTTGAGATGGATTCTCACTCTGTCGCCCAGGCTGGAGTGCAGTGGCGGGATCTCGGCTCACTGCAAGCTCCGCCTCCCGGGTTCACGCCATTCTCCTGCCTCAGCCTCCCGAGTAGCTGGGACTACAGGCGCCCGCCACCACGCCCGGCTAATTCTTTTTTGTATTTTTAGTAGAGACGGGGTTTCACCGTGGTCTTGATCTGACCTCGTGATCCGCCCGCCTCGGCCTCCCAAAGTGCTAGGATTGCAGGCGTGAGCCACTGCGCCCGGCCTAATTTTAGAAATTCTACTCAATCCAAGTAAAGTATATGTATTCCAGACCTCTGCCCTATTAAAAATGGAGAATCATATTCCCAATTAAAAAAATTATAAGCACAAAGGTTTCTTTAAAAATCCTTAACTTTTTTTTTTCTGTTGACTTCTTCACTTAACTAAATAAATACCAATTAAAAGTTTGCTCTCATGGCATTGTACAGTTGATGGAAGTGGGTCAAATGAGTGGGAGCTATTTTACTGGTCCAGGGAAAAGATGATGATCACTTAAATTTAGATGGTGCAAAAGGAAAACAAGAAAAGTGCACAGATTTTGTTTGTGGGTGATTGTTTTTACTGTGGTAAATAATCGCATAACATAAAATGTACCATTTTTGCCATTTCCAAGTTTACAGTTCAGTGGTATAAAGAATATTCACATGGTTGTACAACCATTACTACCGTCATATCTTCAAAACTGAAACTCTGCACCCATTCAACGTCTTCCCACTTCCACTCCTTCTAGCCCCAGGCAACAACCATTCTATTTTCTGTCTCTATGAATTTGATTTCTGTCGGTACCTCATACAAGTGGAATTATACACTATTTGTCTTTTTGGGTACTGGCATATTTTACTTATCATAATGTCTTCAAGGCCCATGCATGTTGTAGCATGTATCAGATTTGCTTCTTTTTGAAGCTGAACAATATTCCATTGCGTATATATACAACATTTTGTTCACCCATTCATCCATAAATGAGCCCTTGGGTTGTTTCCATGTCTTGGCTATTGTGAATAGTGCTACTAGGACCGTGGGAGTAGTGGACAGAGTTGAAATATATTTTGTTACGTGCTGATGAATTGAATATGAAGACTAATAAATTGTCAGAAATACCTATCCAAAAGTATAGAATATGATTTAAAATTTTTTTCTTCTGAATATCATATGATCTTTTAGGATACTAACTATTACATAATGGAAGCTCAATAAATATAATTTTATAAATTAGTCCATGAAAGGCATCTTTAAAAACTGCTTTAAATGTCTGTTAATCCGTTAGGGTATCAATTTTATTGGCCTTATTTCTGCAGTTTCAAATTTGCTTTATTTAATTTTCTCATTAAAATTGTTTATATTTAAGGTATATAGCATGATGTTTTGATATTCATGTACGTAATGAACTGATTACTACAATCAAGCTCATTAATATATTCATCTCTTTAAAAGATGCTTTCTTGGGGTTCAAAAACCGGTACCCCACAATATGGCACTTTGACATGTTGGACTAAAGAAACATTCTCAAGGTCTCTCTTTCACCCCACCCCACCCCTCCCAGCATCTCTCAACCTTCTGTCTCTCTCAAAGCACAGGATGAAGGTTTTCTCTGAAGTTCCCTTATCAGCCTGAAGCCTGGACCCACCAAAGAAGAAAACAGTTACCTCTGGTCCCTTCCCTGAGTTTCATTAACTTAACACATATTGCAGGAAGAAAGACAAGTCTGTCAGCACACCTGGACAGACTTTCAAAAAACTATCGTCTTCTATTTCATTCCCATTCAGGATTTCAAAGAGAATCATTTACCAGCTATTGTCTGCTCTGCAGGCCCAATAGGCTTTGTTCCAGGCCATTGTATGTTTTCCAGGTTCACTCATTTTCCCTTAAAAATATTTACTATCCCTCAAATTGCCACATTTCCTCCACCTCCCCTCCCCTTATGAAGAAGAATATATAAACATTTTTACCCCACTGTGTTGTTGGGTCATTCTCCTGTGATTCCCCTTTGCCATGCACATTAAAATACATTTTATATGCCATTTCTCCTATTAATATGCCTTTTGTCAGTTAATTTTCAGCAAACCTTCACAGGTGAAGGGTCAATATTACCCTTGGCCCCTACAGTTTTAACTTATTTTTCAGGAGACGCACATTTGTTTTTTTGTGCATGGGTACGTAGGTTTCTGTGATGATTTTACTAACTAAATGGGACAACTATATCGTTACATACCATGGTTTCACTCATTCTTTTAAAATTATTTTTACTACTCTAGTTAAATATAAATACCATAAAATTTGTTATTTTAACCATTTTAAAATGTATACTTCGGTGGCATTAGATACATTCACATTGTTGTGCAACAGTTTCACTCGTTTTACCAAATTGAATGTTTTGTCTACTGGCCAGGATTTATTGATTGTTGTAATGAAAATCTTTTCACTCATAGTTTAGCAATCCTTTTGTAAATGCCCTAAATCTGTATTTATTGTATAATTAAATACCTTAGCAAATACTTTTAAACTGAAAATCCCGGTGTACTAAGTTCATTCATGTTTTTCACTCTCCTTTTTTTTTTTTTTTTTTTTTTTTTGCATTTCAGTTTGGCAAGTTTCTATTGATTAAGTGTCAATAGACTTTTCTTGGTTGTGTCAAGCCTACTGATGAGCTCATCAAAGGCATTCTTTATTTCTGTCATAATGTATTTGATCTCTAGCATTTCCTTTTGAGTCTTTCTTAGAGCCTCTATCTCCTTTTAATTACTCATTTGTTCTTGAATCTTGCCTACTTTTTCCTATAGCCATCAACACATTAATCACACTTATTTTAAATTCTCTAGTAATTCCAACATCAATGTCATACCTGAGTCTGATTCTGATGCTCGCTTTGTCTTTTCAGACAATGTTTTATCTTTCTTTTTTGTGTGCCTTGCACTTTTTGTTGAAAGCCAGACATTTTGTCTTGGGTCATAGGAGCTGAATAGGCCTTTAGTGTTAGGATTTATGTTAATATGGCTAGGAGTTGGGCTGTATTTAATGATTTCTGTAGCTGTTAGGTGCCCATGGCTTCCGTTTCCTCTAGTGTGTTTGTTTTTAGCTTCCCAGTTTTCTTTTGTCTTCCCTAAGAAGTTTTTCTCAGATAGAGTCTGTAACTTTTGGTTCTTTCAGCTGTAATCCACTGTCATTATACTGGGGCCCCGTTAGTTTGGTTGTAGAGTGTTGAGGAGAGGAAGCATTCTATCATCATAAATTAAATCACAGTCTTTTAGTGGGCCTGTGTCCCTGGACTGTGAAACACACTCATAAACGTTTCTTAGCTTTTTGCTTCCCCTCTTAGGTGAGACAGGAAAACCAGAGGGAGCTGGAGTTGGGAAAATATTCTTCTTTCAGATGGGATAAGGCTCTGATAAAGCTTTTTCCTCCTGGAAAATAGGACTGTATTATGGAGAACACTCATACTCTGGGCATAGTTCACAATGTTTTCTCATCCTGTCCCCCTGCCAGAACCACCAGAGGATCAATCTTGGCTCTTCACTGTGAGAACAGGAGGGGTGGGGTTCTTAGAGGTAAAGTACAGATAACTGTAGAGGCCACCAGGAAATTTCTGACTCTCATACTAATCCACATTCAGTTTCCAGCAATTCATAAAAATTACGGTTTAAGGATTCTTACAAGTTTATGGATCCAGTGGCCTTTTTTTTTTTTTTATTCGAGGGAAACTAATTGCTGCTTTGACTCTGTATTTGCCTGTATCTCTGCATTTCAGTGTGGAAGTTTGCTTTGTGACCTCAATTTTCTGATGGATCCAAGAAAAGTCAATGATTTTTAGTTTCTTTGGCTTTTTCTTGTAAGCATGACTTCCTAGCTCTTTACATGTTGGAGCTCTTGGGTGGCCTTTTAAACTACTAACTAGTAGAATGGAATGCAGTAAAACCAACAAAAACGATGGAACAACAGAGCCTGGACCATTAATCGCGCCATCCAATCTAGAGTAGAAAAGACAATGTAAGTAAGGCAAGTGACCTTTTAGGTCCTAAAAGCAACTTTATCACCAGCCCCTGTAAACTTTTAGGAAAAAAAGATTCAAAATTATAATAAATAATATTCATACATATTTGAGTGAGATCAATGATCTGGCTTCTTAAATTCTTCATGGAATATCAATTTTGACATTTCTTTGGCTCATTTCCACAGTGGCTGAATCTGTTCTCAGTCAGAAAGGAAACTCGTATTTTCTTTTTTCAAACTTTGTAATTTTCCAACTTTCTAATGAAACATTGTAGGCCTTCATTAGAAAGATTACCTCAGACTAACTTACTGCTAGCCATGTCCTTCAACAGTGCACCTAAGATAATTTATTGAAGTATCTTCTCTCAGATGGCAAATGTTTCTTCATTCACTCTCTTAGCATTTTAAGTTCCACAGTAGGAGCTATGTAAGTCTCCTAAAGCCCACAATTTTTAGCCCTAAAGAGCATTAATGTCCCTCTAATATACAGTTGATCCATAATGGTGTGCCTTAAGCTTTCTTCAAAAATTGCCTCAAAAAAAAAATCAGTGATGTGAATCTGCACTTACTGTAATACTGTGGTAACTGGGAGTGGGCCATGTGTATACTCATGTACATAAACACACTACACATTCCTAGTTTAACTATTTGCTAACCCTGTCCATTGATTTTCACAGTATATTTTTTTCTCCTCTCAATAGTTTTTAAGGCTTCCTAAAATACAAATTGAAATAACCTTTTGCTGCAGATATTATGGAATCCAGGCAGGCCTGCAAGTCTGTGCAGAGTTTACTCTCTGGCAATAAGACTGAGAATCCCCTTTAACAGGCCCTGCCAGACCACCTGTTATATTTGAATAATTCACAAACAGCTTTTCCCATTAATTCATGCCAGGCCTCTAAATATAATCCAAAATAAGTCATGTTATAAGGCATTTGGATTAGAAATAAAGTCATTATAACCATATGCCTGCATTTATAAATGTACTTTTAGACAACATAGTACCATTCTAAATTTTCACCACAGGATCTGTTTGACCTACAGAGATATTTGGGTATCTCTAACTTAAGGAAAAAGGCCGTGAGGCAACCATTTTAAAATACTTACAGACAGTGAGTTTGAAGAACTTTGAACTTGTAGTCTCCTGATGCCTCACTGATACATCCATTTCAAGGCAGACAATTGCCTTCCTTAAGCCCAAAGTTAGAAAAAATGAACAGGACAGTTTTTCAGGTTTTGTCTCAATTCCTGTTCATGCACAGTGCAATTTTTGCCACACTATCCTCATCTCTTGAAGAGATGGCTAGCCATTTCTTCTGTGATGTCTCAAATGTGCTTCAAAGTTCATTGTAGCCCTTATAACACTGAAACCTACCTGTGTGCACATCTGTCTCTTTCAGTTCTTTAAATGGTATGAGAACATGTTAAGATTAGCTCTATAATGAGTCATTTCTGCATCCCTCAGATCCCTGGTATTGAACTTGACACGTAATTTGTATTTGGTGTGGTTATTCAGTGAGTAATTGACAAATTCAATGATCCATATTATGCATGTCACATTTTAGCTTCCCTTAAAGAAAAGTTTTTAGGAAAGGAAAAGAACACTGGGGAGGGGGGAAACAAAATTAACTTGGCCATGCTGAGAATTGCAGGAATGTGCACTATGCAAACAAGTTAAGTAAGCACAGTGTCTTCCTTACTTCCATCAGAGACCTTGCTTGGCTAAAAAGCAAGAGTGGAGCCCACTCTCTGTATTCATTTGCATAATTTGTTCACACTCTGCCTTAGCCACAGAAGTGGAAAGCCTTTCCTTTCCTGGTAGTCCCTAGGACATGTCATCTACCTCCCTCGTGAGTTGTAATATGGGGAGGACTGGAAGGCACAGCTTAGAGCCCCATGGTGTCCAGTCAGGGGAACATGGGGATAATGTGTCCATTCACTGACACTAGCGCTTTTCTCCAATATGGTTAACAGTCGAAATTTGATTAAAGCAAGTTAGGAAACTCCAGTAAGGCTAATTTTCTCTTGAACTATATATGGTGTCTGTTGGCAAGAAAACAAGAGTTACACATTTAAGTAGGTTAATATCAACTGAGAAACTCTTAAGAATCATAGTTTAAGATCAGGCCAGGCGTAGTGGCTCACGCCTGTAATCCCAGTACTTTGGGATGTTGAGGAGGATGGATTGCTCGAGGTCAGGAGTTGAGACCAGCCTAACCAACATAGTGAAACCCTGTCTCTACTAAAAATACAAAAATTAGCTGGGTGTGGTGTTGGGCACCTGTAATACCAATTACATGGGAGGCTGAGGCAGGAAAATCACTTGAACCCAGGAGGCGGAGGCTGCAGTGAGCTGAGATCGTGCCACTGCACTCCAGCCTGGGCAACAAAGCAAGACTCTGCCTCAAAAAAAAAAAAAAAAGAAAATCATAGTTTAAGATCAAAGTTGAATGTATATTGTGATGAGTCTACAGTGTGGGAACAACTTTTTGAAAAGTGTAATAGGTTTGAGAAAAATGGCTTAATTTAAAATATGTATTTTCTATTATATGTGCATGATTTTTATGAAGATATATTCTCAGAATTCTTTAAATTAGTGGTTCTCAATTCAGTCTATGTATCAGAATTGCTTGTGAAGCTTTCAATTAATACATATGGATACCTAAACCTAACCCTTGATTCTGATTCATTTAGTCTGGAGAAAGGTTGGACATTTTTTAGCAACTTTGTTTTTGATTTAGGATTGAATATCACTGCCCCAGGATTATGAAGAAATTCATCATCATCCTAAAAATATTATAGTACTTCAGCCCTTTATTATAGTCATTTTTCCATAAGTGGCAAATAATAAGAATCCAAAGAAACATGTTGTGTATGCGTGGGGCCATCTCGATACAGCTGATGACAATTAAGTTGTTGGCTGTCTGGTTTTAAAGATATTTGGAAAGACAATTCCTTTTATAAGAAAACCAAACAAATTCCAGCCAATGAATGGTCTTAGGCGGTCAAGAATTTTATTCTGGCTTACTGACATCCTCAAGATCTCAAGACACAGATTAGACTATGAGAAGACACAGTAAAATACTCCATCTTTATTCTTAGAGATTCTATTCTGAATCCCACTTTTTTCAGTTTTATTGAGATGTAGTGACAAAAAATTGTATGTATTTAAAGTGTACAACACGATGTTTCGATGTAAGCATACATTGTGAAGTGATTGCCATAATCAAGCCAATTAACATATTGATCATCTTACATAGTAGCCATATTTTGTGTGTGTGTGGTGAGAACACTTAAGATCTATTTTCTTAGCAAATTTCAGGTGCACAATACAGTATTATTAACTATAGTTACTAGCTGTACATTAAATTGAGATAACTTATTCATACTGCATCACTGAAACTTTGTACACTTTGATCAACATCTCCCCATTTTCCCTACTCTCAGCCACTGGTAACCTCCATTCTACTTTCTGCTCTTAGGAGTTTTAATTTTTAGATTCCAGATATAAGTGAGATTATGCAGTGTTTGTTTTTCTATGTTTGGCTTATTTTACTTAGCATAATGTCTTCCAGGTTAATCTGTGTTGTCACAAATGGCATGATATCCTTTTTTTTAAAAAAAAATGCTAAATAATATTTTATTGTGTGTGTGCATGTGTGTGTATATATATCATTTTCTTTACGCATTTATCTGTGAATGACACTTCTATTGTTTATGTATATTTGCTGTTGTGAATAATACTGTAATGAACATGGGAGTGCAGATATCTCTCCCAATCACTGATCTCATTTCCTTTGGATATACACCCAGAAGTAAGATGCTGAATCATATGATAATTCTATTTTTTCATTTTTTGAGGAACCTCCATTATGTTTTTTGTAATAGTTGTACAAATTTTCATTCCCACCATCAGTGCACAGAGGTCTCTATTCTCCACATCCTTGCCAATACTTCTTCTCTTTTCACATTTGATAATAGCCATTGTAACAGTTGTGCAGTGATATCTCATTGTGGTTTTATTTGCATTTCTCTGATGATTAGTGATATTGAGCACCTTTTCATCTACCTGTTGATCACTTGTATGTCTTCTTTTGAGAAACATATATTAAATTCTTTAGCCAATTTTAAGTAGGCTTATTTGTTGTTGTTGTTTGCTATTGAGTTGTTTGAGTTCCATATATATTTGGATATTAACCTTTTATCAGATGCATGGTTTGGAAATAAATTTTTCCTGTTTCATAGGTAGTCTCTTCACTCTGCTAATTGTTTCCTTTGCTATGCAGAAACATTTTAGTTTCACACAATCCCACCTGTTTATTTTTGCTCATGTTGCCTATATTTTTGGAGTTATGTCCAAAAAGTAATTACCCAGACCAATGTCAAAAAGCATTTCCCTTATGTTTTCTTCCAGTAGTTTTAAAGCTTCAGGTATTAAGTATTTAATCAATTTTGAGTTGGTTGTTGTATGTGGTGTAAGATAAGGGTCCAATTTTATTTTTTTGAGTGTGGATATACAATTTTCCCAGCATCACTTGTTGAACAGACTGCCCTTTCCCCATTGTTTCTTAGCATGCTTGTTGAAGATCAGTTGACTATAAATATGTGGATTTATTGCTGAGATCTTTATTGTGTTTCATTGCTCTGTATGTCTGTTTTTATGTCAGTATCATACTGTTTTGTTTACTATAGCCTTGTAGTGTATTTTGAGATCAGGAAATGTGATGCCTCCAAGTTTGTTCTTGCTCAAGGTTATTATGGCTATTCAAAGTCCTTTGTAGTTACATATGAATTTGGGGAAATGCTATTGCAAATTTGATAGGCATTACATTAAATCTGTATGTGGCTTTAGGTAGTATGGACATTTCAACAATATTAATTCTTCCAATTGATGAACATGGAATATCTTTCCACTTATTTGCGTCCCTGGAATAGATCCAACTCAGTCATGTTTTAATTTGCTGGTAAATTCAGTTTGCTAGTATTCTGTTGTGGAATTTTGCATCTATGTTCATTAGGAATTTTGGCCTGTACCTTTCTTTTCTTGTAGTGTATTTCTCTGGCTTTTGTATCAGGGTAAGGCTGGCCTTGTGAAATGATTTTGTAAGTATTACCCGCTTTTCAAGTTTTTGGAAAAGTTAACATTAACAAAAAATTGGCATTAATTCTTCTTTAAAAGTTTGGTAGAATTCCGCAGTGAAGCCATTTGATCCTGGGCTTTTCTTTATTGGAAGGTTTACTTTATTACTGATTCAGTCTCCTTACTTGTTAGTGTTCTGCTCAGATTCTGTATTTCTTAATGATTCAGTCTTGGTAGGCTATATGCTTTTAGGAATTTATTCATTCCTTCTGTTAGACAGTCTACTTTGTGATTTGACAATGTATTTTCAGTAGTATGCTTTGATTCCTTTCTCTTAGATTTTGTGTATCTACTAATTTTTTTTTTCATTGTGGTTACCATGAGGTTTACATAAAACATCTAATAGTTAGTTATGTCTATTTTAAGCTGACAACTTAATTTTGACTTTGTACAAAAGCTCTATACTTTTATTTCCACCTTTCACATTTTATGTAATTGATGTGACAATTTATATCTTTTTATATCATATATTCATTAAGAAATTATTAAGGCTCTAGTTATTTTTAAAACTTTTCTCTTTTAACTTTTATATTGGAGTTACAAGTGACTTATGCACCACTATTACAGTATTATTCTGAATTTGGCTATGTACTTACCTTTACCAGTGAGTTTTATATTTTTATATGTCTTGATGTTACTAACAAGTGTCCTTTTATTTATATTTGAATAAGTATTTTTCGCATTTCTTGTAAGGCAGGTGTTGTGATGATGAACTCCCTCAGCTTTTGTTTATCTTACAAAGTCTATCTCCTCTTCATTTCTGAAGAATTGCTTTGCTGGCATAGTATTCTTGGTTGACATTTTTTTCCTCTTGTACTCCGGATATATAATCCCATTCTCTTATGGCCTGGAAGGTTTCTGCTGAGAAATCTGCTGATAGCCTTATAAAGAATCCCTAGTATGTGATGAATCATTTCCCCTTATTACTTTCAAAATTCTTTGACTTTTGATAATTTGATTATAATGTCTTGATGTAATCTTTGAGTTTTTGTATTTGTGTACTTTTGAGCTTCATGAATCTAAATATCTATATCTATCTCAATATTTGGGAAGTTTTCAACAATTATTTCTTTAAATAAACTTTCTGCCCCTTTCTATATCTTTCTGGAACTCCCGTAGTGAATGTATCGGTTCTCTTCATGGGAAGCTCTAAATTCTGTAGGCCTTCTGTACTATTTTTTATTTCTATGTTTGTTTCTCCTCTGACTGTGTAATTTCAAATAATCTTTCTTAAGTTCTTATATATTTTCTTCTGCTTTATCACGTCTGCTATTTATGCTGTTCATTGTATTCATTATATTCTTCAGCTCCAGAATTTCTATTTGGTTCTTTTTTTATGATTTCCATATTCATTGAACTTTTTTTGTGAATTGTTTTTCTGATTTTGTTCATTTGCCTATCTGTGTTAGTTTGTACCTCACTGAGCTTTTTGTAAAGAGTTACTTTGAATTATTTGTCAGGCAGTTCTTAGATCTTTATTTATTTGGTGTCAGTTACTACCAAAATTGTGAGTTGTTTTTGTTGTGTTATGTTTCCTTGATTTTTCATGTTCCTTGGAGTTTTGCATTGCTGCCCTCACATGTGAACAAGGAGTCACCTCCTCCTTCAATCCTTACTAACTGACTTCAGGATACAAAGACTTTCATTAGTCAGCCTGACATTCTAGGGGTCTCGCAGACCTTTACTATGGATACACCTGCCCCACTCCTCTTGTTTCCTCTTCAAGAAGAAGCTTTATGTTTGAATGTCTTCTCTTGATCCTGCAAAGCCAGGCTGGGTGCTGACTGCCTCTCTTTTGTTTTTCCTAGGGCATTGCCCTGAAGTACTCAAAGTTAATTGCCTTCTCCCAGTCCCAGAGAGTTAAGCCAGATGTCTGTGTGTGCTTGTGCATGATTTGCAGAGGCTATGGGTAGGGATGGACAGAAGGGCATGCAGAGTGCTTGGAGACACATACGAGAAAGTTAAATGGGTCCACAAGTGTTGCATCTTTTGATGTTCATGGGCAGGGTTCATGGAGTTCATGATGCAATGAGTAGAAACAATGGCCCTTTGTTTAGTTCTTTACTGAAGTTGCTGTGAGCTCTCACCCCTTTTCCCTGTTCTTAGCTTTCCCAAGACTATTCAACTGAGCCAGTTTCTTCTGTGTTATGGGTGAAGTGAGATAAAAGTAGGCCTCTTGGGCAACATTCTGACTAGCTATGCTTTCACTTTCCCCTGTGAAACAAATCGTGGGCCAAGAATGTCTCTCTTGGCACTGAGCTGTGTGCTGCCTTGGGAAAGGGGTGATGCAAGTAAAATGAAACTGTTTTCCTTACCCTCTTCAAGGTAATCGTGGATCATTTTTTTCTCCCATGGTGCGTTGGGACCTCTCCCCTGGTCCCTGGGCTCTACCTAATATACTTTTGTCTGTGGGTAGTTGTCAAAATTGGTGTTGCTATGGGGATAAGAACTGAAAACTCTTATCCCACCATCTTTCTAATGTCACTCTTCTCTGAATGGATTACATTAGAAAAGAACAAGGTGTTCACCTTCTTTAATGATGTAGTTACAAGGAATCTACCTCTGGGAGAGACAGTTATGTTTTCATAAATCCTAAGGCAAAACATTAGATATGAATTCTTTTTATTTTTATATTTTCTTTTTCTTTTTCAATTCTATCTATCTATCTATCTATCTATCTATCTATCTATCTATCTATCTAATCTATCTGTCTATCTATCTATCTATCTATCTAATCTATCTATCTATCTATCTATCTATCTATCTATCTATCTATCTATCTATCTATCTATCTATCTAGTAGAGACAGGGTCTTACTGTGTTGCCCAGGCTGGTCTCAAACTCCTGGGCTCAAGTGATCCTCCCACCTCAGCCTCACAAAATGCTGCCACCATGCTCAGCCAGATATGAGTTCTTTTTCTAAAGGAAGGGTTTATTTAAAAGGAGTCATAGACCATCACTGGATTCTAGTTTCCTGAGAGACATAGAGGGTACTCTGGCATTGAAGAGAGACACTAGAAGGATGGACATTTTTGGAATGTTTAACAAGTCTCTCACTTTACAGCATCAGCAGCAGAGAGTGTTAAGCTTGAAAAAATAAGAAAAAAGTATAAAATTATGATCTTAGTGAATTAATGACATATTGCCAAGACTTAGGCCATCATTTATATATTAACATTAATGGGATGTGAATGTTTATAATAAAAGACAAAAAGATGAGCTTAAAGAAATTAGACCTATTACCCAAACATAAATATTTACTTTTACATGTTGTCAGAGAGTATTTGTACCTGTCATATTGCTGTTTTGCAAATTAGAGAGTTAAATTGACTCCTTTTTATAGATATTCTATTTCCGTCCTAAAACTCTTTCCATCACTAAATCTCTCACTAAACTTTGTGGTGTTACATAATCCTCACTTTCTAGTTAGTGGCAATCATAAAAACAGATAAAAAGGCTTTCATTATTAGGAGTGGCATGGATGAAGTAGTTGATACTATTGGCAAGATAGAACATGACAAAGAGAGCATGACCATTATGACTTATGCATTAAGTGAGGTGTTTTGGGCTCTTTCTGGCTATGCACCATATGGTAAGGAAATGATATCTCTGTCAGGATAGACTAGATTGTAATGCAGTAACAAATGACCCTACTTAAAAAAAATTATTGTTATTTGAATATTTGCAAAATTTAAGGATCATGACATCATGATGAACATCTATAGAAATACATAGCTCTCTACCTAAGTACAAAATAGAGATATAGAGATAAAGTACAACTGATTCAGATAGTTAAATTATTATGCTATTATTTAATGTTCTCATGTGCAGTTTTATGTATTCCAGATAATCTTTCTAAATAACTTATGTAGACATTTATATTTTGGTCAGTCTATTTTTTTATTTCCAAGTAATTTAATTTTTGTCCCAATTGAATTTTAAGAATAGAGCTAAATTAAAACTGTTACTCAGAGCTTTTTATTCACTTTTATGTTAATAAAGGGTTCCTTAGAGATGATATACCTAGTTTTCTGTAAGTGGTTTTTATTTTCTTGGTAATCTACAAGTCAGATTTTAGGCAACACCTGTTGAAAAAAGGTTAGGGCACCATTTACATGTTTTTCAAATTGTAAAGTTCTAATGCAGGTTTCTGCAGTTAGAATATTCATGACACAAACTGTTTCAAATACAACTTAAATTGAGATTCAGGTTTAAATGTTGATTTATGAAAGTTCTTCTTTAATGAAACTTGTTTTTATGAGATCTCTGAATTGCAAGAAGTAGGACTTCAGCTTTGGAACTGAAATAGCTCTTGGCTATTTGTTTTAATCACTTTCCACACAAACCTCACTTCTGAACGGTCATCTTATTTAGAGTTATTATCAACTTACTTGCCTTAGTGCTGACATTGTTGATGGATTCGAAGAAGTGAAATTGGCAATCCTGTATCTAATGCTAGTGTCTTTGGAACAACAAAAGGAGTTTCAAAGGGAGGCTGAAATTGAACACTTAATATTATAAATCATGATATATGTATTTTTTTGTTTTGTCTTGTCTTTTACTTTGGAGAGGGGTTTCTTTACTGCATGGACAGTTGTATTCATTAAATATATAGAAAGGTCATGGCTTTCCTAAAACTTTGGGCTGTTCTTTAAAAATTAATCTTATTCTCATCAGGAGTTTGTCACTTCTAAACTGATCTGAGTTAATTTATTGGAACTGTGAGTAAGAGACATTACATAATTTGGGCACAAGGAGAGAATCTGTGTCCTGGAACTTGCTGATGGCACCTTCAAAGGTGACCCAGTTGACCAGAAAGTGTTGATTTCCACTTTGTAATTTTAAAAATATATGACAATCAAAGGGCATTTCATGACCCAGGAGGGAGTGGAAGTAGCAAATAAGCATGATTATTGCAAAAGCTTACTAGATTGAGTAGAAGGAATATGCACTGCTGTCAAAAAGTTGCAATGTAAAATAGTCAAAACTTTTTCTATGGCTCTGATGATAGCAATCAACAAAATGAGGAAAATGATGTGGCAGGATTCAGAATCTGACTAAGGAGTACTAACAGAGAAAATTATCATGTTCTTGGCTTTAGAGACAAATAAATGGGCCATGTGGGCCCAATCTTTTGTAACTTAAAAAATGGGAAAAGCTACGGGAGAGTTAACGTTACCATTTTATGCCTTAAGTGAGATGTTTTGGGCTCTTTCTGGCTACAAGGTTTGGAACCACAATTGGATTAATGGTAGTTGGCTTTAATGGTCCGTGGGAAGCTAAAGGTTACAGGCAATCATTTCATCAGCCTCCTGGCTGGCCTCAATGGAAATAAAATTGTCAGACTGTAACTTTAAGGAGGCTGAGTTAGCAAATATATTAATTTCCTATTGTTGTTGTTATAAATTATTACAAATTTAGTGGCTTAAAACAACACAAATATATTATGTCACGGTTCTATAAGTCAGAAGTTCACCATGGGTCTCACTGGGCTAAATCAAGGTATCCACAGGAGGCTGCAGGAAACACGTTTCTTTGCCTTTTCAGGCTTCTAGAAACTCCGTGCATTCCTTGGCTCATGGCCCCTTTTTCCATCTTCCAAGTAGCAGTATAGCATTACCACAACTACTTCACTGACTCTGCTTCTGTGGTCATACTGCCTTCTCTCGTCTGTAACCTGACCCTCATGCATCCCTCTTTTCATTTACTGAAAAAGCAATGACTGTGACATGACTAAATAAAGAAAATTTATCATATTTCTTAAAATAATGTATCAAAATAATTGTATTTATCAAAATGACAGCAAATTAAAAATTTAAAAAGAAAACAGATAACAAATCAATACGCAGGGTATGAAATTACTCCAGATGAAATGAATGGACAAGTGATTAGAAAATAATTATATTCATGGTTGCTCAAGATATAAAGAGATAGCAGTTACTAAAAAAAAAAAACACAAACATTTAGAGTCGCTAAAAATCTCAAAAGAACACAACTAGTGAGTGTGTAAAAGAAATTCTAGTCAATATGTATAAAACAAAAGATCACTATTCGGAATATGCAGATACCTCTTATTTATTAATAATGAACAAATGACCTAATAGAAAAATGGAGAAAATATTTAAGCAGATAATCAAAGCAGCCAATAAGCACATGTAGTTTTTCAGCTTCACTGTTAATCATGAAAATGTCAATTAAATATATATGTACTATTTTCTACTCACCAGATTGCGTAAATTCTAAATTGTCAGACAATTGAAAGGTTGATGAAAAATGGCTACAATTTTGCATATTGATTAAATCTAAAAACTAATCACCCAGAAATTAAAACTTTTGGTATTTACCCTTGAGAAATACTAATACATGTATATAAAAAGACGTGCACAGAGATATTATTTATTTTTATGGTTGTTTGTGGTAGGGAAAAATTAACATCAAAACAAACATAAAGGCCATCAAAATGGAGTAAATAAATAAAATGTGGTAAGACATGTAATGAAGAAATACTATTCTGAAATTAAATGAAATGCACTAAATGTATGTTTCAATATGTGGGGAAATTTTTTGTTGTTGTTTTTTTTTTTTGAGACGGAGTCTCGCTCTGTCGCCCAGGCTAGAGTGCAGCGTCGCGATTTCGGCTCACTGCAAGCTCTGCCTCCCGGGTTCACGCCATTCTCCTGCCTCAGCCTCCCGAGTAGCTGGGACTACAGGCGTCCGCCACCACACCCGGCTAATTTTTTGTAGAGACGGGGTTTCACCGTGTTAGCCAGGATGGTCTCGATCTCCTGACCTCGTGATCCACCCACCTTGGCCTCCCAAAGTGCTGGGATTACAGGTGCGAGCCACCGCGCCCGGCCCATGTGGGGAAATTTAAAAAAGATAGTGAGTAAATGATATGAAATATTTATGTAAACTAAAGCACAGCCTTTCTGTAGCCAGCTAGGTGGTCCGCACCTATAATCCCAGTTATTTGGGAGGCTGAGACCAGAAGATAACTTGAGTCTAGGAGTTTGAAGCCACCTTGGGCAACATAGTGAAACTCCATCTCATAAAAAAAAAATTAAAACACAAAATAACACTAGATAATTTGATTGGCTACATATTCATATGTTCAGAAGTTTGAAAACTAATTGAGGGATAAATAGCAAATTTCTAATAGTGTTTACACCAGTGTAGACGAGGAGTGGATCATCAAAGGAGGTGAGGATAGAAGAGAGCCTGGCTAGATGAGTGATATCTCTAATTATTTTCTGTCGAAATATACCTGTATTCATATTTTCAGTAGTTTGTGAAGTATGCACATGGGGGGAAATGTGTTTATGAGTAAACTAAATAAAGTATAAAAAGTGGTTAATTCTGGAAGCTAGCAATATAGGTTATTAATATTATTTCTTTTTTATGTGTTTTCTAAGTTTGTAAATATTTTATCAGGATAATTATACCAAAAAAAGTAGTTTTAAAAAACAGTGCAGCAGATTAACTTCAGAACATACAGAGCCACTGGGCAAATTCCTGAGCAGAGGAATTTATATCAAAAGCAGGATACAGAGGCAAAGAGATCTTAAAAAGACAGTTAAGAGATGAGTATAGCTTTTGAAGCTCCAACATAGATCTAACTGATTATTCATAAGAAATTAATAAAGAGAATAAAAAGAAGGAATATTTGAATTGATAATGTCAAATAATTTTTCAGAACTGAAAAATAAGAGTAGAGTCCACTGTTTAAAAGTATGCATTGAATGCCCAGTATGATAAGTAAAAATAAATCCACCTATAGAAATCAAGGTTAATGAGAACATCTTATTAGATACCAGAAAGAAAAGACAGACTACCTACAAAAAAAAAAAGACAATTAGAATGACACCAAGCTTCTCGTTAGCAAGGAGAGATGCCAGAAAACAACTGAGGATAAAATATTTCAACCTTAAATTCTATGCCTACCTAAACAATTGTTAAGAAGACAAAATAAATAAATTTTCTGATGTTGACTAACTAAGACAACTTCTGTCCATAAATTTAGTGGAGAGGAAGGTTTTTTAAAGCACCAGCAAATGTGAAACCAAAAGACAAAAATAGGATTCATGTAACAATGCATTTTTTCTTCCTCCTCTCGAAAAGAAGTTAAAACTTCTATATTACAGTCAATTGAATTTCCAGTAATTTTCCTTTTGAGAACAAATAAAGTAAGGAAAATCTTTACATTTTGCCTCCTGTTTCTTGATAAAATGTTAGGAAAAGTCAAAATAAGTCGAATATTTGATGAAATTGATGCAGTTCATGTCAGTATGCAGTAATTGGAAGCCTTGGAACCCTATGTAGGCTGACATAGAAAGCAATGTAAAAATGGCACGTGAATTTTCTTTCTTCTTTCTAAAAAGAAGAGCTAGATTTTTAGATAGGAATACAAATGCTTCATTTGTTCATAGGTTATCAAGATTTTCTTTCATTTGAAGTTTTGTTTGGCAGACATCTTCCTTTGAAAATGGGAGACTTGTGGAGGTTTCAAAGGGACTTGTGAGGAAAAAGTTTTGGACAGAACCAGAAACTGGCTGGATTGAGAGACAACATTTTTATACAAATGCACATTGAAAGGGAATGAAATAACCCTTAATTCCAACATGATCTGTTTCAGATTACTAAAGGAAATATATTATATTGTATGGTATATAATGAGCACTCAACAATTTTATGTTGAACTAGTAGCAATTATCTTGTGCTCCCGACCCACTAAGCTTATTTAAAGATCAAGAATAACAGATTATTCTTGATTTAAAGATCAAGAATAACAGATTATTCTTGATTTAAAGATCAAGAATAACAGATTATTCTTGATTTAAAGATCAAGAATAACAGATTATTCTTGATTTAAAGATCAAGAATAACAGATTATTCTTGATTTAAAGATCAAGAATAACAGATTATTCTTGATTTAAAGATCAAGAATAACAGATTATTCATTAGATTATTTATGTACTAGATAATTAATTCAGTTTAATATAAGAATAATGAAATAGATTAAAAGAGAGCCATGCATGGGTTAATGATATTAAAATGTCACAAACGAATAATTATACCAATTGTGTACACAGGAGCTTTTTGAGAAAAAAGTAGCGGATTTTATGTTCTGTTGAAAACTGTAAAGTTCTATATAAATGTTATTTCAACAGCATTGAAATGGTGATTTTCTGAGAAAATTTTCTGTACTAGTTTAACTAAATTATACATGGAGATCAAATGAATTCTCAAGTGGGCCTATTTATTTTGAATCAGGAATTATATAAAATATGGAGGACATTATTAAGAAAAATAGCATTTAAGACTAGGCCTAATTAATATTTTCAATGAGGGTAATTTCATAGGATTGAAGAGAGAATAGGATTTTTATAACTGAATATGGTATAATAGAGACCAAGAGTTTTCTGGTCATTCATTACCAAGAAAATTTTAATTATGTGGAAAAAAGCAAAAGAACAAGAAAGTCAAGAGGATCTGAAGCAGAGTATTTATCCAGCCCAGTGTCACTTGATTAAAATAGAGATGTTGTAGTCCTTTAGAATGTCCATAGAGACAACTGAAACTGACCTTTAAAAAGTGTTGACTATAGGTTTTGTTGTTACTGAGCTTTGATAGCCACTTTAAATCCCTTCTGATGCAATTTATGCCCTCCCTTCTTTATCAAAAAGGAAAAAAATTGTTTAGTAGATAATATGGAAATATGCCTCATTTCTCTACAGTCTAGCACCACTGAACTAGAAAATATAAGGCATTTATATTTTCTAGTTTGGTGATTTCGACCATTGAAGTGTTCTTCATTCCACGCTTTGGAATGGAAACTTGAAAATGATGTAGGAATATAGTATAAACATTCTGACTAGAGTATGATTGAAAAAAATGTAACTAGAGTGGTTTTCTCTTTTCTGTAGACTGTTCTTTCAGTGCACCTCTTAATATGATTATGGCTCCAATCTCAGAGAGCCTGAGAAACTTGCCCAAGTCCACATGGCTAGAACATAACATGATTCATTCAGGGTATATTAACAATAAGGTTTATTTTCGGGTTAAGAATAAGAAAATGCCTTATATTTTTTGAGTGTTCGTTTAAAGTCCACAGTCAAAAAATATTATATGACTTCATCAAGGCCTAACTCTCTTCACTTTATCACATTGCTTCAACAATAGACTGTTAAGGCAGTGGAATAATCTGGGATGATTAATTTTCTTGTAATCATTGAGGACCATGAATAAAATTGCAAAAAAAAAAAACAACTGCCATTTTTTCCATTTATATTTTTAATTAGAAAGCAGGCATTTAATGAGAAAAATTCACGTTTGCCTTGCAACTACTTATGGTCGCGTTAAAATGTCTATCAATGTAGGATAAATGGAAACATGTTAAGATTTGATTATTAAGCTTTGCTTAATTAATATATTTCCAGGAAAATATCAGACTACTGATTTGGGCTACAAATAACACTGCCTGGTTTTTTGTAGCCAGGTAGTGTTATTTGCAGCTGAAATCAGTAAGTTTGTAATTTAGAACCTGTTAGCCTAATAAATCATCATGTGTTACTATGAATATGTGAAGGCATTTAACTAAAGTCTAAGTATGATCCATCATATGGAAATACGTGAAGGCATTTCCAGTCTTTAGTAAGGACATGGCAATGTCACTATCATATAGAACAGTGGAATGGCTATTATTTGCCTCATCAGACGGATGCATTCTTAATAAAAGATAAATTAGATTGAACCCATAAGCGGATGTCAGGAACTGTGAGATTTACATTTTAGAAACATTTCCTAGAAATATCATGGGAAAACTTATCAAATGGATTTTTATTATCAAAAATAGCTGAGAATTGTTCGTACATCTACATATGCTCATGTTCCTTAATTCTAAATTTGCTTCAGAAACAAGTCAGTAATTTAAATGACAAATAAAACATTGGAAAAATATTTTCAATGCATATAAGCTAATTTTTATTTTAATACCAATAGACATTACATGCTTTCTTAGAAAAAGAACTGAATGTGAAAACGAAACAGTTTAATCTCTGCTCTGATATCACGCATTTCACTGGTGAGTCTACTATTTTTTTCTCATACATTACTACTTAAAAGTATGGGAGTTTGATAAATTCAACAAAATACCTTTTATTGTAGCCTTAGGTGGCTTCCTTTGTTTTCTCAGTTAAGAAGAGGACATTAATGAGTATGAAAACATCTAAGATTGTTGCTTTATTTACTAAATGCTGGGCTGATTAAATAGTAAGTCTGCCAAAGATCACAGCCTTGAACAAAAGGCATAGATGCATATCACAGAGTACCAGGAGGGGATTCCATTCCTATTCCATTTGAGTCTCCCCTGACAAATGATACTGAGCACTACGTTACATTGATTCACTTGCCCACAAAAGGTTGTGATAAGAGTGTCTAATCTTTATGCTTGAATTGCCTTATTGTACTTGTAGAAATGAAAGCAGAAGAAAATATATGGAAAACAGATTGTGTATCTTATTTGTCTTCTGTCCAAAGGATACATTTAAAATAATTTGTCTAGCCAGGCGCGGTGGCTCACGCCTGTAATCCCAGCACTCTGGGAGGCCGAGGCGGGTGGATCACGAGGTCAGCAGATCGAGACCATCCTGGCTAATACAGTGAAACCCCGTCTCTACCAAAAAATACAAAAAATTAGCCAGACGTGGTGGCGGGCGCCTATAGTCCCAGCTACTCAGGAGGCTGAGGCAGGAGAATGGCGTGAACCCAGGAGGTGGAGCTTGCAGTGAGCCGAGATCGCGCCACTGCATTCCAGCCTGGGTGACAGAGTGAAGACTCCGTCTCAAAATAATAATAATAATAATAATTTGTCTAAACAGAGTTCTTTCTTCAGTGTGCTCTTCACATTTTAATGCTGATTTGAAGCCTGTAACCATTAAAATTAAAATGGAAAGATTATACTTTAAGAGTAGAATCCTCAAATGCATATAGAAGTATAAACCTAATGCCCTTTAGCAAAGTCTAGGAGGCATCAAGATAAGATTAGTTCCTAGTAGTTACTCTTTGTTAATTAACTCCCTGAAGAAACCTGAGAACATTTGATATTAAAGAAAATATAGTAGTTCATTTTCAGATAGATTGAAGTTTTCCTTGCTCTTCTAATAGATGTCTTCCTAATATAGTTTCCATAATCTCTAAATATCATACCCTGCTTTTATTCTCTTGTATATTTCCCCTCCCATATATAAAGTATATAATGTACTGAGAAACATAGAAATAATTGCAATATACAATATTCCTAGTTACATTTCAGTAATTGTTTTGTGGCATACAGTTACATATTCTTTCTGGGAGAGTGTGATGAAGGATATAGATGAAAGATTGGTCATTTCAGTGCCAAATCATCTTAGACTTTATGTCCCTTCCTCCCTACAATGTCACCATCCTCTGTAACGCTTTTCTCAGAATTGAGACTCCCTGAAGGTCTTAGAGTTTAACGATGCCCTTTTTGTCCATTAGTTTATTTAATAAATGATTATTGAGCAACTATATGGCAAGTACTGTTCTTGATTGTAAAATCTGGCAAGGACCTTTAAGGTCCTCCCAGGGTCTTTTATCTTATAAGTTGTCAAAAAGGCTTAGTAGTAATTATTTTATTTGAGTTCACATAAGGATATTACAAGGTTAAGACTTTTATCGTGACAAAAGTTTTTGTGTTTTATTTTTCGTGTCTCTAGTTATTTTTGTTTCATTTTTATTCTCAAACCAGTTTTGAATCAAGGGATTTTATTTTTGTCCAGCATTTCACTTTAAGACAGTTAGAGTTTCTTACAATTCCTGTGCTCATGAATGAAAATTAAAGCATATAATCATTCAACTAAAGCGTATTGCTTGTCATCTTAAAACCTATTTTAGGATGTGAAGTATTATTTATTGAAATTTTAAGTTAGCAGTGTTTGACGTAGTTTGTATCAGATACTCTCCAAAGTCATTTTCTGATTAATGGAGACCATTTAAATATATAAATAACTGATACAGAATGAATAGCACTGGCTATTACAATTTCTTTGTCTTTAAATTCACAGGAGAATGGTGTTGCCTAAGAATTGTTGGCATTTTTTAATGAAAATTTGTTTATACATTTACATAATAAAATTAAAACCCTTTTTCAAAGGCACTTGACATTTAGAGGCATTGTTTAAAAATATTTTCCAGCATCTTCTAGATTTTACACCAAGTGAATGTTCTGTTTAAAAATGGTTCTATGGTCAAACAAGTTTATGGAATGATGCCTGCTTATTCTCCCTGTAGAAATTCATAATGCCCATTTCTGTATCAGAAAAATCTTAGAGAATCTTGCTTATCTTTATGTTTCCCTTTAGAAAATGAAAACTATTTCAAACATTTTATTAGTATGTAGAAAATACTATGACAGCAGAAGTATTTTATCAGTCTTTAAATTTTTCCCAAATAGCAATACATTCCAGTTGCATGCAAATGTAAATACCTTCTCTCAATTGCCTGAAATTAATACATTAAAATAACAGAAAAATAGTGTTATCTTAGTCTGTTTGGGCTGCTATAACAAAATACTTTAGACTTGTAATTTACAAACAATAGGAATTTATTTCTCACAGTTCTAGATGCTGGGAAGTCCAAGATCAAGGCACCAGCAATATCAGTGTCTGGTGAGAGCTCTCTGCTTCATAGATGGTGGCTTGTTGCTGTGTCCTCACATCATGGAAGGACAAACAAACTCTCTCAGGCTTCCTTTATAAGGGCATTAATCCCATTCAGGAGGGTTCCACCCTCATGATATAGTCACTTCACAAAGGCCCCACCTATTAATACATTTGGGATTGCATTTCAACATATAAATCATTGAGGGACACAACATTCAGACCATAACAAGAATAAGCTTGGATTTGGAAAGAATTTGAAAAGGAAAGTAGGAATACAATTGACTTTCCCAAGTTCATAGGTAGTAACAAAGAATGAGCAATAATCAAGATGCCTTTGTTCTTATCTTTCCCCAACTCAAATAAGTTATATATAAAAATTCATTTCTTACTAGGTCCATTATACTTGTCTATCTCTTGAAAACTTGAGTGTCCTAATGAAATGAGACTTCTATTTTGTAAGATGAGAGAAAGGTGAGGCAAATATTCTGAGGCACCTTCTAGACTGCAGAGCAACATGCACTGAGTTTTTTGAAAGATTTACCAGTTTTAAAAAATAAATGCTGTCTTGTTCTTCATCATCCTCCCATCACTGGCATATCTTGGTAAAAGTGAGATGTTATCAGTGAGAGCCCTTTAGGTAGATCCTCGTAAAAGTTACCATTTTGAGAATTGTATTTATGATTGTTGGTGTGTTAACAAAATCATGTTGCAAGAGAAATGGACTTTTGGCTAACTGCCTAGCTCTATTATCCTAGAAACTAGTTAAATGGTATATGTCAACTATTTTATGATAAAAATGTCCCCCGTGGATGGATGAGATGTATCTAGGTTGGAAGAACCATAAATACTTGAGAAGAAGTCACAGCTTTGGGTGTTCCTAGGTGCAGGGACTCTTGATATGGGGCATATCCCTTGAAGGTCTTTGGAAGCTGTATTAGTCCATTCTCACATTGCTATAAAGAACTACCTGAGACTGGGTAATTTATAAAGAAAAGAGATTTAATTGTCTCATGGTTCCACAGACTGTACAGGAAACATGGCTGGGGAGGCCTCAGGAAACTTATAATCATGGTAGAAGGCGAAGGGGAAAGCAAACATGTCCTATGTGGCTGGAGCAGGAGGAAGAGAGCAAAGAGCGAGGTGCTACACAACCAGATCTCCTGAGAACTTACTCACTATCATGAGAACAGCAAGGGGAAAATCTGCCTCCATGATCATGTCTAAATTGCATGTCAGATTGTAATTCCCAGGCCCTTCCTCCAATACTGGGAATTACAATTTGACATGCAATTTAGACAGTGACACAAATCCAAACCATAACTTTCCGTCCCTGGCCCCTCCCAAATCTCATGTCCTTCTCACATGGCAAAATACAAGTATCCCTTCTCAACAGTCCCCCAAGTCTTAACTTATTCCAGCATTAACTCAAAAGTCCGCAGTCTGAAGTCTCATGTGAGACAAGGCGAGTCCCTTCTACCTATGAGCCTGTAAAATAAAAAACAAGTTAGTTAATTCCAAGATACAATATGTCTTGGCTATTAGCATTCGGCTCCTCTTTACTTATGCAAATCTCTGCAGCCAGCTTGAGTACTCCCCAGAAAACAGGTTTTTCTTTTCTACCACATGATCAGGCTGCAACTTCTCCAAACTTTTACCCTCTGCTACCCTTTTAAATATAAGTTCCAGTTTCAGATCATCCCTTTGCTCATGCATATGCTGTTAGAAGCAGCCAGGCAACATCTTGAATGCTTTGCTGCTTAGAAATTTCTTCCACCAGATACTCTAAATCGTCTCTCTCAAGTTCAAAGTTCCACAGATCCCTAGAGCAGGGGCACAGTGCTGACAGTCTCTTTGCTGAAGCATAACAAGAGTGACCTTTGCTCCAGTTCCCAATAAGTTCCTCATCTTCATCTGAGACCACCTCAGCCTGGGTTTCATTGTCCATATCACTATCAGCATTTTGGTCACAACAATTTAACAAGTCTCTAGAAAGTTCCAATCTTTCCCTCAGCTTCCCATCTTCTTCTGAGCCCTCCAACTGTTCCACCCTCTGTCCATTAACCAGTCCCGAAGCTGCTTCCACCTTTTCAGGTATCTTTATAGCAATGTCCCATTTCCCAGTACCACTTTTCTGTATTAATCAGGGTTCTCCAGAGGGACAGAACTAATAGGATATGTGTATATATCAGAGGAAGTTTATTAGGGAGAACTGGCTCACATGAACCCAAGTCAAAGTCCCCAAAAGTCTCCAAGCTGGGAAAACAAGGAAATAGTAGTGGCTCAGTCCGAGTCCAAAAACCTCAAAAGCGGGGAAGCCAGCAGTGCAGCCTTCAGTCTGTGGCTGAAGGGCTGACAGCCCCCAGCAAATCACTGGTGTATGTCCAAGAGCCCAAAGGCCAAAGAACCTGGAGTCTGATGTCCAAGGGCAGAAGACTCCACAAGCCAGCTTATCCCACCTTCTTCTGCCTGCTTTGTTCTAGCTGCACTGGCAGCCAGTTGGATGGTGCCCACCCACATTGAGGGTGGATCTTTCTCTCCTATTCCACTGACTAAAATGTCAATCTCCTCTGGCAACACCCTCACAGACACACTCAGAAACAATACCAGCTAGCTAGGCATTCTGCAATCCAATCAAGTTGCCACCTAATATTAACCACTACAGAAGCTGTCAGTGGTGTTGTCCTGAATGACGTTGGCCTGTACCTGTTAGGGTGATAGCTCTTCTAAATCAGAACAATTTCCCCATCTCAATAATGTGGATCTGTTTCCTTGAACCTAAACTGTGTCTCTGAGGGTATAGCTTCCAGAGGGCTGTGTGAGCTGTCATACACATGAAATGCAGCAAGGACTCTTATGGAGAGGACCTCTATCACCTGACGTAGTTTCTGAGAAGACTCATGGCAACAGCGCCTATCATAGTTTTGAGTGTCTGAATGTTTAATTAAATCTACAGTGACCCCTTGGAGGGTGATTGAATGATATTTCTCTACTCTCCAAATATGCAACTTCGTTCTTACCCTCTGCATCATCATTTATAAAATAGAAAGACTAGAGCTGGTTTTCTCCAGGTGTGGATCTCTGATAATCCTCAGCAGAGTCACTTGGGATACAGATTCTCAGGTCTCAACCAAGAGAAATTAAATCAGGATCTTTGAGGTTAGGGTCCTGTAATCTTCTTTTTTAACACCTTCTCCTCCCCATGGTACTTGAATACACAGCTGGACAAGATGCTCATTAGTTTATTTTCTATTTTAGCCCTTGACCTTATAATTCTAATGATTTGTTCCTCCCATTCTACATAATGTCTTAATGCAATTCAAATCTCATTTCTTCAGAAGACCATCAAGGAATAAATAACTGGGAGTTTCAGAAATGGCAACAGTTTAGGGAAAATCTCTGTAGTTAAGTCAGGTTTGAGAAACCCCTGGAACAATTTGTTGTAATTGTATACTTTTTTAAAGATCCTTTTGGTCCCCTGTAATCCTTATGATTATTAAAACATACAGGTCCTTAGCACCATATAACGATTCTGTTTAAACTGTTGGCTTTTCTTTTTTTTCAACATGCTATCACCATTGTCACTGTTGCCTTGACTGTAGGGTAGTGACTTGCTAGAAGGTCAGAGATTATATTAGGTCTTACCAAACAAGTGAAAATCAATATTTTCACTCTCTTTAGGAGAATGAGTTTCATATATACTCGAGATGAAAGAAAAATTCCCTTTGTTGTTCTGCTGAAGTTGTCAAGCCTTCCATTAGTCTAGGTTAAGTTTCTGGGGTTATGAATTTAATTTTGGTTTCTAATATTGATTTATATTTCATAAAGACTTTGTTGGTTACAAAAAAAAAATCCTCAGTAAATTTTTCTACTTCAAGGGCAGTGCTTTAGTTTAGAAAAAGATGTGTTTCTCAGTGATTTAGTTTCCATTTCTGGACTTAACAATAATGAGTGAAACAGGAAATTTTGCTGTGAATTATGAAAGGTTATTATACAGTATTTCCAAGCCACTCAAAATTATGCATTCATCTTAGGCTCTTAAATTTAACAAAACTGAATGAGATTCAATACTATTTTCTCTGTTTTATCAAAATGTTATTGAAAGTTGTTTAAGATTTTATACTCCTCGAGGGCACATATCTTTTGTCATCTTTGCATTTTCAGTAGTGTTTTTATACTGCAGATAATTTATGCACATTTTATAAATGAGTGAACAAATAGATGTTATGAAAAAAAAGTACTGTTATCAGATTCCAGGATAAAGTAAAAAGCAATATTTAGCAATCCTCCATATACTACAATGCCCTACCCAAGCCTGTTAATTCCACTCCTCATCCTCATCCTGCCACAAACATTTTCAGAAGTCCTCAGACATCTCTGCTATATTCCCTAACTTGCCCCAAACTCCCGTGATCCAAAAGTAGGCTTCCCTTTCTCAATTAAACTTCCCTTTCGCTCAGTACCCCAATCTGAGCTTGCTATCCTGCGGAGAGTTACCTGGGAAATGAAGAGATGCAGCTGTATGATATATATGAACAAGTTTACCCTTACTGGGGAGATTTGTATTTTAAAAGATGGTGATGGAAAACTACAGTGATATATACATGCTAACTTTTCCCAATGTTCAAATTTCAGGTAGTGGGACATATGGCAAAGGTATTTTTCAATAGCAACCTAAAGACCTCTCAGGGAGGTGACCTCCTTTTCTGCCTCCAAGTATTGCTGGTTCTGCTATAACCTGATATGATTTTTTATTTATAGAGTGCTTTTTATAAGTTGCCTTCTTCAGGAAACATAAAAGAGTGGGAGGGGAAATGAATAATCTCTCATGCTTTTGTATCAGTTATTATCAACTTTGGCTGTACATTAGAATCACCTGGGGAGCTTTAAAAAAATCCTTGTGTCCAGGCCATCCTCCAAGCCAATTAAATCAGAATCTCCAGGGATGGAGCCCAGGTATCAGTATATATAAAGTTCCCAGGTAATTAGATTGTGAGGCCCACTAATCTAAATGAGGATGAGGAATGCAGTAGATCTCTGATGCTTACAGAAGACAATAGTTATAAGAAAAAGCCATGTGAGAAAAATTGGAAATGGTTGACCCTTTGGGAACTGGAGAGCAAAGACAGTGGCTACTGAGCTCCAACCAAGTGTTGCACCATGGGAGGGAAGGAGCAAGATGATTAAGAGGATCAGCCCTAGTGGCAGATCCCCTGAGGTTAAAGTACTTTTCTGCCCTTCACTATGTGAGTTTGAATGAGTGTCTTCTTTGTACTTGTTTTCTTATTAGCAAAGTGAGGATGATGATTATACCTATCTCTTAAGGTTGTTGTGAGGATTAAATGAAATCATAAGCATAAATCACTTAGCATTATGTTGGGCACGTAACAAACATATTCTACACTTTTGAACTATTTTGTTATGATGATCAACTTTGAAATACTAGAGTTCACTTGTCTTCTTTTCAGTAGGAAGTTGGCTTCCAATCTAGGGAGAGAGAAGGAAGAGAAGCAAGAGCTAGGGAGATGATAATCAAATGGTTCTGAGAATGATCTTAAATTTTTAAGATTTTTAAATTTTTAAAAAGGCTTTCTATCCCCTTGTTCCCACCCTCAGCCCTCAAGAATTTCTTACTGTCTTTATTTCCTGCCATTTCTTGTTCTTTTATAATCTTGTACCTCTAGTTTCACTATACATCAAAAAGATGGGAAGTGATATGCTAACATAAATGGGTGAATTTGTAGATGTATCAGTTGAGATTTTGCTGTGTAGTAAACTACCTCAGAACAAACAATAATTATTTTGTAGCTTAAAACAACTATTTTGTTTGTGCCTCATTAATGAATGGGCAATTTGGGCTGTGTTCTGCTGGGTGGTTGTTTTTATGGCCTTACTCATGTATCAGTGTCAGCTGTTGGTCATCAGGGACACTCTTTATTTCAGGATGGACTGGCTGAGGCTGGGATGAAGGGGTTGACTGAGCCATGTGTCCCTCATTATATAACTAGTTAACCTTGGCTTATTTACATGATGGAAACAGTTTCCAGGAGTGGAAGATTGGAAGCTTTTAAGATCAAGGCTGATAACCAGCACTGCATACTTCTCCCAATTTCTTTTGGGCATAAAAAATCATAAGGCTAGCGCATATCCAAGGGAAAAGTAAGATGAGAGTTGCTTCAAAGCGTTATGGCCATTTTTTGGTAATCTTTGACAATAACCTGTTGAAATAAAGCAAATGGGAGGAAATGAGGTCACAGTGAGGCTGATAGCATTGGACATATAAAAGTCATATTATAGATAGGCTTTGGCAGATGACTGGGTATGTGTGGTGAGAGATAGAAAAAAATTAGTGGAAGTTGCAGACTTAGTAATTATGAGAATTGAACTTTGATTAACTAAAATAGGAAAGCCAGAAGGTGACAAAGTAGCACGGAGGCTTACCTATATATTCTCTTACAGAAAACTTTGTACTGTATTCCTTTTCTAAAATTGCTTTTGTTTTTTAATAACCATTTTTTCCCAAGGGCAAGATGTGTTTTAAAATTCATTAGTTAAGGACTCAAATGACCAATTCGATTTTTCTACTTCTTAGTTGACTCCTTCATGAACTTTTGGAATAATAATAAAATGTATAAATAGTGTATGTACTTTATGCTTTAAATGAATATTCCTCTAATATCAACTCCAAAGCAGGTTATTCAAAGTATGAAAACCAACATATCTAACTCTGTGCTCAGACCAAGATTTGTGTAGCATCTCTAGAGAATCTGAGAGAAATCTATGAGAATAAAAGACAGTGGCACTGAGACATTATCTTTACATATGTGCTTATTGAATCTGTATAGAATTCTTCTATAAAAATTATAGACTTTTTTGTTACAGATTTGCTCTCATGAATTTAATTTTATATTGCCTTACTCTTATATTGTCACTTTATATAGGCCACTAGACTGTGAAATAAAATCAGATAAAGGTAGATGTTTTCCACCACTACCCCTTCTCCCCAATTTAGTATTCACAATTATTTTGCTATAGCAAGATGGTCTCTCCTTTTTACTGGTATTTTCCCTCAGAAAGTCTTTTTTTTTTTTTTCACTTTGACGTGCATTACGTTAGGTACTTTAAAAATAGCATATTTTCCTAAATTAATAGTCTTTAATATTCATTTATAAATACCCAGCACCACTTAACCTAGTGCTTTAAAAATTGATTATTATTTATTATTGCCATTACTTAAAATGTGCTTTTAAATAATTAAATGACTTTTTAATATTCCCCTCTCTCTCTCACTAACTTGAATACATTTTACCAGCCTTGATTTGTGGAGATGTCTCCACATGGATAGCTAGCTCTACTGGACAGGATAGCTTGTGTTACTAGCTCAGGCATAAATAATTATTTACTTTTGTTCTCTTACAGTATTTTCCTGATCTGTTACTTTGCTACTTCCATATTATTGCTGCATAATAAACTATCTAAGTACTCAGTGGTTTCCAATAACAATCCTTAATTCTCACTCCGTTATCCGTGGATCTTCTGGGGGTTGGCTATCTGTAAGGGGCTTAGCTGAGTTAGACTCTAAGATGTAGGTTGAGTCTCGGTCTGTGTCATATAACTCATTCTCTTTAAACCCATCATAGGTTTGAACATGGTATGGTCTAGGAAGATGACTCTGACAGCACTTTTTCTCTTTGCCAATTTGAACGCAGATGACTAGACATCTCAATGTATAAGATGTGAAACAGGAAACAACATGCAAATATACCTTTATTGACTTATAACAGATGACAGCAATTCCATTTTCCTCTACTATTGCATTTTCTACTCTATTTGTGAATGTGAGCTTTCCTCATCAATTTATAGAATCTCTGTATGACTCATTCTGTCTTAATCTAAAACTGAAATAACTTTATATTGTGGAAATAAAATATCTTACATCTCAATGTAGTCTAAAATAGGTTAAATGAGATGGTTCTTCCTGAGCAAGCACAGCAGGTCTGCAATACATCTTCTTTCTCCACATACATTATGTCAAGTATTCCTTTAGCATTTATATAAGTTGTATATGTCACACAGATATGGATCTATAAATGCAAACAGAGCACAGATGCTGGCACGATACACACTTAAAATTGTTTTATAGCTTTTGGATTTTATTTGTGTCGACTTAAAAGCAAATTTATAAATATTTTTTATTTAAGTAAAAGATGTGAGCTGCTATTAACACTGAAAGTGATTTTAGAGATCATATATTCTACCTCCCACATTCGTCACATTAGGGAGTACAATTCAGATGTGTCAAGTGGCTTATCAGAGGTTGGACTGTGAGTTAGTAGAAGACCTGGAAATGAACTCCAGCTCTCCTGACTACCCAGTTGGCTTTTTCCATCCTATTGCCATATCTCCTAGGCCTCTGCCAGGACAGAGTGCCACAGAACTGTCAGATGGGGAAATGAGACACAATTGTTTCCTGGATTCTATTATTGTTGAGATTTTTAAAAATGTGTTTTAATTCCTAACCTAGCTTTGCAGGCACATCAAAGCTGAGTGCATGTCCTTCCGAAATCTTCCCTGGTATCCTGTAATGGACACTGATTTTTTTTTTAAATCTTCGAATTCTTGTAACACTTAAACATTTTGGTGTGAGGATAGTAAAATCATTAAGAATAGGAAGCATATCTCTTGCTCCTTCTGCACCCTCTCACAGAGATTAGGGCAGTTCTGGCTGTTTAATATTATTGACAACTCCCCAGAAAGATGAACACAATAAACTGTTGATTGAGCACAGCCAAGTTTACTAGATCAACTACAGTAAGAGAGAGCACCATCTGAATGGAGTCTTGGTAATGTGTCAAAATATGATATTTTTAAGAGTTTCAAGCCCAGGCTGTATAATTTTAGGGTTGGTCTTGCAAAATGGGTAGTTAGTTGAGGCTTGGGCTGAGTTTATGTCCTAACAGGTTTGAATGGGTGAGAACAACACTACAAGAACCCATGATATGATTAGTGATGGGTAAGGTATTCCAGTATTTTTAGTGCAAGACGAGGAAAGCATGCATCTTCCCAGAATTGCTTAACGTGGGAAAACATAGTGGTATCAGTTTTTAATATTTGCTTATGGACAGGTCATTATTACATAATCCTAAAAATGAAACTGGGTAAACCCCAAGTTATATGTAGGAGGCATTTCTAAATAACACTCAGAAATTGGAAACTATGTAATTAATCAATTAATTAATTAATTTTTGGTATACAAATATAGCTCTATTAAACTAATGATAAAGATAGCATCTTTTTTTTTTTATTTTTTTATTTTTTTATTTTTATTTTTATTTTTTATTTTTTTTTATCATACTTTAAGTTTTAGGGTACATGTGCACATTGTGCAGGTTAGTTACATATGTATACATGTGCCATACTGGTGCGCTGCACCCACTAACGTGTCATCTAGCATTAGGTATATCTCCCAATGCTATCCCTCCCCGCTCCCCCGACCCCACCACAGTCCCCAGAGTGTGATATTCCCCTTCCTGTGTCCATGTGATCTCATTGTTCAATTCCCACCTATGAGTGAGAATATGCGGTGTTTGGTTTTTTGTTCTTGCGATAGTTTACTGAGAATGATGGTTTCCAATTTCATCCATGTCCCTACAAAGGACATGAACTCATCATTTTTTATGGCTGCATAGTATTCCATGGTGTATATGTGCCACATTTTCTTAATCCAGTCTATCATTGTTGGACATTTGGGTTGGTTCCAAGTCTTTGCTATTGTGAATAATGCCGCAATAAACATACATGTGCATGTGTCTTTATAGCAGCATGATTTATAGTCATTTGGGTATATACCCAGTAATGGGATGGCTGGGTCAAATGGTATTTCTAGTTCTAGATCCCTGAGGAATCGCCACACTGACTTCCACAATGGTTGAACTAGTTTACAGTCCCACCAACAGTGTAAAAGTGTTCCTATTTCTCCACATCCTCTCCAGCACCTGTTGTTTCCTGACTTTTTAATGATTGCCATTCTATGACAAACCCACAGCCAATATCATACTGAATGGGCAAAAACTGGAAGCATTCCCTTTGAAAACTGGCACAAGACAGGGATGCCCTCTCTCACCGCTCCTATTCAACATAGTGTTGGAAGTTCTGGCCAGGGCAATCAGGCAGGAGAAGGAAATAAAGGGTATTCAATTAGGAAAAGAGGAAGTCAAATTGTCCCTGTTTGCAGACGACATGATTGTTTATCTAGAAAACCCCATCGTCTCAGCCCAAAATCTCCTTAAGCTGATAAGCAACTTCAGCAAAGTCTCAGGATACAAAATCAATGTACAAAAATCACAAGCATTCTTATACACCAACAACAGACAAACAGAGAGCCAAATCATGAGTGAACTCCCATTCACAATTGCTTCAAAGAGAATAAAATACCTAGGAATCCAACTTACAAGGGATGTGAAGGACCTCTTCAAGGAGAACTACAAACCACTGCTCAAGGAAATAAAAGAGGACACAAACAAATGGAAGAACATTCCATGCTCATGGGTAGGAAGAATCAATATCGTGAAAATGGCCATACTGCCCAAGGTAATTTACAGATTCAATGCCATCCCCATCAAGCTACCAATGACTTTCTTCACAGAATTGGAAAAAACTACTTTAAAGTTCATATGGAACCAAAAAAGAGCCCGCATCGCCAAGTCAATCCTAAGCCAAAAGAACAAAGCTGGAGGCATCACACTACCTGACTTCAAAGATAGCATCTTAAAAGGATACATTGGGCATCAGATTCAGGAACTAGAGGCAGAAAATTTATGGGAAAGGATTGCAGGCACTCAGAAGTAATTGTGGCACAACAAAGTGATCTCTGTGCCATATCATTTGTCCTACAGTGCATGCTTTCTAGTTTCCTTTGCCTTGACTTCATAGTAACCTCCTAGATAGAGTCTAAGATTGCTCCTCTGGCACTGGTCCCTTGCTTACTTGTGCTTGGCCTGTCTGTTGCTGACTTCATCTCAGACTTCAGCCTACAGCCCTGATCCCTGCCTTCAGTCCATATCCTTGGTTTGGTAACTTGTTTATGCGGTCTTCCCAGTATGTAACCACTGTCCATACTCTGTCCATATCACTGCTCCAAGGTGGCTTATGGTACTATATTTCCAAAAGCCTGCTAAAGGTCATCACTACAGCAATTCTCCTTTTTCTCCCATCATCAATTTTCTCTTCTCTACTGAATATTCCTGAAAACATACGAACAGTCCATTGTTTTTCCCATTCTAAAAGAAAGAAAACCTTTCTTGACTCCAATTTCCATTATATTTAACTCCTTATTATCTCTTTTCCATAATTGCAATATGCCTAAAATTTCTTCAATTTCTTTAATTAATTTATCTCCTCCCATTCTTACCTGAATCTACCCCAATCAGGCCTTCAACTCCACCGCTTTGCTCAAAGTGTACTGGTGAAGTTGAGTCTTGATTTCCATGTTGCTAAATTCAGTAGTAATTCTCAGTCTTCATCTTACTTAAAATTATCCAGGCTGGAGTGCAGTGGCAAGATCATGGCTCACTGCAGCATGGACCTCCCAGGCTCAAGTGATCCTCCCACCTCAGCCTCATGAATAGCTAGGATTACACATGTGCACCACCATGCTTGGCTGGTATTTTTTATTTTTTGTTGAGATGGGGTCTCACTATGTTGCCCGGTCTAGTCTTGGCTCCTGGACTCAAGCTATCATCCCGCCTTGGCCTCCCAAAGTGTTGGGATTACAGGCATGAGCCATCATACCTGGCCCATCCTACTTAAAATTTCAAGAACACTTCACACACAGCTGATCAATCTGTTCTCTGTGAAACATTTTATCCTCTTAGCTTCCAACATAATCACTTGCCTGTTTTTCCTTCTAGGTATCTAAATGCTCATTCTCAGATTTGTTTTTCTTACTGGTTTCTCTTAATTTCCTCATCTTCTTTTTTAAACTGTATTTTATTGTGTTGAGAACACTTAACATGAGATCTGCCCTCTTAAAAACTTTTGAATGTACAATACAGTATTGTTGACTATAGGTACAATGTTATACAACAGATCTTTATCTTATTTAACTGAAACTTTATGCATATTGATTAGTAATTCCCATTTATCCCCACCTCTATCCCCTGGAAACCATCATTCCACTCTGATTCTATGAATTTGGCTATTTTAGATACTTCATGTAAGTGGAACAATTCATTATTTGTCTTTCTGTGACTGGCTTATTTTAATTAGCATAATGTCCTCAAGTTTCATTCATGTTGCCATTTATTACACAATTTCCTTCTTTTTAAAAGGTGTATTCCATTGTATATATGTATCACATCCTCTTTATCCATTCATCTGTTAATGCACATTTAGGTTGTTTCCACATCTTGCTATTGTAAATAATGCTGCGATGAGCTTGGGGTCATTGATATACTGATTTCCTTTTCTTTGAATAAATACCCAGAGTTGGATTACTGGATCATACGGTAGTTCTATTTTCAGTTTCTTGAGGAACCTTCAAACTGTTCTCCATAACAGCTGTACCATTTTACATTCCCACTAACAGTGTGCCAGGGTCCTAATTTCTCCACAACCTTGCCAACACTTGTTTTCTTTCTCTATATTAACCATCATGACAGGTATGAGGTGATGTCATATGTCATTTTGATATGCATTTTCCTGATGATTAGTGACATTGAACATTTTTCTCACATACCTGTTGGCCATTTGTATGTCTTCTTTAAACATCTGTTCAAGTCTTTAGCCCATTTTAAAAATTAGATTACTAGTGTGTTTTTCTGTTTGTTTGTTTGTTTGTTTGCTATTGAGTTGTAGGAGTTCCTTATGTATTTTGGAGATTAACTCTTTATCAGATAAATGGCTTGTAAATATTTTATTCCGTGCTATAAGTTGCCTCTTCATTCTCTTGATTGTTTTTTGTTGTTGTTGTCGTGTAGGAGCTTTTCAATTTTAAGTAGTCCCTCTTGTTTATTTTTGGTTTGGTTGCCTATGCTTTTGGTGTCATATTCATGAAGCAATTGGTAAGATTAATGCATGAAACTTTTCCCCTGTGTGTTTTCATAGTAGTTTTACAGTTTCAGGTCTTATATTTAAGTTTTTAATTCATTTTGAGTTTATTTTTCTGTATAGTGTAAAACAAGGATCCCATTTTATGCTTTCATATGTGGATATCTAGTTTCCCCAATATCATTTGTTAAATAGACTGTCCTTTCTCCATTGTGTATTTTCGGTACTCCTGTCAAAGATCAATTGGTTGTATATACATGGATTTATTTCTGGGTTCTCTATTCTGTTAGATTGGCCTATATGGCTGTCTTTATGGCATTACCATATCTTTTGAATACTGTAGATTTGTAATATGTTATAAAATCAGGAAGTGTGAAACCTCTAACATTTTCTTTCAAGACTGATTTCATCGTTTATGGTCTTTTATGGTTCCATATGAATTGTAGAATTTTTTTTACCTATTTCTGTAAAAATGCCATGGAGATTTTGATATGAATTGCATTGAATCTATAGATTGCTTTGGGTAGTATGAACGTTTTAACAATATTAATTCTTCCAATCCATGAACACGGATATCTATTTGTTTGTGCCTTGCTTATTTTTTTTAATAGATGTTTTGCCCTTTTCAGTGTACAACTCTTTTGCCTCCTTAAGTTTATTCCTAAGTATTTTGTTGTTTTTGGTGCTAATGTAAATGGGATTATTTTATTAATTTCTTCTTTAGATATTTTGTTTGTTAGTATATAGAAACACAGCTAATTTTTGTGTGCTGATTTTGAATCCTGCAACTTTACCAAATTCGTGTTGTAGCAGGTTTTTGGTGGAATCTTTAAGATTTTCTTTATATAAAATGTTGTCATTTGCTAATGGGAACAGTTTTTTTCTTTCAGATTTGGATGCTTTTTGTTTCTTTTTGTTGCCTAATTACTCTGGCCAGGACTTTAAAACCATATAATTTAGTCTGCAGACATCGTTAGCCATGAAATTCACAGGTCTTATGCAAAGCTGGGACTGCTGAAAGTGCCATTTGAATTTTAAGAAACAACAGAGGAGTTTAGTCAGTTATTCTTTCATGTGTTATTGAAACTCAGTTTTGAGTGCCATCTCAAAACTAACAGAATAAAAAGAATGTGGGAAAATTCTGTATGTACTCAATCTCAACTTTCCTCCTTGAAAGTTAATATTTAGTAAAATGTAGTCTGAAAGAAGGAAGCCACTAGAAGTCATAGAAACAGAGAGTAGAATGGTGGTTACCAGGGGTTGAGGTTGTGGGCGGGGGGTTGGGGGGCATTGGAGTATGTTGGTCAAAGGGCACAAAATTTCAATTAGATAGGAAGAGTAAGTTTAAACGATGTATTGTATAACATGGTGACTGTAGTTATTAACAATATTCTTGAAAATTGCTCAGAGTAGATTTTAAGCATTTTCAATGCAAAAAATAAGTTTGTGAGTTAATACATCTGTTAATAACTTGATTAGCCATTCCACAATGTATATGTACTTCAAAACATCATGTTATAACTATAAATATAAACAACTTGTATTTCTCCATTTAAAAAATAATAAATAACTATTTATAGAAAAGGAAACCACTGGGCTCCCCCTTGCACTATTGGTCTTATCTGGGGAAACTGTTAGCAAAGGCGAAATAATATGCCAGATGTTCCAAATGGATACGTGATACCAACAGGCTTCTGTTAGAAACTATCTCCTGCCTACAATCCACCAACTGCAGTAGTGCTTTTGTGTCCTGCATGTGTACTGTCGAATGCCAAATTATAGCTCCATTTTCCCTCAGCTTTTCTCTATTCAAACTATTGCAGGAAGTTCACTTGTACATTTTGTTTTGTTTTATCCACCCAGTGCTACTATTTGGCTCCAATTCTACCATAAGCACAGATATATCCCCATGCACTGAAATCTTGTGGCAATGCTTACAGTGGTTAATATTTTTGGATTATCTTCAAAATGAAAGCAGCACACTATTTTTAAATTGTTCTTGAGAACCCTCAAGCCTCAATTTGAAAGATACTGCCCTAGAGACCTAACATAAACATGATTCTCTTTTTAACATGCAAACATTCATTCCTTCAGTAAATATTTATTCAGCACCTACTATGTGTCAGGCATTGTACTTTGCACTGGAGATTCAATGGGAAGCAACAATGGATAAGGCTGTTGCCCTATGAATTTATGGTGTAATGGATAAGGCTTTCCTTGAATAAGTCACAATTATAATGAACCAGGCAGCTAAGGACATGTTCACATTTTTATGTAGTATGAACAGCTGTAGTACCTCAAATTGATAGAAGCTATGAGTTATATGCAACTTAAACTTGAAGTATTTTTACCACTGAAATAGTCTAGAAGCTGTTCCTGAGAGATTAAGTTGTTTTGCATTATCATTACCTTGTCATCATCAGTGGTATGTGGATGTCATGGTTAAAAGAGGAAATATAATTTCGGAATTTGTGGCTTCTCAGTAGAGAACACATTTAAGGAATGATCTCTAAACTACTATACTACGATGGAAGAGAGAGTTCTAAGAAGTGAAAGAGGATAACAAGAAGATTATTAGGAGGCAACAAAGATAGGCTTGGCCTCTGTTGATATTTTCTAGTGATAAGTGCCTGGGGATCATCTAGGTGAAGCTCTAGGCGAATAGTCAGAAGTTGTTGATGTCTGGTAAGTTATATTAATGTAAAACCAGGCACCAGCTGATTTAAAACATACATAATTCAATAGAACACTTCTATATGTTAATCAATAACATCAGGTCTGATCATTTAGGCTACTTGGGTTCTATGTTATTTGGAGCAAGCCGTGCTCCAGATCCTACGAGACAGGTACACTGAGGATACCTAGCAGAGTCCAGCTCTGCTACTCCTATGGTCCTTGAATCATCCTGATGGACATAATTGGTAGGCATGTTAAGAGTGCCGAATCTTAGGCCACATTTATACTAAGTCAGAACCTGTATTATAACAAGATCCCCAGGTATTTGGAAGAACCTTAATTAAAGTTTGAGAAGCACAGATCTAGTAAACTGACTCTCTCTTAGATCTACTGATAATGCATTTTCCAAGCCATTGATTCTCATATCAATTTTACCTTTTTAACTCATTTTATAGCATTCTCTGGGCTTATCATTTTTCCCTCATTCAACATCACTTTTTAAGATCCTTCATTCATACTTTCATGCATTCAATGTATTCATAGTTAGCGAGCATCTTCTATGTGTCAGTCACTGCTCTAGGTGCTAGGGATAGAGGAGTAATCCAAACAGGCCATATCCCTGACTTTATGAAGATTTTAGATTATCATATTTTCCATGGCACTCCTATTTTCAGGTATTCTTTATGATCTCAGATCATTGCTCTTGATTTTTGGTATAAAATGTTATGTAGCATGACAGAATAAAGTTGATTATACTGAGATTGAAGGAACAGAATGCTTTGAGTCATCACAGACTTTTGTTACAGTCCTGGATATACTATAGCCTACTAGCTATGTGGTCTTGGGAAAGTTACTTAATCTCTTCGACTCAATTTCCTAAACTGTGCTATTATATATTAATTAGTAGGATAAAATAAAATAATATATATTAAATGTCTAGTAGGATATGTGGCCTAAGAGACTTTCAATAAATTGGAGGAAGAACAACTCTGGCTGTTCTTGTATTGCTATAAAGAAACAACAGACCAACTAATTTCTAAAGAAAAGAGGTTTAATTGGCTCACAGTTCTGCGGGCTTTACAGGAGGCATGGTGCTGGCATCTGCTCGGCTTCTGGGGAAGCCTCATGAAGTTCACAATCGGCGCAGAAGGTGAAGGGGGAGCGGACACGTCACATGGCTTATGATTAACGTATAGAAGCTTTCTATTGAATTATGTATGTTTTCACTCAGCTGGTGCCTGGTTTTACATTAATATAACTTACCGGGCATCAACAACTTCTGAGCAAGGAGCAAGAGCAGGAACGAGAGAGAGAGAGGGAGGTGCTACCTGCCTTTAAACAGATCTCACGAGAACTAACTCACTATCGCAAGGACAGCAGCAAGGGGATGGTGCTGAACCATTTGTGATAAATCCACTCCCATGAGCCAGTCACCTCCCACCAGGCCCACTTTCCAATACCAGTGATTATAATTCACCATGATATTTGGGTGGGGAGAAATATATAAGCTACATCAGAGCTTATACAAGAAACAGCATGAACTTGCTTGGGGCCAGTTTATTAAATCCAATGAAGCTCTATTAGATACAATAAAATTAGACACTTTAGAAATGTACAAAAGGCCTAAATTTGGGTAGTCTCATGCCTTCCCAAGGGCAGGTATTTTCCCTCTTCCTCCCTGCCTCTCCCGAGTGATTCCTTGCACACGTGGAAGGGAGATCTGGCAGGATGCTGAACTAGCCTGACGCTATGCTGGTCATGGCCTCCATGTTTCCTGTGAAACCCACAAGAATAGTTGAGCACAATTCTTAATAGGATGGCAGTGTCTCTTGCTGACCCGCCCATGCTCCTTGACTCTGCAGAGGGCTTGTAACAGGGGCTCATCCAAGGTCAACCTCAAAACTCCACCTCAGACATCAAATGGAGTCTGAAAGAGCCCAAGGAAGCCTGGCTCCTTATAGAAGTCACAGTGATCATTGGAGTTGATGACTGCATAAACTATAAGGTGACCACCTGACGACAGAGTAGCACTAACCTGACATCATTAACTCACCTACCACAGCTTCTCTGGCCTCGAAGGAATTTTTCTGCAGTACTGTGCTGTGAAGTATTCAGGAATTATGTTTTGTGCTGTAACGTGCCATAGCCATAAACCAAAATAAAGTTTTTAAAAATGAGATAGCTACTTAACTAACCTGTTAAGATTTAGGCTAATGATTAGTTCTCTGGCATTACACATCCTCGAGGCATGCACCGTAGGGTAAAGGACACCAGAATATGAGATATCAGTGGTCTGGACAAACAGATACTTTTACTTCAGAGCAGTGGGAGGGGAGATGGAAGTGTTAGTACCATCCTGTGATCACATAAAGGTGACTCTTCACCTGCAGTTGCTAGGGAGAGGCTTGTTTGTTACTCAAATGAACAGGAAATTAAGAGATGAGCTTAGTTAATGCTAGGAATGCTTCATGGCTCTCTATAAGTAAGCACAAACTTGTGGGGTAGGCATTGTGACAACGAGGTGCCTGTAAATATGAAGTTCAGTGCACATGATGTGGCAAAAAAGACTTCTGCGATTCAGACAAGCACTTCTTCCAAAGAGCTCTAAGCACAACCCTGACGCTGTTTCCTTCATTCTCAGGACACTTCTGTGAATTAGCCAAAGGTCAAACCCAGTCCTTCTGCTTAGACAGAGGTAGAGGGAGAGCAAGTCACCAGTCGGGAGGAGCAGAGGGGGCACCATAGTGGGGACTGCCTGGCTCGTCCCTCTGCCCTTGTCTTCTTCCTCTGCCGGGCACTCTCCTGTCTCTCCACAGGGCTGAGCAGGATGTGGTTCTCACAGCCAGTGGCCTAAGTGCCCAGCAGTCACCGGAGAACCAGGCCCACTGAACCTTGGGGGAAGCCCTCTGCTGTTAGGGAAGGAGACAGATGCAGCTGTTTATTAAGGGTGACCCTGTGCATCCACTGTGCGGAGCAGCAATTTGCAGGCCCAAGTGGACTCAATCTTTGGGAAAACACAGAGCTAGATGGATTCTTATTACTGCCATTTCACACAGGAAGAAACCTGCTCACAGGGAGTAAGTGAAGGTCCAGGATCACATGGCCAGAAAGTGGTGAACAGGGATCTCCAACCCAAATCCTCTGACCTGCTATTGAATCTGGCTGGGCAGCCTCTGGCCAGCTGTCTATGAAAGGCTGGCAGGCAGCAGAGTGTGGCCCTAGAGGATCTGATGAACGGGTGAAAACCTAAAATGGGGAAACTCACACAGGATGGGTTCATTTTCTACAATGCTTCAGGTGACACCATTTTTCTAAGTTTTAACTTAACAAAGAACATGAGAGTGTTAATAAGAATTGTATGTTCTTGGGTACATCACGTGGGACAGAATTTACATAGAATATATATATATATCTTTCAAAACATATATTCAGCCATTGATAACTCTGTTGCTTTATTAAATATTATGATTCTTAGATTAGTTGTATCATCTGTGAATGAGATTGATAATTGTGTTTGCAATAAGATATATTCATAAATTCCATTCATTAATAATAACCATTAAGAACTGCTTGAATTTCATGTCTTAGACCATATAGTAGCTTATATGTAATATTATCATTTAATTCACCAGTGTCCACAGAGAGGACAGAGCAACACATGTCACAGGAAGAATCACAACACTATTTGATAATCCCTGTCTTGGGTTCTTTTTTGGAATGAGGTGGGGTATATATAAATAAATAGTAAATGAAGTCAACATGACCATGCTTTTGTATATTTCTTTCTGGTTTACCTCGTTTCACCTCTCTTTTCATATGAAAGTTCTTGCTCCATTAAGTTCATATCAACTGCAATGCCACATTCTCTTTCCCATTGCCATCACCTTCTGACCTTTAGAAGTTCCCTATATGAATAATGCCTTCAGCACTTTTGTCATCGTTTTCAGCTTCACCCCAACTGCCAGCATGATTCTGAGATTTTATGGTGCCGAGAGGAGCCCCCCTCACCAATGTCCTGGCCTCACAGGCCTTGATTTCCTCAGAGCCAGTGAGGCAGTCCTCTCTCCCCTTCCTCCTCAGCCAGCTCCTTGCACCAGGCCCACAGTTTACACTGTCACTGTAAGAAATTGCTGGCCTTCTCTGAATCTCTGGTTTAACCATCCCATGCTGATGCCACCTTCTATCCCTCTTTCAAGGTCTCTGGAGGATAGTGTTCCTCCTGCAGAAGGTGATCCACGCTGCTTACAGGGAACTTCACTTCTGTTCTTGCAGAGTGGGAAACAAGTCAGTTTTGCATACCCGTTGGAGCTCCAACAGTTCTTTTCCCCAGCCATGGTGTTTGCTAGGTTTTGCTCAGATGGGCCCTGCTTGGTTGTCGTATTAGCCTGAGTGTCTAAGGACACCAGTGTTCATTCCTCCCTCCTCCTCCACTTTATCCCATTCTCCAGCCCCTCGTTAGTCAGGCTTCATGACTCCTAAACTTTGTGATGTCATTGGTGACACTGGGCTCTGATCAGATCTTGGCATATGGTTCCTACCAGGTTCGTGGTGGAAACCTGATTACCCTAATGGCCGAATCCACTTTTAGAAGGAAGCCTTGACTTTCTACATTGTAGGAAAGTAAATGAGGGTTTCAGTGGAAAACTTTGCCTTGTATAGAGTACATCACTCTAGGTTCTCTGACACTAACCTTGCATTTGTCTTTGAGCTCATTTCTATCATTTTGTAAGTTGTAGGTCACTGACAGACATGCTTAATATCTCGTACAGTGGAGGTTCAGTTGTATCTCCTTTCATGTTATAATAAAACCAGTTTTGCCTCCATTTACACGTTCATTTCAATATCCTTGATCAATATTCTAGTATGTATTCTTTATATTCTTTTTTGAACCAGCCACAATTTCTACTCATTTACTCATTAGTTAAATAGACTCTTTAAATACATGTTCATTTCATATCTGTATGAGTATCATGATTTTACTCTGTTTGAAAAATATTTTTAACTGTTTTGGAAGTCCCAGTGAGATGCCCAATGTATTCGCTTGCCAGATCCAGATTATCTTTAATGACAAGAAATTGCACCTCCTATGTGGTTAAAACCCAAATGTGTCTTTTCTTGGCCCTCTTTAGGTGAATCCAAAGCAATGAGAGAACATTGTTCACTCTCTATTTTTCTAGCTTTAATTTCCCTCTCTACTAATTTTGTGTTTCTCTTTGGTTTTGTTTCATTTACAGCCAATAAGTTATTCTCCTTTGTTGGCAGCAATCGTTGTGAACTTGATTTTAGGGTCTGACGATTTGGAGATCCCTCTAAGTAGATAAATGGTGTATAGAAATCTAATGACTGTTGAGTGAAAGAGAACAGAGAATCTGGCTTATCTTTCTTTTTGTCTGTCTTTTTTAAATCTCAAATCAGTGAAGAATTCCATGTCCTCTTACAGGAAAACAGCTCTTCTATCTAGACTGGGGAGTTTTTCTGTTTCTGTGTTGAATTTTGACCCATGTCTGAACAAGAATCGAAGCTATAAGTTGTACTTCTCTGTGCCTGTAGGGATACCTTCACCTTTGATTGTGTGAATGTATTGTGTTTCTTAGTTCCATGTGGTAATAATATATATTATAAAGTCTCTCAAATTAAAGGAGCCCTGTTCTGATTGGTATATCTGAATACTTGCTTATATAAATAAAAATTGCCTAAAATTCTCTGAAATAAATGAAATTGAACTAATACTTTAAATGTGCTAGAATACAATATATATATTCTTCATGAAACCATTCAGAACCATAATAAAAAATTTAACTACACATAATTTAAATAAATATTTGGCAAAAATGAATGGTTTACTTTAGAATTTATTAAAAACAGCTATATCTTTTTTGATGTCAGTGTTATTACAAAAGTGTGTTTTTTAATGAGTTGGGGATTTTTTATTTGTATTTATTTATTTACTTTTAATTTATTTTTTATTTCAATAGGTTTTTAAGGAACAAGTGGTGTTTGGTTACATGAATAAGTTCTTAGTGGTGATTTCTGAGATTTTGATGCACCCATCACCTGAGCAGTGTACGCTGTACCCAATGTGTAGTCTTTTATCCCTCACCAACCCCCACCCTTTCCTCCCAGTCCCTAAACTCCAATGTATCATTCTTATGCCTTTGTGTCCTTATAGCTTAGCTCCAACTTATGAGTGCAAACATGCGATGTTTGATTTTCCATTCCCAGGTTACTTCACTTAGAATAACAGTCTCCAGTTCCACCCAGGTTGCTGCAAATGTCATTATTTCATTGTTCTTTATGGCTGAGTAGTATTCCATCGTATATATACACCACATTTTTCTTTTCCACTCATTGATTGATGAACATTTACATTTGGGCTGATTCCATAATTTTGCAATTGCAAATTGTGCTGCTATAAACATGGTGTGCAAGTATCTTTTTTGTATAATGACTTCTTTTCCTCTGGGTAGATACCTAGTAGTGGGATTGCTGGATCAAATGGTAGATCTACTTTTAGTTCTTTAAGGAATGTCCACACAGTTTTCCATAGTGGTCGTACTAGTTTATATTCCCACCAGCAGTGTTACAGTGTTCCCTTTATACTACATCCATGCTAACATCTATTATTTTTTGATTTTTTTGATTATGGCCATTCTTACAGGAGTGAGATGGTATCACATTGTGGTTTTGATTTGCATTTCCCTGATAATTAGTGATGTTGAGCATTTTTCCGTATGCTTGTTGGCCATTTATATATCTTCTTTGGAGAGTTGTCTGTTTGTGTCCTTAGCCCACTTTTTGATGGGATTGTTTGTTTTTTCTTGCTAATTTGTTTGAGTTCTTTGTAGATTCTAGATATTAGTCCTTTGTTTCATGTAAGGTTGTGAAGATTTTCTCCCACTCTGTGGATTTTCTGTTAATTCTGATTATTTCTTTTGCTGTGCAGAAGCTTTTTACTTAAATTAAGTCCCATCTATTTATCTTTGTTTTTGTTGCATTTGCTTTTGGGTTCTTGGTCATGAAGTCTTTGCCTAAGCCAACATCTAGAAGGGTTTTTTTCAACGTTATCTTCTAGAATCTTTGGTTTTAGGTCTTAGATTTAAGTCTTTGATCCATCATGAGTTGATTTTTGTATAAGCTGAAAGATGAGGATCCAGTTTCATTCTTCTGTGTGTAGCTTGCCAATTATCCCAGCACCATTTGTTAAATAGGGTGTCCTTTCCCCAGTTTATAAAAGTTTTTGTTTGTTTTGTCAAAAATCTAAGTATTTGGGTGTGTTTCTGGGTTCTCTATTCTGTTCCATTGGTCTATGTGCCTATTTTTATACCAGTACCATGCTGTTTTGGTGACTATGGCCTTATAGTATAGTTTGAAATCGGGTAGTGTGATGCCTCCAGATTTGTTCTTTTTGCTTAGTCTTGCTTTGGCTATGCAGGTTCTTTTTTTGGTTCCATATGAATTTTAGGACGGCTTTTCTAGTTCTGTGAAGAATGGTGTTGGAATTTTGATGGAAATTGCATTGAATTTGTAGTTTGCTTTTGGCAGTATGGTCATTTTCACAATATTGATTCTACTCATCCATGAGCATAGTATGTGTTTCTATTTGTTTGTATCATCTATGATTTCTTTCAGCAGCGTTTTGTATTTCATTTTTAGAGGTCTTTCTTGTCCTCGGTTAGGTATATTCCTAAGTATTTGATTATTTTTTGCAGCTTTTGTGAAAGTGGTTGGGATCTTGATTTGATTCTCAGCTTGGTCACTGTCGGTGTATATAGCAGAGCTACTGATTTGTGTACATTAATTTGTATCCTGCAACTTTGCTGAATTCATTTACCAATTCTAGGAGCTTTTTGGATGAGTCTTTAGGATTTTCTAAGTATACAATCCTATCATCAGCAAGCAGTGACAGTTTGACTTCTGTTTACTGATTGGGATGCCCTTTATTTCTTTCTCTTGTCTGATTGCGCTGGCTGGGACTTCCAGTATTATGTTGAATAGAAGTGGTGAGAGTGGGTATCCTTATCGTGTTCCAGCTCTTGTGCAGAATGCTTTCAACTTTTCCCTGCTCAGTATTATGTTGGCTGTAGCTTTGCTATAGATTGCTTTTATTACCTTAAAGTATGTTCTTTCTATGCTGATTTTGCTGAGAGTTTTAATAATAAAGGGATGATGGATTTTGTTAAATGCTTTTTCTGCCTCTATTGAGATGATCATGTGATTTTTGTTTTTAATTCTGTTTATGTGTTATATCACATTTATTGAGTTGTGGATGTTAAACCATTCCTGCATTCTTGGTATGAAACCCACTTGATAATGGTGGCTTATCTTTTTGATATGCTGTTAGAATTGGTTAGCTACTATTTTGTTGAGGATTTTTTTTTTTTTTTTTTTTTGAGACTGAGTTTTGCTCTTGTTGCCCAGGCTGGAGTGCAATGGCGCGATATCGGCTCACTGCAACCTCTGCCTCCCAGGTTCAATCGATTCTCCTGCCTCAGCCTCCCGAGTAGCTGGGATTACAGGCATGTGCCACCACACCTGGCTAATTTTGTATTTTTAGTAGAGACGGGGTTTCTCCATGTTGGTCAGGGTGGTCTCAAACTCCCAGCCTCAGGTGATCCACCCGCCTCGGCCTCTCAAAGTGCTGGGATTACAGGCATGAGCCACCACGCCCGGCCTTGTTGAGGATTTTTGCATCTATGTTTATCACGGATACTGGCTTGTAGTTTTCTTTTTTTGTTATGTCCTTCTCTGGTTTTGGTATTAGGGTGATACTGACTTCATAGAATGATTTAGGGAGGATTCCCTCTTTCTCTGTCCTGTGGAATAGTGTCGATAGGATTGGTATTCATTCTTCTTTGATATAATTCAGCTGTGAGTCCATCTGGTCCTGGACTTTCATTGTTTGCAGTTCTTAAGTTACATTTCAATCTCACTGCTTGTTATTGATCTGTTTGGAGTTTCTTTATCTTTCTGGTTTAATCTAGGAGGGTTTCAAAGAATTTATCCGTCTCATCTAGATTTTCTAGTTTATGCACGTAAAGGTGTTCATAGTAGCCTTGAATAATCTTCTGTATTTCTGTGGTATCAGTAGTAATACCTCATGTTTTGTTTCTAATTGAGCTTATTTGCATCTTCCTTCTTCTTTTCGTGGTTAGTTTTGTTAATGGTCTGTCAGCTTTATTTATCTTTTCAAAGAACCAGATTTTTGTTTCATTTATCTTTTGTAATTTTTTGTTTCTGTTTCATTTATTTCTGCTCTGATCTTTATTGTTTCTTTTCTTCTGCTGGGTTTGGGTTTGGATTGTTCTTGCTTCTCCAGTTCCTTGAGGTGTGACCTTAGATTGTCTGTTTGTGCTCTCGCAAACCTTTTGAGGCAGGCATTTAATATTATGAACTTTCCTGTTAGCACCGCTTTTGCTGTAGCCCAGAGGTTTTGATAGGTTGTGTCACTATTACCGTTCAGTTCAAATAATTTTAAAATTTTCATCTTGATTTCGTTGTTAACCCAATGACCATTCAGAAGCAGCTTATTTAACTTCCATGTATTTGCATGGTTTTGAGGGATCCTTTTGGAGTCGATTTCCAATTTTATTCCACTGTAGTCTGAGAGAGTACTTTATATAATTTTGGTTTTCTTAAATTTACTGAGACTTGTTTTGTGGCCTATTATGTGGTCTATCTTGGAGAATGTTCCATGTGCTGATGAATAGAAAGTATATTCTGCAGTTGCTGGGTAGAATGTTCTGTAAATATCTTTTAAGTCCATTTGTTCTAGGTTATAGTTTAAGTCCATTTTTTATTTGGTGACTTTCTGTCTTGGTGATCTGTCCAGCGCTGTCAGTGGATTATTAAAGTCACCCACTATTATGGTGTTGTCATGTATCTCATTTCTTAGGTCTACTAGTAATCGTTTTATAAACTTGGGAGCTCCAGTCTTAGGTGCATATATATTTAAGATTATGATGTTTTCCTGTTGGACTAGTACTTTTAGCATTATATAATGTCCCTCTTTGTGTTTTTTAACTGTTGTTGCTTCAAAGTTTGTTTTGTCTGATATAAGAATAGCTACCCGTACTCCTCACTTTTGCTGTCCATTTGCATGGAATATCTTTTTCCTCCCCTTTACCTTAAGATTATGTGAATCCTTATGTGTCAGGTGAATCTCCTAAAGACAGCAAAAACTTGGTTGGTGAATTGTTTTCCATTCTGCTCTTATGTATCTTTTAAAGTGGAGTTTTGAGGTCATTTACATTCAAAGTTAGTATTGAGGTGTGAAGTACTATTCTATTCATTGTGCTGTTTGCTGTTTGAATAGCTTGTGTTTTCTTTTCATTGTGTTATTGTTATATCGGTCATGTGAGATTTCTGTTTTGGTGTATTTGGAGGATTTGTTTCAAGATTCAGAGCTCCTTTTAGCAGTTCTTGTAGTGCTGGCTTTGTAGTGGCAAATTCCTTCAGCATTTGTTTGTCTGGAAAACACTATCTTTCCTTCATTTATAAAGCTTAGTTTCACTGGATACAAAATTCTTGGCTGATAATTGTTTTATTTAAGGAGGCTAAAAATCGGACCCCAATACTTGTAGCTTGTAGGGTTTCTGCTAAGAAATCTGCTGTTAATCTAATAGGTTTTCCTTTATAGGTTACCTGATGCTTTTGCCTCACAGCTCGTAAGATTCTTTCCTTTGCCTGACTTTAGATAACCTCACGATTGTGTGCCTAGGTGATGATCTTTTGCAGTGAATTTCCTGGGTGTTCTTTGAGCTTCTTGTATTTGGATGTCTAAATCTCTAATAAGGCTGGGGAAGTTTTCATTGATTATTTCCTCAAATATGTTTTCCAAACTTTTAGATTTCTCTTTTTCCTCAAGAACACCAATTATTCTTATGTTTGGACATTTAACATAGTCCCAAACTTTTCAGAGGCTTTGTTCTCTTTTTTGAAATTCTTTTTTCTTTGTCTTTGATGGATTGGGTTAATTCAAAAGCCCTGTCTTCAAGCTCTGAAGTTCTTTCTTCTGCTTATTCATTTCTATTGGTGAGACTTTCCAGTGCATTTTGCATTTCTCTGTGTGCCCTTGATTTCCAGAAGTTGTGATTGTTTTTTATTTATGTTATATATTTTGCTGATGATTTTTCCTTTTATATCCTGTATGATGTTTTTTATTTCAGTTAGACTTCACCTTTCTCTGGTGCATCCTTGATTAACTTAACAATCGACCTGAATTCTTTGAATTCTTTTACTGGTAATTTGGAGATTTCATCTTGGTTTGCCTCCATTGCTGGTCATCTGGTGTGATCTTTTTGGGGTATTAAAGAACCTTGTTTTGTCATATTATCAGAATTGTTTTTCTGGTTCCTTCTCATTTGGGTAGACTGTGTCAGAGGGAAGATCTGGGACTCAAGAGCTGCTGTTCAGATTCTTTTGTCCCGCAGGGTGCTCCCTTGATGTGGTGTTCTCCCCCTTCCCCTAGGAATAAAGCTTCCTGAGAGCCAAACTGCAGTGATTGTCTTTGCTCTTCTGGGTCTAGCCACCCAATGGAGCTACTGGGCTCTGGGCTGGTACTGGGGAGTGTCTGCAAAGAGTCCTGTGATGTGATCTGTCTTCAGGTTTTTCAGCCATGGATACCAGCCCTTCTCTGGTGGAGGTATCAGGGGAGTGAAGTGGACTCTGTTAGGGTCCTTGGTTGTATTTTTGTTTAGTGCACTGGTTTTGTGTTGGTTGGCCTCCAGCCAGGAGCTGGTGCTTTCAAGAGTGCATCAGCTGTGGTAATATAAGGAGGATGCAAACTTGCCCTGGAGACACGTGGTTAAGTATTCAGGTTTTTCAGGCGGTGGGCAGGGCCATAGACCTCCCAAGAGATTATGACCTTTGTCTTAGGCTACCAGGGCAGTAGAGAAAGACCACCAGGTGGGGGGCAGGGATAGGAGTGTCTGAGCTCAGACTCTCTTTGGGTGGGGCTTGCTGAAGCTGCTGTGGGGGATAGCGGTGTGGTTCCCTGACCAATGGAGTTAAGTTCCCATGGGATTATGGCTGCCTCTGCTGAGTCCTACAGGTTGCCAGAGAAGTCAGGAAAAGCAGACAGTCACAGATCTCACCCCGCTCCCACACAGCTACCAGTCCTAAAGGCTGGTCTCAATCCCACCATGCCCCTCCAACAGCACTGAGCCTATTTCCAGGCAGCTGGTGCCCAGGGCTGAGAATTTGCCCCAGACCATGAGCCTCCCTACTGAAAAAGCAAGCAGACTCACAGTTTTTCTGGTGTCTCTGGGAGCCTGCAGCAGTGATCGGGTTCCTTCAAAGGGTCTGTGGATTCTCTCCACAAAGGTGTAATTTTTTAACTTGGGTATGTTTTTCCTGAAAGTAAATAGATTTACTAATCACCTAAACTAGCATACTTCTAGTTATTATTTAAAATTATGAGGAATATAAATTCATGTTTGACTAAATTGAACCATTGTGATGACAGTCTTTTATTTCCAGTTATAACATTTAGTAGTACGTCAACTTAAAGAAATTTTCCAAGTTGTTTAGATAATCCTTAGATTGATATTGTATTAGTTGATGAACATTAACTGGATGCCTAGATCATTCCTATGTAAGATAAAATACTGAAATATTAATTATTAAGCATAAATTGAAATTTGTATACTTTGGCTTTTTAGTAGTAAATCCCACAGAGAGGCTGTATTTTAAGGTCTATCAGTGAACATGTTCCTTTCTGCCATGTTGAGAATTCTATAGGGAAATTGTGCTGCTGTAGAAACCTGGGCTGTATGGGTTCCCCAAAATTACAGAATGTTCACAATTACCCACCCTTTAGTTTTCTTTATAAAACAGATGTGACTTTGTATAAAAGTCATAATTAATAATATCTGAATGAGACTCTGCTAGGAGTCTTAAAAAAATGAGACATGCTTTGATTAAAGTAAAAGAATATAGAATGCTTCTGTCTATAAGTGAAATGACTTTTGTTCCAGAATAAGAAAGAGGATGGTGAAGGGCAACACAACATATAGAGATCTGTTTGAGGTTCACAGAAAGTGAATCTGAAAGGGACCACAAATTTGTGTTAAAATTTTGCAAAACCTGGTTCGGTTTTGATGGGTGTATTCATAAGATTTCCAAATGCAAACCTAGAATTTGGTTTCTTTTCAAATATAGTCACAGTTTCTTTGGAGTATTCATTTGTTTGTTTTTTTGTTTGTTTGTTTTTTGTTTTTTTTGAGACGGAGTCTCACTCTTGTTGCCCAGTCTGGAGTGCAGTGGTGCGATCTTGGCTCACTGCAACCTCTGCCTCCCAGGTTCAAGCGATTCTCCTGCCTCAGCCTCCCAAGTAGCTGGGATTACAGGCATGCACCACCACACCCTGCTAATTTTGTATTTTTAGTATAGACGGGGTTTCACCATGTTGATCAGGCTGATCTCAAACTCCTGACCTCATGTGATCCACCTGCCTCGGCCTTCCAAAGTGCTGGGATTACAGGTGCAATCCATTGCGCGTGGCCTATTCTTAATAAGAGGTTGTAAAAGTTTGCTCTTCACATTAGAGGCCAATTTGCCCAAATAGCAGAGATGCTATATCTCACTAGAATGACGTTCCACACTGTGTTTTTGACTTTGTCATGCTCTTGATTATTCTCTTAAAAATACAAAAAAATACAAAAATAAAAATAAAAACCCACAAATACTCTCATTACTGAAAGTGTTGAGTTTTTGTTTATGTAAATATTGTATTGTCACTTTGATTAATAGGCAGCCAAGCCACAGCCATTCGTACACTAAGACACCCATGATCCCAATCTTAAGTGTTCAAATCTCCTGGCAAATTTTAATTTTGCCTTTCTCAAATCAAATCCTTAATGGAAAAGGAAATAAAAAATATAAAACCTTCACAGTGTCTTTGGCACATTAAGGTTTCTTTAATATTTCCCAGGCTATCTTAAAGACTTTCCCCTGGAAATTCACAAAGATTTCTTTTATGCCTGATGGAAGGAGAAGTAATAGAAGTAAATATGTTCATTTGTTATGTTACTATTGATGAGTTTCATAATTGTCCAATTAAAAGTAGATGCTACTTAATATCTAGGACTACCCTGAATTTGCATATATCATATAATCATCATTTGTGAATGAATGAGAAAGATTATGATTTTTGATAATTTATTTCAGTGGTTATAATCAAATTTTCAGATAAAATAGTGAACAAGGCCAGGTGTGGTGGTGGGCGCCTGTAATCCCAGCACTTTGGGAGGCCGAGGCGGGTGGATCACCCGAGGTCAGGAGTTCGAGACCAGTCTGGCCAAGCTGGTGAAACCCTGTCGCTATTAAAAATACAAAAATTAGCTGGGTGTGGTGATGGGCGCCTGTAATCCCAGCTACTCAGGAGTCTGAGGCAGGAGAATCACTTGAACCTGGGAGGCAGAGGTTGCAGTGATCCAAGACTGCGCCATTGCCCTCCAGCCTGGGTGACAAAGTGAGACTCTATCTCAAAAAAAAAAAAAAAAAACTGAACTAAATGTTTAATAATATTTATGAAATGTAGCCTATGTCACTAGTATGACTTTTTAAAATTATTTAAAGAGATTTTATTTTGTCCAGAATCTTGGCAGTCAGGAATCCCAAATAAATGCTGCAACTGATAAGTGCATCATTGTTAGCTGATCTTAGGAAACCATCACAGGCATTTCAACTGTGTTTTCCAACATACGGATTTGTTTGTTGAAATGTAGCTAGTCAATTTTCATTTTTCCACAAGTCAACCAGCTGATCTCGCAGCCCAATCAGTTTTTTTATTTTTATCTTTCCACCACCCCCCACCACCTCCACTGCTGGAATACATTTGTAGAGAAGTTTTCAAAAGTTTAGAGTTTAAGAATTCTGTTTCTAGATTGTTAATTGTGCATATGTGAGAATTATGGGAGATGACACTGATCCTGTTTGGTGACCACATCACATAATAATGGAAATGTTTCCAAACATACCATTTTCAAAATATTTTCTCCATAATAAAGTTTATTTTTTAAAGCTATATTTTCATTGTTAAAGTGAAACCTCCATTTTGAGTAAATAGAGTATATGTCATTTATTTATTGATTTAATATATTCTAGGAAGTAAATCACTGACGAAAAGGTGGCAACTTTTGAATTACTCCTCATTTTTATGAAAAGAAAACATACATAACTTCTGTTAAATTTGACAACTCTTTGAAGTACTCTACAGTGAGTGAAATAACCAGTAAGCCTCCATATGGCCTGAGGGATTTCCATAGTCACTCTTCATTTAATTGCAGAGTATTGTACAGATTTTACAGATTTTTAAGGTAATGAAATCCATAAATTCCTTTACATGGACAATATATCAAAATATGTTAAAGATGTACAAATGATTGAGGCCACATCAACCTCTTTCCCCTTTCAAACTTCTACTTTCTCCTCTGAATAGCTGCTATGATGTGAATGTCTTATAAGTGTCTGATGTAAACTGGGTGAGGATCAGGATCAATCTATATATGAAATATTAGCAAAACTTTGAAAACTTTTTGATAAAATGGATAGAGGAAAACCAAAAGCTCTTAATATTTTCTTCTAGTATTCCAATGGATTTGACTTGTGTGCCTCATTTTTGGAAGTCAGTGGAATAAATTGTTACTTTACTTTTATTTTATTTATTTATTTTTTTGAGAGGTAGTCTCACTCTGTCACTTATGCTGGAGTGCAGTGATGCGATCTCCGCTCACTGTAGTCTCTGCCTTCCTGGTTCAAGCGATTTGCCTGCCACAGCCTTCCGAGTAGCTGGGATTACAGACGTGAGCCACCGTACCCGGCCCCAAATTATTACTTTTAGATGATCACTTTTCACTTCCTGTTAGTGGCATATTAGTAAGAGTTTCTGATACCATAGGAATGTACAACATACAAGTCATTTTTGAATATTCCAGTGACATAAACTCTTCAGACCATGAACCCAAACTGAGAATGGAATAGAAAGTGCTTTTTTAACCCTAAAGTAAGAAGACTTCCTACAGAAGGTGCTGTTGGTTGCCTATCATATTTCCCAGCTTTGCCTTTCCTAATACAACCCGTATTTTTTTCAGGATCCACCCTCCTCCCATAACCCATGTGCTTTCAGGGTGGGCTGACCCTTCTCCACACCCAGGCCAACATGGTGTAAACCAACTCATCCCCAACGTCAGTGATTCATTTTGGAATGGATACGTATTACAGTTTGGCTAATGAAATCAGAGGCATAGACTTTTTGGGAGATGCTTCTGTGCTAAAATTTCCTAAGTCTTAAACACACACACACACACACACACACACACACACACACACACACACACACACACACACGGAGGGAGGGAGGGAGGGAAGGAGGGAGAGAGAGAGACAGAGAGAAAGAGAAAGGTCTCTTTTCCTCTTTTGTATATTATCAAAGGACATGATGCCTGGAGATGCAGGTGAATAAGGCTGAAGATCACAGAATGGAAGGAAGCCATCATGTCTTTAGACTTACAGTTATGTGTATTAATAACTTCCCCTTATTTGTTTAAGTAGCTGAATTGAGGTTTTCTGTTTGGTGTAATTTATAACCCACTAACACATCATAACTTACCAATACATGGACTATATACTGTTATATGGTAAGGCTTCACTCATTGTTATTGAGTATTATTCACCTACATTTTTTTTTAATGTGCTTGTTTGGTTTTCCTACACATAGCACCTTCAAAGCGGGAATCCTTAAGATTAATGCCAGGATATCAGATATTAGAGGATGTTAGAGGCAAACAAATGACTGTGGGGGATATGAAAGCTGACAGGCTACTTTTGAAGGAAGAAGATGCTAAAAAGAAAAAGAGCTGGGAGACACAGACTTATACTGTAATACACAAAATGGATACTCGTTATTATGGCTTTGAGACATCAAGGGAAAAGTTGAATTATCCTTTTTATATAAAGACTGAGAAGTGTATATTTTACAAAGACTTTCATCAAAAAATTCTAAAATGTATTAAATGTGTAATGTTTTTTGAAGAGGGAAGTTATGCAGAACATTGTTAGGCAGGCAGGATATTCTTTATTTCTCCCAACACCTAGTACAGAGAAAGGGATGAAGGACATACTTAAAATTTGTTAAAGGAGTAAAGAGATGGATTTCGAAGACAAATGATATATAACAGAAACATTTCCAAAAACACTGTTTTCGAAGTGTTTTCTCCGTAGTAAGAAACCTAGCTCTATAACCTAAATCTATTTTGCAGTTTCATAACCCATCTAACATCTGAATGATTACTTCTAAATATTTTTCTCTACTTAATTTTCTATGATGTCTGTTCCCCAATTTATCTTCTTTGGATGTTTAAGAAAAAATATTACAAAGAAGTTTTGAAGGTTTTCCTTTTTAAGTTATGCATAGAAATGTACCTGCCAAATTTCGAATTTCTTGTCAAATTTCATTCATGTAGCAAGATGAGATTTCAGGGTCACAGTGAAAGTCTATGAATGAAAAAAAATGTTAAATATTCATATTAGTGATGCATGGGGTAGGAAGTAGTGGGGAGCGGTCCTCCTAATAGGCAGACAATAAAGGGGGAACGTGTTTGTAGAATAATTTAGAAACAATAAGGAAACTAACAGGTGATCTACTTTTTATCACCGTACACCAGCAATTCTAAACAATGTCTGTGATGAAGTATTTTCCCCCCAAAATATTCTACTGGTCTATATTCTAAACAACTGATGTGGCTACTGTTTGTTTTAATCATCTTTATGTGAACTTCAAATTCGCACATTATTGGTCATCCATGAATAAACATTTAACTCTACATAGCAGTTAACTTGAAGACCTCCCAATTGCACATACAGTCTCTACCACACAGACTCAACTACATGCATTTATTTTCAGAGTAAATTCATAATAGTTTGGAATTGCCTGAGCTACCTTTGGGAGAAGTTACTGTATTCCAACCAGTGGTACTAGATTTTTTTTTTTCTTTAAACAGGAGAATTCATGTAATGAATGATGGCACAGTAACTTTAAAGATAAAGACATAAAACATGACTTGCTTAAATTTTGACATTGTATGACACCCCTTTAGAATTTTTGTGTTCAGAAAGTTAAACAGTGAAGCAGGATGTGACCTATAAGGGGTAGTATTTTTGTTTGTAAGGAGTACATTTTTAATGAATGAAATATGTTACTATATTGGAAAAAGACATTTACAGTGAAAATTATTTTATTGTTTTGAAACTAAGGAAGAAATTCAGAAAATAATGACTATCACTGAGTTTTGCATGATTTTTAGTGACACTAATTTTATCATGTAGAGGAAGAGGGTGTTAAAATATGATTCACTTTCGTAGTCGGGTACCCTATTACTTCTCTAGGTCATCCCTCCTATGTAACATGCACACTGTTAAGGCATGAATTAATTATTTTGGAAGTCAACTTACCAAATAAACCAGTGCTACCATTTTCTAGTCTCCATGGATCAGTTTGAGAGCCATGAAAAGGATTAAAATGATCCTTACAATATACAGATAGTCTTCTAGTAAGTCATGACACACTGTAATTAAGTTGTAACTGTTAGTCTCTCTGCTTGTTCCTTTCCTATCTTGAAATGAATATGTTCAAGATCAAATATGAACAAGCATTTACTCAGTGGAAGATGAAATGGGTATGATATGAATAGATTAATGACATCACATGTGCCTTCTTTGAAGAAATTAATTATCCAAATGATGTTAGTGACGTGAAGCCTCCTGGGGGCACTTCTCATTCTACTTTCAGTAATGAGCTGTATCCTGTCAACTTACTCAGCAAAATTCACAGGAATGCATGTTTCTCTTTCATGGGACACTTCTCTGGGACTTAATGATTCCACACTCTTTCTCTTTTTCTACTACCTTTCTGGATTTTCTTCTCTGTCTCCTTTGCTGGCTGATATTTGTTTTACTAGCCTTTCCACATGAGAGTTTTTTAATACTATGTCCTAGACTTCTTCCTCATCTCATGTTATATTCTTATCAAAGATAATCTCATGTATGCTCTTGACTTCAACCAGCATGTATGAGTGGATAGCGTCAAAATTTCTATCTCCAGTCTCTCCATAAACTCCTTGTAGTCACTAACAGTTGGAGATTGCCACCTGACTGTCTCAGGGACACTTCAAACTCAACCTTTATGTTTCAATTATCTATTGTCGTGTGAATATTATAGCTAAAACAATGAAGATTTATTATATTTTAAAATTCTCTGCACTGACTGGGTGGTTTTTAATGCTCCACTTGGTGTGGGCTGTAGAGTTACTCGTGCATCAGATGGAGGCTGGACTAGTTGGAACCTCTAAGATGTCCCCTCTTTCCACATGATGTCTCTTCCATCAGGGCCTCTTCATATGGCCTCTTTCTTTAACAAGTTAGCCTGGACTTTTTAATAGCATTACAGCTGGATGTCAAGATTGCAAAAGTAGAAGCTTCCAGGCCTCTTAAGGCCTTGTCCCAGAAGTGGCACAGATCAGGGAAGCCCATTGCTTTAGCCAAGTGCATGTACCTATGAAAATCTTAAGTTTTAGAGATAAAGTAGGTATTACCATCATAGAAGGGGTTTCAAAAAAAAAAAGGAAGGAAGGAAGGATGGGAGAAAGAAAGGAAGAGGAAAGGGAGAAAGAAAGGAAGAGGAAAGGAAGAAAGAAAGGAGGAAAAGTAGGAAAGATGGAAAAAGAAAAGAAAATAATCTCAAATCAGCTTCTTAAAATAAGAGGAGGAGGCCGGGCGCGGTGGCTTATGCCTGTAATCCCAGCATTTTGGGAGGCCAAGGTGGGCGGATCACGAGGTCAGGAGATCGAGACCATCCTGGCTAACACGGTGAAACCCCGTCTCTACTAAAAATACAAAAAATTAGCCGGGCGTGGTGGCGGGCGCCTGTAGTCTCAGCTACTCGGGAGGCTGAGGCAGGAGAATGGTGTGAACCTGGGAGGCGGAGCTTGCAGTGAGCCGAGATCTCACCACTGCACTCCAGCCTGGGCGACAGAGCGAGACTCCGTCTCAAAAAAATAAAATAAAATAAAATAAGAGGAGGAACAAATATTCAGCAATCAGCGTCATTGACACTGACACTTGATCAGTGTCTGAAGTGAGAGCAGCTGTTAGGAAATCCTACTTCTATCTATCAAGAAGGGTTTATTTAAGAAAATAGATGACATACACGCTATAATTATCAATATAGTTTCTTCCATGGGCTACCAAGTCCAAAGTATTATTGCTTTTGCATAATTTATGCTGATAACCTTGGAATCATGGTTTGGATGGTTTAAACCTCTCTCTCCATACCAATTGAATCATTCATCAAATCATATGGAATCTCCCTATGTGTAACCTCCCGTCAAGTCCTCCATTTTAATTTCTGTCACCACTACTCTGCTGTATTTTCCTTTCGCCTCAAATTTGAGGTATTATAAAAATCTTATAATGGCCTATCCCGGATCTAAGCTATCTTACACATTAATTACACAGATTCCCCATTGCTTATGTAATACAGGCCAAACATCTTAGCCTGGCATTGAGTGTTCTCTATAAATCGTTGCTTTAACTTTATTTCTAGCTCCCTTATACACAAACTTCCCTATAAGGCCAACTGGATGAGTTTCCTGTATTTAATTGGTCAAGCTCTTCTCCACCTGAATTGTTCTTCCCTCATACTAATTTTCCCAAATCCTGCCTTCTTTGTGTGTCTTGGCTCAAGTACCATCACATATCTTTCTGGACCACCCTAGCCTTCAATGATCATCAGTCATCTATGTTCCTCTTAAAATCAGAGCCAATTGGCTTTTAGTGTAAACCAGTTTACTGTTTCTTAAGGTTTCACGAGTCTTAAATTAGGTAACAAAGTCTTCTGGAATGCATCAATATAATTAGTCAAAAATAAATGTTCAATGTATTTGTTTTCTTTACTTTTGAGGAAAAAAGAAATTAACAGTCTCGGATTATGTATCTCCTTTATACAAAGCTGCTGTCTGCCACCAAACTTATTGGGAATGAAATGAACAGCATAAGAATCTGCTTTTAGAACCAGAGACAGGGCAGATCTAGGGATCCAGGTGTCAAGAACCTCCCAGTATTTTCAGGTATTGACCATCAGGATGAATTAAATCTTACCATTTTTTTTTATTTTTCTGATACATTTTGTTCATAAATTAATTTGAAGAGAGAGTGATTGGCAGAGCTTCAACCACACACACTTTCTACTTGAAGTATGAGGGGGAGTGGGTCTGATGAAAACTTGAATGACTTCCTATCAAGACTAGTGAGAGAGAGGTAATTCTCCAAAACAGACTAGTGAAGCAGTTATCAGAAAAGAAGGAAGCAAATGTTAGGCAAGCATGTAATTCTTTCTTTATATTAAATCATATGACTTACCTGTGTTTAATATATTCAGAGCCTGACAATGAGAGAGAATAACTTAGAAAGCAAGGGAGATTAGTTCCAGTAGAAAGACTAATATTTATTTTGTTGAGATGGTAGGAAGTGGGAGTAGAGGAACAATTCAAAAGCTGTTCTTGACTCGCTTTTAAACTCTTCATGGTGGCCAGAATTGCTTTCAAAAATACTATATTTCCCGTAGACAGCATATTAATTTGCATTTCAAGCATTTTGATAACTGTTAAATTATTTTTGTCTTGAATACACTATTTTATAGTGTTTTATAATGCTAGTTGAGCTCTCTGGAATTTCTAAGAAAAGTTCCAGAAATTAAATCTCCTGGGTAATGTGTGAATAACAGAAAAGGATCCAATGTATTCTCACCAAAAGATAACTGTCCCTAATGTTAAAAAGCAGGGGAAGATGTCATCATTTTATTGTTAACCTGACGGTGAAACTGGAGAATTCCCTGAACTCCTTGCAGGTCTTGTGACAGGGGTGTGACTCGTTTGTTAGTTTGCGCAATTGCTGCTGCACAAACCCCTTACGGGATGGGGAGCACACAGATGGGCAGGTGCAGGAGCCGGGGCAAGCACTTTTGGGCTCCTGCCCCACAGTGGCGTCTAGGGTTGTGTTACAATTAATGCTCTTTTAGCAGTTGCCATCTGCACATGGCTAAGTGTTGAGGACTAAGCTCTGATTTTTTATCTTGCCCAAATTCCTACCTAAGGGGCCTAGGGAGTCATGCCCTACAAACCATGAATTCTCATCAGATGGGTTTTATTTGACCCTATATATTGTGACTTACTTTTCTATCTGACTCTGGCATAACATTATAAGACAAGGAAAAAATATTTAACCCCAAAATATATTTCCTTGCCATACCTTGAAATTGCCCTGCAAAGTCTCTTGTGGGAAAAATCCACATTCTATAGAGAATCCCTTTCCCCCTTTGTTTTCCTTCCTTTCCTTCCTGATCCAGGAGATAATCAACTAAGAGCCAGGTACCCTTTTAGGTCCAATAAGAAACATTTTACAACCTGCTCTCTCCCTCTGAAGTCTTCTGTCTGAGAGCTTCCTCTGCACAGTAAAACTTGGTTTCCACAGTCTTATACTAACCTGAACATTCCTTTCCATTAATCCCAGGTCTTAGGTAAACTCAACCAATTGTCATTTAAACATTTAAACCAGAAAATGTTTAAATTTACCTGTAGCCTGGAAGCCCCTGCTTTGAGTTGTGCCACCTTTCTGTACCAAACCAATGTATTTCTTAAATATATTTGATTGATGTCTCATGCCTTCCTAAAATATATAAAGCCAAGCTGTACCCTGACCACCTTGGGCACATGTTCTCAGGACTTCCTGAGGGCTGTGTCATGCGCCATGGTCACTCTTATTTGGCTCAGAATAAATCTCTAAAAATATTTTAGAGTTTTACTCTTTTCTCAACAGTGTTAAACTGGCTCAGTGGAGAGTCATAGTGACAGCCTTTTGCACCCTGCCCTCTTGGTACCTGGGTCCTTGTCTGGTGTCCAGGAAGAATCAGGTCAGACATGGACTTGAAGGATGTTGAATGCAGGGATTTTATTGAGTGATGGAGGTGGCTCTCAGTGGGATGGATGGGGAGCTCGAAAGGGTATGGACTGGGAAGATGATCATCCCCTGGAGTTCAGCTGTCCTTGCCTGATCTCCTCTTGGACCGTCCCCGGCCTAACTCCTATTGACATTCAGACACTCCTTCTCTTTTCTTCTCTGCTATACCACTCTGCTGCTCTCCTGCTCTTCTGCTCATCTGTCCATGGAGCCTAGGGTTTGGGGTTTATATGTGTACAGGATAGGGGGGCATAGTAGGACAAAAGGTAACATTTGGATGCAAAAACAGGAATGCCTGTTCCCATTTAGGGCTGCAGGTTTCCAGGCTTGACATGAGGCCTTTGCTAAAGAACCACCCTCTTCTACCCAGTATTTCCCTGCCTCCTGTCCGTATCAATTCTATTTAATTTTGTAATAGAGCAATGGGTAATATTTTTGAGTCAATGGACCCTTTAGTAATATTTTTTAAGTCAATGGACCCTTTAGAGTTACCGATGACAGCCCCAGTATTCTCTCCCCAAAACATACATTTGCAAAATGACACACAATTTTGCATACAAGTTCAGAGGATCTACATGTTTCTGAAGCCCATCTATGGATGCCAGATTTAAACTCATTTTATTAAAAAAAAAAAAGGATATTAGAACTACAATGAAAGAGCACAGGAGAAAGGATAACTGTCTTTCATGGGAATGTGCACTTTTCAATTTTGCTGTATTTTCCTAAATTATCTCTCAGCTAATACCTGACTTCATCCTTTGTTATATGGCAGCAAATCTCACTAAAATGGAACTAGTACAAGGATCCTAGACTTTATCACTCCTCCTCCCACCCATCTCCCTTCTGTAGTATGTGTTAAATAAGAAAGTTTTTAGTGTGTTTCTGAGACTTGTTCCTGATTTGATTTCACACTTCAACAGTAGTGATCCTTAATTATTACTTAGGAATTACTTTATGATTTGGTAATATTTAAGGACTTAAGCTACAGGTTACTTTTTTAATCCTTAGGTGACATGCTACCTAACACTTTCTCTCTGCTTATTTTATAATTCTAATTTGAGTTATTAGCTCTTAATTACTCAATAATTATTCACTGAACCCTCTGTATGTGCCAGAAACTGTCCTAGGTACTGAGAATAAACAAATGAGTAAACACATAAGTTTCCTGCCCTCTGGGAATGCACATTCTTAATTTACTAACTGTTAAATTCACCACATACTTTTGTTAATTTGTCTGTTTTAGAAGTCTGGCTAACTTGTTTAAAATTTATTGTACTCATTCTTTCTGAAGTGGCTCTTCTACATCAGCACTATCAAATAAAAATATAATGACAGCCCAAAGATGTGATTTTAAATATTCTAGTAGTCACATTAAAAATCACGTACTAAGAAACAGGTGAAATTAATTTTAATAGTATATTTAGTTAACCCAGTATTTACAAAATATTGTTATTTCAACATGTAATCAATGTAAAAATTTATTGATGAGATATTTTGTCTTTTTTATACTAAGTCTTTAAATTCGGGTCACATTTCAAGTGTTCAACAGCTACATGTAGCTACTGATTAACTATTGGCTAGATCAGGCCAAAATGTTCAACCCTAGCCACTTGCTCTTCCTCCGAGAGCTTCAATCTCTCAGCATTTCTTATGCAGAGCTACTTAGCTCCTTCTCAGATCCTGTCTCTAAAATACAATAACAATTCGATCCCTCCTCAAGCTCCTTAATGTCTTAATTCATAAAGAGACTCTTGCCATGAACTATTTGCCTAGGAGGGCAATGAAAGGTTATAAATTCAACATTGACAACAAAAACAGTTTGCTATAAATGATAGATAAATGATAGGACTGAAAGGGATAACGTGCTTGGGTCAGCGAAACTTGGGTGTGGTAGGACAAATGGGAGAAGCTGGGTTTTTTTCGTGTGTGTGTGTGTGTGTGTGTGTGTGTGTGTGTGTGTGTGTGTGTTTCTTTTTTTTTTTTTTTTTTTTGAGACAGAGTCTCGCTCTGTTGCCCAGGCTGGAGTGCAGTGGCGCAATCTCGGCTCACTGCAAGCTCCACCTCCTGGGTTCGCACCATTCTCCTGCCTCAGCCTCCCGAGTAGCTGGGACTACAGGCGCCTGCCACCACGCCCGGCTAATTTTTTGTATTTTTAGTAGAGACAGGGTTTCACCATGTTAGCCAGGATGGTCTTGATCTCCTGACCTCGTGATCTGCCCACCTCGGCCTCCCAAAGTCCTGGATTACAGGCGTGAGCCACCGTGCCTGGCAGAGAAGCTGGTTTTTAAAATGCTATGTTCTTATATTATGGAACACTTACTTGTCCTCTGGTATACTCAAAATTATGACCAAGGATCTTCTGAGAGATTTAACTCATCTGGAGTAATTACATCCGCTGACAAATGCATATATAGTGCCAATGTCATACTTGCCTTGTTTTCTCAACCTTCCAATTCCTAGGCAAATTGTCAGATTCTCAAGGTAATAGCTGTCCCACATGAGACTCTGGTATGTGCAGATCTTTATTGTGACAGTTCCTTTTGGGGCTTCTGTGACCCAATGAAGTGAAAATAAAGATGAAATATTTCAAGATTTTGAAAAGTAGTTTCTATTAAAAGTTATTCGTCTAAAATGATTTCTGTTTTATAGTATTTAGTGCATAAAGACTGGAATAAAATGCTGTAAACTAACTCATTTAATATCCTTCTGTGAATTCGAATGAGAAAGACAAATTGACTGGATTAAAAGGAAACATTGAGTAACATTCTGTCTTTAGTTAAAAAAAGTCCAACACCAGCAAGACTTACCTTCTTTTACTTACACATATAGTTAATATTAGTGTACGGTAAAGCTTCTCCACACATCTAGGAAAGAAACAGGAAAATGCATTATTTCCTTTGAAAGCTGCCTAAACACAAATCTGTTATTCTTCTGAGAAAGAGTGATGCCTATACAGTAAAAAAGTTATTCTAAGGAAGGAAAAAACAAAATACAGTATGTCTGTTGTTTAAGCCAATAGATGTCTTTAAGGAAACATTTTCTTAAGAATATTCTTTACAATAGTGAGGCTGAGGCAGGAGAATGGCATGAACCCGGGAGACGGAGCTTGCAGTGAGCGGAGATCGCGACACTGCACTCCATCCAGCCTGAGCAACAGAGCGAGACTCCGTCTCAAAAAAAAAAAAAAAATCTTTACAATAATATAATTTTCAAAGTTCTCAGAATTCTAAAATCTTGCTGGATGATACATAGATGTATAGACATGTACCCAAAGGTGCTCTACTAAATTAATCACTACCTCCAACAACCTAAAGATTACAGTTTATTGTTTAAATGAAGGATGCAAAATATAGGTGTATATACAAAAAGCCCCTGTTTTATAGCTCTTCTAAATGTGAGTATCACACACGGGAAAAATCGAAAAACAAATGTAAGTCTAAATCTCCTTACAGAGAAGAAAATGTAGTGTGGCCTGGCCTAATATTACGACTTTTCCAAGGAGTTACTATATATGGTTTAACAGAAGATTATTTCCATCAAAAATATCCATTGCTTGTGAATCTTAAGAACAGGAAGTTTTTCAATCCAAATTAAGCTGAAGAAAAACAAAGGAGAGGAGGGGAGGGGAGGGGAGGCGAGGAGAGGGGACGGGAGAAAAAAGTTCTCTGCTAGCTTCCTAAGCAGTTCAGCTCTGAGGGTATGCTTTGCAGCAGCAACAGCACACCTGCCCAGACCACTGCAGCAAAGGCTTTCAACAATTCTTGGGAAACTAAGTGAGGGCAAAGATACATGGTAGTTCCAGGACATCCCACAGTAGGATTTGTCTCACGGAGGTAACTCAGGGAGGAAGAAGTGAGCAGTTCACTCTGCCTTAACAGTTTACATATATGAACTACTAAACTTAAAAAAAAAAGTTTTTCAATCCAAATTAAGCTGAAGAAAAACACACCTAAATAGTATATACCCAAAGTATTATGTGGCATAATATTTTAATCATAAAAATAATATGTATCTATTTTTGTTTCTCCTTTATAGTCAAAGCACTGTAGAAGTACAGAAAGGATTGTTCTGAGAGAGTTCTTGAAGTAGAGGTTGGGGGAGGCAGCCTAGGATTCTTATCTGTAAAATGTGTGGTTCCAACATCTTATGCCTACACTTGATCTCACTGCTAGATTGTGGGCAAGGTGCTTTGAAGGGATGGGCATTAAAGGGACCCTCCAATAAGTGAGGCTTAATGGAGTTTGCAGAGATCATCATATTCTAGAAATCACACATGCCGTTTTTGTAGGAACAGAGACAGGGTCCCAAAAGTATCACTGGATACTGGAGCAGAAAATGAGAAAACTCATCTTGTGATGCCAAGAGAAGCAAAGTCTTCAAGATTCTTTCTGGTTTATTTCTATAGTATAGCTATCAATGTTAGTGGCATAATGTAGTATTTCATGTTCATTCTGGGTCACTTTAGACTCATCGTAGCACTGATTTGGAGGAAAACAGTATGAATGGGCACAACTGGATGATCCAGGAGGGATTCTTTTTTTTTTTTATTATATTATACTTTAAGTTTTAGGGTACATGTGCGCAATGTGTAGGTTAGTTACATATGTATACATGTGCCGTGTTCGTGTGCTGCACCCATTAACTCGTCATTTAACGTTAGGTATATCTCCTAATGCCATCCCTCCCCCCTCCCCCTACCCCACAACAGGCCTCGGTGTGTGATGTTCCCCTTCCCGTGTCCATGTGTTCTCATTGTTCAATTCCCACCTATGAGTGAGAACATGCGGTGTTTGGTTTTTTGTCCTTGTAGTAGTTTGCTGAGAATGATGGTTTCCAGCTTCATCCATGTCCCTACCAGGAGGGATTCTTTAGGGAAGCCAGGCAAGTGGGAGTGGTCATGTAGGAGGAAAGTCTATCCCATAGTACCTGAGAGGTGTGCACTAAACTTGCCACAGGAGACGATGCTGACTGGGGAACTCTATTGAGGGTGGCAAAGCCCACAGTTTAGGTGGAAAAGCACTTGAAAGGGGAATGGATTCATTGCTTTTGTCATTTTTACCTAGACTGTTATAAGGGCTTCTTTTTTTATATCTCTATTATCAGTTTTTTTCTTTTGGAAGTCTGTCTTTTAAGTTTACTCATTAATTGTATAACCATTTATTGATCATTTATACAGCAGGCACTACGCTGTATTCTCCTAATACAACACTAAGAACAAGTCCCTGTCCTCATGGAGCCTCCAGTCCAAGCAACCCCAATGATGTGAGAGAACTGCCACAGGATATATAGGAGCATGTAGCGCTGACTCACTGTCTGATTATCATCACTCTTTTAATGATGCCAAGATCGATTAGTGGGTTCAACTGGTTACAGCCTCATCCCTGAATTGTAAAATTCCCTATTAGCCTAAAGGTGCCCAGGATTTAATTGTTCTGGATAATGATTTCTTAAGAATTCTGAAGAAGGTTTATTCAGAGTTTCCTTTCATTCATTGATAGAGCTAGTATTTATTCAGCTTATTCTAAACACTAGGCATTATGTTGTTGCTAGAGATACAAAACTAAGTGAGCCAAGATGAATATAGAGGAAACATAAGTGAGTAACTTCAGTGCAATATGAGAAATGTGCAGGGCTAGATGCAGAGTCCTCTGGGAACAGAAAGGAAGCACAGTCCTTAATGACAGCAATCTCTGGTGAGTCAATGAATCTCTCGCAGTTTATTTAGGTCAGGAGCTATTAACTGTCATGCATTAGTGAGCAGCCAACAGTGGGACTGGGCAGTCTGAGCCCTGTATTGAAAAGCCGGCAACGAAAGAAACTTCACTAGAGGCTTGATGAACCAGTTCTTAAACTAAAGCTCATGTGTCTGCAATGGACAATCCTGCCTCAACCTCGTGAAAAACAGACCAGGATTCTCTATGGTTATGCACTACTGCATTTGTTTCTTTAGCGTTCCTAGAGTTGTTTTCATCAGTTATTTAAGTAAGAATGCCCGAGGTAGTCCACTTCACTCCCTAGATCCCTATTAATACATTTCAGTTGAAAATCTGTTGTCCCTTGCCTATTTTACTGCTTCCAACATTGAGATTTGATGGAAAGAAATCAGCTCTCAAATAAGAATGGTGTCACCTGCTGCTGGTTCAGCGGCACTGCAAACTACAGATTATGCAAATTACATAAAGATCCAATCTTTCTACCCGGAGCCTAGGAAGAGGCCTTCTTTTCCCACTGGGTCTTATATTCTAGAGTCAGCCATTTACTTAATTTCCCAAAGAATACTGCAAGAGAATACTGTGAAAGCATTATCTAAAATACAACAAAAGAATTCTGTAAATGTTATCTAAAATATAATAATAAGAAAAACCAAAAGAATTCATAACTAGGCTGAAAGTATTCTCTTAGGATTTTAATATTAGATACAAAATTGCTCATTAGCCTTTAGGTTTTCTTCCCTCTCCCAAGCACTCAACAATTGATTTCCTTGCATACTAGGTAAGTGTCCTATGACACATAATACTTTCAAATATTTATATCTTTTGTAAGATAATATTTTTCATGTAATCCTAGATGGATTAGTTTCCTATGACTGCTTTAAAAATTGCCACAAACTTAGTGACTGCAAGCCACACACGTTTAATTTTTTTCATGTCTGGAAGTCAGCAGTCCGAAATCACTTTTACTGGTCTAAAATCAGGTGTCAACAGGGCTGTGCTCCCTCCGGAGGATCTAGGGGAAAATCATTTTCCTTGCCTTTTCCAGCTTCTAGAGGCTGCATTTTCTTAGCCTCGTCTTCCCTCTTGTTGCAGTCGTCCCAATGACTTTTGTCTCTGTAGTCAAGTCTCTCTTTGCCTCCGTCTTAGGAGGAGATGTGTGATTAAATTTTGCCCACCTATATAATCCAGGATAATCTTCCCATCTCAGAATCCTTAACCTAGTCATGTCTAAAAAGTCCCTTTTACCTTATAAGGCAACACAAATTCCAGGGATTAGGATCTGGATATCTTTGGGGACCAGGAATCAGCCTATCACACTAGGTAATGAAGTCATTATCTTAATCTGAAGTATCTAGATCCTCATATAATCTAACTCCTTTAGTCTATTTGAGTTGTTTTAATTTTTTCTCAAGTACATTAGCTGCCAAATTTAAAATTATTGCAGATGGAACTCTTGTAGGTCTATAATGTACAGCTTGCTGAGCCACAGTAAACAGTATCATTTTTAGCTTTCTATCAATGTTTGACATACAAAATGGTCAACTGCAGAATGTTTCAGTGACTTCTCTAGAACCCTATTGAATATTTAAAATGTCATACATCATGTTGTTGAGTGGTCTTCGTGGAAAAAATCATGTTTTTAAGAAATCTATTCCCCTTCGATTTAGTGCTTGGGTTTGTATATTCCGATGAACTGATATGCAACTAGAGCTATATAACTAATCCTGATTTTTAAAAATTTGTCTTGGCTTCCAGGAAGTACAGACTAAATTTAGTATATAATTACAGTAACTATTCTTAGCTAGTATTTCTTGTATAATTATATATTCTTCACCCCAACCCCAATAATCATTTCTCCTACTCCTTACTAGGATGCTTTTGATAATTTATCTTCATTTAAACAAGCTTATTGCATGGGTTTTCTTTATTATAATCTATCTCAAAATCTTTTTTGGAAGCAGATATGAAATAAAGCAAACAAACAAATAAACTTGGAAGATATATAGACCCTATGAATTATAGCCCATCTGCATCTTTTTTGAGTGCCAAAGACATAAGTTCAGCTATGAATACATTCTGTTACTACAAAAGCACTTTAAAATTGTGTTTCTGTGCATTATATAGCTCCTTAGAATAGACAGATATATTTAGAGGGGAAGGATATGCTAATCAATGCCACTAGAGCCAGTAGTTTTCTTGATTTCATTCAATACCTTCCAGTTTTAATAATTTGCAACTGATATCAATGATCATAATAAAATTTTAAATTAAAATGTGTGAGCTGTTTTTTTGTTAATACTTCATGCATTGAAGAGACATAAACAAAGTTTTGAAATCATAACTACATTTTCTGAAAGGCTTCCACAGGAAAAAAGGCTTCATATTGATATTATTTTGTACAATTTTTTGGACAATTTTCCCTCCTTCACATTCAGTTTATTAGAACTGAACATAATATCTGACATAAGTGATTCATATATGGGCTAAATAATTCATGTATATCAGAGGCCAAGCCTATTGGATATGGTGGAAGTTTTGAAACCCTATCTTTGTGGAACAACAAAAAATTAAATGTAAGGGTCAAAATGTGAGGGCTCCTTTCTCATTTGTTCTGTGAATCCAGTTTCTAGTGGTTACTTATCATATCAAAATTTCTCGTGGCGTTTTCAGAGCTACACCTCCAATAAACCTAAATGATGACTAGCTTTAAGACAATAGTCTATACAGTTACGTACTGCTTAACCACAGGGATGTGTTCTGAAGAATGCGTCGTTCAGCAATTTCATTCTTGTGTGAACATCCTAGAGTGTACTTACACAAACCTATATGTTTTAGCCTACTGAATATCTAGGCTATATAGTATAGCCTATTGCTTTTAGGCTATAAACCTGCACGGCATGTTACTGTACTGAATACTGTAGGCAGATGTAATACAATGATATTTGTGTATCTAAACATAGAAAAGGTACAGTCATATTTAATTTTAAATGTATTAAAGTAACCCATTTCCTCTTCCCACTTGACTAGCTATTTCCTTTTTGAGAAGTAGACATTATGTTTAAAAATGTTTTAAAATACTGCAATATTGTTGATATTATTAGTTTACTAAATAAGACAATAAAGACAGAACTCAGACAAATAAAATGCAGCAGCTGTCAGTTGATGGGGGCCGCCATTACTTGTAGAAGAAACCTTCAGTAAGCGTTGAACTAGTGGCCTGGGATAGTTGATTTTAAGAAGACAAATAAAAATGCCTGGAGAGAAAAAATATTTTACTCATTCCATATGAGTAGAAAATATCCTTTGAAATATTATCAGTGACTTACTTACGTCAGTCTTTCTTAACTTGGGTTGTCTGTTAAATACTTTAATATGGCTTTTGCCATAGCTGGGTCATTGCTATAAGTTAACAAAGGGCTGTTTTCTATATCGCTGGAACTCTCCTTTGTTAGAACCTTCTTTAAATAGAAAGAATTCTCTTGCAGTACGTGGTAATTGCCATAGATTATTGAAATGAAAAATGGCTATGATTACTCCTAACAACTTGAGATGTTCTGCTTACAGTGGATGTTAAGAACATATCTTAGTAATTTAAAATTTTTCTTAATAGGCATAAGCAAGTTTTTATTCTTTAAATGTACTTCAAGTGGTTACAACTAATAAAGATTGGTATATAACAATAGAGAAGAGGTTCCAAAGTAAAAATCCACATTAAAATTAAATTTAGGTTACATTATTGCTTAGCAGTTTAAAACAATATGTTCCATATATACATACATGTGTATATATTTATATGCATACAAAACATACATGAACATGTATAAGTATATGGATGCAGATGAGTATATGTACACATATATATAGAATAAATGCATAAAGGTATATAAATATATGGCTGCATTTGTGTAATTGGATATATATGATACATATTTTATATCTGTATGTCATGAGTATTTTTCTCATTTTTTCCTCTTTGAGAATAAGTCTAGGTCTATACTATCAATAAAATATTGAAAATTAAATTAATTACCCAAGTGAAAAAAGAAAGTTCTCAGAGTTATGCTGTTCATACTTATGGGAGAAGTGTAGATTTTTTCTGATTTGCTTATCTTTTCCTTTATTTAAATGTAATTTTTACTGATATGTAATAGATGTACATTTTTAAGGGTACACATGACAATTTAATATATTCATATAATTTGTAAAGATAAAATTAGCATAATTGGAATATCTGTCACCTTAAATATTTATATTTTCTTTATGCTAGAAATACATGAAATATTCTCTTCTAGCAATTTTGAAATATACAGTAGATTATTGTAAACTGTAGTCACCCTACTGATCTATCAAATACTAGGTCTTATTTTTTTCTATCAAACTCTATATTTGGACCCATTAACCAATCTCTCTTTATCTCCTTCTCCTTCCTACGCTGTGGTAACAACCAATATGCTATCTTCTTGAGATCCACATTTTTAGCTCCCACATATGGGTGAGAACATTCAATATTTGTCTTTCTGTGCTGGCTTATTTCACTTAACATATTGACCTTCAGTTCCATCCATGTTGCTGCAAAAGACGGATTTCATTTTTTATGTCTGAATAATATTCCAGTGATCTGCCAGAACTGAATTTTAAATGGGGTTTTAGGCCTGGATTGACTTTAGATAAGCTTATAATTATAGCTCTCTACTTGTGGTAATCAATAGCATAGGCCTGAATGTGTTATTGTATTAAATATTTCTCATTCATTGACATCACAATTGTGGATCAAATCTCTGTGGTTTGGATATTTGACTTCTGACAATTCATTGTTTTGTCTGACTTTAAGTTGTGTTTAAGTGATTATTTTCTTGGTTTGCTCTCATTCCAAATTACTGGGGAATTTAACTGATGAATGAACCAGACATATATTTAATATACATCTGCTGTGTGCAATATATTGTACTGGAGGGATGGGTAGGTATAGACATGTAAGACATAATCTCTTACTTCAACCAGAATATGGTTTCACTGGGTTCCTAAGATCAATATGCATAACTGCAGGGACCTCGTGCTACATTGGATTTGAATCTGGGGCTCCAGTTCCAGTCCCATTCCTTCATGGCCATGTCACCTTAGCATGTCACTTCACCTATGGCCTCTTAACAGTTAGATAACCCAAGACCACTACTATTTCTGAAGAGTATTTTTTTAATTACAAGCCAAATCAGTATCAAATATTATATTTATAATGGTTCTGTGTAATTTACTAACTCATTTACCATAAAATGACATATATTGTACTATTAGAAGAAAATTGTGGGATTTATTAAAAACATCAATTTATTGTACCACACACTTGATATGGGCTTATAATTGAACACAAATATATAGAATATGAATATCTTTTTTTAGTTCTGTCATTAGCTCTTTGAGTGAGTATATAAGCATATTCATAAATGATATTGTATCTATATTTATCTATGTTTTAAGAATTCTTGCAGCCGGGCGCGGTGGCTCACGCCTGTAATCCCAGCGCTTTGGGAGGCCGAGGCGGGCGGATCACGAGGTCAGGAGATCGAGACCATCCTGGCTAACATGGCGAAACCCTGTCTCCACTAAAAAAAAAAAAAAAAAATGCAAAAATTAGCCTGGCCTGGTGGCGGGCACCTGTAGTCCCAGCTACTCGGGAGGCTGAGGCAGGAGAATGGCATGAACCCGGGAGATGGAGCTTGCCAGCGAGCCGAGATGCGCCACTGCACTCCAGCCTGGGCGACAGACTGAGACTCCGTCTCAAAAAAAAAAAAAGAAAGAAAGAAAGAAAGAATTCTTGCATCTCAGGCATGGCCAAGAAGCATATTGCCCTTCATCCTTTCTCAAATACCATAGAATTGGCTCTGACCTCACCTCAGTTTACTTATGTTTCTTAAGCTATAAGATGATTTGTAAGATCCCATTCACACTTAGTATCCTATGGTTATAAAGACATTCTCTTGATAGTTATTTGACATGGTGTACACATTGGATCAATTTCTTTGGTGAAAACAGTCTCGCCATGACCTTGATGTGCCATTTGATGTTCTTGGAAATACCGTTCCTCTACTGTTAACAGTAAAGTTTCAAAGAAAATAGATTCCCAGATTATTTCAAACTCATTAATATAGGAATAATATTTTTAATTCTTCAAGATGATAAGATTTTACACATTTTGATGCCAGTAAATAATTTTGTGATAAAAGCAAACACCTGGTTTGCTAGAAAATATTGGCATTCCGCAAGCCTAAATTCATTAGAGAGGAATTCCACGTGCATCGCCTCTGAGCTGCAGCTCCTGTGAACTGAAAAAACTGCTAGTTAATGTCTCAGAAGTTATTAGGAAATGTAAAGTACATACAATTGTCAGTGCTTCAAAAATAGAGATAACATCTTAGTCCTTATGTAGCCCCCATAGTTAGCTGGAGCTTGGACATATTAGGAAGTCAATAAGAATACTGACAAACTGGCATGTAAGTCAGGTTTGCCTGCATCAGGTTTGAAAATTATTCTATTTTAGAATAATCTTATTTATCCTATCGTTTCTCAACTAAATTGATGTGTAGTCCATAGATTTCTTACCTTTGCTTTATATTCCTTTAGAGCTGTGATGCAAGCTAAATCATTTTTGGGGAAAATAACTTCTTAAACATTTTTGTTGTTGTTAATGCTTCGGATGGGCAGTTATTGTCTGAACATCATCAAGGCACAAGCAACTGACTGTAGCATCCATATTTTTTTGACAGTTTTCATTGCTTATGTGTTCCAAGAGCTGCCTACAGGATTTCTTTCCTTATATGAGAAATATTGTAATGATACTCAATTATGTATAAGAGCAAGATTCCTGACTTGACTAAATACAACTACTTTAGTATTCACTATTTAAACTACGTGGCTTTTTAATAAGTAAATCAACATTAAAAAGTGAATAGGAGATTGCAATTTAGTTTTCTTAGAAAAGCTTGACTATTTTTATTATCTGATATTCATGTCACATGTAATCACACATTTGATTTTTAAGTAATTTTTATTGGCTTGGCATGGTGGCTCATGCCTGTAATCCCAGCACTTTGGGAGGCCAAGGCAGGTGGATCACCTGAGCCCAGGAGTTCGAGACCAGCCTGGGCAACGTGGGGGAAACCCTGTTTTTTACAAAAAATACAAAAAAAAAAAAAATTAGCTGGGCTTGGTTGCTACATGCCTGTAGTCCCAGCTGCTAGGGAGGTTGAGGTAGGAGGATTGCTTGAGCCTGGGAGGTCAAGGTTGCAATGAGCCAAGATTGCCCCCACTGCACTCCAGCCTGGGCAGCAGAGTAAGACCCTGTCTCAAAAAAATATTATTATAATTGAGGTGAATTAATTGACATCTATATTTATGAAATAACTATGAATAATACAAGATGGCCACTTGAAGGTATGCCCTAAGACAGGGGTCTGCAAACTTTTCCTGAAGGGACCAGATAGTACATATTTTAGGCTTGTGGGATACACAAATTTAGTGCTACTACTATCTACTATCTTCTGCCTTTGTAGCACAAAAGCAGTGATAGTCAATACTGAATGCAAAAATATGTGCGTGGCTTTGTTCCAATAAAACTTTCTTTACAATAAATAAGGATGGGCCATAGTTTGTTGACCCCTGCCCTAATAAATTCATTGACTTGGCCTAATTTTAAGAATCATATAATTTTAATAAAAGTCTGTTAAGTTTCTTTATATAATTTGTAACATCAGTAATATTTTTAAGAAAAATGTAAGTCATCTGAAAGTATAACCTAAGTAAATTTTATTTGATGATTTGAATGGAAATACATGATGATTTTTTCTTATATTTGATTTAAATATATTGATCTAAACCTACCTGTTCTTACCATAAGCCTAGCTATTATAAAAATTATACAATAACTTAATTTTTAAAAATTATTTTCCCTAGAATGTACTGGACTCTTGGACAAATACCTCCTTATTATTGAACTTTGGGCTAAATGACTGCAAAATAAATGTTTGGTCTTGATTTAGCTAAGTGTCTTCAAACTACACAATTCTATATTTCTGTGAGTGTCATATCATTTGCCGGTAGGACTGGTGCCCTTGTTTGTTGTGTTGTTTTAAAACTCTCTCATTGAGAATGTCACTTCTCCAAGTGATCATATTCTTTTTGAAAGTCACTTCTAGTTTCTATATAAAAAATGTCTTCTAAAATCAATACCAGTGAAAGTTAATCAGTGATATAATGATTACAGGATGCCTTATTTATCATTGGAAGGCTAAGATGGTTATCTCTGTGATGATCCTTCCATGTGATTTGAAAGGACAGAGGGGTAGCTTTTTCTGGCCATGCCACTTCTAATTTGTAAAATGCCCCCATTATAACTCTTATGTAAGAAGGCAGCCTGCCTTTATTGCCATATCCTAAAAAGATTCGTTAGTATTATGCCCAAGTGCTCAGTATTTCACCAGCCCTGCTCCCGTCTTAAATTTATTATAGATTCGACATTGTCATAAAGGGCATAATTAGAAAATCATCTCACGTCTCATCTCATTATGTAATTGTGCATAAGGAAACAATCATTTTAAAATATAAAGAAGAAAGATTTGGGTCATGCAGCTGCTTCCTAAATGTTATATTTTTATTTCCATTGCGTCTGTTTTTCCTCATTGAAGTGCAGAGATTACTCATATTGAGATACAACTATTTTTCCGCAACTGAGTCTTCAATGCCTGCTATTTTATTAGCCCCAAATAAGAGATGATTGGAAGTGTATCAATGCAAGTGGCAAGTGAGAATCAGCAGGTTCATTCTTCATAAACCCTTCTGTAGAGCATGCTCATGTTTCTGGTAACTGGCTTTTCTTTCTGCTCCTCTTTTTGAGTGGTTACAGTGGAAGCAACCACATTTTTACAAGGTGACCATATCTCACCCATAGAGATGAAGACAGAGGTTTGCTCATTACATAAGCTGAATTAATATAAGTCCATTCTCAGGATTTTAAAGTTGGAACTAGAAAATATTCACCCACTGAAACTCTGAGCTCTTAAGTAAAAGTGATGCAAACTCACAAGCTGTTGGCAGAAGTTGTTTTCTGATATGTTGTTTTTAAAAATAGAAATATTATTCTAAAAAGAGAGAGAAGAAGGAAGAATGAAACACACACAGAGAGACAGAGTTTTGATATGAAAAATCAACGTCTTGTTTCTCTACAGTGTTTGGATCAGTGGTTCCAGTTCACCCCATTACTCAGCTGGATCTCTGCCTTTGGGTTGTGTGAGATAGCTGTGTATATGTTTAATAAGCTCACTTTTGCTAAACTTAGTTCAAATGGGTTTCCATAACTTTGAACTGAAAAACTAATTGTGAAGTTTATTTCATACTCTACACAGCCTTTATAATATAGAATGTAAATATAACGCCTACGTAACTGTTCTCTCACAAAGTTTGATGGTAAATTATTAAAAGGAATTAATTACTCATGAGATACTCCCCAGAGAAAAAGACCACAAAAAGTTCATATGTATGTATTAAGTTATTTATTTTTAATAATTTTTGGGTCACTTCTGTGAGCCAGGCAACAGTGATAAGTAGGCAACAGTGAATAAATACAAAAGTGAATGTCTAGTTTGTTGGGGGAGAGATGTATTAACCAAATAATTACCCAGATTAGCAGATGATTTTAAAATGTGGCAAATGCTGTGAAGGAGGGGTGAGGGACAGTGAGCCAGGTAGAAGAGGCTGTACGTGAAGGCCCTATGGCAAATGCAAACAAAGCATTTCGGCATTGATAATCGGAAGGGTTTTTGGTTTTGGTTTTGGTTTTGGTTTTCCAGAAAGCCATTTATTAATTAGGTTGGAAAAGCATTGTTTCTGTTTCCTGTTCATCATATTTAGCTTTTATGTCAGAAGAGCATTTTTGTTTTTGTTTCAAATGTGTTTCAAGTCACCTAAAACCCTCTGTCCTTAACATTATTCAAGAAAGTATGTAATGTACAATGTTATTTACACCATCGATTTGTTTAACGAACTCTCTCTTTGTAGTCAATGCCAAAGAAAATTTCGTCTCACGTATATTCATGGTTTCCTGATGGATTGACCAGTAAGTTACTGAAGTCCTACTTAGTGTGATGTGACTGTGGTGGTGTTCCATCACATTATTCTAAGCCATTCTCAGCCCCATCTAACCCCGGTGGTATTCAGCAAAGGCATACAAGCCCAGAACCATGGGAATGTTCATCTCCATCAGAATTAATAGGAAAAGACACTTTAGTAACTGTCTTTAGTAAGATACACTTAGGGGAGCAGCGTGAAGTAACTCTCTTGGACTAGCATCCCTCTGTTCTTAAACTGCCACCAATGCTACTGTAACATTGCAGTCATATTCTAATAAATGGTGTCAAGCATAGAAGAGAGAAAAATTCTACTTTTGTGACTTCTCCTGATTTCTGAGTGCTGTATGCATGAACTATTTACCTGTGTACACAAACAGCTGTACATTTAGTTGCCATGGCAATGCTTATCTGTTATCTTTACAGGGAACAAAATGGTACTTTAACCACAGTTGACTCATCCCGTGAGGTAAAATTGATAAAGCTGCCTTTCTTAACTTTCAGCCAGAATGCTTCAGTTGGCAAAAGTTGGTTGTTTTTGTTCTTCTTAAAGAAAGGCTACTTGTTGACAAAGGCAGGTTTAACCCCCATTCTCAATAATTGATATAGCCTCGAGCAAAGATCAAAGTTTCCTGGATATCATTGTTATAATTTACACTTAGTAACTGGACAGGAGATATTAATAGGATGGCCATCAGAGAAATTGTGTTTTCCTGACATGTGTCTTCTTGGATTACAGGTAAGTATTGGTGAATGCGTGACACTGATAACTGCTGGTATTATTGATGAGGGACTATCAATGATCTGATGCATAGGGTGCCCTTGATAAGAAATCTTTATTGTTCATCAGCATGTTACTGAAAAGAGTCCAGCCAATGTTAGGTATGTGAGGTTAAGAATTCCCCAGTCACTATGCAACTTGGAAATAGAAAGGACAAGTGATTCTAGGACAAATGTGAGAATCCATGTATGTATTTATAGGCATGATACCCAGGCAGAATTATTAATATCCTCCCTTGGGCTCCCATAGCACTGTGTCCATACTTCCATCATGACACTTCACTTCAAATTAATTTTCTTTCTATCCCGTTGGGTTACTAGCTTTTTGAAGTAGATGGCGCTATTATTTTTATTGATTATCAAGTCCGAAGAAGGAAGAGCTCAATACATGCTTGTTGAATAAAGTCTGCTTTGAGAAAGTTATGCTCATTTTGCTTTAATATTCTGCAAGAGATACAAAGAAAAGAAGGAAGGAAATCTGAGAGCTATCAGTTGACTGGATACTCGAATTGGATTACTTTTAGGGCAATGCTCTTGGTTGTGCCTAGACTTGTAATAATAGCTCTGATTTCAACTTATCTAGAAAAGCTTAAAGAAAATAGTCCAGGACTGAGAAAGCTATTTTTCATTTTCTTAAATAATTGGCACCTTTGAAAGGCTCCAGAAACTACAGTTTTGGAAGCCTCTAGGAATAAAGATTTCTTATTTCCTGGACCTGGCATATAGTTTTAGTAAAGGAAATGAATTATTCTAGATCCCAACCAATTGTCTTCAATCAAATAACTCCCTGACAGAAATGAGGCAAAATTTTAATCACTAATTTAACCTCTGCAATAAAATTCCTAAGAAAGAATTTTGTCAAAGGCAGAGAAAAAAATCTACAGTATCAACACTGAATATACAAAGTGTACTAAATGTTTTTAAATCAGGAAGTATGCATCTTTTTATCTTTGGTAGTTTTTTTTTTTAATTAACAAAACTTCACCATCAAGACTCCACTCAAATTATTGTAGGTTATCCTAGAAGTTTGAGAAATACAAATGGGATAATATAGAAAAGATTATAAAGTTTGTATTCCATGAGATTTTGCAATTTACTCTTCATTGATATAGAAACAAGTATTGAAATCTCTAAGCTATTCAAGATAGTAATATGTAGTGTATTTGGGAAAGTGAAATTACAGCACACAAGCATTATCTCAGTTTAAAAAGTAGGTGTAGGTGGTGTGTTGCATAGCTTAATGTTTGTCTTCTGAAGAAATGCATTTAGTTCCCATTCTTTCTTGATAACCTCTATGTTATCATATCTAATTCTTTGTGATAAAATGCACTCTGTTTTAGTTTCATGAACCACAGTCAATTTTGTTTTCCTTTGCAAACAAAGAACGAAAAGATCAAATCTCTCTCTGTGCTAGACTGTGGATCTCTTCCTAGCTTGGGTGGCCATCCCAAAGTCATTTTTGCATCTTCCTCTCCCACTGGCCTGAAAGAGTCAACTGGAACCCGTTCAATGCTGTTTGTATTCATCAACACTTAATGTATCAGGAGGATTTTCCACCTTCTTTCCTTTAAAATATTTTATTATACCTAAATGAGTATCTTAGTCTGCTCAGGCTGCTATAACAAAACACCACAAAGTGGATAACCTGTAAACAACAGAAACTTCTTTCTCACTGCTCTGGAAGCTGGAAAGTCCCAGATCAGTGTGCCAGCAGATTCAGTGTCTGGTGAGGATGTGCTTCCTCATAGACAGCCCTCCCTCACATGGTGAAGGGAGAAGGGATCTCTCTCAAGACTCTTTTGTAAGGGTACTAACTGCCTTTATGAGGACTTCATCCCTATGACCTAACCACCTCCCGAAGACTCCCATCTCCTAAAACCAGCGACTCTGGAGTGAGGATTTCCACATATGAATTTTGGGGGGACATAAACATTTAGATCATAGCAATGACTATATAGTAAAATTCTATTAATTCAGGTTTATTGGGAGAAAGGTGGTTTGAATTTAGTGGGAAGGACTTCGTTGCTGTAGATATCTAAATTCAAATCACCTTATTAAGAATTGTCAATACAACTATTTCACTACCAGTCTCTTATTAGAAATGAAACATTTAATACTCCAGAGAAAATAGTTTCTCCAGACTTTTTTTTTTTTTTTGAGACAGAGTCTTGCTGTGTCACCCAGGCTGGAGTGCAGTGGTGCAATCTCGGCTCACTGCAAGCTCCACCTCCCGGGTTCACACCATTCTCCTGCCTCAGCCTCCTGAGTAGCTGGGACTACAGGCGCCCACCACCATGCCCAGCTAATTTTTTGTATTTTTAGTAGAGACAGGGTTTCACCCTGTTAGCCAGGATGGCCTCGATCTCCTGACCTCGTGATCCGCCCACCTCGGCCTCCCAAAGCGCTGGGATTACAGGCGTGAGCCACCGCGCCCAGCCCTCTCCAGACATTATTTAAATGGATACCACTTTTAAATATTTAACTGTTCTATCTTTTTTGACATATTAAATTTGCATTTTGACTTCTAAAAATGTAAAATGTGCATCAAAATTATACATTTTTGGTTTAAATATTTGAATCATAAATGGCCAATATTGAAAATATGTTTTTTCAATATATTGAACATTTATTCAATATATTCCTGTTCTAAGAATCTGTATAGTGATGGGTTAATACAAGTAAATGGAAGCATTAGATTGTGATCTTTAACTAAACAGGCACTTTTTGTCATTGTAATTGCCTTGGGACTAATGTATGTGACTGTTACATTTGTTTCCAACATGATTTTATTTATTTATTATTTGTATTTATTTTTTTTCCAGCTCTTGGTTGTGCTTAGACTTGTAATAATAACTCTGATTTCACCTTATCTAGAAAAGTTTCACCTTATCTATCTAGTTTCACTCTGTCACCCAGACTGGAGTGCAGTGGCACAATTAGGATTCACTGCGGCCTCAACCTCCATGGGCTCAGGTGAGCCTCCCATCTCAGCCTCCTTGGTAGCTGGGACTACATACGTGTGCCACCATGCCCAGCTATTTTTTTCTATTTTGTAATTTTTTGTAGACACAGGGTTTTGCCATGTTGCCCAGGCTGGGCTCGAACTCCTGGGTTCGGGCATTCTGCCTGCCTCGGCCCCCACAAAGTTCTGGGATTACAGGCATGACCCACCATACCTGGCCTCAACATGATTTTATACCTATTTGAAAAGACATGCTATATGTCATAGATATTCAGTTAAAATAAATTAGCCGGGCATGGTGTTGGGCACCTGTAGTCCCACCTACTCGGAGGCTGAGGCAGGAGAATCGCCTGAACCCGGGAGGCGGAGCTTGCAGTGAGCCAAGATTGTGCCACTGCACTCCAGCCTGGGTGACACAGCAAGACTCTGTCTCAAATAATAATAATAATAAAATAGTTCAGTTGATTACAGCTAATTGAATCACACACACAACCACAAAACTCTATTCAAGTAATATTCAGTACAAAACTAATGGATACAAAAAGGAGAAGATTTAGTATTAAGGGTCAGATAGCACTGCCTTGATCTTTCCGAGAAATTATAATTATTGGCAACTGAACTTCTAGGTGTTAATTAGTGTGACAGAAAAATCAAGCCCTTTCTCACCTTACTGTGACTAATTATATAGTTATATGAGTTTTAATCTCTTCCCATTCAATCTCAAAATGGTGCCTCAAACATGTATTTCCTCAGAAGCTTAAGGATAAGGCAGATATAGTTTTGGTTGTAACTTTTTTTTTTTTTTGAGACAGAGTCTCACTCTGTTGCCCAGGCTGGAGTGCAGTGGCATGATCTCTGCTCACTGCAAGCTGCGCCTCCTGGGTTCACGCCATTCTCCTGCCTCAGCCTCCTGAGTAGCTGGGACTACAGGCGCCCGCCACCACACCCTGCTAATTTTTTTGTATTTTCAGTAGAGACGGGGTTTCACTGTGTTAGCCAGGATGGTCTCGATCTCCTGACCCCGTGATCCGCCCACCTCGGCCTCCCAAAGTGCTGGGATTACAGGCATGAGCCACCGCGTCCGGCCTGTAACTTTCAATAAACTATTTATTTCACTGAATTCTAGGCTTCTGAGGGTGTATACTGATATGTGGGCAGTGGAAAAATACATATAAAAATTAAAATGTTTTATGTTCATAAGATCATAAGAATGTTATTACTCTGGTGATACTGAAGTCCAATGAATCTGAAATAGCATTCTTAATCTTATGCTGACGGTGTCTTGTTAGCTTTGTCATCTGTGTAGGCAAGGAGGAACCTCACGGTCAGTCACTTCAGCAAATCTGAGCTTTACGTGGGTGATAGTTTCAGGAGTAGAAAGGAATCATGTCATTTTTTTCACTCTTTTCCAAACCTTTATGGTGATGTAATATTGAACGAATTTACAGACACTAATGATTTTATGTCTGTCAATCCTATCTCACAAATATTTGTCTGCTACATGATACCCATTCTTAATGATAACACCAGCAAGATACCTAACCTTCAGAAATACTCTCAAGCTTTGCTACTGGGATTGTATATTAGTAATATCATTTTTAAAAACTGTCAGTATCTAATAAGGTTGAACATATATAATTCATCCTTTTCTTTCCTAGGTATATTTCCAACAGAAACATATACAATATACACGAGTATGTTCATAGTAGCACTATTGGTAATAGGCCAAAATTTTTAACTACCTAAAGGTCCATCAACAGTAGAATAAATTGTGATACATTCACATAATGGAATAACTTACAGCAATAAAAATAAATGAGTTCCGATTTCACACAACAATATGAGTGACTCTCACAAACATAATATTATGTGAAAGAAGCCAGAAAAAAAGAGTATATAATATATGATTTCATTTACCTAAATTTCCAAAACAGTAAAATTAATCAATATTATTAGAAATCAGAATAGTACTTACCTTTGCTGAGAAGAGGTGGAATGGAAACAGAAGAGAAGAGCTTCTGGCATGTTGATCTAATGTTCTATTTCTGAATCTGGTTGGTAGTTATGTGTGTATGTTCAGTTTGTGACAATTTATCGATATATATATACACACACACACACACACACACACACACACACACATATATATGATAGATTGAACTCAAATATTTAATTTGTGCTTATATTAGTTTCCCAGGGCTGCTGTAACAAATTACCACAAGCTGGGTGGCTTGAAACAACAGAAATTTATTCCCTCACAGTGCTGATGGCCAGAAGTCTGAAATAAAAGTTTTATCAGGGTTGTTTAATTCTGGAGGCTTGTGGAGAGAATCTGTTCTATGCCTGTATTCCTAGCGTCTAGTGTCTGTCAGCAATCTTTGTTATTCATTGGCTTATAGATGTATCACTCCAATCTTTGCCACCTTTTCCACATGATCTTCCTTCCTGTGTTCTCTTCTCTTCTGTCTCTGATAAGGCCACTGGCCACTGGTTTTACCCAGCACCCATCTGGGTAATTGAGATTTTTAACTTAATTATATCCACAAGGGCGCTTTTTTCCAAATAAGGTCACATTCACAGGTTCCTGGGTGACATGCCATTTTGGGGGCTACTAATTAATCCACTACAGTGTTCCTTCCCCAAACCCCACAGAAATCATGATAGCGGAAATATAAAAATATTGTACAGACAAGAAGATTTAAGAAGGGTTAAATACAGATGAGATAGGTTCAAGATTTTGAAAGATCGTGAGTCGATATTACTTGATTCAGCAAAATGCAGGAATTAAAGTTAGTTGCCAGTGCGAAGCAACTCAGGCAGTCTCAGGATCTGGAGATACGAGGTACTTCTGGATTCAGGGGTAAAGGCTGGGGCTTAACATAGTAAATTTGGTTAACAATCCACTTAAGAAAGTTAAAGTCTTAGATCAATGTCCCCACTCTGGGCATCAAGTGAATATAACCATCCCATATTGAGGCAGAAAGAAAAGATAATTACAGCTTTATAAAAAAAATAAAACAGAGAGGAGTCAAAGTGGCTCTGGACTAGTGGACATGAAGAATTGCTGAGGGAGGGTGAGTTACTGTACTCAAACAAGGAAGTAAAGAAGCAGCCTATAATTTTAATGGTGTAGACTCCCTCCTACCACCCCTCTATGCTTATCTACCAGGACCCTGGCAGTTGGGCTCATACCCTAGTCACGAGATTCTTCTCAGCAGAAAACACTCCAACCCAAGAGAAAAGACCTGCCTTTGGTGTGGGTGTGGTGATGGTGGTGGTGGCAGGGGGTGTCTCCAAATGAAAATATCAAAACTTCCCTGATCTCATACCCTGGAGTTCAATTAGCAATCACCATCCTTCTGCACACAAAGCTTCCATTCAGCTTTTCATTACCTCACTTATAAATAGCAGTGGTCAGCCAAGAGTTACAAGATATTTGAGGAAAGCTTGCATTGTAAAAGACAGAGATTTTTTAAAAATGAGTGTACAGATAAAACGAACTATTAGAAAATAAAGGCTATTCAGGGAGATGAAAACTTCAAAAAATTACAATGAATATTCTCAAATACATTAAAGAAGCACTTTATAACATCCAGAATGCTATAAAAATGAACATTGAGGGAACTAATAAGAACTCTTGAGAGAATAAAATATTATGGCATAAATCCCCCAGAAGGTAGAATAAATTATCAAAGAGATGACAAGATTTTTTTCAAAGGAGGATTGATACAGGAGGTCTGGTTAATAGGAATTTTGAATACCTGAAAAAAATGAGAGAAATAGAGAAGGGGGAAATTATCAAATAAGTGATGCAAGAAAAATTTATTTAATTAATAAGCCTGGTTTTCCATGTTTAAAGGGTTCAACAGGTGACCAGCAAAAGGAAATTAAGGTAACTGACATCAAGGCATAGTGGCCAGAAATGTTAGGACACCAAGGGTAAAGATTCTAAAAACTTTTCCAAAGGTGTTAGAGGAAGGTGATATACAATATGACACAAATCAGAGTACCACTGACTTCTCAGGAGCAACACTTGAAGCAAAAATCAATAAAGTAATGTCTTCAAAGTTTCGAGAGACAATTACTAATTGCTTTTCACTTATAATTCTAAATCTGAAAGATCAGATAGATAGAAATTTTCAGGCCAACAAGTTCTCAAAAAACATAACTACAATGTATCATTTCACAAGAAAGTTCTGGAGGTTATATGTTACCAAAATGAGTGAATAAACTGGCAAAGAAGAGTTGAGAACCAGACAGCAGGGAACACATTGATAAAAAAATATATTAATTAAAGAGAAAACCTCTTGAGAGAAATGTGTGGATTATAAGCAACAGAGAAAACAGAAACAGAAATATATAGAAGAAAATCATTTTCAGTGAATTCAATCATTAGTAAATTTAGATGTTAAATATGTAAATGGATGCTTCCGGAAAAAAAAAAAAACCCAAAAACTAAAGATCTCTAAACAACTTGCTATATGTTTCTGCCTTTTCTATTTCTTTGATTGATATGCCCTTTCTCCATCCTCATTGTAGGTACGCTAGTCATTCAAAGACTCATCTTAAAATGTAATCCCTTCAAAAATATAGGAAGATATCCATATGTCCTTGGTTAAGGAGAGCTTTCTTAGCATAGACCCAAAATACAGCAATAAAAATAGAAATTAAAATCTGACCACATTATAATGTTAGTCTTATAACAAAGTCTAAAGCAAAAAAAAACCATAAACATGTTTAAGAGGTAAATGACAGAGTGAAAAATTAAATTTCCAGTGGATAATATGACAAAAAATGGTATGTAAAATCTGTAAAGTTTTCTAAGTCAACAGGAAAGATATCAAACGCAATAAAATAAACTCGTGCAAAAAATGGTCAAAGTTATAGTATTATAATTCACGGAAGATAAAATCCAATTATGAGAGGATGTTCAACTTCTACTTTTATCAGTAAACAACAACTTAAAACAATAGTGAGTTCCTATTTTTCGCCCATCAGATTGACTTTTAAAATCTGTTTATCACGTGTTAGGGAACATATAAGGAACGTTTTAATCTCAGATATTGCCAGTAAGAGTATACATTTGCACAACCATTTTTGGAACTATTTAGCAACAGCTCATAAAATTGAAAATCTGGATGCCTTATTACAACATTAATCATATAATTTATTATTCATTCTAGGACACCTTTGAACATGAAAGAGAGCACTATTAAAATGTATGCCAGAACAAAGGCATAAACTGGAGTTATCCCAGGCCAATCTCCTATACTGTCACCCTCTGTATGATCCACTTAGTGTATAGAACCTAGTTAGCTTCTTGTCCATGTGTACTATGTGTATGTAAAGCTACTCTTTGTCACATAGTTTATAACAGCAAAAAAAATTAGGAACAGGCTGGGCACTGTGGCTCACGCCTGTAATCCCAGCACTTTGGGAGGCCGAGGTGGGTGGATCACCTGAGGTCAGGAGTTCGAGACCAGCCTGGCCAACATGGAGAAACCCCGTCTCTACTAAAAATACAAAATTAGCCGGTGGTACAAATACAAAATACAGGTGGCACATGCCTGTAATACAGCTACTCGGGAGGCTGAGGCAGGAGAATCGCTTGAACCCAGGAGGCAGAGGTTGCGGTGAGCTGAGATGGAGCCATTGCACTTCAGCCTGGGCAACAAGAGGGAAACTCCGTCTCAAAAAAAAAAAAAAAAATTTAGGAACAGTCTGTCAAAAGGAAACTCAATAGATAAAATAGATAACACAGAATAGTAAATAATAAGGAAAACAGATGAACTAGATTTCTCTGTATATCAGTACCAATAGACATCCAGTACACACACTTAGGTATAAATAGAAAATTCAAAATTCCAGAATATTCATTAACATATATAACATTATATATCTCTTATGTTATATATATAACATATATATATATATATATACACATCAAACATTACATATGATGTTAATTGATGTGAGTGCAAGTATAAAAATGGAATGGAAGAATATACCTCCAATTTATAACAGTGGTTGTCTCTGGCAATTTAGAAAAGATCTGGATGTGGTTTAAGGAGAATTAAGCTATATTAATAACGTTTAATTTCTTTAAAAATAATCTGAAGCAAATATG